>NC_000005.10:53859807-54484807 GCF_000001405.40 Homo sapiens
GCCCCCAACACCCCTGACATTCTCGAGATCGAGTTCAAAAAAGGAGTCCCCGTGAAGGTGACCAACGTCAAGGATGGCACCACCCACCAGACCTCATTGGAGCTCTTCATGTACCTGAACGAAGTCGTGGGCAAGCAGGGTGTGGGCTGTATTGACATCATGGAGAACCGCTTCATTGGAATGAAGTCCCGAGGGATCTACCAGGCCCCAGCAAGCACCATCCTTTACCTCGCTCATTTAGACACCAAGGCCTTCACCATGGGCCAGGAAGTGCGCAAAATCAAACAAGGCCTGGGCTTGAAATTTGTTGAGCTGGTGGATACCGGTTTCTGGTACAGCCCTGAGTGTGAATTTGTCTGCCACTGCATCGCCAAGTCCCAGGAGCAAGTGGAAGGGAAAGTGCAGGTGTCCGTCCTCGAGGGCCAGGTGTACATCCTTGGCCAGGAGTCCCCACTGTCTCTCTACAAGGAGGAGCCGGTGAGCATGAACGTGCAGGGTGATTATCAGTCAATTGATGCCACCGGGTTCATCAACATCAATTCCCTCAGGCTGAAGGAATATCATCGTCTCCAGAGCAAGGTCACTGCCAAATAGCCCCCTGTACAATGAGGAGCTGGGGCCTCCTTAATTTGCTGATCCCCCAAGTACAGGAGCTAATTGTTGTGATAATTTGTAATTGTGACTTGTTCTCCTCGGCTGGCAGCGTAGTGGGGCTGCCAGGCCCCAGCTTTGTTCTCTGGTCCCCCTGAAGCCTGCAAACGTTGTCATCAAAGGGAAGGGTGGGGGGCAGCTGTGGTGGGGAGCTATAAAATGACAATTAAAAGATTTAAAAAAAAAAACCTGTGAGTTCCTTTTATACAGTGTTTTCACCATTCTGGTAAGAACCTGAAACTCAAGTGCATTTGTGAGCTACAAAATATAAACTATGTTATTTTGGCAATTTTATATAAAAGGTAGCTTTTATATTTGCATTTAAAAATGGCCTTGTACATTATAAAAATGAATGGTAAAATTTCAAGTTTAAATTTTTCTTTACTTAGAAAGATAGTAAATTGCAAATAAAAAACACCGTGGCAAGTTGAAAACAAGCTTTTTACATAGAATAAAGGAAAAAACTTTATATTTTGGTACTTTCAGGAGTACTGGTTTTTGAATAAAGGACTGAATTTTCATTTTGCTCTGGACTCCATGAATGATGTAGTCAGCCCTAGTCAGAAGATGTTTTGCTGGGAGAATCAACAGGACTTTGTGATTCACCGTAAGAAACAATGTAGCAGTCAGGTAGTATGTTTTATGCTTCCAACACCACAGCAATAGCACATCTTGCAACAGCTTAACTGAAGCCTCTGTTTAGAGTAAATAGCACAATTTTACTATATGTTCTTTTTTTAAAATTGAGGTAAATACACATAATATAAAATTTACCCTCTTAACAATCTTTAAGTGTACATTTCAGTAATGTTAAGTATATTCACATTGTTGTGCACCCAATCTCTAAAACATTTTCATCTTGCAAAACTGAAACTCTCTACCCATTAAACAAAAACTGCCCATTTTACCACCCTTCCCATCCCCTGGCAACCACCATTCTACTTTCTATTTCTATGAGTTTGACTATTCTGGATAGCTCATATAAGTGGAATTATATAGCATGTGTCTTTTTGTGGCTTATTTCACTTAGCGTAATGTTACCAAGCTTCATCCATCTTGTAGCATGGTCCTTTTTAAAGGCTAAATGATATTCCACCATGTATATATACTACATTCTGTTTCTTCATTCATATGTCAATGCTCCCAGCTTAATAAACTCAATAAACTCACTTGTAATTACAGTCAAAACTTGCCTCAATTGCTTCTGACTTTCTACAAGAAATTTAAGGTGATTTACAGAAACTCCAATAAAATGTAGTAAGTGAAGGATTCAGGACAAATGGAAAATGTGTATAACAAAACAGTAAAGCCAGGATCCAGTGAAAATTTGGCTGAAAAGGTTTCTAAAAATCATGTATCCACAAAGTGGCTAGATTGACCTAGAGCTACTAATTCTCACCGAGGGTGTCCCAAAATATTTTTTTTTTCAGACTGAGTCTCTCTCTGTTGCCCAGCCTGGAGTACAGTGGTGCAATCTCGGCTCACTGCAAACTCCACCTCCTAAGTTCAAGGGATCCTCCTGCCTCAGCCTCCCAAGTAGCTGGGACTGCAGACGTGTGCCACCACGGCCAGCTGATTTTTGTATTTTTAATAGAGACGAGGTTTCACCATGTTGGCCAGGCTGGTCTCGAACTCTTGACCTCAGGTGATCTGCCTGCCTCAGCCTCCCAAAGTGCTGGGATTACAGGTGTGAGCCACTGCGCCCGGCCTAGTGTCCCTAATTTTTTAATGTCATTTTCCATCACATACAGAAAATGATGATAATTGCATGGCATATAGGAGTAATGAGGCTGCTCTCCACCTATGGGAGCTGGCCCCAGACTGCACCCCTATACTCTGAGGACTGAAGGAACTGGCATCTCAGGAGTATGACCTGATCCTAGCATGCCAGTGGCTGTCACTTATGGTGTGGGAAGCTATTGCAGCTTATCCCCTTGGAGGGGCCTTGCTGTCACACCGTTGTACATATTTCAATTGTCCATAAATGGCCCAAAATGTCATATTTCTATCTCCAGCAACGAAACTGTGGAGCAGTGGAAAGCACCCAGGCTTTGGAGTTCAAAAGAGTGTAGGTGTTTCTGTTTCTGTCACTTACTAGCTATGTGACAAATACCAGACTAGATACATATCGAAGCAGCTCAATAGGAACTTTAGTTCCTATTTCATTCATCATTGATTCATTCATACAACATATTTATTGAGTACTTATTTTGTGCCAAGCACTACCAGGTTTGGGAGACATACCTGCTAAGTTGAAGTCTATTAGAGAACTTTTCTGATCAGGATATTCGTGTTCTAACTCAGGCGGTGTAACGGTACCTATGTGACTTTGAGTGAATCATTTCAACCTCCTGGGCCATCGTATTAGTCAGTTTTCACTAAGTTACGTTATAAAACAAGCAACCCAGGCCGGGCGCGGTGGCTCACGCCTGTAATCCCAGCACTTTGGGAGGCAGAGGCAGACAGATTACGAGGTCAGGGGATCTAGACCATCCTGGCTAACATGGTGAAACCCCATCTCTACTAAAAATACAAAAAATTAGCCGGGCGTAGTGGCGGGCACCTGTAGTCCCAGGAGGCTGAGGCAGGAGAATGGCGTGAACCTGGGAAGCAGAGCTTGCAGTGAGCCAAGATCACACCATTGCACTCCAGCCTGGGTGGCAGAGTGAGACTCCGTCTCGGAAAAAAATAAATAAATAAAAATTAAAAATAAATAAATAAAACAAGCAACCCTAATGTCTCAAGAAGTTAGAAAAGCATGTATTTCTTGCTCATATTACATAAAGGATGAGGACTGGCTGTAGTTTTGCTTTATACCAAAATCCACACAGAAGGTGAGCACACAGGATATGCTCTTCTCCTGGTGGAGGGCTGAAATAAGAGGACCCAGCCAAGCCACACAATTGCACCTAAAGTTTCTGCTCTGAAGCAAATGCCATATCCACCCATGTTCCGTTGTCCAAGCTTATAGGCAATGTGGCAGAGAAGCATGGTGAGGGTGAGAAGAAACGAATAATAATGAAGAAAGAACACAATCTACCACTGTCTTTGTTTTCCTATTTATAAAGTGAGGATGTTGGGCTAGATTTCTCTATTGCCTTTCAACTCCCTATTTGGTAATTCTGTGATTTAATAGAGAAGAGAGAAGTATCATTGTTAATTATTGTTACCCATTGAAGGAGCTGAGTCACACTCCCATACTCCACATTAAACACAAAACATTTTGGACAAGGACTTTATATTATCTGATAAGCCCAATTACTCTTTTTGTTTTGGTTTGGTTTTGAGATAGAGTCTTGCTCTTTTCCCTGAAGCTGGAGTGCAATGGCATGATCTTGGCTCTCTGCAACCTCTGCATCCCAGGTTCAAGCAATTCTCGGGCCTCAGCCTCCTGAGTAACTGGGATTACAGGCGCCCGCCACCATGCCCAGCTAATTTTTGTATTTTTAGTAGAGACGGGGTTTCACCATGTTGGCCAGGATGGTCTTGAACTCCAGACCTCAGGTGATCTGCCTGCCTCAGCCTCCCAAAGTGCTGGGATTGCAGGCATGAGCCACCGCACCTAGCCAAGCCCAATTACTCTTTTGCAGGGATACACAAGTATAAAAGTAATTTTAATAAACATTACTCTGAAACTGTTTCTCCACTTCGATTCCTTAGGTCTTTATGAACTTTACTCTACCCAAACATAGCTTTCAAAGATTGCAGGTGTGTCCTAAGAACTGCAAGGGCCCTGAGTTTATCTAAATAAAATATTAGAATCACAATGCAATTTTAATTTTCAGTTTAAAAGAACCAACTCCAGAGTGAATTGTTAATAAGGTATAACAATGTTTTTTAACAATTAACCTTCCCAAATCAATTGCTTACAAATACAGTGTTTTTTTGTTGTTTGTTTGTTTGTTTGTTTTTCTTGAGAGGGAGTCTTACTCTACTCTGTCACCCAGGCTGGAGTGCAGTGGTGCGATCTCGGCTCACTGCAACCTCCACCCTCCGTGTTCAAGTGATTCTCCTGCCTCAGCCTCCTTAGTAGCAGGGATTATGGATGCCTGCCGCTGTGCCCGGCTAATTTTTGTATTTTTAGTAGAGATGGGGTTTCACCATGTTGGCCAGGCTGGTCTTGAACTCCTGACCTTGTGATCCACCCTCCTTGGCCTCCCAAAGTGCTGGGATTACAGGTGTGAGCCACCGCCCCCAGCCTACAAATATAGCTGTTTTTTTGTTTTTGTTTTTGTTTTTTTTGAGACAGAGTCTCGCTCTATCACCCAGGCTGGAGTGCAGTGGCGCGATCTCGGCTTACTGCAACCTCCATCTCCCGGGTTCACACCATTCTCCTGCCTCAGCCTCCCTAGTAGCTGGGACTACAGGCGCCCACCACCGTGCCCAGCTAATTGTTTGTATTTCTAGTAGAGAAGGGGTTTCACCGTGTTAGCCAGGATGGTCTCAATCTCCTGACCTCATGATCCACCCTCCTCAGCCTCCCAAAGTGCTGGGATTACAGGTGTGAGCCACCACGCCAGGCACAAATATAGTTTTTAATTTACTGTCAATCTGAGAAAAAGGCTGGGACAAGATAATCCTCCTCAAATAAAATAGCCACTGGCCTCATCAAATTCTGTGTTGTGGGCCTTGCATCAGTCTTCAAATGTAACTTCTTTTTCTTTTTTCTTTTTTTTTTTAAGATGGAGTTTTGCTCTTGTTGCCCAGGCTGGAGTGCAACGGCACTATCTTGGCTCACCACAACCTCCACCTCCCGGATTCAAGTGATTCTCCTGCCTCAGCCTCCTGAGTAGCTGGGATTACAGGCGTGTGCCACCACGCCTGGCTAATTTTGTATTTTTGGTAGAGACGGGATTTCTCCATGTTGGTCAGGCTGGTCTTGAACTCCTGACCTCAGGTGATCCACCCACCTTGGCCTCCCAAAGTGCTGGGATTACAGGCGTGAGCCACCGCGCCTGGCCCAAATGTAACTTCTAAACATCCAAGCTTCTATAGGTTCATTAATGACCAGTCTTATGAACCTTGTACTGAACTAGAAGCAAAAAAAGGATTTCCATTATACTGTTACAAATGGCTGTAAATATGGAGGACCCATTATGTGGCAAGTATTATGCTGTGGCTCTACATATGTGGTCTTTGCTCTCACCATATTCCTACAGAGTGAGTATTACTCCAGTTTTCCAGATGAGGAAACCAAAGTGTCTAGAGGTTCAATAATTTGCTTACATACCAAATAATGGAGCATATTTTAAACGAAGGCTGTAATGTATATGTTCTCCTTCTTGTTAAAGAAGGTCCCCATCCTGCTGAAGAAGAAAACCTGAAACTTCTTTTACTACCTTTATCTGCCAGGAAGATGGAAGGCTAAAGAGCACTTTCTCTTGCTTAGATTTTGATCATCACTGATTTCCTCCCTGGAGTAGAAGAGTCGTTATACTCTGAAATTTGTATATGCACGATGTGGATATAGGGAGTATAAAATATATCTACTGTGTAAAGGACATGGGTGCCTTGTTTTTTGTGCTTAGGATGACATTTGATTAAACAGGTGAAATGCAACCATTTTCATATATGAAACAGCATCCCCCTTTAAGAAAACAGCCTTCTCTGAAGCTTCTCTTACAGCTCTCCTTGGATTAGTTTTATTCTGACTTGACAGGAGCTACTAGCTACACACTCAGTGGGTAGGGATGAGAGCCCCAGACCCCAGTCCTGAGTACTAGAGTATGCTGAGGATTATACAGTCTCCTTGAGGTGGGAGTGAACTGAGAACTCTACAGAAGAAAATAGCTTTTCCTTCTGGCTAATAGATGAAAAGAGTCACCCCATCACATCAAAGGTACCCATGTTCATCTGCCTACAGTGAGGCTGTGGCCATCCATCTGCAATGTCACCAACTTGGCAGCCCAGCCAGCCACATCTGGAAAAGTTAAGTGAGCTGCAGAATTAACACATGTTGGGGAATGTCCTCAGCACAGTGTATTGACAACAGGCTAACACAATTTCTCCCTCTATTTGCATCAAACCTAATAAGTTACTTAAAAGTTAAAGATTCAAGAGTTAGACAAGTTATTGAAGAGACTCTGTATGTACTATAGCCAACAGCGATTCTTTGAAAAGTAAGACATGGCAGGCCCAGAAGGATTAATGAAATCCACAGAAAGGGTGACCAGTTCATGGGAAGCCAGGAAGGGATCTATGAAAAACAGGTGTGTGCACTCCAAGAGGACAGAGGCTTTAGGTATCCCTCTTGGTCTGCACCTAACACACCGCACAACTCTCCATCTATCTTATCATAGTTTGAAATCCTTCTAGAGAACTGGGCATGTGCACTCTCTGAATGACAGCACATGTACCCTAAAAAGTTATCACAGCTCCTCTCATCACCCTGCATGGTTTCAGTTTTCTATGTCTAAATTCCCAGCAAACCCCTCAAATCAGGATCCATGCTTTAAGGCTTTATATATGTATTTGTTTTTGTAGATTTGACAGTCTTGAGCATGGTGCCTCATGGAAGACACCATGTAGCAAGCTCCTCTTGTTCTAATTTGGTATCAGATATGACAGGCCGGCACAAGGGCAATGGAAGTGGAAAGTTAATCCGGCAGTAGCTCTAATCTTGCTCTTCTATAAGCTCCTCAGCTAAGGGAAGGATTCTCTTTCATTCTAAAGCCTTCTTAAATGTTGTTCTTTCTGTTCATCCATCCATAGGCACTTTCTATTGATTTAAAAAGATAAGTTTTCTCCATGGAGCCCAATAGTTCACAGCACCCACTTCCTGATATGTCCTCTTGGGGAATTTTGGAAAAGAAAAGGAAGTTTATGGCTGGTGAAGGGGTGTGCAAAAGAAATTCCTTTGCCTCTCTAAAAAGTCTTCTGACTGCAGGGGCAGCTCCACGGTGCATTTAGCTCTCAGGTTCCTCTTCGATCCTTGCTCAATCTCTGATTTCCCCGTGCTCTTTCCCACTGCTCTGTGTTTCTTTTCAGGAAAGAGTCATTTGGAGAACCTTTGCCATGGTCTACTTCACCCTCCACAGGGAATTGGTAAGGCAAGGAACTTTGGCAGAGGTAAGAGTTCAATTTAGGGATTGGCTATTTACTCCAATTCAAGAAAGAGAGGCATGGTAAAAAAACAAAACAAAATAAAACAAAAACCAGTAAGACAAGACTTTCCCTTTTTCACACATGGACTGAGAGAAGATTCTTTCTAGGAAAGCTCAATTTGATCAACTTTCTTTTTCTAAGGAATTGTGGTTGAATTTAGCTACCTAATGGGAGGAATGACTGAACAAAGGCTAAGTGAGGCCCATGTGAGTGGTTAAGTGGCAGAAGTAGAATTCAACTCTAGATCTCCTAATCCAGTTCCCCAGTAGTTTTGCATTGTTTGGCGTGGCCAATGGGCTGTGTGTATGTTTCCCTAGGGCCATACTGTGGGAGCTGAAATAGATGAGCTCGGCCGGGAGTGGTGGCTCATGCCTGTAATCCTAGCACTTTGGGAGACCGAGGCGGGCGGATCACCTGAGGTCAGGAGTTCAAGACCAGCCTGGCCAACATGGTGAAACCCCGTCTCTACTAAAAATACAAAAAATTAGTCGGGCATGGTGGTGTGCACCTGTAATCTCAGCTGCTCGGGAGGCTGAGACAGGAGAATCACTTGAACCCAGGAGGCCGAGGTTGCAGTGAGCCGAGATTGCGCCACTGCACTCCAGCCTGGGTGACAGAGCAAGGGAGAGTCTGTCTCAAAAAAAAAAAAAGCTGAGCTCATGGAGGTCTGAGTAGCTCTCCTTTGTATACCTACATTTAATCTAAGGACGTGATTTTATTTGAAGAAAGAGTTTCATAGTGAAAGAAAGATTGCCTTGTCTATGCCGTGTGACCTCCAATTTTAGGAAGATTCTACTAAGATAAACTCTGGAAGCCATTCTCAGGTAGGTCTGTGTGCACTCATATCTTTACTAGTATCACTTGTATCAGACTTGGTCTGGTCCTTTTTGTCCAAAAAGCCATATTGGAATAAAAAGCATTTACCTTTGGGCCATTGATTCACATACATGTGAATCAATGTCCCCCTGAATGACTGAAGATGTTCTAATTTGTCATTTTGCCATTTCTGACAATCACTGCTGAGATTTTAATATTTATTCTCTGTAAGAATGGCAGTATGGTTCTGAGTGTGGGCTTTGGTCAGAAACCCTGGGTTTGCAGCTGGCTCTACCACTTACTATGTCACCTTAGGCAACTTAAAAAACAAATCAAAACAACAAAACAGAATAATATTTTGTAAAAAACGCTTTCTGTCATATAGGGCTGAAGATGAAGTGAGCTAATATATTTAAAGCACAGAGCAAGTGCTCCATATGTATTTGCTGTTATTACTATTGTTGTTGTCATTATTATTTGAGGGACCCATGCAGAGGCCCTGCATAATGTCTGGCATCAAGTTCTGAAATGGGCTCAGCCTCATCATCCAAAAGCTCTAAATTCTTGGCTTGGGCCAGTAAGTTGTTGCTGTCATAGGTAATGATGTTTAGAACAGAGTTGTACCCACAATAGCGTAAGCCTGGTGGACTCAGTATATGAGTAATTCACCTCTGGAAAGGAGTAAGCTGGCAACCAGCTCCCACTTCCCCAAAGTGGTGGTGGAGCTAACAATGGCAGCCAGAAGCACTGTTCTCTCACCAGCAGGCAAGTGCAGTCTTTCGATCTGCTGTAGTTGGCTCAGCTAAAACTCACACTTCCAATTTTCACACTATCTGTAAACGTTTAATTCGAAAGGCTTTCCTATTTAATATCAAACAAGTGAAAAAAATCTCATCAGCTCATCAGTGCTGTGCCAGACTTTCATTGGGATATGGAGGCAACTGGAACTCAGCTGTGCAGAGACCTCAGTAGGATTTCTCAAATGGCTGAGTGGAGAGCAATCCATCAGCTTACTGAAATCTCACATGCCATTTGGTTTAAATATTAAGGTTCCTTTGAGGTTAAGTATTAGAACCAGAAGGAAGGCAGGATTACAATCCGTTAGGCTGGGCTCCACATGCTGCAATTGTCACAAATATACCTCTTTTCAGCAAGAGGGGTCACTGCCAGCCCCAAATCACCCCAACTTCCTTTACCAATCAGGCCTGGACTTCCACATCCCCATCAACCTGTCCCTGAGGCTGCTCAACCCACAGTCCAGACTGACAGACAGTCCAATAGAAATATAATGTGAGCCACCAATGGGAGGCACATGTCATTCTAAATTTTCTAGTAGCCACAGTGCAAAAAAGTAAAAAGAAACAGGTGAAATAAATTTTAATAATATATTTTATTTAATCCAACATATCCAAAATAGCTCCATTTTATATTATCAATATAAAAATTAAAAATGAGATATTTCACTTTTTTTGTGCTAAGTCTTTGCAATCTGGTGTGTGTTTTATATACACACACACCTCTGTTGGGGCTAGCCACCTTTCCAGTGTTTAATAGCTACTGTATTGGACAGAGCAGGGCTAGGCTATAGACTAGATTAATTCCACACATTGCACTACATCTTGAAGCAGCAGGCCAGTGGTGAAAACACCCAGCTGAGTCTGAGGAAGGGTCTTGAGAGGCTGAGAAGAATTGAGAGGACCCTGTGAAACAGAATCTGTCACCACAGCTCCTTTTGAAGTGCATTTGGGTTTGCAATAACTTTTATAAACATCATTGCTCCTCTCCCCTTTGTTTCACAGTTTGGGGACCCTATTTATCTCTGACGGACAAGAGTATTATTTTCTCAGCTGCAAATCATGTTAATTGGCCAGTAGATAGATAGGAATGTGGAGTAAACACCCCTAATACCTTTGATGACTTTTCCAGCCCCATACTGTAGATACTGTATTGAAGTGGGAGAATAGCCCCCTATTCCTGCTTAGGATGACAAGCCCCTGTCTACTGCAAGGAGGTGGTGGGGTCATGAATGCATTCTAATGTGAATGCATTTCACAATTTGGAGAATCCCTTGTTCTTTGCTTTTATTTGACACTCAGATAACTTGGATGATTTGGCCAGAGTAACTGTGAAAATGCAAGTTATCAGGAGTCTTTGAGACAAGATAAGGATGGAAGGTTGTTGTAGTGCATAGTGGCATTTGGTTAAAGCATTAATTTCTTTTCAGGAGAGTCACTCTGCCAGTTGCCTTTCCTTCCATAACACCGCCAGTCTTTCAGCTCTCAGGTCACTGGGGGCCTGATCAATTCCAAGGGATGATAAAAGGTCTTTCTTTTCCAAAGTGGGAGAAGACGGGTTGTGAAGAAGAAGGAAAGGCGAAGGGGAAAAACGCCAACCTAATCTCTGGCAGACCAATTGTAGGAACAAATATCTATGTGAGTTGAAGATATAGCAATTGGTTTCCATAAAACTATCCTGCCTTGTGTCCACTGGAACATCTTCCTACAACACAAGGGTAGGTATAACATAGTTTCATATCTGTTGGCTTAGAGCATACCATAATCTTCTCCATTGAGTCATAAACTGTTTTTCTTCAGAGTCCTCAGTATGACCCTGTTCCTCTTCCTCAGATCCAAATCCTCATTCCAGTTCCAGAAGGACTTTTCCAAAGGGCAACACAGCAGTGTGGCACACAGAGCCCCAAAACTACAGAAGACCTGCATACTCCAACTCCCGGGCAATGCTCAACCACAACTTCAGGAAGAACACAGCTGTTACGGGTTGAGTTTATTAGCACCTAGAAAAAACAAATTTCCCTATTCTGAATTCTCCTTCATCATTGTCCACCCTCTTCTGCCCTCTGCTGCCCACAAACAATTAAAAAGTGATGGTCAGAATTGCCTGGGGAGTTTGTTAAAATACAGACTCCTAGGCCTCCCATTCACAGAGATTCTGATTCAGTAGATCTAGGAGCATGGCCCAGGAATCTGCACTGTAAGAGTATTCCAGGCTCTCTTTTTTTGTTGTTTTGCTAGTCGTCTACAGACCACGCCCTTGGAAACCTTGCTGGACGTCTACTGGAGTAATGCTATTTCAATGTCAAGAGTATAATGTCAATATCAATGTGTAGTTTTTTTTCTGAGAATTTAAAAGGTTGTGTTATGATTTCAGGGTTGTGTTGTATTTAAGGAAGTGTACTTACACACCTTCCTGATCCCCAGTAGACATCAAAATCATTAAAAGGACCTATTTTTTTAATTCCCAAAAGTTTCAAAAACCATCTTAGAGGGCAGCCAGACTTCGTCATGGGTTACCAGAGCAAGGTGTCTGCTCATTATTTTGCCCCTTGCTGGGAAGTATCAAAGGGATTGCCATGCCCCTGTGGCCTCCTTCAAGGAGTTTTTTATGCTTTGTTCCATGTGACCCTGCTCTCCTGGCCATAGTCCATGGGACTAAGGATGGGTGCCCTATATGGAACCTGCATCTATAAGACAGCAGCGATTTATGAGTGATCAGTCCAACAAGAGTGCTCTGCATTAGAGAAGGACTGGTATATCTTCCCTCTGAGTTTGCATGCATCACAGAAAGGGGAAGTCAGCTAAGGGGAGGTCAGCAGGCAAAGTAGAGTACACACAGCAATACTGCATCAGCATCGTCATATGGTGGGACACCAGGGTGAGCAACTGCAGTAACTAACAATTTAGTGTGTAAGAGCTACCATACTACAGCCATTGTAAGAGCTAGTATTTATTAAGCATCTACTACTGGGCAGACAAGGTGCCAAGTGTTTTTTTTTTCTTATAGTATTTCATTTAACCTATATAAAGACCTTATAGTTATGTGGTATGAATTGTTAACATTCCGGCTGGGCATGGTGGCTCACGCCTTAATCCCAGCACTTTGGGAGGCTGAGGCGGGTGGATTGCCTGAGCTGAGGAGTTCAAAACCACTCTGGGCAACATGGTGAAACCGTCTCTACTAAAATACAAAGAAAAAATTAGCCAAGCATGGTGGTGCACACCTGTAATCCCAGCTACTCGGGAGGCTGAGGTGGGAGAATTGCTTGAGCCTGGGAGATGGAGGTTGCAGTGAGCCAAGATCATGCCACTGCACTCCAGTTTGGGTGACAGAGTGAGACTCTGTTTAAAAAAATTGCTAATATTCTCATTTTACAGATGAAGAAACTGAGCCTTGACAAGGTTAACAATTTGCTCAAGGTCGGCAAGTAATTTCAATGCTGAAATTCAAACCCAGTTAGTTTGTTTCAGGCTCATATGTGTATTGAAGACAGGGCTGGCTACATAATTTGCAGAGACCAGTGCAAAATGGAAATGTGGGACTCCTTGTTCAAAAAACTGGGAAAAAGTGACATTGATATAAAGCTTTTTCTTTTCTTCCAAGGTTTTGATCTTGCCTAGTCACGGTAATTTCTATTTGCTAGTCAATGTCATTCTAAATCAAGAAAAATGACACACTAAAATTATTAGCATAAATGTTACCATTCATCTTTTCACTGTGTAATGTCAGTTTTAAATGCCAGTTGTAGTTGTAACTCATATGCAGAATCATTGAAATTGCACAATTGAGATTTTATAGCTCATACATACATTTGTATTTTGCACAAAACTAACTTATCTGTTTTTTGTTTTTTGGTTTTTTTTTTTTGAGACAGTCGCGCTCTATCGCCCAGGCTGGAGTGCAGAGGCACAATCTCGGCTCACTACAACTTTGCCTCCGAGGTTCAAGCAATTCTCGTGCCTCAGCTTCCCGAGTAGCTGGGATTACAGGTGCCTGCCACCATGCCTGGCTAATTTTGGTATTTTCAGTAGGGACTAGGTTTCACCATGTTGGCCAGGCTGGTCTTGAACTCCTGACCTCAAGTGATCCACCCACCTCGGCCTCTCAAAATGCTGAGGTTACACACGTGGGCCACTGTGCCCAGCCTCATCTGTTTTTATTTGACTTCTTGATACATGTATATTACACCAACACTCTACTTTTGGCTACTGACAGGAAGGAAGAAAAGAACAGGAACTAGGGGTTGTCCTGTCTTCCCCTTCCTTCCATGGCATTATTTTCAGTGTAAGAGGTTGGTTAAAACAGGGAAGTTAAACAGATTAGAAGGGATATGATAGGCTTCCTTGCTTGTTGGTGTTTCTTAGAATGCCATTGCCTTCTTTCTGCATTTGAAACAAGTTCGGGTTCAGTTGGAAAGCATGGCCTCTGAGGTATGCCAGTGTCCTCTCTTTCTGGTCATAGACTCAACACAACTACTTTGTACTGTTTTGAGCCTTGCTGAACTCTTGTCCATCACGGGCCCATCCACCGAAATCCTGTGCCCAGGGGACATCGAAAATGCTGTAGATGAACAGGCAGACAAGAACATGCGTATTGCAATATCTTCTCTATTTGCATGAAGGCTCCATTGTCCCATGGACTTTACTTATAATACAACACAAGTGCTATAATAAAGTTATTAAGAATTCCAAGATGGTGACAGCAGAGCATTAAGCCAAGCACATGGCCCTTCTGAACACAGGACATTGTGTGAATGCATTAGATCAGTGGGCCCCAACCTTATTAACATCAGGGACTTGTTTCGTGGAAGACAATTTTTCCATGGACAGTGGGAGAGAGGGGTGAGGGATGATGGTTTCAGGGTGAAACTGTTGTACCTCAGATCATCAGGCATTAGATTCTCATAAAGAGCATGCAACCTAGATCCTAGCATGCACAGTTCACAATAGGGTTCACGCTCCTGTGATAATCTAATGCCACTGCTGATCTGACAGCAAATGGAGCTCATGGGTAATGGTCTCCTGCTGCCCACCTCCTGCTGTGAGGCCTGGTTCCTTACAGGCGAGTCTGTGGCCCTGGGGTTGGGGACCCCTGCACTAGGTTGCACACCTGTGAAGCTGCACCTGAATGGGATAATGACTAGTAGAGAAGTTTTTGTCATCTAGCTGTTGTTGGATGATATAAAGTCCTGCTGCCTCTTGAAATATGCAGTTCCTGTTAGCCCAACAGCCCAGTTATGCAGCCTCAGAAATGGATACCTGCCCACTTTATTTGTTGGTGGTTTTATTTGTTGGCTTATAATTAAATCCCATTATCTGAGGCAACTAGAGTGTGTTCAACAAAGCACTTTCTGGGCAGTTTGTAGGGCTCCTTGACCTCTGGAACTCTTCCATGAGTGGGTGGGAATAGCACCCTGCAGAACCTTTGCTCATCTGCCAATATCATGTGGTTCACCCAGTCACCTCCGGAGGCATCCAAGCCTGTGTTTGTTGTTCAGGACCAAGGGGCTGTGAAGCAATGGGTTGGTAACAAGGGCAAGGAGGCTGGTTTTCATGTTCTTTCTTCATTACCTCAGCTCCTCAGTTTGGCCTTAGTAGTTTTGTTGTTCCCTTTGACAAATGTTCTCCTGCTACACCTCTCATATTAACACATTTCCTTGCCTCCCTGTTACCTGTGACCACCCTAGAGCTTCTCCTTTCAACCCACCCTCTGCCCAGGCTACTTTCCCTAAGTAAATGTTTTGATTATGCTGCTCTTCTTTAAAGCATTCAGTGGGTCTCCACTGCCCACTACATTTCATCCCACTTCCTCATCCTGGCATTCAAGGCTTTCCACAATTTGACTTCAGCCTACCTTCCCCTTTGTGTTTTCATTCTCTCCTTTTGGGCAAGGGACTACTATGTATGATCTTTGCCTCTTTTGTGCCTCTACTCTTTTTCCTTTCTTCCCCTCCTTTCACACTTATTTTCTACATTGGATTAATCACAAGTACATGGTGTTTATTTGTGTCTTTCCACTCTACAAAAACATATATAACATATATTGCATATCTATCCTGTGGTCAACATCATGTAAAGGTGGGAGGGAAGTGTTTGAGTTAAACAATTTAGTGCACAGAATTAAATATTGTTGACTGTGTGCAGTGGCTCATACCTGTAATCCCAGCATTTTGGGAGGCTGAGGCACGCGGATCACGAGGTCAGGAGTTTGAGACCAGTCTGGCCAATGTAGTGAAACCCTATCTCTACTAAAAATACAAAAAAAAAAATAGCCAGGCTTGGTGGCGGGTGCCCGTAATCCCAGCTGCTTAGGAGGCTGAGGCAAGGAGAATCGCTTGAACCTGGGAGGCGGAGGTTGCAGTGAGCCAAGATCGTGCCACTGCACTCCAGCCCCAGGCGACAGTGCGAGACTCCGTCTCAAAAAAAAAAAAAGAATTAAATATTGTTCAGTTCTCCCACTTCCCCAGAAAATGATGACCAAAGCTATTTTGTTTGTGTAAAGTCTAGCTAGAATGTAGGTTATCAGAAAAGCAAACTAAAACAAGATTTCACTTTCACCTTTTAAATCAGGATAGATTAAAATAATTCCATAGCCCAAAGTCACAGGTAATAAATAGGAACCAGCCTCTAATCACTGGTAGGAATTATGAATTGTTACAGCTAAGGAGGGCAATCTGAGAATTATGTTTTAAAAGCTTTCAAAGTGTTTACAATTTTTGACCCTGGAACTCCACTTGTAAGTATCCATTCTACAAAAAGCATCAAGGAATGTGCACAAATATTCTTATACAAAGACATTTAAAACAGAAATCCAAATACCCAACAATATGGAACCATTGCAATAATGGTATTGCTCAGTGCTAGGCAGCCATTAAAAATCATGTTTTAGGAAAAAATTCAACAGCATGGAAAATGCTTCTAATATGTTAGTAAATAAAAAGCATGTTCCACGGCCAGGCGCGGTGGCTCATGCCTGTAATCCCAGCACTTTTGGAGGCCAAGGTGGGTGGATCATCAGATCACGCGATCGAGACCATCCTGGCTAACACGGTGAAACCCTGTCTCTATTAAAAAATGGAAAAAATTGGCCGGGCGTGGTGGCAGGCACCTGTAGTCCCAGCTACTCGGGAGGCTGAGGCAGGAGAATGGCGTGAACCTGGGAGGTGAGCTTGCAATGAGCCAAGATGGTGCCACTGCCCTCCAGCCTGGGCGACAGAGCGAGACTCCGTCTCAAAAAAAAAAAAAAAGCATGTTCCAAAATAATATACATAGTATGACTCCCATTTTATAAAAGTATATAAAAAAATTAAAAGGATATGCATCACAATGTTAATGTGATTCTTTCTAGGATTAGTTATTTTCTATTTTCTCCTTTGTATTTTCCATAATGAACATGAATCTCTTTTATAATCATTGATGGTAAAGCTCACCTTTTTGTAATCCCAGCCCTATTTTTAAAAAATGTATGACTTGGAACCCTTGTTTTCAACTTGAGGTGGTTAGCTAGTTACAAATATTCATGAAATTTTCTGTTATTAAGTGCTGTAGATTTTAAAAGGCAACAAAGAGACATAATCATTGCTCTTCTGTGACTTATAAGTGAATGATGACACAGAAAGTACTAGAAAGAACCAATGACCTCTGAAGAAATAAACATGTTTAAATAGCAAATATTTAGTCCTGAGCACTATATCAGATTAAATGTATTTGGTTTTACCTTTCTTTAATACATATAGCTCAATGCCTTGCACATAATATACATTCAATCAGTGTTTGTTGAATGAATAAATCAATGTGTGGGCAATTGGATGATGAAAAATGGAAGTTCTGAGGCCACTGGAACGAGGTGTATTTACTTGATCTACAAAAGCTCCATGACCAGTGAGACTGGGTTTCCAAGACTAATGTTGCTGTAGCCATTATATAAATTCAATTGGTTGTAAAACCTCACCATTTGCACCTCCCAACCCACCTCAGCTCTTGCAGAGCTTTCTACCTCGGAAATGCAAAGATTCCTTCAAACAGACATTACTGGAATCATCATCGTCACCATTTATTGAATGTTTCCTGTGTGCCAGACACCTTAAGAAGCACTTTATGTGCATGATTTTATTTAATCCTCATGATAAGCCTGTGAAGAAGGCATGTTATCTCCACTGTGGACGAGAGAACTGAAACACAAACATTTAAATGATTTGTCCAGTGTCACGTAACTAGCAAGGAGTCCAGCCAAACTCTAAGCCAATTCTGGGTGACTCCAAACACTGTGGGATTAGTCACCATGCTACAAACCTCCTTCTTGGAGTCAGGACACAAATTTTCAGTGGTGATTAACATGCCAGATGGACACATTTCTTTTTTTTCCCTCTTATTTTCTTTTTCTTGGTGTTATCTTTAACTAGCTATTCTGGTGAGTGTGCAGTGCCAGATCATGGTAGTTTTTATTTGCACCTCACTACTAATAAACTTACTGACCAATTGGATATCCTCTTCCTTTGTGAAGTGCCTGTTCAAGTTGCTTGCTAATTTTTCCATGGATTTTTTTTTTTTCTTAGCGATTTAGAGGAGCTCTGAATAAATATTCTGGTAACAGTCTTGGGTTTGTGTTGAAAATATCTTCTATTCTGTGGCTTGTCTTTTTACTCTCTTCATTTTCTCTTTTCTTTCTTTCTTTTAAAACTTTTTGGGGAAAATGTCAATTACATATTCAGAGGCATAAAAGGGGGTGGGGGAATGTCAATTACACATTTAGAGACAGAAAACAAAGTATCACTATCCCCCTTCACCATGATTTGGCTTCAACAGCTGTCACTCACAAACAATCTTATTTCATCTAATCCCCACCTACTTCTATTTCTCTCTTCACCTAATAGATTATTTCGAAGTAAATCTTGAGCATCATAATATTTCATCCATAAAGATCTCAGTATGTGCCCCTAATAAATAAGGACTCCTTTAAAAAATACACAACCACAATTTCATTATCACGCCTAAAAGAGCTTAGTAATCAAGGATTCCTTAATTCATAAAATATTCAACAAGTGCTTACATTTCTCCAACTGTCTCAAATTGTATTCTTTTACATTTTGCTAGTTTGAAACAGAATCCAAATAAGCCCCATACTCTGTAATTGGTTGATGGAGCTCTTCATACTCTTTTAATCTACAGATTTCCTCCCTCTATTTCTTTTTTCCACCTTGCCATTTAGTAAACCAGCTCATTTGTTTAAATTTCCAATAGTCTGGATTTTGATTATTGTGTCACCATGTGTCATTTAACCTATTCCTCTGTTTCTGTATATTCTACAAATTGTTAGATCCAGAGGGTTGATCAGATTCAGGTTCAATTTTTTGGTACGAATACTTCCTCGGTGGTATTTCACACTTCTATCTGGAAGCATGTAACTATGCCTGGTTGCTTCTGTGACATTAGCAGACACTGATGACCACTGCCCCTTATTTCATTAGGAGCAGACACCCAATTACGAACCACACATTTTGATTAATCGCTGATATTATATGACTTCGTTGGATCCTACTGTTTTACTTAAAAATTTGGTCTGGAGGCTGAATCAGGGGAGAATTGCTAGAGCCTAGGAGTTAGAGGCGAGCCTGGGGGAACATAAGACATTTTCTCTAAAAAATAAATTCATAAATTAAAAAATAAAAAATTTGGGCCAGGCGCGGTGACTCATGCCTGTAATCCCAGCACTTTGGGAGGCCGAGGCGGCAGATCACGAGGTCAGGAGATCGATACCATCGTGGCTAACACGGTGAAACCCCATTTCTACTAAAAATACAAAAAAAAAAAAAAATTAGCCGGGCGCGGTGGCGGGCACCTGTACTCTGGAAGGCTGAGGCAGGAGAATGGCATGAACCTGGGAGGTGGAGCTTGCAGTGAGCCGAAATTGCACCACTGCACTCCAGCCTGGGGGACAAAGTGAGACTCCGTCTCAAAAAAATAAATACAAATAAAAAATAAAAAATTTGGGTGACTCTGGTTGGGTGTGGTGGCTCACGCCTGTAATCCCAGCACTTTGGGAGGCCGAGGCAGGCGGATCACAAGGTCAGGAGTTCGAGACCAGCCTGGCCAATATGGTGAAGCCCTGTCTCTACTAAAAATACAAAAATTAGCCAGACGGGGAGGCAGACGCCTGGAGTCCCAGCTACTCGGGAGGCTGAGGCAAGAGAATTGCTTGAACCCGGGAGCTTGCGGTGAGCCGAGATCGGGCCACTGCCCTCCAGCTTGGGAGACAGAGCCAGACTCTGTCTCAAAAAAAAAAAAAAAAAAAAAAAAATTGGGTGATTTGAAATTAACAAATGGAATGGAAATAGAGAGGTTTCTATTTCAGTTAATTTTTGTGATCTGACCTGAACATCTGGGCCAGTAAACAGCATAAGGGATGTGTCATGGCTCTCTAAGGGTCACATCTAGCATGGGGCTTAACACTGGTGAGCAGGAACAATATGGCCTTTAGGTGTTCAAGGAAATGCGAACAGTGTTGGTATAGATTTTGTAAAAATGTTCTAAATCCAAAATGTGTTAACTCCTGCTAAAGGAACGACTTTGCCCAAGTACCATTTTGGAATAAATCATGGGCGTAAAGGGGTCTTTCCAAGTTCCCAGTCCTCAATGACAGAAAATCAAAGCAGCCTCTTGAAACCCAGTTAAAACTCACTGCTACCTTCCTAGGTCAAACAGTAACAACAAAAAAACCCAGCAGGTTATATGCTTACAGGTTACTGCCTCTGTCTGGGCATGTGAATCGTGGCAGACATGCAGCCGCTTTAACTGTTAGGTGGAATAAAACACAAGAGACTGCTGCTGAATAAGAATTTTCCTCTTGGAGATTAAACATTCAACATTTCAAATATAAGTCATTTGTTTGATCAACAGGCAGGATGAGACAAGGCTGTTCTAGAGGAGGCAAAGCCCTTTGAATACAGAGAGGATGAAAAGAACAGTAGGTAATTGACAAGAGTTTGATTTTGCACTTTGGAAGCACCTTTGTGTGCTAGACACATGCTTCATTGTTGTAGCAGCAAAATAGCAGAATAAAAGGTGCTAGCTTTACAAGGTTCTATTTACAAAGATGCTTAAGAAAAGGCAAAAACTTCACTATGGTTAGATTTTTAGTTTTATTAATGGTCGCAGAAGCTAAACAGCACCCAAAAACAATTCTAAATTAGGAGGGCTAAAAAACAGAAATTAGGACCAAGAACAAATTTTTTAAAATCTAGAGACTGAAATTGCAATTTTAATATAATAAAATCCCTCACCCCCTCTAATTCTCTACGGTCATAAAAATAATCCAATTTAACAAGTGTTACAGGAATTAAAGTACTACAAAGACAGAGACTAAGTATGTCATATTTACAGCTATATCAATCCCTGGTACATAGTAGGTGTTCAACAAAAAGTGTTGCATTAATGAATAAAGTCCTAAAAGTATTAAAACCGAAAGTTCCAATTGTGAAATAAAACTGTACAATGCTAAGTTGAATCTCGACTAGCTGTCATCTCAAAAACCCTGTCAAAGCTGCTTAATAAAAGTGTTGGGTTGATACACTGCATGTCTAGAAAGTTGTAAAACAACTGGAGAAGGTCCAGAGACAAACCTGACTTGCTCCAGATTACAGAGAATGACAGCTAGACTTACTGTTTGCATTCTTGTCTCTGCCTTTTGGTGAGCCGTTTCCATTCTAACAAAATCTTCTCATTTTTAATATTTATATGTCTAATGATTTAATATCATACCACATCACTCTGGCCTTCAAGGTGCCCTGGACACACATTTTTCTGATTTACCTTTACACAGATTATACGCAAACTGGCCAGAAATCATTCATTTCAACATGAACCTCTCAGGTAAGAATTGTGGTCTTACTTCTCTCTCCAGAAACAGCTTTCTTCACAGACTCTGTTTAAAACCAGCTCCCGGCCGGGCGCGGTGGCTCACGCCTGTAATCCCAGCACTTTGGGAGGCCGAGGCGGGCGGATCACGAGGTCAGGAGATCGAGACCATCCCGGCTAAAACGGTGAAACCCCGTCTCTACTAAAAATACAAAAAATTAGCCGGGCGTAGTGGCGGGCGCCTGTAGTCCCAGCTACTTGGGAGGCTGAGGCAGGAGAATGGCGTGAACCCGGGAGGCGGAGCTTGCAGTGAGCCGAGATCCCGCCACTGCACTCCAGCCTGGGCGACAGAGCGAGACTCCGTCTCAAAAAAAAAAAAAAACCAGCTCCCTCCACCACCATCTTCTGTAAGCTTGTCCAGACATGGGGTACATCATTAGGCCAGGTCTTCCAGTCATTCCCTTGCTTGCAAAGCAATCATTTATAGGCGTTTGGTGCTTTGTCTGACATCTGTTTGATGCTGGAACTCTAGCCTTTGTCTCAATGAATCACTTGTCGGTGAAAGTCCATTGTAGGCTGGATTTCACACTTTCAGGAGGGGTTTGCCTGTGATGGAAGTGATCTTAGGCTTTTTGAAATAACCAGCTCCCTCCGCCTCCCTATATTCCATGAAGAAACAGGAAAATGAGAGAGTCTGGGGAACCTGGTGCTTATTCAAGCCTCATTTTGATTTGTTCCCTTGGGCCTGAGCCAGGTTAGCATCTCTGGGGACTACATTGCCAACTCACCTCCATGGTTGAAATGTTGCTGCTAGAAGAAAACTAGGCTGAAACATTTATGTAGGATTCTTTGAGATCATCAGATAAAAGGAAGAGATTTTTGAAAAAGAAGGAAGGAAAAAGGGAATTCACCATTATCTAGTAGTTAGCAGAAGATCGTTTTTTAAAAGTGTGGTGGAATGGCTGTACCCACGTTGGTCTATGTCTAGCTGGAGCAGTGGGGATAAGGAGTTGGACTGGATTATAAACCTGGCTGAGCCTAGCAAGGCATTACATCTAGAAACCACTTTCTTTATTCTCCCAACAGGGTACAAGTGACTTACAAGGCATATATGGTAAGTGAAGTTTCTTTGAAAGCCACCAGGCCCACACTATTCCCTTGTAGAAAGTGATTATTCATCTAGAATGCCCTGTGGAAATTCCTGTGTGCAGTCAGGACTTGAGAAGTACAGCAAGAAAGGGAAGGGGCAGGCTAAGCCTAAGAACCCTGTAGTTGGCCTTTCTAAACCAGGAGCCAGTGAATACAATATGCTTTGCAGAGCAGAGATGGCATGTGAGATGAGATTATAGAGAAAAATCTGATAGAGAAATCATGGGCTTTGAATTTCTCTTTGTTTCATAAGGAAAGGAAGATGCTAGACAGGGCGTATTGGAGAGATTCTTCTTTGTGACTTTTAACTTCTTTGCTTGGTTTCACAGTAAGTCACATTATGGAGAAGTTGTTACAAACAGATGAAACCCCAGGAAGGGAAGTCAGAATTTCCAGATCTGATGAGACAGTGGGTGGAAGAAAAGTTTGTCATTTAAAGCTTTAATTCAAAGAGAATAGGAAAGGGGAGGAGAAACTGACATCCCATCTGAGGCTTCTAAGGGATCCTTTTCATGTTCCTAAATTAGTACAAGGGGGTGTGGGGTAGGGTGCCAAACCTTGGGCTCATCAGTCACTTCATGCATCTGAGTTGAAAAACATTTAACCCTGAGATGCACATAATTTAAACATGCTGATTCACTGGTGACCAAATGCTGTGAGCCCTTGGGAGCCAGGAATTCCCAACATGATGTGGTAATGCATTTTACAGCATGAACTTCAGATCTCCAGGACCCAGGCTGGGGAACAAGACAGGGACTCTACATTCTAAAGTTTCTGCATAACAAACACAGACCCTCCCTTCCAAATGCATTGAAAATGAGGGATCCCAAAGGGCAACTCCCACTTCCAGCCCCACCACCCTACATACCTTTTCATTTCTGTTTGCGCCATTAGGTCAGGAGGTTAATGAAAATGCACTCTAAAGTTATAAAGAGGATGAAGCCAGGCACGAATATTAGATTTCCATTCAAGTCTGAATATGCAATATGGACATGAAGAAAACCCCATTTGCTTCAAAATCTTACAGTTCTGTTCACATTTACTTGGATAGGACTGAGATGCTTAGGAAGTTGATAACTGCTAATTGCCTACACTAGAAATAAACCTAGGAATGAAGGTTAGATTCCCAGCTTAGAAGTGAAACGTTGCAAGCTCTCTGTGTAGTCAAATACTAAGTGATGATAACGTTGCATTTGGGACCAAGCAAAAGCTGGGATTTAAATTTTTCATCTTCAATTACGTATTTTTTTTCTTTTTCTCTCTTCTTCTATCTATCTACCACTTGATTTTTCTTTCTTACTCTTTTTTTAGACCTGCATCCTTAAGGATGGATCTGTAAATGCACAGTATTTCCTCGAGTCACTTAAAAATATTACTTAACAGCATCAATCACCATTGAATGAAATAACTCATTGCACCAAACTTTGCCACTCAAGTTAATTTCACAGCACATATTATAAAATAATCCTTTGATTGAAGGATGATGCTTTATAATAATATCTTGAGTCTGTTCACACACTCCGAAGGAACAGCTTCAATAAGAGTAAATTGCTGCTGAAGACAAACCAACTGGAAAAGATACTTGCTTTTTTTTTTTTTTTTTTTCTTTTAAGGTTTTCACAATGGCTTCAAAGGAAATGCGAATTAATCATTTGTTTTGACCCAAGAGCAGCAGAACTTATTTTGGAGACAAACAGGCGACACAAACGTAAACAGAAATCTGGGACTCCCAAATGCTAAAGTTGAAAGGAGTTAGTCTGAAAACACCAGTTCTACTCAGCGTTTATTTTTCATTTGAAGATAGTGGAAATCGTAGAAATCATGGACAATACAAGTTGGTCTTGCCTGGTAAATGTCCACATGAATCTGTTAGCCTCTAAGTACAGGTACAGTATTTTTTTAATAGAAAGACAGGGCAATATGGCAGTTAATTAGCAACCAATACTGTCAACTACAGTGGATACAAAGTTTTATCATATAAATTAATTGCCATTACAAAAAGGCAACTGCTTTAGCTAAGAAGGTACAAAAACTGGAAACGTCCATAAATATTACAAGAAGCTAGGTGAAGAAATACATAACAGACTGTTTTTCCTATATAATATTTGAATATGCAAACCAAGACACCTGTGGCACTTTACATGAAAGTAGGAAAAGGGACTTACACTCCCACCCCCAGCCATCCCACCCACCCCACCACCCACCCACCCATCCCCACCCGTTCAGGCCCCACCCCGCCCCCACGTGGATTTCCAAAACATGGCAAATTCTAGGGTTACAAGGACAGGATGCCGCGCGGAAGCAGCAAGACAGCGAGCTCCGACCTGCTAGACAAAGAGGGAGCCTTATTGACAGTTGTAAAGCATTAGGCGTCAGACAGAAACTTGTCAAAAACAGCTGTTGTTGGGTACTGATTGATAATGTTTTCATTCTGACGGCTGAGACGCTGCAGACAGTCGTGGGTTTGAGGAGAGGCCCATCACTGGCGCACACATGAACACACACACGCAGACCACGGGAAGTCATTTAACAGATGGCTTAGGAGCACTCAGCCACGGTGTCTTAAAAAGACAACATTCTACATTTAATGAACTTGCAGGGAAAGCAAGGCCTAATAATCATTTATTTTTCATAGAAGATGAGCACAACAGGACAAAATAAAAACAGGAATTGTGTAACTGGTCATCGGAATAAAAGTTTTGTGCTGCTCAGGGATTACACAGTGTTAAAAATATTCAAGAATGCTGCAGACAAAATTGTATACGAATCACTATGTATCCTTCCTGATTCATGACATTAAAAAAAAAAAGCTTAAAGAAGTGTTTGATGTTTCAAAGGTAATGATTTCATTACAATCTACTCATAAGATTAAACCACAAAAACTACATTTAAATGGCATTAAGGGTCTGAAGTCTATCTTCTGGAGAATTACCAGGTATTACATCATTCTGTAATATAGTGTGAGTCTGTGGTATTTGGGTATCAGTCCATTTTACTTAAAATTACAAACATGTTTTTACACTCATGTGCAGGGAGCAGTTTTTTTTATCATTTGGCCACTTAGTATTTTAAGTGGTCAAAGTCTACAAAGTATGCCAAAGAATATTTCATCTGTGAACCTCAATATGCATAGATTTTTTTCCTGATTTAGAAAAGATCAAAGGTGCTAAACCTTAGTAAAACTGTACATTTATCCCTATGCAATTTTGTCATTTAAATTAAATGGAAAAAAAACTAGTTCCAAAGACTGAATATGAGTCCCAATATTATTTATTTGCTGCAGCCCCAGCACAATTTTAAGGGCACATTGAAACCCCTGAAAATAGAGGTTTATAATAGAAATACTGATAAACCTTTAACTACTAGAGGAAGGCATTAACAGATTCCAATAAACTACAGTAACACGTAATGAATGAATATATAGATGATTCTGTCTTTGTTATCTTTGTCAAATCCATGCCATCTTAAACCCTAACCAGTATAAATTATACTTTTTCTGGCTGTTTTTAAAATTTTTATCTATTATTTTAAAAATTATTTTCTCTATTTTAATCAAACACTTGAAGTTTTTAGAAAAAGATACCTATGTTACATTGCAGCTTCACTTTATGCAGGCTCATCATTCCATTAAACAATATTTGAAGACTCGAATCAATCAAATACAGTCTGTGATGCATGCATTGTACCTAAATTTCCTCTAACCACTCTCAGAAACTGAAACAATGTCTTTGCTCTTAAAAGAGAAGAGACTTCAGATGTAATCAAGAAAACATTGTGTAACTTGCCTCTAAGCTCTTCAGAGCCAATTTTACTATGGCAGGATATTCCTTCCTGATAAGGTGATTAATGAAGTTTTTGGTGCTCACTTTTCTCTCATAGTCTATAAGCTCAGTATACCAAAAAAAAAAAAAAATTAGATAAAATAAAACAAAACCCCCAATAGGTCTTGAAAATAATATAAATATTTTGTGGAGTCCCAGTCACATAATACTCCACTCCCAAACCCAGAGAAAATGATCAAGGTCTTGTGAGTCTTTCTGAGTCCTTCAAAAGGGATTTGATTTCCATAAGCCATGAATTCCATCCGTTTCAGCACAGAGTATAGAAGAGATGCTTAGAACAACAGAAGGAAGAGACATGCGGGGAAGATAATTAGTGGTAAACAGAGAATAAATTCTCTCTCAGTAGTGTGTACTTGACGTTAATGCCGATGATAATTCATCTGATCTACAGAATATTCACTTTAATAGAGAGATGAGAGTCTGAAATGACCAGAGGAAAATAGATACTGAAGCCAATATAGTCTTGATACCAAAATAAAATTAAAATGAGAAACTAACATGATAGGTTCAAGGCCTTTTGGGAGCCTGTTTTCTTTGCCAGATTTCACATTCTTACAGCTTCATGGTCTTTTTCTTCTAACAAATTAATCAGCTGAGAGAAGCTGTCTTTCAGTGCATCCATGTCATCCAGTGAGCAGGGCTGTAGAATCCAGCGTTTTCCACGTGCAAGTGGTTCAAGTTCAAAATATTTTTTGATCTTAAGAGGAAAAAATAAAGATAAATAGGTTATTAATTATATCAGAAACTTTCTCATATCAAAATTCTGAGGGATAAAGTAGGGGAATTTCGAGGCGGAATTTATACGAACTGTGATGCCTACAACTTTGCAATGTGGATGCCTGTCCGCAGCTGTTGTTATAATGTGGGTTATATATTGTGACCTGGGAGTGTTTTCTTTAGAGGTGAATGATCTGCGTGCAAGCCACCATTCCACCCATACATTTAGCAGCGTGGGAGGTCTGATGAAGTCAGAGAAAAAATTATTTGCACTATGGCACCAGTCAAGATACATTGCAGACACCAAAAGATTCGATTTCATCAAAATAATTAGCAGAGTAGCTTTCACTATCTCACCTTGCCAACTTATTAAATGGGTGACGACTTACAGTAGGTACTATATTGATTACTCAAGACTCAATTATTTTGACCATCAAGCACATAACACAACAAAAATCTAATTTAAATAATCTTCTTCTCTTTCTCTCTCAAATTTCTAGTATCTGCTTCTGAGACATGAGAGCGTGTTTTCTAGGAAAGAGGATAGAAACTGCATGTATGTATGTTTGTATGCATATACACACTTACATAAATTTACATATATGCGTAAAATCTTCTACCTTTTTTTTTCTTTTTCAGTCCTGAATTTTCTAGGATGGAAAAAGCAAGAACTTATAATAGGTATGTGCTGAAAAACCTGTTCAATTAATAACCAGTCACAAGTCACTCTTACTATATTGGCCAGCATACTGACTAACGGCATTTAGTATTACCAATTCCTGGCTGTGAATAAATAGCAAATTATTATGGCTTCTAGAAGTATTGATGATCTTCTCTCAAAAGGTATCATAAAACACAAAGTTCAGGAAGCTCCCGACTCATACACACTGTATCATACAAAAGTAGAACATTATATTTATTGCCCAACAAAGTTTTACATAACATCAAATACAGTTAGTAGCAACATCAAAAGAGACATTGCTCAAAGATGTTCTTGGTTAACAAATTTCGTTAAATCTCATGTGTCATGAAAAATTACAGTCTTACCTTAGTCAATACTTGACCTAGAAAAAAAAGTATCTCCACTTTAAATGCCATGCTCAAATACGGTTTTATTTTGCCAGTACCAGTGCAGACTACTGTTTGTTGACAGTAGAGATATGCTATCCAAATTGGTATTAATATGTTTGTACATTTTTTCATATAAGCCAGAAGACATATATATCTATATATAAGAAATACTAAGCTATTATGCTAATTTAGGAACCAGAAATATACTAACATTTTATAGTCCAAGTATGTCCAAAAAGTCTCCTTATCAATGTCTGAAAGTTCATAATAAACACTAATTTAAAAAAAAAACCTGTGAGAATTACAAGATCCTCATTAATTCTGATTCTGAAGAGTAATGAACACCTCACTTGCAGATCAGAAAATGGATATACAACTTCAGAACAATTTTTTGCCCAAGGTGTTTTATAAATCATGTTAAGAGGATTCTTTGTTGTTGTTGTTTTTCTTTTTTTGTTTTATTTATTTATTTTTTTATTTTTATTTTTTTAGATTAGATAGGGTCTCAATCTGTCACCCAGGCTGGAGTGCAATGGTAGGAACACAGCTCACTGCAGCCTTGACGTCCCAGGCTTGGGCGATCCTCCCACCTTAGCCTCCTCAGTAGCTGGGACCATAGGTGCACGCCACAACAACTGGCTAATTTTTAAAAAATCTTCTGTAGAGGTGGGGTCTAACCATGTTGCCTAGGGTGGTCTTGAACTCCTAAGCTCAGGGGCTTCTGCCACCTCAGCCTCCAAAAGTGTTGGGATTACAGGCGTGAGCTACCATGCCCAGCTTTAAGAGGATTCTTGCTTACTGAAAACACAAACTCCATTCTTTTAGCTTGTTTTCTTTATGGCACTGAAAACTATTGACATCCAAGACAATCTGAAATTCCTGGTGCAAAGACCAGTATCAGGGACCAACCCAACTCCGCAGAGGGAAGAACTGCCAGTTAGCTGAGTAGGGGACCATTGGCCAATAGGGGAAAAAAGAGTAGGGAGGAGGGACTGGTAGGGAATCCTGGCTAAGTCCACCCTTAGAAGGAGGTGGGGGCTGCTCCAAAGAGCTGAAAATCAGAGATGTTGGTCTTGTTGCTTCTGCCACAAAGTAAGGCTTCAGGTTGTATCACTGAGCTCAGAAATTGGGACCACTGTGCTTACAATGCAATCTAGTATTTGATCAATAATGCTTCCCATCAGATGAAGTATGCAACATCCAAAATCTAGTACATAAAGGAAGTTGTGTCCCTGATACATATTATAAACCCAAATCCAAAAGGACAGCATTTTAAGTATTGCTAATGACTGAGAAGAGGGCTGGTCACAAGAAATTCAATATTAAAATAATAAATAATAATAATAATAGGAAGGCATCTCATTAACAATACTTCCTCTGGGTGGTTAATTTAAAAATAATACGGAATTGATCCCGGTAGCATATTTACAGCTAATTTGAAAACAATATTGGATTAAAATAATCACAAAGTATATCAGTAATATGTGATATTTTACAATACCTACCAGACATAAAACAGTGAAGTTCAGCTACCTGTTAAAGGTTGGTTTCTAGGCAACTGAAAATATAGTCTATCACACAGGCATACATGGAAGATAATACAGGTGTCTGCAGGTAGACATGATTCAGAAGTTGTTCCTGCTGAATACTAAACATGAGAAAGAAGTGGAGGTTACAGGGACAGAGTGGTCAGCAGATAAAGGGGCCTAGTGGTGTTAAGCTGACAAATATGGCTGGGTAATTCAAGATTTTCAGATCCATCACCTAAGTGGGTATCTAACACTGCCAATATTCACTCCACTGGTATCCACAGGATTCCACACAACTCTACATTTATGGTATCAATTTTTAAACGAGTTTTGCCATTTCACTAGTATTCAAGTACAGTGAGTGACTGCTGCTGGAACATTTATTAGCTTTTCATTACTTGGAATTTCATGTTTCTAAAAACAAAGACCACAGTACAGAGAGGAGAAGATGAGGACTTTATGTTCTAGTTCTGACTGTTTTTTTTTTTTTTTTTCCGAGACAGAGTTTTGCTCTTGTTGCCCAGGCTGAAGTGCAATGGCGCAGTCTCGGCTCACTGCAACCTCTGCCTCCTGGGTTCAAGTGATTCTCCTGTCTCAGACTCCCACGGAGCGGAGATTACAGATGCCTGCCACCAGGCCCAGCTAATTTTTGTATTTTTAGTAGAGACAGAATTTCACCACGTTGGCCAGGCTGGTCTCGAACTCTGACCTCAGGACAATCTGCCCACCTTGGCCTCCCAAAGTGCTGGGATTACAGGCATGAGCTGCTGGGCCTGGCCTAGGATAACATTTTTATTTTGTTATCTTATATCAATCTGAAATTCAAATTTTACTTTCCCTATGTTATTACAGTAACAATTACAGTCACATTTGAATTGTTCACCATTGCTTTTTTGTCTTTGTATATGTTGATGTACAGTTTTAAAGAATAGTGTTTAACTTTGAACAACGTAAGTCATATACTTAACATCTGACGTTATTTTTAAGGTTTAAAAAAAAAACTGCCTGTGATGCAATGATCTATTTTTTATGATGGACATACAATTTTTTAAGGCCATTTACTTATCAAGATGAACATCTTAAAAATGACTGAAGAGAACATGAACCTAAATCTTTTGACTACTTATCCGTTGCTGAACTAGCACGGTTAAGTGAAAACTTCTTGAATAAGGAGATAGTGATTGTTTCACATTGGCCTTTGGAGACGGCACTTGGGAGAATGACATCAGAATACAGCTGTCTGACAACCTGTGGTCATTTAGCTATTTTCAGGAAAGCCACAGAGAGTGGGCATTTATTAGTAGCCATGTGTCCACCCTAGAGATAGGAAAACAAAGCCACCACCAGCAGCCAACCTATTTTAGCCCTGTCACCAGAGCCTTTCTCCACTCATGCCACTGCCGGCTGATTGGCATGACTGCGTTCCATTATTCACACATCGCGTTTACTGTAAAGTCCCAATATAACAGAGACGACTCGGCACCATCTCACTGCTGCTAATGTTTGTAGCAGCTGTTAAACCTGTGAGACATTACATAGCACTGGAGACCCACTCATTGGGTAGGAGATGTCCTTTATGTTTCCTTGAGCAGTGAAATCACAGTATCATCCTTTCCTAGGTCCAGGATCTCTAACGGGGCAGTGATGCTCTCTGATTTCCCTATCTTGCCCTCACTTGAGATTCAAAATTTTGATTTTCAGTTCTTGCCAATTTGGTGTGACTAAATTTCTAGAAGGCATGTAAACAGTTTTGAACTTCAATAACAAGTCTTTCCTTTTTAAAAATCTGCAAACTTCATTTTATTTCTAATGGTAGGCTGCTTGTTTTTCCTCTGTTTGTTATTAAACCAGTAGTGTGTGCCCAGAGTTGAACTAGTTTTCCTGTAAGCATTCTGGGGAGCAGGGGAACAGAACAGTCCAGAAAGGGTTTACTTAGTGTTTGTGTGTGAAAGAGAGTCATGTTCTCAGCTCAGATATTTATAAACAGAGCTTTGACCCACAAGAACGTGTTGTGAGACATGGAGAGCCAGGGTGTGTGACAGTTCCTTACTGCGTGGGACTCTGCTCTGCATCATAGAATACGCCACCCCTAGTTCTACTGAGTTAGATGCCATGGGCAACAACCAGTCATTGCTAGAAATGAAAACAACCTGCACCCTCCCATGCCCAACACATTCCCTGGGTGGTCCTGCCCGTTGGGAACTGCTGCTCTTGCCATGTGAAATACAGGTACCTCTCACCCTGTATGGGGCTATTAGCTTATTTTTTCTGCATAGTCACCACTGGGGATGGCAGCTGGATATCTGCTTTCCCCATTCTCCCCCAGATCACCCACTACACACAATGCCTATGTTCCCTCTGTGAAAAACTAGTGGATTATAACTGACCCTTCTTAAGCCTGCGAGGTGGTTGTGGTGGGGTCAGGATCTATCTAAGGAGCTTTGGAAAGTTTTGCCCTAAAAGTTGGCTTCCCATAACTTCATTCACTCAGCCGCTCTGTCCTGAACGAGACTGGAGAGTGTGAGAAGGCAGCTCGGGTGCCAGCACTCCAGGTGCCAGCAGACGGGGCTCCACTGAAGACACGATGCTGCAAACTGAAAACAAAACAACAACAGCAGTGGTCTGAGAAGAGCACTGTCCTCATCATTTGTATTATAAGAGTACAGGGTTTTCCCCCATGAGCTTTTTAGTGACCATAAAAGACCGTTTAATACTGCACAGTTTACTAAGGGCTTTTTCACTTATTTATAGCACTTGGACTTACTTCCACTGGAAGGCAGAAAAACAATGGATTCCAATAAAGAGGGATATGATTACTTAGACTAGTTCTTAAATCACAGAACTCAATTTGAATAAAAAGTATCTGGATAGAAGACTGTTAAAATAAACTTTAGAAATAAAGGCACATTCTCCATCTCTGGAAAAGGAAACAGGTCTCATGAAGGAGTCTAGGTTGACAACTTTAGCTCCTTCAAACTGATGGGGATAGGTCAGCTAATGCAGATGACTGGGTGAGGATCTCAAACCAAATACAAAAGGCCAGGAAAAAGAAGTGCAACTGTGGGATGTGACAGGGAGAAGGGCAAGCTGGAAGATGATGCAAGAGAATCTGTTAACTGTCTTGAACCACGTGCAGCTATTACTGCTTTCTTGTAAGTTTAAATACACAGTGTCCATTGCATGGCATGTATTTTTCAAAGAACTATAGGAATCATGGTTTTGGGATGGATTCATATTGGTTCTGTTATTTATTTATTATTACTGTTACTTTTTTTTTTTTTTTTAAAGAAATAGGCCCTAGCTCTGTCACCCAGGCTGGAGTGCTGTGGCACAATCATAGCTCACTTCAGCCTTGAACTCCTGGGCTCAAGCAATCCTCCCACCTCAGCCTCCTAAGTAGCTGGGACTGTAGGAATGTGCTATCATGCCTGCCTAATTTATTTTTTATTTTTTGTAGAGACATTATCTCATTATTTTGTTCAGGCTGGTCTTGAACTCCTGGCCTCAAGTGATCCTCCTGCCTTGGCTCCCAAAATGCTGGAATTACAGGCATGAGCTACTGTGCCTGGCCTATACTGGTTTTAAACTCTCTAGTAAAAGTATGGTCTTGCTCCAATTAATAGGATGCCAAGAGAGCCTGAATGGACAGCAAAATTTCGTAGGACCTTTTCCATGATTGTTACAAAAAGAGTGGGACTTTCCTTGTCTATGTCCTAGCACCTTTCTTTAATCACTAGAGTAGATAGACCTATTGTGTGAACGTGTCACATTAGCGGAAAATATTTGCATTGAAATTTTTCTCAGTGATATGGTGGGGCCCGCTGACATAGGGCTGGCAATAGCTGATTGTGTGCATTCTCCTTCCAACTCCAGGTACACGGATGTCAAATTGTACAAGTCATGAACGTGGCCATGGTTTGAGTATTTACACCACAGAAACCTGCGAGTACAACAAATCAGGACTTTTTTTCTTTTTAAAGGGACACATTTAGGCTGGGCACGGTGGCTCACGCCTGTAATCCCAGCACTTTGGGAGGCAGAGGTGGGCGGATCATGAGGTCAGGAGATTGAGACCATCCTGGCTAACACGGTGAAACCCCGTCTCTACTAAAAGATACAAAAAAATTAGCAGGGCGTGGTGGTGGGCGCCTGTAGTCCCAGCTCCTCGGGAGGCTGAGGCAGGAGAATGGCGTGAACCCGGGAGGCGGAGCTTGCAGTGAGCCGAGATCGCACCACTGCACTCGAGCCTGGGCGACAGAGCGAGACTCCATCTCAAAACAAACAAACAAACAAACAAACAAAGTCACATTTACCATCACACTACTGAGTGTATACATCTTGTATATGTATTTGCAAAAGGGCCCTCCAGCTTTGCTGCCTTCATTACAGAGGCTCATGAAGCCAGCTTAACTGGGTAACCTTCACCAAAGTCAGAGAAAGCCATGCCCACGCCATGGCTCCAGGACAGGGTCTGGAGATAAAGTGGCAGGGCATCATTAAGATTCTTCAGAGTGCATTCTTGGCAGCTTGTTCAAAGAAAGGTTAGTCTAGAGAGCAGCACCAGCTGTTCCTCTTTTCATTGCAGGATTTTGAAATCCTTAGAAAGGTACTAAATATGTCATTAAAGGCAGAAATAAATGATACAAATAAAAAACCAACTTGCCACAGTCCCCAAAATATTATAACACAGAATGGATATTATTCACTTTTTACTGAGTGCTTAACAAGGACCTGAAAATGATGACTTGATGTTAACCAATATCACAATATTACTTTGGGGGTGCGTATTTATTTCAAAAAGATGGTAAGTACAAAAGTATAGTTCTCATAAGATGCTTCTTTCTTAAGGATACTAAAGTTCAGTGCAGCCTACCTGAATAATTGAAAACCAGACAAATAATTGCAGGTAATCACCTGTGATTGAGCCTTGCTCTTACTATAAGTCATCTTCCCCAATCAGTAACCTCCGACATGTATAGAATTTTATTTGTTGTGACAATAATTGTGTAGAAACCCAGTCTTCCAATGCACGGGAGAAGTTAGTATGTCCCAGAATAGCCAAATAAAATGATCCCATTAGCTTTGGTGGTAGGACCTAGGATCTGAAAAACAGTCTTGTTTTTGCTTAATCTGATTACCAAGAAGTACAGAGCAAACATGTCTGTTTTTATTTAAATTATTATTTTTGGTATGCCTTAGGGGCTTGTTTTATTCTTCTATCCAAAAAGCTTACTTCTAGATAACCACTATGAGAGGCACAGTTATGTATGGGTGCTTCTTGTCTTCAGGGACTAATGAAAGACATCCAGTATTCCCATATCTGTACCCTTCTCTACTCCAGTTATTCTATCAGGCCCTCTACAGCCTGAGGGATTCCTGCATCCAGGCCTTTGCTCCAACTACTGCTTCCAACCCTAGGTGCCTCCATCCACAGGTGGGAAGGATCAGCCTATAAATACTCTCTCATCTTTTAAGACCAAGCTGATGTCCTCCTATCACCTCAAGGGGATCGCTTATGATATAGGAGCAACTTTTGAATTATATAGAAGGGGTCTTAGTAGCAGAGGCCATTGTTGGTTGCCTCCTCATCACCCAGGCACCATAAATTCCCTGTAAATAAAATTTTATTAGAACTCAGCATGCTCATTTACTTAAGTATTATCTATGGCTGCTTTCATGCTACAGTGGCAAAGTTGAGTAATTGCCACAGAGATGGTATGTCCCACACGGCCTAGAATATTTACTACCTAGCCCTTTATAGAAAATAAAAAGTCAACCCCTGGCCTAAAGCATTCTGTAGCCTTCTGCTTTGTCTAGCAGGGAGGCCCAAGGAGTGCTTGGGAGGAGCCTGGGGCATCAGGCTTTCTGTGCCTCAGTTTGACCTCAAATTGCTAGACTTCCTCTCCCCTGCTTTAGTTCACACTTTAGTGGGACAGAGGATTTGGGCTTTCCAGCTTGGCTGGGCTCCAGTTACGACTTCGGATGCTTTGAACTGTAGTCAAGCAGGCAGTAGGGTCATCTCTCATTAAAGAAAGCCATATTTTATTTCCTCTCTGTGTTTAGCCTGTGTTTCTTTCGTGTATGTAGAGACTTGCTAAGACCACAAGAACAAGCCAGGGCACAGGAAGTTTTCTTACCAACTCCCTTAGTACTACTCCCCATTAGGCAAGTGGTCAGTGACCTGTCAGTTTGAGGTTTTTGGTGCCCTTGAGGATGGCTTTTGGTGCACAGCAATACTAGTTATTGTTACTTTGCAGTTTTGAAAAGGAATATACAGTTTGTTAAATTTACACCACCTGAAGCCTAGCTTTTCCTGAAATTTTTGTGTTACACTTAAAAATTTTAATATTCTATCTACATATCTTTTCAATTTTAACAATTACATTTATGGTGCCTTTGAATACTCTTTGGGTGCATTTATAAACTAAGTTCATTTTTAACTCATTTTATAATTCCATTTATAAGTTTAATATATTCAGTTTTCTTTTTAAGCATTTCAACTGTTTAACAATCAAAACATCCCCAAGTGGTTGAGAATCTTAGAATTTTTTTCCATGAATTTTATGAATTAAATGACTCTCAAGTTCTGGTACATTCTAAATGAGAATCACAAAGAGAATCTATCAGTTTGATCTATGTGTAACATATACTTTAAATGAAAGTATTAATATTGTGGGGTTATTTTATCATTTTAATTTTACTTTTTAATGTTTTTTTTGAGACAGAGTCTTGCTCTGTCACCCAGGCTGGAGTGCAATGGCACCATGTCGGCTTGCTGCAACCTCCACCTCCCAGGTTCAAGTGATTCTTGTGCCTCAGCCAACCGAGTAGCTGGGCTTATAGGTGTGCACTGCCACGTCCCGCTAATTTTGGTATTTTTGGTAGAGACAGTGTTTTGCCATGTTGGCTAGGCTGGTCTTAAACTCCTGACCTCAAGTGATCTGCCTGCCTCGGCCTCCCAAAGTGCTGGGATTACAGGTGTGAGCCACCACGCCCAGCCTATTTAATCATTTTTATACTCTTAATGTTAAATCTTCCAGGGTAAAAAGACTTTTCATTAAGGAAACAATTTGCCATCCCAAATGAAAGGGGTTATAATTCCATGTAACTTGAGGTTCCCATCTAATTGAACTTGTGTTGGTTTCCCTTTATTTATTTATTTATTTTTTCTTTCTTTTGAGACGGAATCTCACTCTGTCGCCCAGGCTGTATTGCCATGGCATGATCTCGGCTCACTGCAAGCTCCACCTCCCGGGTTGTTCACGCCATCCTCCTGCCTCAGCCTCCAGAGCAGCTGGGACTACAGGCGCCCGCCACCACGCCCGGCTAATTTTTTGTATTTTTAGTAGAGACGGGGTTTCACTGTGTTAGCCAGGATGTTCTTGATCTCCTGACCTCATGATCCGCCTGCCTTGGCCTTCCAAAGTTCTGGGATTACAGGTTGTGAGCCACCGCGCCCAGCCCAAACTTGGGTTGCTTTTCAATCAAAATTTTTGGAGATACTCATTGACAAGTTAAGCCCTTTCAAAAAATAGTTGTGACAACTCTTAGAAAACGTCGGTCTTCAAAGGGGGTTGTTTGCTCCTGGATTAGGAGGTAGTTATCATTACCTACTTCACTGTCTACTCACACAGATGGATACTCCCACCTAAGATTCTAGATAATTTCTTCCACTGCTTGGTTGGACTTTATGTTTCTTTAGCACATGTTTTACTATCTTTCCATCTTGCTCTACAGATATTCCATTTTCTTTTACTGATAATTTGTATACTATAAAATTCATCCTTTGAAAGCATACGATTCAGTTGCTTTTAGTATATTCATAGGGTTGTGCAACAATCATCACCATCTAATTCCAGAACATTTCTGTCATCTAGAGAGAAACACCTGAACCATTAATAGTCATCCCCCAATTATGCTTTCCTTCAGCCTTTAGCAACCACTACTCTACTTTGTTTCTTCATGGATTTGCCTATTCTGAACATTTCATATAGATCAAATCATGTAATATGTGGTCTTTTGTGTCTAGCTTCTTTCACTTAACACAATGTTTTCAATGGTCATCCACACTGTAGTATGTATCAATACTTCATCCCTTTTTACGGCTGAATAATATTCCACTGTGTGGATATATCCCATTTTGTTTATCCATTTATTGGTCGGGTTCTACTTTTTGGCTATTATAAATAATGCTGCTTTTTATGAGCAGTTTTGTGTAAACACATGTTTTCATTTCTTTTGGGTATATATCTAGGGATGGAATTCCTGGGTCATGTGTTAAATCTATGTTGTCAAATGCTTTTCCTGCATTTGACATGATCTATTAACATGACTGTATGATTTTTATCTTATAGTATATTAATATAATGTGTTACACTGATTTTTGTATGTTGAAACAACTTTATATCCTGAGATAAACTATGCTTGATTATCATATATATAATTCTCTTTTATATGTTGCTGGATTAATTTGTTAGTACAGTTGATCCTTGAACAACATGGGGGTTGGGGTGCTGACGGCCACACAGTCAAAAATCCATGTATAACTTTTAAGTCCCCCAAAACTTAACTACTAATAGCCTACTGTTCACTGGAAGCCTTGCCAATTAACATAAATTTTGTATATTATATGCACATTACATTATTACAATAAGATAAGCTAGAGAAAATAAAATGTCATTAATAAGATAATAAGGAAGATAAAATATATTTACTATTTATTAAGTGTAAGGGGATCATTATAAACTTCTTCACTGTCTTCATGTTGAGCACGCTGAGGAGGAGGAGGAAGAGAGGTTGGTCTTGCTATCTCACAGGTGGCAGAGGCAGAAGAAAATCTGCATATAAGTGGACCCACACAGTTCAAACCCATGTTGTTCAAGAGTCAAATATATTGGTTGAGAGATTTTTGCATCTATATTCACAAGGAATATTGGTCTTTAACTTTTTTTTGTAATGTATTTGGTTTTAGTATCATAGTAATCTTGGTTTTGTGGCATGAGTTGGGAAGTGTTCCCTCCTCTTCTACTTTTTGGAATGGTTTGAGAATTGGTGTAAATTCTTTAAACGTTTGGTAGAATTCAGCAGTGAAGCAAGGGTCCTGGGCTTTTCTGATGGGAAGGGTAATTCAATGTTTTTACTTGTTATAGGTCTAATTTTGATTTCTATTACTTCTTGAGTAAATTTCAGTAGTTTGCACCCTTCTAGGAATTTGTACATTTAATGTAGTTTATCTAGTTATTTGGCAAACAATTTTTTTAATTGTATTCCTTCATAGTCCTTTATATTTCTTTTTTTTTGGTTTGGGTTCCACCCGCTGCCCCCCCTACCCCCGACAGACCTCACTCTGTTGCCCAGGCTGGAGTATAGTGACACTATCATGGCTCACTGTAGCCTCAACCTTCCAGGCTCAGGTAGCCTGGAACCTTCCAACCTCAGCCTCCTGAGTAGCGAGGACCACAGGCGTGTACCACCATGCCTGGCTAATTTTTGTATTTTTTTGTAGAGATGGGATTTCATCATGCTGCCCAGGCTGGTCTCGAACTCCTGGGCTCAAGCAATCCTCCTCTCTTGGCCTACCAAATTGCTGGGATTATAGGCATGAGCCACTGTACCCAGCCCCTTTTTATTTCTGCAAGGTTGGTAGTTGTGTCTCTTCTTTCATCCCTAATTTTAGAAATTTAAGTTTCCCTCATTTTTGCTTTGTTAGTTGATTAAATATTTGTCAAACTGGCTGTGCGTCTTGGCTCACACCAGTAATCCCAGCACTTTGGGAGGCTGAGGTGGGTGGATAGCCTGAGGTCAGAAGTTTGAGACCAGCCTGGCCAACATGGTGAAACCCCATCTCTACTAAAAATACAAAAAATTAGCCAGGCGTGGTGGTGCACGCCTGTAATCCCAGCTACTCAGGAGGCTGGGGCAGGAGAATCGCTTGAACCTGGGAGGCAGAGATTGCAGTGAGCTGGGATCATGCCACTGCAGTCCAGCCTGGGTAACAGAGTGAGACTCTATCCCAAAAAAAAAAAAAAAAAAAAAAAAAAAAAAAAAAAAAAAATAGATTTGTCAATTTTATTGGTCTTTCAAAAAAACTAACTTTTGGTATTATTGATTTTCTCTATTGTTTTCCTAATCTCTATTTCATTTATTTCTAGTGTAATCTTTATTATATTCTTTCTTCTGTCTGTTTTGGTTTAGTTTGCTCTTTTTTCTCCTACTTTCCTAAGGATGAACAAACATTTAATTTTAATGGCATTTTAAGAGCATTCTGTTGGATCTCACCCCCATATATATTATTATGTTTCAATTTCTAGCTTTTTTGATTGATTCAAGTAAATGAAGTTCTATATTCTTTTCCTTGTTTTCTTATCTAGCATGGTTATACCTCTTATACATGTTAAAAATAAAATTCAGTTGGATTATGTCTCTCTCACATTTTGTTTCTGTATTCACAAGAGTTAATGACATATTCCAAGTTACGACAAGAAAAAATGTAAATGATCTGTTTTTCAATCAGTGAATAGGATTTCTAATCTTACAAATCAGGGACAGAAGAGTCCTCCTTACTTTTTTCCTCCCTACATCTATTTATCCAATTCTACATTGCGGAGTTCACTTGTAGCAACCACTTCTAGTACCAAATTATGAGTAACTGAATGTTAATGTTTGGTAGAATTAACTCAGCAATCCCTTCTAGTACGAAATTATCAGTAACTGAAGAGGCCTGTGGTTGACAGAAACAGAATGCCCAACTTAAACTGGCCTAAAAAGATGAAGAGGATTTATTTGTTTATAAAACTGAAATATCCCCTGCTAGTGTGTGCCCACTGGATTCAGAGGTTCATAAGGTAATCAAAGCTGAGGTTTGGTTTCTAGGTAGTCTCCGCAGGATACAAATGCTGAAAGATAGCTGATACATGAAGAAATAGCCAAGAAAACTGCAGGTGTGATTGAACCACAAACCCCTGAATCAAGCTATGCCAAAGGCCTGCAATCTGTGAACTTTTTAGTTATAGGAACCATTATACTCTGCTTATAACAGGCATTATAAATAATTATTGTATAAATTAATGGGTTAGGCTATCAAGACTCAATGCAGATGAAGCATCTCCACAAGTCTCTGGTGAACTCCATTTTCAGTTACAGCATAATCCAGATTTGGATAATTATTCCCTATTTTTTTCATGTGTATGAGTCCTCAGTTCCTTGAGGGCACAGAAATGAAAAAAAATTGTATTATCTAGTATTCTCAATATAATGTGAGACACAAAGAGGATACTTATTTGAAAAAAATAGATTTAAATAGCTGAGCTACAATGAAAAAGACAACAAAATATGTACTATATTTCATTCCATGTTAAAATGTTAGTAAAAGAAGAAAATTGAATATTGGAGAGAAGTTACCAGTCTTCCCAATTAATCAAGCCATGGTTTCATGAAGGAGGTGGGATTTTACATGAAGAGTTTCAAAACTGTAGATATAATTGGTTCAAATGATTACACATATGCCTACGGGCAGCTGCAATGAATCGTGTTGCAAACAGAAAAGTAAACAACCTATCCTGGAAAAGAGAACCACTCCAGAAATCTCAAGACCCACATAGGACACTTATGTTTTGAGCTATTCCTTTAATCTGTGTCCAAACAAAGCATCTAATTCTTATTTCAGAGAATGGAAAGCTCTGACATATGCAAAAAGAGAAGCATCAGTACACTTGTCTTTGCATGCAGGTGCAAGCAACAGACTTCTCAATACCATACATAACATAGTCGTTAATTACAGAGGCAGCCAGGTTCAAGAGCACATCATGTTCTCTTCCTTTTTCTCCTCTCCTCCTTTCCTTCCTTTCTGTCAATCATTTCCACTCCACTCTTTCAAAAGAGCATTCATTTTTGGTATCAAGCACTTTTAGGGTATTCTACTTGATTTTTTATCTTCTGTATTTGGGGTAATATTCAGTTATGATTTTCCTTCCTTTCAAGAAAGCAAATATTGTAAGTAGGAAGAAACCTATTCAATGAAAACCTTTCTCCTGGCAATAGAATAAGGTTGTTTAAGGAGTCCTACCTATATGTCTGTAAGCTAACAAAGTATGTACTAGACAGGAAAGGGAGTTAATGAGTGAAAGCCCCAAACACATATTAGAGACAACCAATTAGCTTGTCTGAAACACAGGCTTGTAAAGCTATCAGTATCTTATAAAATGGTCTGCTACACACGAGTAAAATGTTGTTTAAATGGCTTGCTTAACTAGATGCATTCACCATGAAATTGATTCTTTTAAGTTTTTTTTTTAAACTTAATACCCATTAAGTGTGCATATTGAAATGGCTAGGTGGGTGGGAGGGTGGGTGCACATCCTGATATTACAAAGTGCAGGTTGAAGATATGAGTTCCATATTTTATGAGGTTAAAGAGCATATGAAAAAGAAAAACAACTCATGATTACCAACAATTGTGTCTGCCTCAGTAACTGAAATGTTTCAACACAGTTGGATTATTCCTCCTTTGCCTTGCTAAAAGCTTAGACTGGGATGGCTAGATGTGCTCTGAGGACATTCCAGTGCTGAGAATTTATGCTTTTGTGTTACAGAAAACACGGTTTTCCCACCATAGCCTTTGATTCTGCAAAATAGCATGAGAGGAAGAAGCCCCTGAGCCTGGTATTTTTCAAATCCAACATTTGCCTCAGAGTGAACATCAAATTTCATCCCTCTAAGACCTTACAAAACATTTGAGGTAACTTAACGTTAGCTGACAAATGAACAATTCCTGATTCTATTTCACATTCTCAATTTTCTTAAAAGTCTACTCTATCTTTTAAAATGAGTTTTTGGCCACACCTCACATTCAACTTTTTCTGTTATACGAGGCTGTGTGCCACAAATACACGTCAAACGATTGCTACCTGATCAGACAACCAGGGGAACGTGATTTGATTTTGTCAAGTCTAGCTATTCTCCCTGCTAATCCAATATTGGCACCCTTGTGCACTTTATTAAACTACTGTCAATTGGCCAACTCAAGGGATTCTCTGACTCAACAAAATATTAGGGAGAATATATTTAGTCAATGGTTAAAGAATGTTGAAGGCACAAATATCTTTTAAAAACAGTTTATACACACAAGGTTATTTGGCTTTTGTAATGGAATATATGTCCCCTGTCTCAATCTTGCAGCTGTCGGGTATGAAAAAACAACAGCAGTAGTAACAAATCAAAATGTTAATATATGGAACCCAAATAAACATGTTTAATATTGGCCTTGTGGTACTATGGCAGCACTCTGTCCTAACAACGACAACATTTAGATGCTGGAGCAGATTCAAATTCTTGGGCCATAAACAGGAGACAGACAAATATGGCAAGCCACGCGTTACTCAGTCACCAATGGAGGGTGCCAATGGCCCCGTCCAGATGCAGAGATATTCAAGGGATGTGCCTGTCAGCAGTTTGTCCTCTGGCTACAGCAAGAAGCCACCATGGAAACACCAGAAGGAAAAGAAAAAACAGGAAAGCATGGAGAACTAGGGGAAAGAGGGGCAGGGAGCTGAGGCAGAAAAAGCTGACAGCCGCCTCAATAGCACATCTGAGCAAGGGCAACAGGTAACAAATGGGCTTGTAACCAGGTGCCATGTCAGTCACGGGAAGGGAATTTCTTTCCCTGCTGGCAATACAGTCAGGAGCCTAATATCCTGGCAACTGAGAAATATGAGCTTGGAAAGAGGCTTGCAGGCCGTCTAAAGAAAAGCTAAGTGGTAATCCGTACTGAGGAATTTTAGCCAAAAAATCCCACACAGGACTAGTTGAGCTCAGTACAAAGCCTGTGAAAGACATGTCTCAAGAACATTCTAATCAGACATAAAGAGAACACCAGAAATAAAGGTTCCAAAAGCCATTGACTGGGATTTACCACAGCATTGGGAGTGTGGCCTTGGGTCGTAATTGTCATCCATGACTAGTTGAAAATACTAGTTCTAAACCAGGGAAAGGAAAAGGCAACTGTACCTTCCCACGGGACATTTGATAATGTTTGGGGATTGTTTTGGTTGTCATAACAGGGGGTGGGGAAGCAGAGCAGGTGGTTACTACCAGCATCTAGTGGGTAGAGGCCAGGGAGATGTGGCTAACATCCTCCAATGCATAGGGCAGCTTCCCCTCTCACCTCAACAAAACATTATGTAGCCCAAAAGGTCAATAATGCCAAGATTGAAAAACCTTGCTCTGAACTGATCTTCTAAGGCAAAAGTCAGAGAACAAACCCCTGTTAATGATTCAATCCACAGTTTAGCAGCACAAACCATCAGACTCACTCCCTGGAACCAGGAGATTTAGAAAGTGGACTGGGAGGGTAGACCAGGAGCTCCGTCCAGGAGCATCACAGGTCAACAGCTCCTATTCTCTGTGCTTCTTTCTGGCTCAAAATGAATGATCAACAGATCTTGGGGGGCCAAGTCAGTACACCAAATTGGGCTGAAACAAGTGTGCCAAGGAAGTAGCCACCTTTCACTCAGTCTACACAGTCACTGTTTTGGGCTCTGGGGATACAAAGGTGAACATAACAAGTCCTGGCCCTATGGAGCTTACATGGTGGCCAGCGATACTGACAGATATCAAGTAACTAAGTAAAGTCGGGTAGGAATAAGTGACATGAAGGAAAAGAAAGTACCACAGCAATAATAACATTTGCTATATAACTGATCTAAAGGAGGGACAGAAGGCAATATATGGGTTAAATATAAAGCAGCCATAGATAAGGACAAATCTATAGTTGGGTTCAAAACAATAGCACATAGAGCTATGATAAAAGCTCTACTGATTAGTCTCCACCTAATCACCTTGGATCAACCGACTCTTCATTGTCCTGGTACAAGACAAATGATTGATGTTGCCTACACAGTGAATGTTCATGACCAGTGGACACATCACCCTGAATGATGGTAATTACCCAGTGGATGCTGACAACTGGTGAGCACTCCTAGGTTGCTTCACAGCTCTCAAGATGGCAATCATATTTATTATTAAGTAGTATAAGTAAATGTGACACCAACAGATAAAATATGAACTTGAGAATTTCTATTCCTATGAAAAACTAAATGGAATGAGTTCAAAGAACTTAATAAAGGTGAGTCACTAAAACCAAACTGCTGTTGGATTGGATTTAGATAAGATAACTACAAAGGATTGAGAGGGAAAGATGCAGATTGCTTCCCAAGTATCTTTAACTTATAGTTCCATTTTAAAGAAACAGAAGCTGAAAAATCATAGGTAATGGCTGCTTAATGAAACAAATATAAAACACAACTCTGATTAGTGGCCACATATTCAGATAAAAGGCCTTGGCCCAACATGAAAAGATTAGTACCATTGGTATGTTTAAATTAAAATAAATTATTTATTTTTAGTTCCTTTTTTTTTTTTTTTTTTGAGACAGTCTCACCCAGGCTGGAGTGCAGTGGCACACTCTCGGCTTACTGCAGCCTCTGCCTCCCGGGTTCAAGCAATTCTCTGCCTCATCCTCCTGAGTAGCTGGGATTACAGGTGCCTGCCACCATGCCCACCTAATTTTTGTATTTTTAGTAGAGATGGGGTTTTGCCATGTTGGCCAGGCTGGTCTCGAACTCCTGACCTCAGATGATCTGACCACCTCAGCCTCCCAAAGTGCTAGGATTACAGGTGTGAACCACCAGCGCCTGGCCTTTTAGCCAGTTCTTGATTAACTGTTCAACTACCAGTTCAGACCAGGCCAGATGAGTGGGCTTTTAACTACACGTTCTGCTCTAAATTTCCAGTCACACTTTTCATCATGTCTGAATCAAAAGCATTCTCAGAGGGGAAGTCATTAACACCCACTTCAGTCTGAAGTTTAGAGTGTTACATAAAAGCATGTCCACTGTCAGAATCAATACTAGTGTCTATCACCTCAAATCCTTTTTTGTGACAGTCGAGTATAAATAAATAAAATTAAAATACTCAAACCCACGCTCATGTGCACACCCCCACACCCCTACAGTTTCCTGTAGAAATATTCATCTCTATGAAAGCATATTATGGTTATAACTGAAAACCTTGTTATTAAATATAATATTAGTTAAAATATTAAACATAATGTTATTCTGAATGTATTTGTAAAATATTTCCTAAATAGAACTTATTCCAATTTTCTAGACCCAGAACAGAAACAGAATTCTATTATAAAGTATACCCATCAAGAAAATGTCCTGAGCTTTTCTTAGCCCATGCCCTGATTACAATCTTCCACACTACATTTCTTTAGAGAGCAGGTAATCTTAGTGCTTTGCAGAATAGTCCTATTTTACCTTGAAATTATCATCTGTTTCTTTCCAAATGAATTCTTACCAAATTCATTTTTCCTTTGGTAAAATGCCAATTCCAGAAAAGCGCTTAAAAACAAAAATCATATAATTCCAATGCCTGACAAATGATAGCTTGTACCAATGATCTATTTTTAACTAGAAGGTAAGTGTTAATAACAAAACAATTCTAAATGATACATGTAAATGGCATTTGCCTCTATGTGTCCACAAACTTACTTTTAGTTCCTGATACCCTGTCACATTTAGCATAAGGACACTTATACGTCAGAGTCCTTGAAATAGGGTTTGTAAATTTTAGGTGCCTAGTCACAGCATCTAATCTTTCACTGAAAAAAAGGAAAAGATGTGGCTCTAGAGAAATCAGTATTTCAGAAACAAATTCTTGCCTGTTTGACTGTAGCTTCTCATCTATCCATACAACACATGTAACCTGCACACTTTTTAGCAAGTCAATTATAGTTTTCATAAAACATACGGAAATGCTGAAATCTCCTGCAGCTGCTGAAATACTTGAATTCTGACTTCTTATATGAAGTCGTGGACACCAAATATGTAGTAACCTACTTACAGGTTGAACTGCTTTTTGGCACCATGAGAAGGGGCAATCTTCTATCAAACTGATTTGATAAATCTGTAAATGTGTCCGGTAGGTTGCAGGGCTTGGATCAGTAACAAAAAGCATTGTACTATGGGATGGGGGTTTGACAGGTTCCAGCATGACCACTGGCCCTGTACATCACCAAGATATGGTTTACCTCCTACAAAACCTGGGGAAAGAGAAAAAAATGGAAGCAATTAAGAGGTACAACATAATGGGGGGAAGTTCTGCACATGAGGTGGAGGTGGAAGTGAACTGAACTAACTATTCTCTTTCTTGTTCCCCTCACTTTCTCACAAAGTATGTTATTAAGCAAAGGACTTATTCAAAGCACTAAAAGACATAATATATTAACTAACACTCATGGAGGAATTGAAAAGAGTTCCCTAAATGAGCAAATCACTCTATCCTTATAGGCAAGGCTGAATTTGCAATGGCTTGCATAACTATCTTAATGGTTTTTATGAAATATTATAAATTAGACTTACAGTTTAGATTTAAGAAATTCATTTGTGCTGCATCATAGATGTTTAAAAATATTCCTATATCTGCACAAAGCATAAAAAGCTCTCTGGAAAATCATGAAACCCTTGCACACTCAATATTCCTCCCCACACCAGTCCTTCCCATCTGCCAGCTGGGTTTCATTTTAAGAATTTCACACTGAATATAAAGTGCTATTTTGACCATGTGGCTCCAGAAATGTGAATTTATAGTTTTTTCAGCTTGTATGCAGGTGATTGACAGAGAGGGGATTAACCAACTGGATGCGATGAAGCTGCTGCCTCTTCCTTCAGGTTACTTTAAGTTTCCATGCAAGGATGGCCATCCTTGAATGGTTTCATTGAGGCTAGCAAGAAGTACAGCTTCCTAGCAGGGGACTTACTTTTCATTTAACTACTACATGGCCACCATACCTTGAAACTATTTTCTCCATGTTACTATTCCTCCCACATTCCATCTATTTTCCCATCTGTAAAATGGGAATACTGAAGTTAGCTTTCTTAGACATACCTTGTGGTGATATCCTACTGATATATGACACATATCTATAGTTACTGGTCTTCGGGTTTAAGAGTCAAGATTTTGACAAATGTGTAGGTGAGCATGTGTGTATTTGGTTTTCTTGGGTGGGGGCAGACTAGAGGGAATGGGCATGGAGAAGAAGGTTGAAAGGTTGGCTTAAGAGTTCATATATATATATATATATATATATATATATATTTTTTTTTTTTTTTTTTTTTTTTTTTGAGGCGGACTCTTACTCTGTCATCCAGGCTGGAGTGCAGTGGCGCAATCTCAGCTCACTGCAAGCTCCGCCTCCTGGGTTCACGCCATTCTCCTGCCTCAGCCTCCCGAGTAGCTGAGACTACAGGCGCCCTCCACCATGCCCTGCTAATTTTTGTATTTTTAGTAGAGACGGGGTTTCACCTTGTTAGCCAGGATTGTCGCGATCTCCTGACCTCGTGATCTGCCTGCCTCAGCCTCCCAAATTGCTAGGATTACAGGCGTGAGCCACAGCGCCCAGCCGAGTTCCTTAATATATTCTTACTCTCTGTGTGAGCAATGCCTAATAACTGAAATATGGAAGAGACCCTCTACACTCAGTATTTCAGATATTGCTTTGGGCATCTAGAAATGTTTCAGATACGATTGCTATTTAAGATTGCCACATAAAGCAGTCCTATTTTTTCAACAGTTAACTATCTTGTTTCAGACTTCTCATCCTCAAGCATCATCACAGGCACAAAAATGATGTCATAACTATAGACAATAGTCCCCCTTTACATGCAGTTTCGCTTTCCGTGGTTTCATTTTCCTTGCTACCATATAAAAAGATATTTTGAAAAACAGAAAGAGAGACCACATTTGTTTTCATTACAGTATGTTGTTACAATTATTTTATCATTAGTTACTATTGTTAATCTCTTACTGTGCCTAATTTATAAATTAAACTTTATCATAGGCATGTATATATAGGAAAAAAATATAGTATCTATAGCAGGCCTTCTGTATCCATGGGTTCCACATCTGTGGATTCAACCAACTGTGGATTGAAAATACTCAAAAAAAAATTGCACACGTACTGAACATGTAATGAACTTTTTTTCCTCATCATTATTCCCTAAACAATAGAGCATGACTAGTTACGCAGCATTTACATTATATTAGGTATTATAAGGAGTCAAGAAATAATTTAAATATATAGGAGGATATGCATAGGTAATATGCAAATACTACACCATTTTCTTTCACTGACTCAGATTTTGTTATTTCAGAAAGGTCTCAGAACAAATGCCCCATGGATACTGAGGGACAACTGTAAAGGGTTTGGTACTATCTGTAGTTTCAGGCATCCACAGGAGGCCTTGGAATGTATCCTCCGTCAATAAGGGGTGATCCACTTGTATTCAGATTTTCAAAATGTTTCTTTTTTGCAACTTTAGGGTCATGCTGTTCCTGGGATTCCGTACACTCACTAAATGCACAGGAAATAATACTACAAACCAGATGACTTCCCTATTTGACAAAAGATCAATGAAAGGATATTCGAGCATTGACTTTTGAGAAGGGTGTGTAGGATATATTCAGATTTGATACTGTGACACTGGAGCTAGTCTCAAAATTAATGAGCATATACACAAAAGTTGACATCAGATGGAAGATGACATCATTTGAAAAATACATGCTTATCATATCCCATCAAGTTTGGTCCTGTTCAGAACAGGAAAAGTTCCATTCATAGGTGGAGTCTTCAGCTTCTAAATTATTCGGGAGAGTAATAACAATGTTTCCCCTCCCTTCCCTCAAGACAGAGCAAACAAACAAGTACACTATAGAAAATCAATTATAATTAGGGGAAAATTTCTCCTGCTTGCCAGCAAAAATAAATATGGCTCCACTGAAAAAAATCACTAATATTATATATTGAAGTTTTAGACATATGCTCTGAATAATTAAGAAAATTATTTGAGCACAGAAAAAGGTATGGAAGAAGCCACATCAAACTGATAACACTGGATAATAACCTTGGGGATTAAAGAGGGAAAAGATTATTAACTTTTATATATCTTTATGTATTTCTGAATAATTGGACTTAAAATAATAAGTGACTATAGTTTTTGTATTTTAAAAAAACTAATAAAATAAAAACAATCAGGCTGGGCACGGTGGCTCACGCCAGTAATCCCAGCACTTAGGGAGGCCGAGGTGGGCAGATCACCTGAGGTCAGGAGTTCGAGACCAGCCTGACCAACATGGAGAAACCCTGTCTCTACTAAAAATACAAAATTAGCTGGGCGTGGTGGCGCATGCCTCTAATGCCAGCTACTCAAGAGGCTGAGGCAGGAGAATCTCTTGAACCTGGTAGGCGGAGGCTGTGGTGAGCCAAAATCACGCCATTGCAGTCCAGCCTGGGCAACAAGAGTGAAACTCCATCTCAAAAAGAAAAATAATAATAAAATAAAACAAAACATAAAAACATACACATGAACACATCAAAAAGAGAATTTAAGGAAATAAAACTACACTGTATGCAGAGACACATCCAAGAAGGTAACCTGGCTCACAGTAGAAGCTCAACAAACATGAGTTATATGAATGTGAAGCACACAATAGCTGACAATATAAACATTCTCCTCATATAATAGTATCTACTCATGTGCCGCAGATAAATATAGTTGCTTTTTAACCATCATAGTTAAGAAATATGGATTTTTATCTTATCTAAGCACTTTGGGGATTTAAATTTTAAGTCAATAATAATTTATAAGAGTTTGTCTGTTTCTGGAAGGTGGGCAACCTTTCAGGCAGGCCAGAAGACCCTCAGGATTCTTAACTTTCACAATGAAAATCCAACAACTGCCCACAGGGCTGCAATGTTTATATGTGGATTTTCCAGAATTAGTGGTACCAGCTCTTCAGGCCCGGACAGGAAATGAAATCTCCAACTCCCTGCTCTTTATCAGATCTCCTGGGAGAAGTAATCTTTAGAGAAGATCATTGAAAGGGCCAGATCATCCATCTTCCTCTACAGGATGTCTAATGCTATCCTTGAATGAAGTTCAAGTATACCCTGCTGAAGGCTACCAAATCACTTTATGGCATTTCAATACTAGGGTCTCAACATTACTTAATGCCACCGTAAGAAAAGGCCACAAGAAATTCAAAACTACGCTTACTATAACAGTGTTGTGAATTACTCATTAGATCACTCAATGTCTTCTATAGAAAACATCTTCTTAGAATTATGGTCTTAAATGACGAGTTAATGGGTGCAGCACACCAAAATGGCACATGTGTACCTATGTGACAAACCTGCACGTTGTGCACATGTACCCTAGAACTTAAAGTATAATAAAAAAAAATTATATATATATATATATATATATATATATATATATATATAAAGAAAACGTCTTCTTAGAATTATGCTCGAACAGCTTTTATTTTCCCTATGGAAGACACATTCTCCTTGTTTTCCATAATGAGAAAGAATATGTCACAGATCATGATTCCCCTGCCCTTTCGTTTTTCAAAAACCCAGAGCAACAAATATGAAACTCAATTGGAAAAGTGATTCGACCAATTGGAGTAGGGTTGAGCATTATTATAGTTGCCTTCTCTTTGTTCTGATCTTCTTGTATTTCAATATTTTATTATTACTATTTTCATGTGAGTCACTTTAAATACTTTGTAGACAGAAGCAGTGGACTACATAGACAAAATAAAAATAAAGTAATATCTCCATCTGGAGTTGAACAATAACATTCAATTATCTCTTTCCTTGGCATAACTGCTTAACAGAATACACGAAGCTTCATTGAAAGCCACCAATATTCGATCATTCTTACTATTTTGAGGGCTTCTTAATTTTACCATGGAGTGTGGACTCCAGTTTTATCAGAATTGTCTTGGTATGAGAAGCTTCAACTGAAGTTCACTCATTTAAAACATTTTAAGAATATCACAGTAAGAAGAAATTCTTCAGTAGGTCAAGTCCCTTACAGCAAAATCCAAGAGACTCTTCAATTGTTTTACTATATAAAATGAATGATGCTTACAACATCATTTTTTCAGAATCCTTCCTTCTTTCCTTTGTCCTTTCTTTCCTTCTCTCCCTCATTCCTTCTCTCCCTCATTCCTTCCCCCATGACTGTGATATTTTCAGGTGATAGGATTTTAACTGTACCGTCCAGTTCTTACTATCTTATAGATCAGATGTTAGATGTCATCTGGCATTTTTTAAATTGATTGTTTCTCCAAAGTACCTTTAACCTTTTTTTCAATAGGCTTTTGGGGGACAGGTGGTGTTTGGTCACATGAATAAGTTCTCTAGTGGTGACTTCTGAGATTTCAGTGCACCCATCACCTGGGCAGTGTACACTGTACCCAATGTGTAGTCTTTTATCCCTCGCCACCCACCACCCTTTCCCCCAAGACCCCAAGTCTAATATGTCATTCTTATACTTTTGTGTTCTCATAGCTTGGCTCCCACATATGAGTGAGAACATATGGTCATCTGGCATTTTTAATGCCACACGATCAAATCCAACAACACTCTCCAAAATAATCTTTCAGGGTAGTGATGGTGGAATATAAAAACAGTAAAGTTAAGGTGTCTTTAGCCATAGGATTCTGGCCAAACTGTGAGATAAATAAAATCTGCCTTTATTTCTTTTTCACCTTCCTTTCCAAGAATTCCTTCCAGCAATCCGAAGTCTCTATATACCTTACCATGTGTCAGACTTTTTTTTTTTAATGGAATACTTTATGAATTTGCATGTCATCCTTCCACAGGAGCCACGCTAATCTCTGTATCATTCCAATTTTAGTATATGTGTTGTCAAAGTGAGCACCACACACTCTTTTAAGATTAAAAATATATATATTAACTCACTAATCCTCACGTCAGTCCATTGAGGAAAGTACTATTATTATTCCATTTTTCGAAGCTAGGACACCGAAGCTTAGACAGGTTAAAGAATATGTCCAAGCTATGGGGGCAAGACACAATAGTGGTGGTCTGGCCCAAGAGCCTGTGTACAGTGGAAATATGCTGCTTGTTACTTAGTATGCTGCATGCTGAGCTAGTACTAACAACAAAAAAACGGTTTTCAATGAAAAATCAGTGATTAATAACACGAAATGAAATCCAACAGTATGTAACTTTAGGTACTTATAATAGGGTTGGGATGAGATTTGTTGCAATGCCTCCTGAAGTCCCTTAAAACTCAGTCCACATCAGCAGCTACTCCTTGAGAGTATTGCAAGTAGAACAAAGCATTTCAAACCACAGAATCCTTTCAATGTTTTTATATTTCTCCACCATAATCTTGCAGCACCCCCTCCTCCAAAGGGCAGCACTGAATGCACAGACACATGACACATTGATATGATCAAGGTTGATTGGTGGCTTCCCACATATCATGTGAGGTCCACAAGAGACTAAAGATTGCTAGAGTATTGTGGAACCCTCAGTGATCTGAATTCAACTTATCCATTCATTCATTCAACAGATACTCAACAGGAACCTACTACATGCCAGATACTCTTCTAGAGACTAAAGATAGAGCGGTGAACAAAGCTGAATAATCCCAAACTTCTAGCTACTTACATTCTAATGAAGAAAGACTAAATAAATGTGATAAACCACTAAAATAGTATGTAGCATGTTAGACAATGGCATAAAGTACTAGGAAGATGAAGCAGGAAGATGCATGGGAAGTCTACAGTTCAAAACAGGGTGGTCAGGCCAGGCATGCTGGCTCACGCCTGTAATCCCAGCACTTTCGGAGGCTGACGCAGGAAGGTCACTTGAGGCCGGACTTCAAGACCAGACTGGGCAACAGAGTGAGACCCCATCTCTACAAAAAATTTTTTTAAAAATTAGCCAGGCATGGTGGCATGCATCCGGAGTCTCAGCTACTTGGGAGGCTGAGGTGGGAGGATTGCTTGAGCCCAAGAGGGCAGGGTTGCAGTGAGCCAAGGCTGCACCACTGCATTTCCCCATGGGCAACAGAGTGATATTCTGTGTCAACAAAACAAAACAAAGCAGGGTTGTCATCTCTCAATACTCACAGATCCTATCCCCTTAACTGAGTTTAGTCACTCCTTGAACTCACCTTGCCCTTTCCAAATATGAACTCTTTGCCCAAGACATTTCTTTCTCCTAGAAGGCCCTCTGTCCTGTTTCTTGTGAGTGGTAGTTTAGCTAGTTAACTGGACTGAAGCCGAAACTACCGTTGTTCAAATCCCCTTTTTATTACTTACTAACTCTTTGGCTTTGGGTAAGTCCCTTGACTGCTCTAGGCCATAGTTTTCTAATTTGGAAAATGGGTATAATAATAATGACAAGAACAATAATACCTATATCACAAGGTTCATTGTGAGGCTCAATTGAATTAGAATATTAAAGTGTTCAGAATAGTACCTGGCACTATTCTACTACTACTATGACCTCAACTAAATTTCTATCTGTGCTTAAGACCCAATTCAAATGCTACTTCTCAATCTCTAATCACAATAGCTGAAGGTGAGGTTTTCCTTCTCTGAGATCCTGTAGTCCCTTGGTTTTATCACTCTAATGGTATTTAACCTGTATCATTGCAAGTATTCACGCTATCTTGAAGTACAATTATTATATATATGTGAAGTACAATTATTATATGTGTGTGTATATTTATTTACTTATAAACAGCTTCTTCCCTCCTGAAATCACAGCACCTGAGGGTTTAGAATGAACATAAACTTTTCTTCTTCCTCCTTATCTCCTTTTCCCTTCTGTGAGTGTTTTAATCAGTTCATTATTTATATATACCAGAGAGTGGACAGGACAAGGAAAGGGAAGTGAAATTAGCAAGTGCACAGGCCCACACACACACTCTCACACACACACACACTTTATAGTTCTGTATTAGTTTATTACATTTAAATCTCCCAATGTTTTTGATCTCCTTCTCTGAGGAAAGCTTGGTGGTATAGCAGTCTATCCTCCAAAGATTTACAATCTAAATCGTGTAGAAAGCCTTAAGGAAAAAAAAAATCCCTCTCACTTCAACAACTTAAGCCCCAACCCTACTTGAAACTATGCCTTAAAGTGCTTGCTGTCTCCCCAAATATACCATGTATTAATTTTCACACTTCAAGACTGCTACTTATCCACCTGATGCATTCTGGAACCTCCTTCCCTTCCCCTGTCACTTCCCTTCTTTGTTTTCCTTGCTCTCCCTTCCCTGAAGAATTGACTGCTCCCTCAACCCAAGTAATACATAAATATTCGTCCATTCATTTCCCCTCTCCCCTGCTAGAGTGCAAATTCTTTGGGATGAAGACAGACCTCAAGGCTCAGAGAGCTTTGCCCAAAGTAGACCCTCTCACTCATCTTGGCGAATTCCGCATCTGGAGCAAGGTCTGAAGTGAGGCAGATGCTCAGAGTGTTCACTGAATGGAACTGAATGAGCTGCTAATGAGAATAGACAAAGGAATCTTTTCTTCTTTTCTTTCTCTTTCTTTTTATCTTCTTTTTCTTTTTCTTTCCTTTCTTTTCTTTTCTTTCTTTCCTTTGATGGAGTCTCGCTTCTTCGCCCAGGCTGGAGTGCAATGGCGTGATCTCAGCTCACTGCAACCTCCACCTCTCTGGTTCAAGCAATTCTCCTGCCTCAGCCTCCCAAGTAGCTGGAATTACAGGCATGTGCCAGCACGCCCAGCTAATTTTTGTATTTTTAGTAGAGACGGGGCTTCACCATGTTGGCCAGGCTAGTCTCAAACTCCTGACCTCAAGTGATCAACCCGCCTTGGCCTCCCAAAGTGCTGGGATTACAGGCATGAGCCACTGCATCTGGTCAGTCAGCCAAAGAAATTTCAGTCCCTCCTTCCCTCCCTTGTCCTTGCCTTCTGAGCAGAGATGCTGGGCACAGAGCTGACCAAACCAAACTACTAGGGGGAGGAGATACACAAATACTTCCTAAAACAGTCTGGGCAGGATGATCTATAGTTTTTATTAATTCAGTTTGTTGGGGGCTTTATCACACACAAGGCACTGTGCTGTGAGAGAGAAAGATAACCAAGACCTGATACTGCCCTCAAAGAACCCGTAGGCTACTGGGTGAAAAAGATAATAATTATAACAAGGTATGTATAAAAATGGCTGTGGGAACACAGAAGAGGGTGTGAGATTTACCTGTCTTGATAGTTGCTAACTCATTTGAAAATTCATAATATTTATAAATGATAATAAATCCATAGCAAAAGAAGCTTTAAAACTATAGTTCTCAAGTCTAGCATTGAACAGTTTGGACAATGTCTAGGTTATTTTATTTTGTGGAGAATAGGCTGTTTCTGAAAGCTCCCACTTTTATGGCCCAATCAGTAAGAGATTTCTATTCCAGCTGCTACACTATTCATTTATTTTAGTTGTAAAAACTTGAAAAAGCGAAAGGAAGAAATGTAAAATAAGCATCCCTGTCAAATTTACCCTTTTTCTTTAGAATGATGTTGATCCAAGACAAACAGTCTCAACCAGGGCAACATATATTTTAAATATCATTGCAGCAAGTAAGAAAGAGAAACGACTTGATTTAAGGTTGGTTTTTGATTTGTCAGGTGACTTTAAGTGATTCGCCTCTTGGTTCCCAATTTGGCTTCTATTCCAAGATAGAAATTCTAAAACTTGCTCTTTCACTCAGGTTGAAGTGCAGTGGCATGGTCATGGCTCACTGCAGCCTTGACCTTCTGGGCTCAGGAGATCCTCTCATCTCAGCCTCCCAAGTAACTGGGACTGCAGGCACACACTATTGCACCTGGCTTTTTAATTTATTTTTATATTTTGTAGAGAGACTGTCTTGAACTCCTGGGCTCAAGCGATCCTTCTCTCTCAGCCTTCCAAAGTGCTGAGATTACAGGCATGAGGCACTGCACCTGACCTGAAATTCTAAACGTACTCACAAAATACCCAGAACAGATTTAATTCAGAGAATACCTTAATCTCAATGTGGCTGTGTCCAGGTGAAGAGTCAAAATGTAATATTAAAAAAAAAAAAAGAGAAATAGAAAATTAGGTTCCACGATAGACACCAGGGCTTACTTGAGGATGGAGGGTGGGAGGAGGGAGAGATTTGAAGTACCAATTGGGTATGATATTTACTACCTGGGTGACAAAATGATTTGTACACCAAACCCCAGTGACACAATTTACCTGCTGCAGGGAAAACAACCTGCACATGTAACCCCCTAAACCTAAAATAAAAGTTGGGGGGAAAGAAAGAAAGAAAATTAGGTTTCAGAACACAAAGTATTATTATTATTATTTGGAAAGTGCCTAGTAAGACAGGGGCAGGTGACATGTTCTTTTAAGGCATCAGTACTAAGGCTGCCCAGCAAATACACAGCTAATCTAGAATATTCTGATAGAAAGATAAGGGTACAGGGAATCTTGTATGAAACAAGAAAAAGGCCAGATGATTGATACAGCCTCCAACATAATTTCCCCTAAAGGCTATTAACAACACAAGAAGGCCCAAGGCATTACTCTGAGCAAATTAAGACCTGACAGGTCATGTAGGAAACTCTTTCAAACATCCCAACATTTGATGTTTTATCATTTCATTTTGCTCTGCATATCAAAGAGATGGTTTTACCTCTAGCCCAAACCTCCGATATTCAGTAGTCACTCTATTCATATATATATGAAGGAAATCACTACAAAAGAAATACACAAAGCTTCAGCTTACTCTGGACTCAATATTCTAGGGGAAGACAACAGTTTTCATTTTCTTTTCTTGCTGGAGAACAAAAGCATCAGGTAGGAAAATCTGTCCCCTTGGAAAAGGACCAGCCATTTGTTCTCTGGAAGGCCCCTGAAAGTAAGCAGATAAGGGAAAGTGGATATCTGGACTTGCCTGAGAAAAGCCTTTTAGGTCCAATTGTAGCAACTTATTTGAGAGCTGCAACTCATTAAGTGTGTCTCTGATATCACTTCAGATATGAAGGTTAGTGAAACATACCAATAGATTGAATCATCAAAAAATTCTCCTAGGAATTTGAACACAGAAGATTTGATGGAGAATTACTCCATTGGCTCAAGCCTGGATGGGCCCCTAGTGGAGATAAGATACAGACACCTTTTAGACAAGGGTTTCATTCTTCAGAAATAGAAGCTCAAATTGAGAATGTTCCCTCAATCCCTCAACATTATCATCACAGTGTTTATTAGACATCTACATATACTCCATAGGCACTAACCAAACACATAAAATCTAAAGTCTCTGCCTTCACAGAGCAGACAAATTAAGAAAACAACCCCACCTCCTGCTCCCATTCTGGGGACTACACATCAGAAAATAGATCTCTTTTTACAAATGTGACCAGTTTATTTCCTTAAATCCTTATTGATTCAGGAAACAGTGCTCTTCAAGTCTCTGGCTTGAGAAGAGCAGTTAAGATTAACCTTTTCTGATACTCAAGCTGCAGGACATCTTCTTTGCATTGCCTCTGGAAGGCTTTAACATTGCTCTAATCCCTCATCTATCAAACTCCTTCACCAGAGGGGTAAAGGGGGCCCTTTTGCTCCCTATTTTTATGAGTCTGCCAGGAATACACTGGCAATCAAAACTGAAGCTGCATTCCTTAAAACGCTTTTGGTAAATAGACACAAGGCAGTATTGTGCTTACACATATTTCATATTCTGAGTTGTCTATCTTAAACTCAGGCTCAAAGAGGCTCTGAATTTCCCATTCTTAGAAATCATACGACATATGCAATAAGAACATATGGCCATGAGATAACTGAGGCTTCAGTTTGTACCACAGCCAAGAACACTAGATGCCCAAGTGTATAACTACTAATGAATCAAGAAATAATGCAGAGAGGTTGTCGAGAGAAGGAAAATATAGAAAACCAATTTAGAAAAAGCAGATTTTATTTATTTATTTATTTATTTAGACAGGGTCTCACTCTGTTGCCCAGGCTGGAGCGCAGTGGTGTGATGATAGCTCACTGCAAATTTGACATCCTGCGCTGAAGCAATACTCCTGCCCCAGCCTCCTGAGTAGCTGGGACAACAAATGTGTACTACCATGCCTGGCTAATTTTTTTTTATTTTTAGTAGAGATGGGGGGGGATCTCACTATGTTGCCCAAGCTGGTCACGTACTCCTGGGCTTAAGTGATCCTCCACCTTGGCCTCCCAAAGTGCTGGGATTACAGGTGTAAGTCACTGCTGCTAGCCGGAAATCAGACATTTTAAAGGTATCTGTCAATTGCATAATAATCTAAAAATATTTACATAAATGTGATAATGAGAGATGAGAGTGATTTAGATCTGGGGGGTCATGCAAAATAAAGCTTCTCAAACTCAGCAGAATTTCAACAATTATCCAAGGTTGACAGTCTTAAAAATACAAATAGAGACTGCACACTAATAAATATGAAGCTCTTAAAATCTGGCTTTAAGATAATGCCACACAGACCATTGACAGTTAGCAAATGAAATAAAAGAGTCTGAGTATCTGGAAGCAAAAGAGAGGAGATTTTGAAATATATCTTATAATTTGGTGAAGTTGACAGTAAAAAAAAAAGCTGCATTATTTTCGAAGGTCCATTAAACTTGAAAAGTAACAACACAAATCTACAATCTAATTACACAATTAAAATTAGTACAAGAAGATATACAATTATTTTATAACTTCTGGATTTCTACTGGGCTTTTTATTTCCTCCACTGGTTTTGTCTTTCATTGGGAAGGAAAATTTCAATGGTTTATCTTATAAACACCAGGTGTGAGTGAACATTCACTGGGCAACTGTACAGGACATAATACACCCCTCATAACACCTCCCTATCAAGGCTTTTGTTATAGATCACTGCCAATCTCTGTGAAAACAGGAACCATATTGCAAAGATCAGCAGTCATACAGTTTTCCTTAACAAATTCAAATACTACATCGTAAGTCTACGAGGTGTGTGCCAAAGGTGTTATCCAATATACTGAGTGGTAAATAGCAAAGCCCTCCCCATCAGATTTTCTCAACTTGGAAGGAATTAGGGAAGCCATTGAAATGAATGCAGAATGGTTTGCAGAACCGTAAATAATCATGGTAGAATCTACAAATGTAACACTAGCTACCCCTTGTAAAATTATCTGTGCTCCTGCCAAGGGAACTCACACTCCAGTGGAGTGCAGAGCAGTAGAAATACATTTACCTTTCTTATGAAGACAAGAAAAAAGATCAGCCTAGTGCTTTCTATAAACAATAATACAAGTGAGAAGAAAGTGATTGAGGGAGACAAAACAGGATGGGAAAGGAAAAAAAGGAAAGGTTTGAGCACGCCTGTGTGTGCACTCAGAATAAACAGCTCGGATTAAGGTGAAAGACTTGCAGCAGCTGCTGCCATGGTCTATTTCTACTGAATGGCAACAGGGAGGGAACAAGGGGAGGCAGATAGAGCTAACCTTTATTGAGCACCTACTATTCCATGCTGGGTACCTGAAATACCATGTGTTTGGATCAGCTCACTCGTTTCTCATAGCAACCAGTGACATTGGTGTTTGAGTTGTTGTTTTGTTCCTTGTATCAGAGCTGTGCAACTTGAACTAGAAAGATCACTGTCCTGCCATTTTCTAATCAAGTAATCTTGAACCGACGAGTCAGTAAATGTCTTTAGCTTCCTAATTTTTTAAAATAAGGGAATAACAGCTGTCTTTGAAGGGATTGGGTATAGACTGGGCACAAATATAGGTAAAGTATTTAGCACAGTGACTGCCCAGAGTAGGTGCTCAAAAATTGGTAGCTTTATGAATAAAATTTATAACTACTTAATAGAAAGCTGTAATATGTGAATAACTTTTTAAAAAAAATGGAAGTCTCATGCTAAAGCCCTGAACAATCCTTCCTTCCCGTAAGTACCTTCATAACTTTTGGGGGTCTATTTTACCCAAATTATTATTTTATTTTTGGTAGAGTAGCCCAATTTTAGAAACTTTTCCCCCATATATGTAGGGTTGGAGGGTAATTGAAGACATGATGATAGGGTCCCACACTATGTTTTTCATTTGTGGTTTCAACTTGGTGTATATCTTGCTTGGTTGCCTTTCATAATATATGTTCTTGTCATTTTGTTAAAAAATGGCTCTTCAACACAAAGTGAGTGCTTTTATGGGTTCAGGATAATTTGCACAGTCACTGAGCAACTGCCAAATGGTGAGCATCACTGTAGCTGCTGCCTGGTGCTTCTGGAATTTTTTTTTAAAAAGTATCTGCCAGCAGGTGCAGTGGTTCATGACTGCAATCCCAGCACTTTGGGATGGCTGTGGAGGGAGGATCACTTGAGCCCAGGAGTTTGAGACAAGCCTGGGCAACATAGTGAGACTCTGTCTCTATTAAAAAATAATAAATAAATAAATAAATAAATAAATAAATAAATAAAAGGAGCTGCCTACTTATGACATGCCAGGCACTGTGGTAAGTGCCTTAGATAGCTAGTGCATAGCAATATCTGTGTCCTCCTCTTCTTCCAGGGCAAAAGGCTACACTACAATTCACAGCCTTTGCCAGGGTTGGCTGTAGCCAGGTGACTGAGTCTTGGGAGTCGGGGCACAACTGATGTGCACAACCTCCAGGCCTGGCTCAAACTAAACTTTTGTGATGTCCCCTTTTTGTGCGCACAGTCCTTCTCTCCCTTTTCATAAGTGGTTGAATAAAGTGGCCCCAAGGACCTAGAGGAGAGCAGAACAAGATAGAGGACATCAGGGTCCTTGAATAACTACAAGGAGCAGAGTGCCCCCACTGACCATATTGCACTGTGAGGTGACCTACAGTGGCAAGACATCGAGAATGTAAGCTTTATAGCAACTGTATTACTCTAATACAGAAACATTTCATCACTTAATTCTCATTACGGCTCTGTCAGGTAATGTATTATCACCTGCATTTAACTCATATAGGAACAGAGGCTCAGAGAGGTAAGTCACTTGTTCAAGAGCAAGCAGCTAACAGGTGAAGAAACTGACATTCTGCCCTTGGTCAGTGAAACTTTAGGACCCATGTTCTTACCTATGGGTATACTGTCCCCCCTATAGCTATTGTAAGTATGTAAGTACAAAAACCTATGTGTTAGACATTTCCCCTTTTAACCTTGAACTTATGTTCCAGTAATAGAAACATTTTATTTTCCCATTAATTATGTGGAGAATAGTAAAAATTAACATGAACTAATTTTTGCAGATGATTTCACTCAGGGAGTGACAGAATAATGCGTATAAAACACTAAAAGCACAAGGCAGGTGGATCACTTGAGGTCAGGAGTTCAAGACCAGCCTGGCCAACATGGCAAAACCTGTCTCTACTAAAAATACAAAACTTAGCTGGGTGTGGTGGAGTGCGCCAGTAGTCCCAGCTACTTGGGAGGCTGAGGTGGGAGGATTACTTGAACCCAGGAGGCGGATGTTGCAGTGAGCCGAGATTGTGCCACTGCACTCCAGCCTGGGTGACAGAGAGAGACCCTGTCTCAAAACAAAACAAAACAAAAAATCATTAAAAGCAGACTGCTCTGACTAAAGCAAGGCTGGGGTTACCAGGAATGAGCAGTTTGACAATCACTATGTGCCATCATATTGATTCTCAACACTGAGCTATTCAGATTTCTTTCCCTTTTAAAACAAAAAATGTCTAATTCAGTTCTAGAATTCAGTTTTGCAGACATACCAGAGCTATGCACTGAAAGTTAATGTACACCTTGAAAGCAATATGTACCTTAGTGACAAGGTATATCCATCAATATCTGCTCATCAAACTACTTCCTGTTTTACTTAACTTGTAGTGTAGCACCATGTGTTTTGTCAGTTAATTACTGACCCTCAGCTGGCAGCCACTTGGTAATGAAAAGACTGTCTTCTGGTATGCCTTAGTTTGTGTTTCTGGTATGGCCATCTCAGCTTCCATTCTCTCCTTTAAGTCTGAAGTCTACATTCAGTTCCGTTTAGTTCAATTAACATTCACTGTTCCCTTGCCTGTGTTTAGTAACGAGGATACAAACAAGATTCAGGCCTGGTCTCTGCCCTAGGACCAGGAGAAGAATCCAATAGTTCACCGTAAAAGGATCACTGTACCAGTTCATTTAGTCTTTGAATGTCTTCTTATTTTTTAAATGACAATGACTGTATCAGCTTTGAGGCATCATTCTTGAATGTCCCCTAACTTTCTGTGTAGATAATGTTTAGTACAAGAGGAACATTTAAGATATTAAAGATGGAGTATGTCATGGACACTAACCAACCAGAATGAACGTTGGTGGCAGTGCTGTAGTGCAGTTCTAGAGGCTCTCTACCAAGCCAGGAATTACTGCTTTGGTTGTGAAATTGTGGAGCAGCCCAAGAGGTCCCAGCGGGGAGGAAACAGGTGGCATTCAAATGGATAGGCCAGTACGTCAATATTTTAACAAGTGGTACATCTGTAGTGATGTATTGATGGAATATTGCTTGACTTGTGAACAACAGCTCCATAGGAAAAGGACAGCCACTTTTCCATCTGTGCTGACAACTGAGCTGTGTAGATCCTGAACCAGAAACACAAGAGAAAAACAATCTGAAAACTGTCTATTCCCCTGGGGACTTTCACTTTCCTTTATGAGCATTTCAAGTAGAGCAGCACTCCATAAATGCTGCTGACTGACTGACATTTATTGAATAACCAGTGTATACAGAGCATGTTCTGAGAAACTTATACAGAAAACAGAAGTGACCTATACACGCTTTCATTTATTTTGATGATTAATTTTTAAAAAGTGGCCTTTCTGAGGCAAGTCTATAATCTACACCCTAAAGAAGTCTTCTCAAGTGACAGGGAACTTCAAACTCAGGGCAAGCAAGTTTTGGAGAATGACTGCCTCTTCACGATTCGGGCTCTGGTCTTCAATGGCTGCCATTGGTAAGGGTGAGTCAGGATGGAACTCCTGAAACTCAAAACAAACAAACAATCACCTCCCACACCAGAAACAAAGTCCTTTTGCCTCTCCAACTTGAAACACAAGTTTGTATTTGTGGTCTGATTTTTGCTAAGATCATAAAACTTTACATCTGCATAAAATATGACGCAGTTGCTTCAGAAGGGCAGGCTGTTCCCTGTCCCCACCCCACTGCCTCCTTGTCGGTGAAGGGCTACTTGGTAAAATGATCTTTGAGTTCTAGAGATGAATTATACATCCTGTATAATTGCTGGATGTTGTCAGATGCACAAATATAATAGGTTGTCAAATGCACAAAGCTTTCTCAAATAAGCATGATTTACCTAAAGGCATCTCCTTTACTAGTAACCTAAACTGATTCTTTTCAACCTAAATGAAATTCTTTCGGTTCTGGTATATTCTTGAGCATGTCAAAATAAAAATCTCATAATATTTAAAAAACTTATCAAGTTTTATTTTTTAAACAATACATTTTTAAAAACCTGATTATATTAGCCAGGCGTGGTGGCGGGCGCCCGTAGTCCCAGCTACTCGGGAGGCTGAGGCAGGAGAATGGCATGAACCCAGGAGGCGGAGTTTGCAGTGAGCCGAGGTTGCGCCACTGCACTCCAGCCTGGGCAACAGAGCAAGACTCCGTCTCAAAAAAATAAAATAAAATAAAATAAAAAACCTGACTATTTTTCAGACCAAGTAAACACTGTAAAGTTAAAAGACTTATAACGACTTGTAATTCAAGCTTAAGATCTGATTTGAAAAACCGCTGAAGGAAAATTTTCAATTAGAAAGCAGAACGTTGAAGATAAATGAGACATGACTATAAGTTCTCTTCCTGGCGTTAGACTATGACTTTCAGGAAAAGGAGGTAATAAAAGTGTCCGGAGAAAGGTATTTGTCTGACATTGTGTCAGATTTCCGAAGGCCCATGAGCACCTTGAGAAGTAACAGCTGGGAGGAGCAGACTGAGAGCTTTAGCAGCTTTTGGAAAGTTGCCATTACGTCTCCTTAGCTTTCTTAAAAAGCATTCATTTGGTGTTGTCTTTTACTTTTATTAGCTTAAAAAATTTTAGCAGATTGTCACACAAGCCACATTATGGGAGATATTCCCAATTTTGTTGATTACTTTTCAAGCCTTTCTTAGTGTTACTTTAATTATTCTAAACAGCACTTTAAAACTGTTTAGATAAATTGAAAATAAGATTCATTCCAAAGAACTGATACAGAAAAGATCTTCTCTGAGTCAGAATTTTTGAGCCAGAAGGGGACTTACAAATCATCTATTTCAACCCTCTCATTTCACAGCTAAGGAGACTGAGAATGACTAAAGCCAAAGTTGGCTAGGAGGGTTGAGGGCATGAACCTAGACGCCTAACATTTAGTCCAATTCTCTTTCTACTCAGTGCCAGTTCCACACTGTTTTTCATTTTTCATTCTCACTTAAAGGCTGCTCACCGTAACTCCCCATGCCCCTCCTCCCAACTCTGGACAGCAACCAAACTGTCTTTGGCCTAACAAGGGTGCACAGGGACTTTGGTTCTCTCCCAAGGAGGAGGTATATACATTCATTTGGCTCTCTTCTTTTTAATAGCTCCTGGTCTTTCTTTCAATTCTTATCAAATACAATGTAATTTGGGAGCCCCAAATACCTCAATCAATATTTATAAATTTACAGAGAAGGGAAGGAATTACATTCAAATTAGAAAACTGTTAAGTTAGACATATTAGACACAAGAAAGAATTCAACTCCTTCAAAAGGTGCTTATAAGCGTCTTTTAGCATTTTCACAGAAGTCTCCTTCTACTGCCTTTAATAAAATCTGTTTCCTCCCAAGCTTCAATTTTCAACATTAAAAAAAAAATTCTTCATTTGTCCTATATTGCAGACACTTCAACTTTTTTCTTGAATTTTTATTTGTTTCTTGTGCTACTTCCTAACTTGGGCCATTTAAAAACCTACAGTTTCATAATTCTATTTTTATAATTTTTTTTTTTTTGAGAAGGTGTCTCACTCTGTCACCGACGCTGGAGTGCAGTGGTGCAATCATGGCTCACTGCAGCCTCAATGTCCAAGCTCAAGTGATCCTCCCACCTTAGCCTCCCTCGTAGCTGGGACCACAGCTGCATGCCACCATGCCTGGCTAATTTTTTTTACTATTTGTAGAGACAGGGTTTTGCTATGTTGCTCAAGCTGGTCTTGAACTCCTGGACTCAACTGATCCTCTTGCCTTGGTGTCCCAAAGTGCTGGGATTATAGGCGTGAACCACTGTGCCTGGCCTTTCATACATTAAGTGAGGTTTGGGGCAGGGCACAGTGGCTCATGCCTGTAATCTCAGTGCTTTGGGAGGCCAAGGCAGGAGGATCGTTTGAGGTCAGGAGTTCGAGACCTGCCTGGGTAATATAGCAAGACACTCATCTGTATTATATATATGTTATTTTTTTAACTGGGCATGGTGGCATGTGCCTGTAGTTCTAGCTACTCTGGAGGCTAAGGCATGAAGATTGCTGAAGCCTAGGAATTCGAGGTTGCAGTGAGCACCGATCACACCACTGCACTCCAGTCTGGGTGACAGAGCAAGACCTTGTCTTTAAAAAAAACCAAAATAATAACAAAAAAAACTTTGTTTTTAAGCAGTGAAACCTGTTTTTCAAATCGTATCTTACAAAGAACTTAAATATGTATCGTAAACATAGGAGGGATTCTCTGACTGAAACAAGGGTTGGGGTCTACCAATTATATATTGTTATGAACCTCTATGTCCTTAGTCTTTTTTCTTTCTTTTTTTTTTTTTTTTTTTTTTACTAACTATACACTGAAATAAAGACATTTTAAAAACACCTAAAGAAGATACATCATCGCAATCCAAGTATCTTATTGTATCAGGCAAACAGAAACCACTCCAGTTATTCCAAGCTAAGGAATGTAATACAGAAAACTGGCTACACAGGTGACAGAAGTACTAAGAGTCTCAACCAAGATACTAAAGCCATTCAGAGATTGCAGGAAGCCACTAATGCCCACAGGGCTGCAGAGATGCGGGCAGGAGGTGTCTTTACTAGATCATAGAAGTCAGGGCCATCTGGTGAGAACTGGGACCATGGCAGGGGCTGCCCAGTGGAATCTGGGACCATGGAAGAAAGGGCTGTCTAGTGGGAAGATGAAGCCATGGAGAACATGCAGCCACGGCGGGAAAAAAGTCCCCCCACCCCAGCCACTTCATCCAAAGCACAGACAGGTAAGAATATCTCTCATTTCTCCCATACTTGTCCTTCTTCCCCTCAAAATTCTGTCTGTCCCTCCCTGACCAGAGCAAATCAGAAGCATAAGGGTCAGGGAGCCTGGGCAATGCAGTTGACAGGAGAAGGGAAAGGAATTGACATGATAGCAAATTGACAGTGAGTGGCTTCCTCTTCTTCAGATTGTTCTACGCCAATCAAAAAAACCATTCAGCTGAAACTGATATCCAATCTTACAGAAATCCTTCTGCCACCCAGCTTCACGAGAATGATTCTCTCTCTGCCATCCATGCTCTTCTTTCCCTCTACTTTGGCTCACTAGAAGATACTATTCTGTATGGACCTATGAAATAGGTTTCCAAAGGAAGTTGTTCAATGAGCCAGGAAAACCCCCCACAAAATTCAGCAGAAAAAGAATACAACATGCCTCAAGGTAAAGACCTCACATGTTGAACTATTTGGTTAAACCTTCAGTCACCAAGACCTTTTTTTTTAAAAAAAAAAAATAAAGTCCAAAAGCCTCTCTAGCCCCAATATCTTCCTCCGTTTTAATTTTATTTTTATTGTGGTAAAATATATATAACATAAAATTGACCATTTCAACTATTTTTTAGGAGTAAAATTCAGTGGCATTAAGTACACTCACATTGTTGTGCAACCATTTCCACCCTCCATTTAATCGTTAATTTTCTAACTTGCAGTGAGGGCGTGAATAGGAACTCAACACAGCAAAGATGGACAGAATTCCTCAAATTTCTAAATCCTTCTCTTTTGGTAACTTCATCAGCTTCATGTTTCTGAAGAATGGAGCCTTGACATTACCTATATTGCATGTCTGTCCATCTCACTCCTGCCCAGCTCTGTGCCTTGCCAAGTCACAAATGAAGATGGACAGACAGACAGAGACACACACACAGACACACGTGCACCACCCTTATGTTTTCATCCTTCAGCTAAAAGCTCTCATTCGTAAGTGGTTATACATTTGGCTCTGTTATTTCCTGCTTAAGCACCTGCCCTGGGTCCCAATTCACCTCCTCTACAATCACCTCTTGAAGCCTTTGGAATAAAGTTTCCCTAGGTCCGCATCAAATTTCCTTCCCTAATTTTTGGCACTGTCCATATCAACTCAGTGCAGCCCTGCAAGTACTGATCACACACGTACTATGTATGTGTCTAGGACCATGTTCTGCTTTCTGAAAAATGGTATGGACAAGGAGCTTAGGGTCTTGGTAGCTGTGTTTGGGACATCAAAAATAACATAAAAAATTGAGGATGAAGGATCAAGTATAGTGAGGTGAAAACTGAGCATCACTGAATCAAAAATGTATGATTTGAAAGAGGGCTGCAGCAACTCAAGGCAGCCTGTAGGGAAGTGGTCTCTGGACTCCCGGCAGGCTGGGTTCAAAGTCTGACTTTGCCCTTTACTAACTCTGTGACCGTGGATGTTTCCCTTAACCACCCCGGGCTTCATCTTCCTCATCTGTAAGATGTTGCTAATAATAACATGTATCTTTAAGGCTATTGTGTGGACTAGGTGAGAGGTAAGGAATTTATTTAGCTCAGTGCCTGGCAGGTAGGAGGCACTGCATAAATGTCAGTGAATATTATTGATCTCCACACTCATTCTCAGCACAGAGCCAGACTGACGGTAACTAACGTTACTGGAGTCTTCATGGAGGAGACAGGATTTGAGATGGACTTTTGATTAGAGTTAAGATTCGGATAGCTGACTTTGAATGCCAGAAAAGGTTCCTGGAGAAGGGTATGATTTATGGTTGCTTAGGTAGTTTAGATATTAAATGAGGGCAGTATTTTAGGATTAGCACTTGGATTAATGTTTTCTTTTAACTGCAAAGTAAATGTAGGCATTTTGGTAGAAAATCAGTGTCACCGTCCTAGCCATGATCTTTCTAAAAGGATCCTTCAGCTCCTCAGATCTTTCTTTTTACTTCCAATTCTCCAACCTTGCTATGAAGTGTGGATAAAGGATTAAAATTCAGCAGATCACTTCAGGTTAAAGAAAGGAAGAGGCTTTGCCAAATACCCTTTATAAGTGCGAGGCATAAATTGAGGCTCCATTCTGAGGACTTTTACAAACAAATAGAGCCAGGTACCCAAATTCTACAAATTATATTGATATCCATTCATAATCATTCCCCCTCCCCTAATATCCATTCATATTAATCCTCCCGCCCTCAAGTATATGGACATATTTATGGGATAAACTTGAAAAAAATTTAACAAGGACATTGTTATTCCAGGAAGTGGCTGTCGGGTGATTGGTTCAAGAATATTATACAATGCTCAGCAGAGCTCCCACAGAGCTTCTGTGCTGTCTTTTCTCTCACTTCCAGGTGTTTATACCACATAAAACTCACTGCGTTAACCAATGCCGAGTCCACGCTCAGAATGAAATGATTTCCTACTGTGAAAATGGTGTCATCCAAACACCCACAATAGCTTGGATGTCTGCTTTAAGACTAATGAATTTGCCAGTTTGTATAGGGCCCACGTATTTATACTTTAGCAAAAGCACTATAATCTTGTTTCTGAAATTTTGTTCTTTTCTTCTAAAACAGAAATACAGAGAACTCAAGAAAGATAATCCTTAAAGTTTTTATGAAGTTAGAGGGAAACGATTCCATTAGTCTCACTTATCAAGGCCATCTAACTCTTTGTTTAGATAAGCATTCCAGATAGAAAATAAGTTCCAAAAAAAAAAAAAAAATACATAAAAGCACGCAGATTGGTTAGATAGAAGCGAAAAGGGACAGAGGGAGGAAATTAGGGTAAATATTATTTTTCCCTCAATGGGAGTATTTTAAAGCTAAATGCCCTGCCCTAAAAAGTCAAGAGTTATGTAAAGTATTGGTGGTTGTAGTCATTTGAGAAAAGTACAACCCGAATATGCATTTCTCTTATGGGTCAAACAGAAGTCACGATAATTGTGTGTCCTTTACACTACCCCAAGATTGTTATTTAAAGATGAGCATAGTGAAAACTATAATACTATCATTTGTCCACTACCCATGTATGCTAGCAAATAATTATACATATTTTTACCAATGAACTGAATCAGAAATTGGTAACAATTTTAAAAGTAGCTTTTCTGCTATTGTGCAACATCAATGCCCTTCTATTACAATTAGTTCCAAAAAGATAATTCTCTTATCTGACAGCATTATAAAAGCAAAGTATTTCATGCATGGCAGTGTTGAGGAGCTTGGTCATGGGGGACAGGGTGAAAGGTCCAATGGACTACCATAAATGTGTGGTTCACACCATCAGAGGCGGATGCACCTGCTAATCTGGCTTCTCAGTCAAAGTCCCCCCTACAAGGCAATGGTGTGGCAGAATGCAAATGGGAAATAAAGGTACAGGACAGCTGGGACTCTTCTATTGCAGAAAAGGAAAGCAAGCCGAGGAAGAGAGTTTAGTGTGGGCACACTTGCTGCTAACCTGAAGTGCTCTCTTTACTTATGCTCTGTTCTTAGGAGGGGCTGATCATTTATTATAGGTTCTTTTTATATTAAACACTAATGAGAAGCCAAATAATTTATAGGGAGTTTCATATTAAGGCTCAATGATATTAAATACCTGGAGAGCCTCACATAAACAAAGATGGATTACCAGCAATGCTCAAAGTAAAATTTTTATACAATAATAAAAAATAAAATATTTTCATAATAAATCTAAAAATCACATACCCACACAAGTTGCTTCTTCCCATCCAATATATACTGCAATTGGCTACCAGGGAGGGGAAGTGAAGAGACAGACACACTTTTTATTATTTTATCTCTTAAATGTTACCTAAAGACCTCCATCTTAACCAAGCAGCCTATGGCTTCTCCTCCTGTTACTAAAAACCTGCCAACATTTCTTGGTCACCTGAGAGGGTATCATCAGGGCAGCTTGAATTTGGTATCACCAAACAGTCTTTGAGAAGGAAAGGGTCACTTGAAAGAGAGAAAATTTCCCATCCATGGATAAACCTTCCTGCATATAATGTAACTTTCAATAAGCCTGATAAATACTCTGTAAAAATAGACATCACTTCTCCTAGGTGTAAGAGATATATTTGTTAGAAAGGAGGCAGAGGTATTGTCTTGGGATTAGAGATCATTTCAAAGCGAAGTCATTACAGAACACACTCTAGGTTGCTCAACACTCCAGGGGAATATTTTCGGTGGTCGATTCACGCACATGCTGACTACAGAGGACATTCCTATGAACAGGAAACTAAGGAGGAAACCACAGTTTTCTCTACATTATCCATCATCAGACCTCTGGACACTGTTAATTCAAGTGGTTTCCCTATAGAAAAGATGCAGGTCGGTAGAGGGAATTAAGCTGTATATATACCAATTTAATTTCATGAAATCAGTTTGAAATAGAAGTAGTTTAGCTAACTGGAAAGACTGTCTTACAGATTCTTTGAGGAATTCTGGGCAGTAGATTCACTTTCCATGATTTTATTTATTTTTTATCTCTAAAGGATTCCTAAGAATACATGATAATGTTCCTAACAATTGAGTCAAGGGAAAGGTCAAATTAATGCCTTCATCAATCATAAATGGTGATTATAAATAAACTCAGAATTAAATCCTTATCAACATAAATGTTTAAAGTCAGCTTTATTTGGCCTACAATGAGGAAGAAAGAGTAATGACAGCTATATACTATTCACGTATGCTATTAGCAAACAGCATATATATTATTATGAAAAAACGCAGGGAAAAAAATCTCAATTTCATCTTTCCTCCAACCAGGGTCGCTGCTCCTAGCCCAACAGGCCACACACTCCATCACACAGGGGGCTATTCACACCAATTATTGTCTAAATGATGTTCTTACCACTTAGAAAAGATGTACGTAGGACACAATCAGTTTGTTACTGTTTAAAGCAAATTACTGTCATTTTATTTTGCTGAAAGATTTAAGGAAAAATTAAGTAATTTAATCCCATCAAGGTAGATGGTGTGCCTGATGCAGTCCCTTACAAATTGTTAGAAAGCTTGCTTTTCTTTGTTATTATCATATTTAAGCTTTAAGAATAGTCTCAGCATTAGGCAGGCATGACCAAATTGGATCTTCCTCCTAAAGGAAGCCACAGAAGTCAACACCTTTACCAGATCCAATCCTACCTCTCTCATCTTTGGCACCTTTACTTTCTTCCACTATTTACCATAGGAATAATATAAAAAATTATGTACCTTTTCCTACATAGTACATTGCTACTTTCTCAACAGCATAAATACCCAACTAAAACCAAACACAATGAGAATAAGTAGGGGTCAGACATTTCATTTCTTCTTACTTTAGCCCACAAGCCTCTCTCTGTCTTAACTCCAGTAAGTAGGTTTTGTTTGTGTTTGCTTTTTTCAATAACTGTCTTTTAAGTAAGCCTGTAGGCTAGAGGTTTGGGCTTGGGACTTATATATCATCTATATTCCCTGCCCATCCGGCACAGTAATTATTTAATTCAAAAAATACTTGTGGATAGGCCAGGCCTACCCTAAATCAGTTACTGGCCTTACGCGGCAACTCACATTTATGATTATTTTACATAATGCACGGTTTCTAGAAATTAGTTCACACTTTGCTGGGTCTGAAAATTTAGTATTGTAAACTGGCATTTGTATTAACTTGATAAACTAAGAAGGGACAGCCTCAGTGCCCACACATTGCTACATTACAGAAAAATCATAGGCATGAGTGTTTTCAAACAAATGTAAACCTTATAAGGAAGGGAACTTCCGCTTATTAAGAAAGAATCAGGATAAAGGATGCAGAAAACATATGCTTTTGGGGAAGGTGAGAGAAGGCAGTAGAAAACTAAACTTAAAAAGTTTTGGGTACAAATTCCCCCAAGGGAGTGTAAACCAAACGGAACCGAGCAACGCCCACCAGCCCCTAGCCCTGCCAACAGCTCCCCCTTCATAGGAGAGCCTTGCCAATGGCTTTTTACCTCTGGCACAAAGACCAGTTACAAAATGGACCTACTATTCCCAATCTCAGGCTTTCTAAATGACAAATAAGCAAGGAAGAAAAAAACCTTCTAAGCGGATCACCATCTGGGTTGAGGAATGAATTTACGCCAATGAAGTGGTACTATGAAATTATAAACATTCTGGAAGACTCCGTGCCTTGATCAAGAGTACTGGGTGAAAGCCAAATTTGGAAACAGAAAGCAGGATAAAGCCAATGTTTGTGGTCTTTATCATTCCGTGCTATATTGGTTATAGGTAACACTGGACACAGTGTCAGTGTGAAGTTAATGAAGCCTCTGAGATCTGAGCAAGTGGCTGGCAATAGCAAAGCAGGCCAAGGGAATAGAGATTTGCAAATAGAGGTTAAATGTGAGATCCTCAAAGACGAAGGAGCTCAAGGAATTACAGGGGAAAATGTAGAAGCGCTGGGGCAAAGGACAATTAAAGCCCCAATAATCTCCTTTCTCGTAATCCCCGTCATCTCTCAAATGTCTCCAAATTTACTGGGTGCAATAGGGCTTAATTGAAAGTAATCATATAAGCATGAAAATGTAAGGCCATAGTTATCACAGAGTCAACACTTTAGTTTATAACAATAATAAAATGAAAAGCTTTTATTTAGAATAGGACAAAGCATCTCTGCTGTTCTCTTTTGACATTATTTCTTGGGACAAACCTTAGAGCCTCCCCACAAAACAACAACCCTACCCAACTGTGCTTCATGCTCTCCAAGAATCTTCCAAGGTCTGGGCAAGGGGGTATAGGTAGAATTACTCTCTAAGAGAAGAGATTAATCAAATCTAGAAGGAAAAAAGACATAGGATATAGGGAGGGTGTAGTTTGAATAGCATTCTTTCACAGATCTCAACCACCAGTAGAAAGGTTTTCTATTATCAGTAAAGATGGAGAAAAAGGCCGGGCGCGGTGGCTCACGCCTGTAATCCCAGCACTCTGGGAGGTCGAGGTGGGCGATCACGAGGTCAGGAGATCGAGACCATTCTGGCTAACACGGTGAAACCCCATCTCTACTAAAAATACAAAAAATTAGCCTGGCGTGGTGGTGGGCACCTGTAGTCCCAGCTACTCAGGAGGCTGAGGCAGGAGAATGGCGTGAACCTGGGAGACAGAGCTTGCAGTGAGCCAAGATTGTGCCACTGCACTCCAGTCTGGGCGACAGAGCGAGACTGTCTCAAAAAAAAAAAAAAAAAAAAAAAGATGCAGAAAAAGCAGTCAGATACATCAGAATGAACACTTAAAAAGCTTATCTTCAATATTCATTAGGTTTAAGGATCTCTCTTAATGAGAATCTATGCTTTCTTCTAAGTTGCTTAGTTCAGTTTTAGATGATGACGGCTGATGTTACATATTTTCACAATGACACCTGCAGGTTATTTGCAAAATCTGGCTTAAATAGCAATGACCAAGGGCTGAATTCAGATTTTCAAGATTCCCAAGGTTATGTAAATGACCGCTGTGTGGGCAGAATCCCTTAAGCTCTAACTCAAAATCAGTCACTATTGGTAAAATAATTTTTCTTTTACTCTAACAATTTTCATAAAAAGGATACCATTAGATTTCACCTGGGGTTCTGTTGAAATATTGACATTATTATAGCTATTTTAAAAAGACTTTCTGATAGATGTTTATAGAAATGTTTCCTATGCTCAGTACATGCATATAGCTGGTCTATAAAATATTTCCTCTGGAGTGTTAACCCTTCATAAAATCTTTAATTATTCGTTACAACAGAATATAATGAGATAAACTGCTTTTATATCCCTGCTGTACTTGGAGGTAGACATATCCACAGACTCTGTAAAGATAAATGCAGAATTCCCGGATGCTGGGAAAGCTGCCATTTAGCTCAAGGCTTCCTTACTGTCATTTCATGAGAAATCTTAAGTATGTAACCACATACCAACTTAAAAGCATGATTTTTATTGTTTAACTGAAATTCTAGGGAGGACAGCATATAAATTGAGAAAAAAAAAAATAGAAACCTGGCTACGCAGAGCTCTTAAATAAACTTGACAGCTGCCCAAAGACAGGAGATTTAAATAAATGTACATTAAACTCTTACCACTAGGCACATACATCTTTTCCCTATAGTATGTAGGGAGACCAGTTGCAATAGAAGAAGGCCTTGAAGGATGTTATTACCCATTCTCCATCTATTAATAGAATAATGCGGTAGTCAAAAGACTTTCAAAAGATAAAAGCATCATTCTCTCTAAAGTTTTTGGACTCCTGCCCAAATCACAGTCATATTTTCATATTTGTCAGCTCAAAGAGACTCTTTTATAATAGCAAATAAAAATTAAGTGTTCACACTGGGCTTCAAAGCAAAATTCTTTCAGTGATGATGCATAAAGCACAGTATACATCTTTCTTTAGGAAGGTTGACTGCCTCAAATTCAATATTCAAGCTGGTAACATCACAGAGTTAAAGCATACTGGGACAATGGCTGCTATGATCTGATTTTAAAAAATTAGGCTAATTATGCAGAAAAGCATTCTCACATGGGTGAATCCAGAGCCCTTTCCCAGAGGTGACATTTTTTAGAAATGTCCTTAATAAAGACAGACATGGAACTGAAGAGTCAACAGGGATAAAAAGAGGAGGGAGGATCACAATAAAGACTCCTTTGGCACTTGCTGGGTACAGAGTAGTCTCAGAGTAAATAATGAAATCAATAAATGAATGTAAAAAAATCTATCAAATAATACAAGCCAATTGGGTGCTACTTGTTTCATGGAAAACATACTCATAGCCTAACACTTTTTCTTGGATTACTTTCCCACTTAGTGAAGGAGCTCTTTCTTTACACCCACCCTCATCCAGGAGCAGTAGCTGCCAACAAGCAGATACATGTTTGTGCAGGATGGAAGTAGTGATAAGTTGTTGACTTGAATAACAAAAAAGAAAATAAACAGAATACTATTCAGCTACTAGCTGACTAAAGCATATAATAGCAAGCCTGTCCTCTTTAGAGGTGTCTAGCACACATCATTCTGTTTCAGTACAGTTGGTGGACTTTTACTTCTCCCTACAGAGAGGCAACTGGAAATATCCAAAACTTCAGTGCCTGGGATAGTACCCAGCAGACAGTAAGCTCTCAAAGAGTTACTGAGAAGAATCCTTTGAAATGTACTTCAAGGTTTTCTGGATTCCTGGGTAAACCTGGGAGTGTGGAGCGGGAGGAATTTATTCACATCTGATTTGCATGTTGACAGCCATATTTCCCCAAAGTAAACAACAACAACCACAGATCCATATAATCTCTGAGGTTTGTTTTTTTGTTTGTTTGGTTTTTTTGTTTGAGACTCAGTCTCAGTCTCTGTTGCCCAGGCTGGAGTACAGTGGTGCGATCTCGGCAACCTCTGCCTCCTGAGTTCAAGTGATTCTCCTGCCTCAGCCTGCTGAGTAGCTGAGATTACAGATGTGCATCACCACACCCAGCTAATTTTTGTAATTTTAGTAGAGATGGGGTTTCACCATGTTGGCCACACTGGTCTCGAACTCCCAACCTCAGGTGATCCACCTGCCTCAGCCTCCCAAAGTGCTGGGATTACAGGCGTGGCCATCGTGCCCGGCCTCTGAGGTTTATTTGTAATCTCAGAGAAGAAAAAGGAAAAAAAAGAAAATGAAATCATTTATGAAAGACTTAGTTTTCAGAGAGAGGTACATATATTGACATAATGAAACTATATCTATCTTCATGTTAGGCCTCTTTTCCTAGACATAATGATGATAAATAAGCAGCAGAGGCCAAAGCTACCATTTGTTTCACACTTTCACATTTCGTACTTTATGTTTTTTGTGCATTTATCCTCACCAACTTTATGATGTAGCTGTGATTTTGCCCGCCTCACAGTTTAGCAATCCTTAGAGACAGTTTAAACAATTTGCTCAAGGTCACATGGCTAGAAAGTGGTAAAACTGAGTTTTTAAACCCAGATGTCTGAGTCTAAAACCTATGTGCATATCTATGACACTATTGTCTAGCTTGGATAATCAGAATCTTGGGGTAATTGCAGGGGTTGGACTAACTTGAGTTTCAATCCTGGCTTTGCCACTTGCTATTGGTATGCTATTGAGCAAACTTTTGCATCATTATCTGAAAAACAAACAAACAAAACTTCCAAGATTATTGTGGGAATTAGAAACAATGTGTTTAAAGTATCTGATAGCTGCTCTTGCCATTGTTGTTACTGTCATTATCATTAAAAGGAATGTAGAATTTTGAAATTCTTTTGAGACTATCCAGTTTTCTCATTTTTTTGCATGCATTTTATCTGCATATAACCTGAGGACAAGAGCCAGTTAAGCAGTGAGAGTTCCTCTGCTGGGGTTCGCTAGAGGGAAAAGTTGAGACCAGAATTCTGGTTTCTTGCCCAGTGCGATTTCCACCACCCTCTGCTACCTATCATTTGCTTTACTTTAAAAAGACTAAACTAATCCCAAATGCTGCTAATCAAATCCAAACCAAATAAGGATAGAAACTGTTCCTCCTTTGCAGGGAACCATAAAACAGGAATGCAGAAAACACATGCTTTTGGAAAAAATCAACAGAAAAAACTCAATACTCTTTGGGTACAAATTCCCCCAAGGGAACACAGACCTGACAGAACTGAAAAAAACACCCACTGGTAGCAAGCCTTGCCAAGAGTTCTCCGTCCCCGGAGGCTCGGTGTCAATGGCTTTCACCTCTGGCATAGTGACCAATTACAAAATGGGCCTTCCATTCCTAACCACAGATATCCTAAATGACAAATTAAGTGTCTGAGAGATAAAAGGTTATCAGGGAATAAGTACAAAATACACATGTGCACGCCTGCGCATACACACACACACACACACACACAGCCTGATGTGGAGTTTTAAAAAGTCTCATTTGGTTTTCATCACATTTACACTAGTTTTTCTTTGTCTAGCATAACTCTTATGTCAGTAGTTTAAACAACATTTAATATTTGAGAAAAAAGCCCTATGTGGACGTGCCAAATAAGTACAGTCACGTGTAGCATAACAACATTTCAGTCAAGGATGGGCTGCATATATGATAATGGGCCTTTAGAATTATAATACTATAGTTTTTACTACGGCTTTTCTATGTTTAGATACACAAATACTTCCTATTGTGCTACAGTTGCCTACAGTATTCAGTACATGTTGTACAGGTTTGTAGCCTAGGAAAAACAGGCTTTACCATACAGCCTAGGAGTGTAGCAGGCAGGCTCTACCACCTGGGTATGTGTAAGTACACTCTGTGATGGTCACACAATGGTGAAATCACCTAACTGTATCAAAATAATACTAACACCAACCATGATGTGCCAAATCTATGTGATCAGGGGTACACTATGAAATGGCAAAAAAAAAAAAGGGGTGGAGTGGGGTGGGGTGAAGTGGGTATGAAACACTTTAAGGAACTTCCCAGGCCAAACAGTGCACAGCCAGTTTAACCATAATATCATCACCACTCTGGGGTAAACAATTTCCATGGCCATTCATGTCAACGTCATATCTGTGTTTATATTCATTCTCATGAGGGTAGAAATAACAGCGTTCATTATGAGAGATACATCATACTAAAATGCTCAATTAGTTTTCTCTTGATCCAGAGGCTTGTTAAAATCAACACCCTCAACTGATATGGGGTTCAACATTTAGAAGAACCTACAAACATGCAAAATGTTTTATTTTGCTTTTACTTGTATGGCTCTTCTAGTCTTTTGTTGGGGAGGGTGGTTAAAAAAGGAGTTTATCCATATTTCTCCTTGGTTAACATTCTGCTAAAAAAAAAAAAATCAAAATTTTAAACTGGCTTATAATGCCTGTGACACCAAGAATACTTAGTGAGCAATTAAACTACAGCACTATATGTCTACTTTAGGGAACTTCCCTACCACATGTCTGGATAAATATTTTTACTTTCTTGTACAAGGAATTAACGAATCAAATCACATTTCTAAAATAGTCTGCACTCATTGTCTTACCAATAACCTTTTCAGTATTTTGCATACATCAATCTTTTGTCCAAGATCTTCCAACTGTCTCCTTTACCAGGTTGACACCCAAAATGCAATTCTGGCCGGGTGCTGTGGCTCACGCCTGTAATCCCAGCACTTGGGAGACCAAGACAGGCAGATCACTTGAGACCAGGAGTTCGAGACCAGCCTGGCCAACATGGCAAAACCCTGTCTCTACTAAAAATATAAAAATTGGCCGGGTGTGGTGCCATGTGCCTCTAGGCACATGTTACTTGCAAGTTCCAGTTACTTGGGAGGCTGAGGTAGGAGAATCGCTTGAACCTGGGAGGTAGAGGTTGCAGTGAGCCGAGATCATGCCACTGCACTCCAGCCTGGGTGACAGAGAGAGACTCTGTCTCAAAAATAAATAAATAAATAAAATGCAATTCTTATCGGTGTTTACAGTATGCATCACTTGGCAGTCTGGCCATATTAGCGTCAGTTTACGACACAAATTTGTTAGCATCATAAAATTACGCTAAAATCCTTTAAGCTATTATAGATTTCCTCTCAGTTACTGTGAAATCAACAAACAATCCATCACTTCCTCTTAGATTCTCACCCAAAAGATATCTTGGTTGCATTTCTTCTAGAACATACTTCCCTCAACTACCCAAATTAAACATATTTCAAGCATCATTAATTGATTAGATTTACAAAGAGCTCTGAATGAGTTCAAAGGCACTCTGGATGAGTGAAAAGGCAATTGTTCATTTTCTTCAAGTACCTTCACCTTTCCTTTCACTCGGGAACGAATGTTTTCTAATAATTTTTCTTATGAAAGTGTTACCTATCTTCTGTCTCTTCCCCTAGTCTTATATTTCATGCTAATGCATGCATTTCAGTTTCCATTTTACTGACATTACTGTTTGTTATAATGTTATTAAAATTCTTCTCTTCACAAATTTTTGGACTGACGAAAATATTCAGTCATTACATTTCCGTTTTGCAAATAGCAAGTTAGATGCTGGGCCGGGCGCGATGGCTCACGCCTATAACCCCAGCACCTTCTGAGGCCGAGGTGGGTGGATCATGAGGTCAGGAGATCAACACCATGCTGGCCAACATGATGAAACCCTGTCTCTACTAAAAATAAAAAAATTAGCTAGGCGTGGTGGGGCGCGCCTGTAGTCCCACCTACTCTGGAGGTTGAGGCAGGAGAATTGCTTGAACCCGGGAGGTGGTGGTTGCAGTGAGCCGAGATCCCGCTACTGCACTCCAGCCTGGAGATAAAGCGAGACTCCGTCTCAAAAAAAAATAAAATAAAATAAAGAAAGAAAGAAAAAGAAAGTTAGCTGCTACATCACTCACTATTCCAATGTTCCTTACATTTGAAATCTGTAGATTAATAATCATAAAAGAATAAAATTAAACACTGATTCAAACAAATATGAACAGACGTTTGTAACTTAGGTGTTATCCAGAAAAAACAACAACAACAACAACAACAACAACAAACAACTTTGATTTTTGCTTGAAAATAAAGTCCTGAACTTTTTTTTTTTTTTTTTTGAGACGGAGCCTCGCTCTGTCGCCCAGGCTGGAGTGCAGAGGCGCGATCTCGGCTCACTGCAAGCTCCGCCTCCCTGGTTCACGCCATTCTCCTGCCTCAGCCTCCCGAGTAGCTGGGACTACAGGTGCCTGCCACGGCTAATTTTTCTGGTATTTTTAGTAGAGACGGGGTTTCACCGTGTTAGCCAGGATGGTCTTGATCTCCTGACCCCGTCATCCGCCCACCTTGGCCTCCCAAAGTGCTGGGATTACAGGCGTGAACCACCGCGCCCGGCAGTCCTGAAGTTTTAAAACTAGACCAACCAGTGCTATGATACTGCTTAATTCCCATAGGCATGTAGCAAATTTGTATTTTCTTCATTTGCTGAAAGAAAAAAGAAAAACACCATAACCTTTTGTCTCTACCTTTGAGCAATTTAATAAAATTAAACTTTGAAAGAGATTAAGAGTAGTAATCAAAGTTCCAAATATAGCTAAGAAAAAGCTAACTACTCTGGTGGAAGTTACGTATATTTGAAGCATTTTTCCTCAATATAACATGGAATTAATAGGAATTCACTCATTATGCATGTTCTAGTATAACCTTAAATGCCCACAGGTTATTCCTAATTTTCTGGAGAAATAAAAGTCACATGGCATTTTTCTATGCTTAAACAGAGAACAATTATGGATTTTTTAAGAAGGGAGAGAAGGAAACATGCATACTTCACTTATGCCCATAACTTCTAGAGCTTTTATGTTTCATATGAAAAACAGAAAATACATTTCTAATGTGTCATCAATTCTTTTGAACTTCTAATAATTTGAATGTACATTTTATAGCAAATAGCTTAATGATCACATCATGCAGCTGACTTAATTCTCAAAATGTCTTTGTAGTTTTATTATTCTGTAAAAGCAAACTGTTTCACCAAAAATTGTACTAGGTCAAGCTTTTACAAGAAAAATATTTATTATATTGTCCATTAAAGCTTACCAATTAATTACCAAGTTTAGTCAATGGGGTTCCTTTGAACTGCCTGTGAGATGAGTATTTTATTACTTATTATTATAATAATGAGTAGATTTGAAAGATTTTTACCTTACAAAATATCAATGGTTTATTTCACAATGTTATTTGTTAAACCAAAGCATTAGTCATTCTCTTCTTCTACTTTTCTCCTTCTTCCCCTTTCCCTTTACTTCTGTATAAGCTTTTTTAATATTTAAGATATGAAGAAATCCAACATTATACATCATTAAACCATGGCCAAATTCACAATAAAATGTGCCTGCAATCCTTTAAAAAAAGGATTATGTATACAGAACTACGTGGAAAACTTGCTGTTCTCAGAAAAGAACAGAATGAAACAGATAATAAATAAATTTCTATATCCAAGGTAGATCTTTCTTTTTACAGGAGGTCGGGTAAGTTCATACAGAAAAACTCTACAGAATGGGCCTGTCGTTAAAAATAAACGAAGCAAGGATTATTGGGTTTAGATCATTTTCTTAAGAATCAAAAAAGTTTTTCTAGGGCTTTGGCTAAGTACATGAAGATAAATGATGCCCAATTCTGGTTTTGCCAAATAACACAAGTCTTTTCAGAAACTACAAATTCCAGTGGCTCTGGCAGAATGAATATCAACCTAGGTCAGTTCTCCATAACCAGAACCCACAAATTTGCCAGTCCACTTCACATCTCAACTATTAGATAATAGCAGGCAAGATGCATGTTCCTGGTGGGCACAGTTGTTTATGTGGTGATTCTTCTTTGAGTTGTTGGTGTTTTCTCGCTTTCTTCCCTCCCTTCCTCCCTTTCCTCCCCTCCCCTCCACCTAATAGAGGGCCCACCTCTCTACAGGGTGCTCACCTCTAACTGTCTCCAGCAGTAGAAAAGGAAGTCAGAAAGCTAAGCAAGGCCTGGGTCAGGAGAGCTATTTATTTTCATGATGAGAAACCACCGCAGGGCTCTGGGAAGGGAAGTGGCACAGTCTGATTTATCTATTTAAAAAATCCATGTAAAGAGTATGGGGCGGGCAGGGGCAAGAATGGAAGCAGAGATGCCAGGTAGGAAGCAATTACAAGAATCCAGAGAGGAATGGTTGCAGGTTGCTTGGACTAGGGTGGTAATACTGTAGGTTCAGGATATATTTTGAAGATAAAGGCAACTGGTCTTGCTCATGTGGGCACTGAGAGAAACTGGGGCCAGGGAACTAGGTAAATTGTGGGGTGGGTGGGGAAGAGAGGGAAGGATGCTACTTTGACTGAGATGGAAAACAATGGGGGAGAAGTTGGGTTTGAGTTGTGTGGGGGCTTCAGGAATCTTTTGACCTTAAATGTAAGATGGCATCAGACATACCAGTGGCACTAGAAGCTGTGGAAGCACAGGAATAATCTAGAAATCGGTTGAGAGCTTTGGCTAGAGATTTAAATGTAGGACTCATCAGTTTATAGGCATCATTGGTGTATTTAAAACCATGGACCAAGGACCAGGCGCGGTGGCTCATGCCTGTAATCCCAGCATTTTGGGAGGCCGAGGCAGGTGGATCATGAGGTCAAGAGATCGAGACCATCCCGGCCAACATGGTGAAACCCCGTCTCTACTAAAAATACAAAAATTAGCTGGGCATGGTGGCATGCGCCTGTAATCCCAGCTACTCAGGAGGCTGAGTCAGGAGAATCGCTTGAACCCAGGAGGTGGAGGTTGCAGTGAGCCGAGATCGCGCCACTGCACTCCAGCCTGGGTGACAGAGCGAGACTCCATCTCAAACAAAACAAAACAAAACAAAACAACCATGGGAAAGGTGAGATGACCTAGGATATGAGTGTAGGTGGAGAAGAGATTAAAAACAAAATGAGGCCCGCATTCCACTATTTAGAAGTCAGGACATGTGAGGGTGTGATAAGCAGCCACCAGTGATGAAAGTGCTTCAGGAAGGAGGGATGGATCCGCTGTGGATTGCGTAGTAGTTGAGTCATGAGAGAACTGATTGGCATGACTTCAAGAGGGAAAATGGGAGGGGAGGAAATGGAGGCAACAAAGAGACAATAAATGTTCTCTCTAGGAGCTTCACGATAAGTGTGTGCTTGCAGAGCCAAGAAAGAAACTTGCTGGAGGAGGGCTGGTCAGTGGGGAGTGGGCGGGGGTGTTGGGGAAGATAAGAAGGGATTTTTAAAAGATTTTAACGGGCTATGTATATAATTTTAACACTCTGTATCCTGATTGTAATAATTCACTAGAGAGAAGAACAAAGTGATGATGCCAGAAAGAAAATGTAACTTCAGTAGGTGAAAGGAAAAAGGATATGGTAAGAAAGTGTGTGTAAAAGGTTAGTAGATTTTTTGTTTTGATGATTTTTATTTTCTCAGGGAAACAGGGAGTGAGGTCATCCACTGAGAAGGTGGAAGGGATACTGAAGGTTTGAGAGAGGAGGAGAAACTATGAATGAGTCCTTCCCAGAGAAGTGACCAGCTAAGATTACTAGAAAATTTGGGGCCCCTTGAGCCTTATGGTCATCAATTTAATAAGCCAGTCAGGAGTAGTATTGCTGGTTTTTCCTTCTGTCATGTTCAGTTTTTCTGATGCAGGTATGGAGTAAGTGAGTTGAAAAGACAGGAATTGTCAAAGACAGTGCTTAAAGATGAGGTTTCACAGGTGGTACAGCTACTTATAATGGCCAAGTCTGGTTGAGAATGGCCTGAGTGGGTGGCTGAGATAGAGTGAAAGAAAGATTGTTGGAAGGAAAGTGCTCAAGGAACTAAGAGAACCAAAGCTGGATAAATTTTCTACCTGAGAGCTGGAGTTTCCAAGAATGACAGACAGCCATGGGAAGAAGAGGTGTCAAACCAGCGCTCAAAAGCTTCTATGAATGATGGTCAGAATCAACAGGAAGCTGTACAAAATGTGTCCAGAACAGTAGTAGGTAGAATAGTGCAATGGCTTAAAATTAAAAGGAAATGGAATTTTTAATTGCAAGATAAATGGTCTGGAAGTGGCAGTAAGGAACAAGAAAGACACTCATCTCAACTCTGGACCCCATGTTACATGGGCATGGGAGATAAAAATCACAGCAAGTGAAGGATAGAAAATGAATTAAGATCCTTCTAGGGATCTTACAGGGCCTTAGAACTACATGGTAAACACCACCATGTCTGGCACAGAGCCAAAAACACAACAGGGTTTGAACAAATACTTGGGTTTTAACTAAAAGGAGTTTAAAAGTATCATCAATTCTGTAGACAAACAGCCTAGATATGGGGCTTTAGAAAAAGTCCACAAGGGAGTGGTTAAACAGCTTGAGCAAGAGACTTGGAATATATGAGAAAAGGGATGAAATAAAGAAATGACCTGGCCGGGCACAGTTGTTCGCACCTGTAATCCCAGCACTTTGGGAGGCCGAGGCAGGAGGATCGTTTGAGCCCAGGAGTTTGAGACCATCCTGGGCAACACGGTGAAACTTCATCTCTACAAAAAATACAAAAAATTTGCTGAGTGTGGTGGCATGCGGGAGGCTGAGGTGGGAGGATCACCTGAGTCTGGGAGGTTGAGGCTGCAGAAAGCTGTGATCATGCCACTGCACTCCAGCCTGGGTGGCAGAGTGAGACCCTGCCTCAAAAAACAAACAAACAAACAAAAAACAAACAACAAACCTGATCACCTACTGAGTAGCTCCCGACTGCACTCTCAGCTATTTTCTATCCTACTACCTTATCCTTTTCCTTGATTTCTTTGCTAATTATTTGTCTGCTTTTCTAGAATTGCTAATTTTCTGATTCACTACAAATGTATCAGCTTAATTACTATTTCTTTTGCTCGTCACTATATACCTAAGGCCTAGCAAAGTGTCTGGCACATATAATGTCCTCAAAGAATACCAAATAAACAAAATAGAGAAAAGCATGGTTAGAAGTAGCCCAATTAAGTTACACTATGCAGAGACAGGCCAATATAGGTTCAATACTTCTAAGGATCCCATCTTTGGGATGGAATTGACATTTAGAAAGAAGGCAGTGAAAAACAAATACTGATTCCTGGGCAACAGATCAGGGAGGCTGCATTCTTGTAGGCAGAGGGCTAAACAGCACTTGACTAAGGAGTAAGCTTGGAGTGGCTGAGAGAGATGTGAGTCAGCTTCCTCGTCTCTACTCAACCATCTTCAAAGTCCTGCCTCATGTGACCTTATTCCTACGATGATCCATTCTGTCCACAGTGGCCTTTCATGTTCTGTACTTCCTGATCTAACAGACAATCGCTATTTCCACTGTACTCCTAGCTTCTACATCACTATTACGTTGCAACTGTGAACACGGACATGTTTGTCGTTTACTGGGTATGTTTACTGAGTAGTTTAGACGTACATTGACATCAGACAGTTTATCTTTTAGATTATAAACTTGTAGAAGCAGGGGTTTGTAGTCTCCATAATGTAATCTTTGGTTCGTTAACTCAGTTTGTTTAGGTCAAGGGTGAAGGTTTAACCTCCAAACGAGTTATTTAGTTTTGCTTTGCTCCACTTTCTCAAACTACCTCCAACTCAGGCATTCTCAGCACACTGAGAAGTGTTAAACCAAGACAGAATAAGAGAAAAAATTCACATTTGAATGAAAATTCCAAACTTTACAATTGCAAACACCATACATTAAAAAGAACAGCAGTGAAATTCCAAAGCACCTGAAAAATGAGTTGCAAAAACAAAAAGGTTTATATAATCTAAAATTCCCGACTGCAGAAATATGTAAATATATATTTAAACTTGAAATATATGGCCATTGCTATTAAATGTAAAGTCAAGTAAATTTATGTTAAAGTAAAATGTAGTGTTCTCATTCCACTAACCATAAACATAGAAGTTTAGAGCTGGGAAGGACCTTGCAGGCCAGGCCCCTTATTTTGTAGACGAAGTAACTAAAGCCTAGAAGGGTTGCTGAGGTACCCAGCATCAGACAGCAGCACAAGTCAGCAGCACTGAAGTGGAGACACCACAGGCTTTGGAGACAGATCCATCTGCATTTGACCCTGATATTCCACCCTTTAGCTGTGTGGCATTGGGAACCCTCACTCTTTCAAATTTCAGTTTCCTCATGTATGAATGAGGGATCATATCACTATGGTTTATTGAGCAGGCCTGTAAAGATTAAAAGTCTTAAACCTGAAGTGCCTAGCACAGAACTTTTGGGCTAAAATGACATAATAGGCTGCGCACCATCGCTCACACCTATAATTCTAGCACTTTGGGAGGCCAAGGCAGGTGGATCACCTGAAGTCAAGAGTTTGAGACCAGCCTGGCCAACATGGCGAAGCCCCATCTGTACTAAAAATACAAAACCCAGGCGTAGTGGCATGCAAGTGTAATCCCAGCTCCCCGGGAGGCTGAGGCAGGAGAACTGCTTGTACTTGGAAGGCGGAGGTTGCAGTGAGCTGAGATCACACCACTGCACTCCAGTCTGGGCGACAGAGCAAGACTCGGTCTCAAGAGGAAAAAAAAAAAAAAAAAAAAAAAAAGACATAATAAAGCCAGATTATAGAATCTTTCCCCTAATGGAATAAACTTAAAATCGCTGTTAAAAGAAAAAAAAGTCAAAAATGTTACCAGAGACCAACCAAGTTAAAGAGAACATCATACCATATTCTGTATAAGCGGTGCCCATGAATAGAAGATTCCTAGGTAAAAAGGGATTGCATTGGAGGTGGGAAAGTTAGGTGGCCAAAATCCTGAAAACTATCATTAACAGCCCCCAATTTGGGGAAAATGGATCTAAGCTAGCATTTTGGCAGCCCAGGGAGGAGATGGAAAAATCCATCCATAGTAAAAAGCTCTTCCTGCCATCACAGGAATCTCCTCAGACACAGAAAAGCAAATCAGAACTCACCATTTTGGCTTTTTATGCCTGGGAGGAAAGGAGAAGAAAAGGGAAATGAGTCATAATCAAGCAAAGCTAATTAATTACAGCCAAACTCTATTATAAAGCTGTATGTAGGAGTCTAACAAATTCAATCATGTATGTGGGATCTCATTGTTGTAGAGCTAATAAAACAAGGACAAGGGCTGGGATGAAGGGAAGGAGATAGCCAATTGCCAGTTGTGTTAAATCTTAGTTGGTGCTAACATGAGGTTCGCTAGTCTGTATCAGAGTTTACTGTATCTTAAACAGTAAACAAAGGTCTAGCCAAAGAGAAAAATAAATAAGGGTGTGTGTGTGTGTGTGTGTGTGTGTGTGTGTGTGTGTGTGTGTGTGTGTGTGTTGAGGGCTGGGAGAGAAGGAGAATTAAAGGCAGAAAATTCCCAGGTGAGGTTCCCTTCCCTGTCTGTGGATTAATAATGCCATGGTAAAAGCATACAGGTTTCTCCTTTCTCCATTAGCTGGAAAGAGATAAAAACACTTGCTGGGGGAAAGATAGGATGTGGCAAGGGAAGGAGACACCTGAGGCTGACATTCTTAGCCAAAACTAATCAAACAAATGGCTTGCAAGCACCTCCTTGAATTGGAGGAATAATCCAAAGCCCCGTATCTCACTCCTCCAGAGATATATCTGTGAATATGTAGAGCAAACCCTGATGCAGGGCATTTAATACAATTACTGAGGAAGAGCAAAGATCCTACCAACAACTGGGATTGTAGGATCCCAGCACGCAGCCCAGCTCAACTAACTCTACCTCATCTCCAGCATGTGGGTCTTCAGGTCGACTCCTCAAACTGAATGCAGCTCTGGGACTAGACCCCGAGGTCTAATTAGAGACGGTTAAAAAGCAAGACAAGGACAATTCACCAACATTAGAGAATGAAGAAAAGATCCTGAGTGAGTTGTTCATATTCAACTTAAGTTTTACAAAGAGAAAAGACTATGACAACTAAGCAGGACTCCCAGAGCAAAGAAAAAAATGAAAGAAAGGGGGAGGGCTGGGAAGGAAGCAAGAATCTAGTTTAGAAGAAAACAGCCCTCTCCACCTTCCTCCAAAAATCTCCGTGAGTGCATTACACTACAAGATTAAAGAAAATAGAAATTAAATGAGACACCAGTGGAAAAAAATGAGATAAAAAGGGAGGTTGCAGAAGGAAACAATAAATTAAACAATAACACTGTAGAACTAATAAACAAATTAGAAAGAAAAGAAATAGAATAGGCACAGGTAAAAAATAGTGACATAGCAAAAACCCTTGGAAACTTGAGATAATGACAGTGAATACGTAAGATGATGATATACAAATTAAGGCAATTTGGGAACAGAGGACAGATAATGACAAACAAATGTAAGTGTCCAAAATAAAGTTGGAACTACTGTAGTAGGTTCCTTAACAAATATTAGTAAACTTTACCCCACCTAACTCCTATCATCATGTATGTAAAAACAGTGTTTTATGGTTCTTTTGGTCTTCTATATGACTACCTACAGAAGCAAACAATAAAAATGAACTGATAGGTCTTGTAAAATTTGCCCTGATGTCTATTTTGAAGTGTTATAAATTCGGTATTTGCGTAACAGTGGTTCTCCTGGAGAAAATCATTAGAAATTTGATCCTACACCCTATTCTTATTCACTGAACAGAAAAGAGAAATCTGGAAGCAATCTGGTAATATAAAACTATTAGTTTATGCTGTTGGAGCCTTTATCTAACAAATTTCCAAAACAACTACAGTCGTTAAAATAGTGAAATTATTATTTCCAAGTGGACATATATTTTTATTAAAAGAACAATTAAGACAGTTTATTTGATATATTTTAACACTTTTCATTAACCAGGGGTCATACACTTGCTAAAATACTTTTCTGGAAGCACAGGTAATATTCAGAACAAGAGTCACAATTGTGCCCACTCAGCATTCCTTCACATTGATCAGAACTCACTTCACTGAGAAGTACTGCACTAAAGGATTTAATGAGACATGCTACTGAAACATAAATGTACATAGCCCGGAGCTGAAGGATTTTATAATAACAAACTCATACACACACAGAACCGCAAATCATTACCTTCACTGCCATTCTGAAGAGAGCTGGCACTTTAGTCGTAAAGTTTTTCCTTAAGTTTAGAAGTGTCCCTGATTGCAAATAATATTCAACAAAAAATTTATAATCTTAAAAAAGATACTGCTAAATAAAATAAAAGCTACATACTGCCTGCCACATGGAAGGTGCTTGATAAACATCAGTTAGATAAATAAGCCTCAAGACTCACAAGACAATACAATGATTTAATTCCCATTGGATATGGTATTGTGGAGGACTCTAAATTTCTGAGTCAGCACCCTTCATTTCATGTTGTTTATAGACTAGCTTTGTAACCAGTATTCTACTCAATAGCTAGAGTATTCACAAATACACTAAAATAATGAAGAATAAGCCACTGTGTAATTAAATATGAATAATGAAGACAGCACTTATAACAGTTTGACTTCTATTTCAAGTGAAAAACAGGAAGTTGCCTAAAAAGTTGCTGTGTTTAAAAATGGGTCTTTTTATGGATTTATAATACAATCAAGGGACCAACTTTTGCAGTTTGTTCTCAAATATTAGGAGATGTAGTTTCTTCATCATTTGAAATGATGACATGGAAGACAGCATGCATAAGATCAAACACCTTTTACTCAAAATACAGAATTAATGGGCTTGCTCATATTCCAAGGATGTGTCTTCTTAAACACTGGTTTGTTTCATAGTTCTAAGTTTTTTGGAGGGCCTGACTTAATCCAAAAATACTGTGGCATGCCTACAAGAGTTAACCTCTTATATTTTGAAGTAGAACAAAAAGGGAACATATATTCTGACAGGAGATTCTATCATAATCGCTCAGAACACTGAACTTTTTCAACTTGATGAAAGGTTTCTCCAAGTTAGAAATACTATAAGTAACTCTTTCCAAAAGACTGCTCGTATGTGAAGAGTGAAAAAACAAACTAAACAAAAGCAAAAACTTAGGACTAAAGACTAACAAATGCATATGAAGAAGGAAAGTGCCTTTGCTCAAGGTCATTGTGCTAACAGAATGACTTGCTTAGTTCACGTGCAGATATTTGTTGGCAAATGTTAAGCGATGCAGAAAAAAAGGCACTACATAAATGTGAAAAACAAATAAGTAAAACCATAAACATGAATGTTGTAATTTGATGATTATGTGCAAGATCAATCAAGTAGTGAAAGTATGTAGTATTCAAGTGTTTAAAGTGGCGGCCTGGGCATGGTGGCTCATGCCTGTAATCCCAGCACTCTGAGAGGCTGAGGTGAGAGAAATGCTTGAGGCCAGGAGTTCAGGACCAGCCAGGGCAACACAGTAAAACCTCGTTTCTACAAAAATTAAAAAAAAAAAAACGACTATGCTCAAGGTAGTGAGGAACCACTTCTACTAAGCCAGATGGAAATTGCTAAGAACAGAAAGACGACGATGTCATGACGGCTGGTTAACTATGGGAGCAGCTGGGGTTTGAATTTCTGTTAACAGTAGGAGAAAATAAGGACTGGAGACAGAGGGGGAATCTGAGAAATTCTCTATTTTGGTGGCTAAGCTAACACAATCTACTCACAGCTTTTTTTCATTTGATTACCATTTGAAACAGATTACTTCTCCATTTGAGGGTAATCGTGAAGCAAGATTTCAACTCATGCTCTATCACTACCCATTCCAGGCCACAAATTAAAATAGCCTATTACTACTTTTATACACACAATAAAGAGATCTTCCATCCCAATCTTCTCCATGCTTTTTTTTTTCTCAGCAAAGTTCATGTAAACCAGTAGGTCATAGTAAATCCTAAAATGTATTCCCACAGTGAGATACTTGGAACATTTTCCTTCTGGATTTTATTAAACATAATGTTCTAAGCATTATGAGTGCTCTAAGGTATTTCTTGAATAATAACCCAAACTGCAGAGTGAAAGTAAGTGGCAATTAAAATCCCGAGACAGACGGGAACACTGAGACTAAGAAATAACAGCATCTGTTCCTGACGATGGCTGGACTGCTGATCTAGCTTGGGGTCAGCAAACTTGGCCTGAGGGCCAAATCCAGCCCACTCCCTGTTTTCATATGGCCTGCAAGAGCCAAGAATGGTTTTCACAGTTTTAAATGGTTGGGGGAAAAAAATCAAAACAATATTAGCATATTAAGAACATAAAAATTAGATGAAATACAAATTTCAATGTCCATAAAGTTTCACTGAAACACAGCAAGATTCATTTGTTTATATATTGTCTATTGCAGCTGGGTATGGGAGAGCTGAGTAGCAGGGACTTTGAGTATGGCCTACAAAGCCTATATTTACAATCTGACCCTTTAGAGAAAAGGTTTGCAGACCATGAGCTTGATCAGAACTTCAAATACCATCTGTGGTGAAGGAGCTGGTTTGTTTTGAGTATTTGTTTTCTAACCCATCATAGATCTGAGCTAAGCTTTTGTAGAATACAAAAATCATATACTTTGGATGTTGCAGAGATGTCAGATTGCTATAAATTTCCTAAATGTTTACTCTCAATTTCTGTATTTATCTTCTTGCATACTCAAACAGATATTTTGTGGACTGGCACCAGTCTGCAGGTGGTTCTGTGTAGGTATTCTTTGTGTTCTTTAGATCACACAAATTTTCTAAAAGCACTGATCTAGAGAACACAAGAATACCTTCACATAACTTTTTGGAAAACCTTACTTACTCCTTCCCTATATACTCCTTCCCTATATATTTTCGATATGATGACCACTAAAAATATCAGTAAATAAATATATTGCTTTGTAAATATATTAACTAGATAAAATTATAGTTTTTCCATGAATCTTTTTCAAGCATTATGCTTTATGCTTTAAAATTATAACCAGTTTCTTCCTTACCAGCTACCACATTATATATTTTTACTGTTCTCTTAGACTTTACATAAAAGAATTTTTTTTTTTTTTTTTTTTTTTTTTACATTTTGTGCTTTGGGGAATAACTCAAATTCCATAAACAAAACTATTAGTACAAATGTTTTCTGGACAATCTGTGCTGTGATTTTGGAAATTGTGTGTGAAAGAGGAGAGTAGCTGGGCGTGGTGGCTCGCGCCTGTAATCCCAGCACTTTGGGAGGCCGAGGAGGGTGGATCATGAGGTCAGTTCAAGACCAGCCTGGCCAAGATGGTGAAACCCTGTCTCTACTAAAAATAAAAAAAATAGCCAGGCATGGTGGTGGGTGCCTGTAATCCCAGCTACTCGGGAGGCTAAGGCAGAGAATTGCTTGAACCCGGGAGGCAGAGGTTGGAGTGAGTTGAGATCACGCCACTGCACTTCAGCCTGGGCAACAGAGTGAGACTCTGTCTCAAAAATAAAAACAAACAAACAAAAAAGAAGAGAGTGAAAGAATTTGAGTCCTTGCACAGACAATAACTGTTTTTTATGTTTAAACTTTTTAGTTTCTTATGTTAAACTTTTTATGTTTAAACTTTCAAAAGGTTGAATAAATTTCATCTTATGCTTGCATTATAATAGCAAAGTTCCTTGATATGTCAAAGGCCACAAAAGTAATTTTTAGCTTAGGTACAAAACGTGCCTTGGGCCTGTTTTATATGATACTCCTTGGTTTTAGCACTACATTAAAAAAAATGAATGTGAAAAAAATCATTTCCATGAAAGTTTTTTAATTGGCTCAAAGTTAGTAGCAATTTACTTTCAAATTTCAATCTTTATCTCTCTAGGGAAATACTTAATTCTACTGCAATTTTTATTTAAGAAATGAAATAATTTCTAAACATTTTTAAACTTTAAGAAAGATGAAACTCTGTTATTGTGCCAATGACTTTTTATTATTAGGTGTCAGATGATAAAACATTCAAATAAGAAACAGCACTGGGATTTCACAGTGTCAGGAGAAAGGAAAGTCTATAAAAAGAAACTCAAGGTGTGTTTAAGTATGTGAAAAGAGCAGATAATCCCTAAACCTGTTTTATTTGAAGGCAAATAGGAAGATGCTTGCTTTATTTGTTGTTACAGAAGAATGTTGTTGCTAGCAAAGGATAAAATCTCAAAGCAGAGGGAGAGGGAATATAAAATGGCTGTAGATTAAACTTCTGCAAATGTTCACTTTACTACGCAGCTCCACTGTCATAAAACAGTCAAAATAGTAAGATATACTCATTCAGAACAATGACACAATGTTTATAAATATTTATATGTATGCTGAACTAGACCATTACTAAAAGCTGCAGCTGGGGTATAGAAAGAAAACTAGGATTTGATTGGAGGCCTTATTTTGCAAATTACTAGGCTCCATGATCTTGTGGAACTTACTTAACCTTTCTGAGTCTCAGTTTCTTATCCATAAAATAAATGAGATTCTACCTACCTCTGAAGAATTGAGGAGGATAATATACGTGTCTTGTATAAAGCACTATGCAAATGTGAGGGGTTATTGTTATTTAGTAGGGAGCTCAGAGAATCTTAATATGTATTATATTTAAATTTTCTATAAATAAGTGAACTTTTTATACAGCAAAGTAGATTGAGTTGTTTGTATATGCCCTTTCCTAATATCACTATTTCTTGAAGCAGAGAATATATTGAGGTAAATCCTCATTAGAAAATTTATTACGCAAAATTTAACCAACTGTAGTTGTGATCAGTGCTACTGATGGTCAGTGTGCTATGGGTGTGAAGCAGGAAGACCTTTTCATATGAAGAGGGTGGAGGGCAAAGGTGGTAGGGATGGGTAGAGGCAGGGGCAGGTGCAGTGGGAAATACATTTTGTAATGCCGACGCCTGAAGGAAGAGGAGGTGTCAGCCAAAGGAATGTGAGAACAAACATTTTCTATATTTAATGAGACAATCATAATTAATACGGATATATCAAAAGTTCTCTGATCCATCATAATATCTATTTGTTGATTCAAAAGTGACAAGCAATAATTATTATGTAGGAGCCTTACGCTTTAATGAATTATCTATGATCACTTAAAAACACTAGGTTTTCCATTTCAGACTAAGTAGTGAGATGGTAATAGATTTTTGTTAACCTTATACAGATGTACATTAAACATATGGTATAAGAATAGCATTCTATTTTCAAAACCTGAGATTATTGATTTTCAGATCTTTAGTTGAATATGTATCGGTACAAAGACTTCTCTGTTCCATACAAGCTATTTCTCATCTTCTACTTAAAAAAAAAAAAAAAAAAATCACCAAAGACAGGGGAGCTTTCTTGCATTCCTCTAAGTGGTAGAATTATCCTAATGTTTGGGAAATCAGTCCTGGCATCCTTTAGTCTGGATAAAACATTTGAAGAAGCATGGTATGACATACAGGCAAGGAAGACCCAGCTACTTCAGTAAGGTTGCTGTATATATCCTCTCCATCCATCATCTGCAAATACCTTCCTCTGTCTTGGGATCCAAGCCCTCTGCCAAGGTGTAGAACTTGTATACTGATTTCTCATTATTTGGAGGTGATTAAGCTAATCAGTTAATACAACAAAAGGAGAAAAATAAGGTAATTACTTTCTAAGAATATTTCCATGTTCCATAGCCCAATTCCTCACTGGATCACCTGTCCACTCCTTGAACATCATGTCCCTGCGTTTCCCACTTCCCAGCCATTTCATGTCTGCCACAGAACAGTTTCCTTTCACACCAAATGCTTGATAACCTGAAAAGTGAGTAGAAACTCATATTCAACTTTAAGAACTCATGTAAACAGGTTAGGTTATTGAGAATCCACACAGTGTTAGGCCTCTAGATCAAATATTTTACATAAATAGACTCATTTAATACTCAAAACGGTCAGTAAAATTAGGCATCATTATCCAAAGTTTGCTTCCAACATACTGCTAACTAGGACCACACTGCCTCTTTGCATAGGAAAGAACATATTCCTTTTAAAAACACTGTTCTTAAAGTGGAAACTATTTTATGGAAAGAGCATCGATCTAATTTCTGACCTCCACTCCAGTGTTTCCACATTGCACCAGCTCTTCGGTAACATATGTGCCATACTCCAACATCACTTTCTGGAATCTGCCTAAGAAATAGTTCTTTGGGTGAAAGTCTCTATACTTCTTCCAGCACTGAAATGCACATCTCCTGCTTTAGATTAACTTAATAACAATGTCTTAGTTAACTTGAAGTTCATCTAACAAACATTTATCGAGCACATTTCATGTGCCATACTAGATGGAGACCTTAAAGAACCTGCCCCTCCACCTAAGGACTGTAAGACAAAGGAAGATAGCAGCACAGCTGGAAGACTCTACACCCTTCCATTCAATCCTGATACCCCAATACTTTTCTTCCTTCAACAACAATTAGGTTACTTTAGAAAAGGATAAAATTTTCGATCTAATCACTTTTCTGCCAAGCTAATACAGTCAGATTTACCATTTCTTCTTTACAGAGATTTATAAATATATAAATATTTTGCAAAGCATACCTTGTGAGCTTACGGCAGCATTTTACTAGGATTACAACTGAAATTAAAGCTCCAAAACTGGAATAGATTTTACAGTTTAAGAAAGAATTTTTCGATAAATAAAACACACTTCTAAAACTTACAATTTAAAGTAGGGCAGGAAAGTGATGTTAGCAAAAATGGCAGAGTAGGCACCTCCAAGTGCCCCATCTCCCAAGGAAACATTCAAAATTCAAGAAAAAGCTTTGAGAATTGACATTGTTAGAACTCTGGAAAACAGACAAAGGTTTACAGCAACTAAGCAATGCCGAATCAAGAGTAAGGCAATTTAAAAATGGTAGAAAAGCACAGTAACAGTTGCATATGTTCTGGCCCAAACCTGTTTCCTGGCTCAGCAGCAGTCTTAAAGGCAACAGTCTGGATTTCCAGTGTGGGACCCTGGCGCCTGGTTCTGAAGGCTGCACAGTGTACCTTATTTACAAAGAATTGTTTTTGTCATTTCTAACTTATCTAGAGGCTACCTGAAGAACTTTGTTTCACCTAACTCAAAACACATTCGAGGTGGAAACCCTGCAGCTGCCTAGGACAAAAGATTAAAGTTGAGGCATACGAGTCCCAAAAATATGGAAAAGAAAAGCTGGAGAGAGTTGTTGTTGTTGTTGTCGTTGTTTTGAGAAAACAGGGCATTCAAAAGTGTCTATATATACTAGAGAATTTACAAAGTCATGCACATACCCACAGCATGATATACATTCAAAAAAAGACCCTGAGAGATTTTCTTCCCCCCACCCCACTTCCTCTCTCTTGCTTGTGGCTCCTGGCATTCAAGAAAATCTCTTTCAGAACACTATCTGAATGGAAGCTAAAGGAATAAAGCTATCAGAGACCACATATGATAAAGAATACATCCCTCGTTTTAATAGTTTAGAAATGTCACTAAACTAACAGCTGCAGCTTACAGCAAACAACAACAACAAAACCCTGAAGAAAAGAAAGACTGATTTCCAGGGTTACCATATTACAAAAGTCAAAATGTCCAATTTTAAACAAAAAATATATAAGGCATGCAAAGAAAGAGGAAGTATGGTCCATTCACAAAAGACCATACTTCCTCTTTCTTTGCATGCCTTATATATTTTTCACAAAAGAAATTAATAGAAATTTCACAAAAGAAATTAATAGAAATTTCCCTGAGGACCAAAGGCACTAAACTTACAGATAAAGACTTTAAGTCAGTTGTCTTACATATGCCCACAGTACTAAAGGAAACCATAGATGCACTAAAGGACATCAGGAGAATGATACATGAACAAATAGAGAATATCAATAAAGAGACAGAAATTATAAAAAGGAACCAAATAGAAAATCTGGAGCTGACATATGAACAAATAGAGACCATCAATAAAGAGATAGAAATTACAGAAAGGAACCAAACAGAAAATCTGGAGCTGAAAACTACAATGACTCAAATAAAAAGCTCACTAGAGGGTTTTAATAGCAGATGTGGGCAAGCAGAAAAAATAACCAGTGAACATGAAGATAGGTCCACTGCAATTATCCAATCTGAGGAGCAGAAAGAAAAAAGGATGAAGAAAAATGATCAGAGCCTAAAAGACCAGCTGGACACCATAACAGTATACCAACTTACACATAATGGGAAGCCCAGAAGAGAAGAGAAAGAAAAAAAATGATTTGAAGAAATAATGGCTAAAAACTCCCCAAATGTAAAAAAAAGACACAAATCTATACAGTCAAGAAGCTCGGTGAACTCCAACAAGAATCAATGCAAAGAGATCTGCACCAAAACATCTAATAATCAAATTATTGAAAGCCAAGGAATTTTGAAACAAGGTATTTTTAAAGCAACAAGATGAGAGAAGGAATTTACCACATAGAAGTGAGCTTCAATAAGACTAAGAGAAGATTTATCATTGGACACTATGGGGACCAAAAAGGAGTGGGACAACATTTTTAAAGTGCTGAAAGAATAAAAAATGTTGACCAAGAATTTCATATATGACCAAGACATCCTTAAAAAATAAAGCAGAAATTACAACATTCCCAGAAAAACCAGCACCGAGAAGGTTTGCTTTTAGTAGACCTCCCTTACCAGAAGGCTAAAGAGAGTTCTTTAGGTTGAAACAAAAGGACACTAGATAGTAAGTCAAAGCTATAACAAAGACATAAAGAATGCCGTTAAAAGTAACCAAATGGAGCCAGGCATGGTGATTTATGCCTATAATCCCAGCACTTTGGGTGAATTGCTTGAGCCCAGGAGTTTGAGACCAGCTCAGGTAACATGGCAAAAGCTTGTCTCTACAAAAAAATACAAAAATTAGCTGGGTATGGTGGTATATGCCCATAGTCCCAGCTACTCAGGAGGCTGAGGTGAGAGAATCAACTGAGCCCGGAAGGTCAAGGCTGCAATGAGCCATGATTGTACCATTGCATTCCAGCCTGGGCAACAGAGTGAGACCTTGTCTCAAAAACAGAAAAATAGTAATCAAACAGGTAAATATAAAAGCTAGTATATATTTTAAATTTGTAACTCCTCTTTTTACTTTCTACATGATTTAAAAGACAAATGTGGCCAGGCATGGTGGCTCACACCTGTAATCCCAGCACTTTGGGAGGCCAAGGCGGGTGGATCACCTGAGGTCAGGGGTTCAAGACCAGCCTGGCCAACATGGTGAAAACCCATCTCTACAAAAAATACAAAAATTAACCAGGCACGGTGGTGGCTGCCTGTAATCCCAGCTACTAAGGAGGCTGAGACAGGAGAATCGCTTGAGCCTGGGAGGAGGAGGTTGCAGTGAGTGAAGATTGTGCCACTGACTCTGTCTCAAAAAAAAGAAAAAAAAAAAAGACAAATGCAAAAAACATTTAAATAATTTTAAACATATGTTAATGGGCACAAAATATATAAATGTAATTTATGAGAACAACATAAAGAGGAGGAGAACAAAGCCGTACAGAAGCAGAGTTTTTATATGCTGTTACGTTGGTATCAAGTAAAAGTAGACTGTTAGAAATTTAGGACATTAATTGTAATCCCCATAGTAAGCACTAGGAAAATGTCTTTAAAAAATCACAAAAGGAAAAGAGAATCAAAACAATACATTCCACTAAAACATCAACTAAACACAAAAGAAGGCAGTACTGGAGGGAATGACAAAAATGTGTAAGACATACAGAAAACAAATAGCAAAAAGGTTAAGATTCTTGTTGGTAGTTACTTGAAGTATAAATGGATCAAACTCTTCAATATAAAGGCAGAGATTGGCACAATGGAGTAAAAAACATCAGGATCCAACCATATACTGTTTATAAGAAACTCACTTTAGATCCAAAGACAAACATTGGTTAAAGTGCACAGATGAAAAAAGATATTGTATGCACATAGTGACCAAAAAACAGTTGGTGTGACTAAAATAATATCAGCTAAAATGGTCAAAAAGTTTTTACAAGACAAAAAAAGATATTATGTATTGATAAAAGGGTCAATTCATCAGAAGATATAACAATTATAAACACATATGCACCAAATATCAGATCTCCAAAGTATATGAAGCCAACATTTACAAAATTGAAGGAAGAAATAGAAAATTCGACAATAATAATTGGGGACATCAATACCTCACTTTCAATAATAGAAAGAATATCTAGATGAAAAATCAGTGAGGAAATAAGAGGATTTGAACACCATTATAAACCAATTAGACCTAACAGACATACATAGAACACTCCAGCCAGTAACAGAATACACCTTCTTCTCAAGTGCATGTGGCACATTCTCTAAGACAGATCATATATTAGACCACAAAACAAGTCTCAATAAATTTAAAGTATGGTAAAAATTATTACAATTTTAAGTTTTAAAAAAATTTTGTTTCATTTTCAAATAAATGTGCTGGCTAATAAATGTATGATATTAATAAAAGATGCACTGTTAAGCCAAATGACTGCCAAGATAATACCTATGCAAATTTATGGGAGGAGAAATGAGCAAAAATCCCCCAAGGGCGCTTTTTATCTATGTGCTAGGCAATAGAGACACAATAGAGAATAAAATAAACATAAAATCCTTGCCTTCACAGAGGTCATATTTTGGTGGGGGAGATGATCAATATATCTATATTAAGAAACGAAGAGCCTAGTTTCAGGTTCTAATAAATTTTATGTAGAAGATATGCTAAGGTAACTGTGGGAGAGAGTAACCTGGAGGATTGCTTTTGCTAGGATAAAAGGGGTAACGATACTCTGCCTCTTTTCCTCTGGCACTGGCTATAGAGGTGCAGTTCTCTCTTGGGACCTATGGACTTATTATTCCTACTACTTTCTGCACTGATTTGCACCTCTTCCTGTTTTTGATCATTTGTCACCTTCTCAGTGAGGCCTTCCATGCTCGTGATCATCCAACGTTGCATTCCTCCTCCCTCCTCACTCCCTGCCCCACTGGCAACTCTCCTTCCTTTCTTCTTGCATTGTAACTCCCACACTTAGCACTATCATAGGATACATTTTACTTTGCTATCTTGTTTACTTTTTTTTTCCCTTTACTATACTGAAAGTTCCAAGACAGGAGCATGGCTTGTCCTGATCACTGCTGCATCTGTTGTGCCTGGAGCAGTGTCTGACATATAGTAGATGCTTGGTAAATATTTGTCGAAAGAATTAATGAGTGGAGATGTCAAGCAGACAGACAGATATATAAGTCTATAGTTCAAACGAAAGTGCTTGACGGGAAGATATAAGTTTGAAAGTCAAAGGAGATTAAAATGGGTATTGTTTTCTTCAACATAAAGATGTAGAAATTGGTTCATATAGGCAAATGAGTATGTACAATGATATATCATCTTCTCATTATCTCACAAGCTGAAGCAATCTAGCTGGTAGAAGAGATAAACATTTCCTGGTGCATATTCTAAAGGGATATTAACATTTGGACATTTAAAAACAAGAACACTAAAACACATAATGAAATAATCTATCCTTAACAGTGATTTTCTTATTGTGACCCTTGATGACAGCTCAGGTCACTACAAAAGTAAATGTGCTTCAGTGAAAGAATCTTACGGCCCAAACCAATGAGGCTAGGGCACAAAGATTTCCTGAGCTCTAACTTAATCTAAGGATAGAATTTAGAATACCTAATGATGTAGAGACAGCTTGTCCTCCTTTCTATTCTGTTGTGACAGGAGCATTCAGTTCAAGGTTGATCTCTCTTGTGGTTATTTTGTATTGCTGAGTAAAGAGACGTCAAGATGTTTTGTAAAATAGGTGCCCAAGTTGCAAGACTGAAATTTCATCATATAAATATCAATATGTCTGACTTGTTTTCTTGCCAGATAAGTAGCCACTTCACCTCTTTGTGGAGGTGAGGGTTAAGTGATTCTTCCAAAGTCACAGCTAGTGGCAGAGATGGGGCTTGACCTCAGGTCTCCGAACTCCCAGCTCAGAGTATTCCACTTTCAATCCTCTGTGCCTTTTATACTCACATATTAAAAGATAACAGGTCACATTTCTGGAACACTGTGGGTGGGATCCTGAGGCTGTCTTTATTTGTAACCTTCTCTAAAGCACCTATCACTGCAGGAAACAGAAGAGGCTTGTTTTTGTCAGGGTTTCTTGTATCTTGTCCTTGTACCACATGGTCCAAATGTTAGGGCTCTAGGCATCTGCCCTTCCCTTTAGTTTCTCTATCTACATCCAGTTGTGGACTGGGGAATACCAAAGATAAATAGGAAATAGGATAACTGCTTCTATATGAAACAAGGTTATGGTTAGGCTTGAAATTTTTTAAATCGCTGTTTAGATTAGGAAAAACATTAATAAGTAGAGTCATAGACTTTAGAAATAATTATATATACAAGGATCAAGCATGTGATCTTAAAAACAACAAAAAATTATTTCCTTGGGGGGCCAAGGTGGGTGGATCACCCGAGGTCAGGAGTTCGAGATCATCCTGGCCAACATGGTGAAACCCCATCTCTACTAAAAATACAAAAATTAGCCAGGTATGGTGGCACACGCCTGTAGTCCCAGCTACTCGGGAGGCTGAGGCAGGAGAATTGCTTGAGCCTGGGAGGTGGAGGTTGCAGTGAGCCAAGGTAGTACTATCGCACTCCAGTCTGGGTGACAGAGAGACTCTGTCTCAAAAAAAAAAAAAAAAAAAAAAAAATCATTCCCATTGATTGATTTTATATTTTAAAATTTACTAGTTGTTTGTGATGCAAAAACCACTTTTAAAAGAAAGAAGCTGTACCTAATCCCATCATCCAAATGGTTGAAGTGAACATTAAATTTTAAAAAGGGGGAGAAATACACACATAGGTTTAGAAAATTCCAACAGTAGAGAAAGGCATGAAACATAAATTAATTATTCTTACTTGTATGTATTATATTTCTGTGTTTCCTTCCAGAACAAAATATCTTTTATGTTATAGGAGTCTGTGTTGGCATGTATTAATTTAATGTATGTCTATAATATACACAAAACAACCCATATTGTTCAGACTTCTATAGCTTGCCTTTTTTGACTATTTTATCCTGAAGGTCTTTCGATAGCAGCACATATTTTTTCAGGGAGCATATGGAGTTCTATACTACAGATGTAATGTAATTAATTCAACCAGTTCCCTACTGATAGGCATTTAGGTTATTCCCAGTTTGTTACTATTATTAGCAACACTTTAATGAACATCTTTGTACATACAGCTTGGTGTACTTTCACAAGTATATTCTTAGGGGAAACTACTGATGGTAAGAGTATAGGATAAAAGGGAATGTGCATTTACAATGTTGACAGGTATTACCAAATTGTTCCCTAACATCCTTGGACAATTTGTACTCTAGCTAACAGTTGGAGACCATAATATCCATAATACTTTTAATCAACAGGTACATAAAATAAAAAGTATGATGTAAATATAAATTATACTTGTGTATTCTATCCCATGTACTCCATCTCTGGGGCTACCATGATTTATACAAGTAATTACCATTAAGTATAATATAACATATCTGGAACTTTATGTTACCAAACAACATTAATTCACTGAGAAAACAATTCATAGTCATTGCTATAGAATCTTCCATAATAATGATCCTGGGAGTTGGAAGCCAGCTCCAATTATCAATAATTGGAACCATACAAGAGTGTGTTGTGTGTGTCACTTTTTGAACAGTAAGTTTCATTTCGAAATCTATCTGAATCAGCTTGTAAAACCTCAAAACCAAAACATTTGTTCATCATCTCTATGCAAGGATTGATCAGAAATATATAGTAAATGTATACTCTATTTTCCTCAAAAGTAATGAGAAATAATTCATAGTAGTGTTCTAGTTAAATGATGTGAACAGATTTCATCATTTAACTTTGGTTCATTTAAACTGGATCAAAGGCCTAAAGGATATATGAAAATTTTGAATTTTAAATTATGAAGACAATTGTCCTATGGATATTAGAAGAAAGGAAACAGAAGGCAGTGGTTAGAAAAGAGTTATCAAAATAAGGTTTTTTTATTTTTATTTTTTTTTAAGTGAGGGCTGTAAAACTAATCTCAGCTTCTTTCTTTACAAGTTATGTGACTTCAGAGAAAATACTTAACTCTCCAGGCTTTAAATGAGGTAATGAAAACATTTAGTCCAGTACCTGGCACCTCGATAGTACCACATGAATGTGAACTGCTATTAATCTACAGCCTCTATTACCCCATTATTAACAGTAGGTCTGAAAAAATAGAAAAGAATGTCTCCTAGGATATAGACAAAAAGGTAATAAAGGATGGGAAGAATTTGAGAGTAGATGTTTACTACCTAATTAGCACATTTATCCCCTTTCTCAAGTGAACAATGAACGTGTTATCTCCAAAGAAGCAGATCACAGTGCAAGACTGTCAGATTTCCACATTATGATTTTGGTTTTCCAAAACTTTTGCAGACTTTGGCATGGTAAAAATACATCTTGAAAGCCTTATTCTGGAACTGAAGAATTTAAGTTAGTCTGCTTTGGGTGAAAAACAGTGTTTCCCAGTAGGAGCCAGCACAGAAACTCATAGGGTCTTCTGACATGAAAGGCAAGTTTCAGCTTTATTTCTTCACCCAATTTTATGAATTTCATAAAAAATAAATTCATACAAAATGAAAATTCAAGAATATAAAATTGACTCTAAAATATAACTGATGGCTGGGCGCAGTGGCTCACGCCTGTAATTCCAACACTTTGGGAGGCCAAGACGGGTGCATCACCTGAGGTCAGGAGTTCAAGACCAGCCTGGCCAACATGGTGAAACCCTGTCTCTACTAAAAATACAAAAATTAGCTGGGCATGGTGGTGGACACCTGTAATCCCAGCTTCTCGGGAGGCTGAGGCAGGAAAATCCCTTGAACCTGGGAGGTGGAGGTTGCAATGAGCCAAAATTGTGCCATTGCATTCCAGCCTGGGAGACAAGAGTGAAACTCCATCACACACACACACACACACACACACACACACACACACACACACATACACAGAGTAACTTGAATATTTTACATTCTTTGATAATTGATTGCCACGAGAATTCTGGAAATAGTTAATTCTTCTCAGCAATAAATTTGCCTTATTTTTAAATGCTCTCGATTCAAAGATTCCCTTGATTTGACCTTGTAATTTCTCTTTTTATCTGAAGATTGCAGAAGAGAGATGGTAACTACATGGGCCACCTATTCCCACAGCTGAGGCCAACTGTGCAGAATACTGAAGCCTTTTTCCCCAAGGAGCCTGGTTGTGGCCACAGAGTGCTTCTCAGCAAGTGCTACCTGTTCCTCCCTCATCTTGGACAGGAGGTGGCACTCATTTGTCATCCCTTTTACAGAATATTCACTTTACAGGAAGGTCCCACTAAAATCAGTTAGTATAGTATCCCACTGTAAAGTCATTTCACTTTCTATTTTCCTTTTGTTTAAAAAAATTAGTATCTTCTCCCTTGAGAAAGATGCCTGAAGGTATTTCTATACTGGTTCTATTTTATTTTATTTTATTTATTTATTTTTTTGAGACGGAGTCTAGCTCTGTCCCCCATGCTGGAGTGCAGTGGCGTGATCTCGGCTCACTGCATGCTCCGCCTCCCGGGTTCACGCCATTCTCCTGCCTCAGCCTCCCTAGTAGCTGGGACTACAGGCGCCCACCACCATGCCTGGCTAATTTTGTTTTGTATTTAGTAGAGACGGGGCTTCACCGTGTTAGCCAGGATGGTCTTGATCTCCTGACCTCGTGATCCGCCCACCTTGGCCTCCCAAAGTGCTGGGATTACAGGCGTGAGCCACCGCACCTGGCCTCTATACTGGTTTTAAACACTTAGTTACTTAAACCAAAATTCATAGGCTCCCTGAGATAGTAGGGATTTTCGTATTCTTCTAATCTTACTTCTTCCTAATGTAGAAATACTTTCTATAACATCCTTGATGATTAGACACTGAATTCCAGAGCTAACACTCTAGCAATGTAGAACTGGCTGAGGAGTACCTTGTTACAAGTAAAAGAGCAGTGGATGAAATGTTGGGATAGCTGGGGTTATACTCCCACCCCACTCCTGAAGGTAAGCGACTTATTCCATTGTGCACCTTGGTTTTCTTTCCTCTAAAACATAGTTGTTATTTATTGATTGCTAAGATGCCTTAGAGGCCTGCCAATTTGCAAAACATTTCATAAGAAAATCTTTGCCAGGAAGTCCTAATTGTTAGAAATCTGCCTCCTTTAACTTCTGCCCAGGCCCTCTAATCTTGACTCTAGAGAGATTCAAACAAGTAGATTTTCACACAATTGAAAGCTAGGTATCACATCTGCCAGAAGCATTCTTTCTTCCGGACCTTGCAGAGTCCTTAGAATATATTTCTTGTTTGTATATTATTAATATCTCCTTTAGTGTTTAATCAAATGATATAGTGGTTAATAGGACAAAATTTATTCATGGTATTTTGGTGGAAGAAGATAAGTGGAAGGCTGAAGCTCTGCAACTCATAGTGTAAGCATTTTAAAGACTATTTTAGTAAAAGATTAAATAAAGAATATTATTTTAGCAATCTTCTGAAACTGATTGACAACAGTTGACATTTAATTAATTACTATTTTTATGAGCCAAGGTTTTGCTCTTTGTAAGATTTCAAAATCCTGAGGTGGGGGGGACTTGTGTTGAAATGCAGTGAAAGCCTTAGAGACCACAGAAGAGAGTTGGGCTTTTGGGCCTTGAATTAAATGGGCCATGGACTGTGTGTGCATTTTGGGATTCTATTTCTGTTTTTCTTTTTTTTTTTTTCTGTGTGGGGGGTTTCTTGTATCCTTGCTCACTGTTGGTCTGTCTGCTATTACTCATGCTGCTGCCAGTGGACTTGACTATATCAGTGCATCTTTCTTCTTCCAAAGTTCCTGCTTCTGATCTACTGTGGGTTTGGCAAGCACACAACCAAACATTTTAGAAACTTGTCTGAGATTGGAGTAAATGGACTGAGATACCATTTTTCATCTACCCAGTTGGATAAAAATGTAAAAGAATTATTACTATTACTATTGTGGGAGTGGGGAACATCGACAAACTCTTGCTCTGCAGTGTATTAAAAGGTATTAACACTTTGGATAGCTGTGATATTGTGAAATATATATTTGGTTTTCATCCCCATTTCCTGACATACAATTTCTAAAATCCTTGGAATCTCCAAAAGGCTGTCTTTTTGGTATACTAATGTTGACTGCTAACTTTAGGATGGGGCTGGTCACCAGAAAGACATATGCAGGATTAGAGGAGTGGAACTTGCAGCCCCATCCTCCAACCTCAGGGAAGGGGAAAAGGACTGAAGATCAAGTTGATCACCAGTGGCAATGGTTTAAACAATCATTCCTCCGTAATGAAGCCTCCATAAAAACCCAAGAGAACAGGGTTCGGAGAGCTTCTGGATGGCTCAACATGTGGAGGTTCCCAGAAGGTTGTACCCCAGGGAGGACACTGAGACTCCACGCCCCTTCCCTCATACCTCACCCTATGCATCTCTTCATCCGTATCCTTTGTAATGTCCTTCATAATAAAGCGGTAAATGTAAGTAAGTGTTTCCCTGAGTTCTGTGTGCTGCTCCAGCAAGTTAACAGAACCAAAAGTGGGAGTTGTGGGAACCCCAACTTGAGCTGGTCATTCAGAAATTCTTGAGACCTGGACTTGCAACTGGTGTGCTGTTGGGACAATCATGGGGACTGAACCCCAGCATGTGGGATCTCACACTATCTCCAGGTAGATAGTGGTGGGATTGAATTGGAGGCCACTGCAGAATTAATTGCTCACTTGGTGGTGGAAAGCAACCCACACACATTTGGTCAAAGAAGTCTTATTCCGTGTTGACGACTGTTACTGTGGTGGTGTAAGAGAAGAGAGAAAAGGTGGTTTGAGAGTTTTTCCCAAACAATAGCTATTTGACAATCTATTTTAAAAGCCCTAAAACAATGCATCCCCGCAAATATGTGAGACAAATTCCACATGCAGAAATCTGTCCTCAGAAACTAGATGTACAAGTACAGAAAGATGTATGAATAAGGCTTTGATTATAATAATGAAATGTTGGAAAGATCCTATACATCTACCTTTAGGGCACTAGTTCAATAAGCTGTGTTGCAGCCATATAATAATGTCATGAAAAAATGATACTGCAGGTGTATAATTACCAACAAAGAAGTAGGTACACACTAAACTGGAATATAAGTCAGTTCATATATTATAATCCCCTTTAAAAAATAGACATACATATTGGAATGGAAAAATCTGCAATAATATAGACAAATGTTAGTTAAGAGTCAGTGTTCAGTATATTATAATTTCAGGTTTTTTTAGTTTAAAATTTTTGTTTATTTGTATTTTCTAACTTTTCCAAAACATTAATGCTTTAATTTAAAGCTGGCTTAGACTTCCGTGTACACACAATGAATTCATCACAAGTTATCTCTTCTCTCTTCAAAATTTCACTAGAATGACAATAAAAGCATGTAAAAGTATTGAATGATAAGATCAAGCCAAATGGGAGAAGGCAAAAGCAGATGAGAGATTTCAGCAATGAAGATGGAGAGAAAAGTGGTTAGTTTGAGGATATGAAGGCTATAGTGAACTTGATAAAATTTAGAAACTGGATATGGGAGGAGACAAAGGGATCACAAAGAAAATAAGAATTGGTGTTGGTGCTGCTATTCACTGCCTCTGAGAAAATAAGAAGAGTAGGTAGAAAAACAATAGGTAAAAATGGATCCAGTTTTGTACATTTAACCTAAGACTTGTGAGGTGTCCAGTAGGGTGCTGGATACACAGAGCTGCCTTCAGGAGACAGATCTAGGAATCATCTGCATGTGAGTGAGGCTGAAACTAGGGGAGGACATGTGGTCATGTTGAGAGATTTGCCCAGCGATCAGAAGCCAGGGGATGGAATGCTGGGGAACATCAGCATGTAAGAAGCAGTGGAGGAAGAGTGATCCACAGAGGAGGCCCACGATAAGTAACTAGACAATTGAATGTGGGGCCAAAGAAGCTATGAAGGAGGGAAATAGAGAAGTGAGGACCAAATGTAGTACCAAAGAAGTAGTCCTGTAAAAAGCAGTTATTGTTCAGTGATTGTGATGGGTGTAGGGTGAGAAGCCAGATTCCAGGTCTAGAGGAGTAAGGAAAAAATGGGAGGTTAGACACAGACAGTGTTTTCAAGAAGCCTGGCTGTCACTAGAGAAATGAGAGATGTGAGTGGCAACTTGGGGGCATTAAGCTGACATTAGACTTCTGGTTTCGTCTCTTTAATATAAGAGAGAGTTAGTATGCTGAAGTAAAATTATATGCACCATGATGTAAACTGATACTCTACAAAACTGGTTGTCTAAATAAATTATACAGCTTTCAGATGATCGATCACTTTCAACAAGATAGCAAAACCTGGCATATCTAATTTTTTGCTCTTAATTTTTCTTCTATTTTATAATTATCTAAGACCTAACATAAAAGCACAGATTTAAAATGCCAAGCTAATTTTAAACATTCGTGGGAGGATGAGGCCAAAAAACCCAAACAAACCCTAAAATACAGAAACATCTTCACTGAGACTGGGTTCATGAAGACATCTTAAAACTGAGCAGCATAATTTCATAGCCAAATCAAATAAGCATTCACTTTCTTGATAAATTAGATGTAATTTCAACTATCATAAGAAAGTAGCCAGAAAGTAATATTTACTGTAAGCTGCTGTGTCCTACTCAATTAGCAGCATCCTAGTGATCTGAAGGACTGCAGTCTTCGGACGGGCTTACCACTTGATATAGAGCATTCATTCATTCATTCATTCATTTTGTATTTTTAGTAGAGACGGGGTTTGACCATGTCGGCCAGGCTGGTCTCGAACTATTGACCTTGTGATCCACCCGCCTCAGCCTCCCAAAGTGCTGGGATTACAGGCGTGAGCCACCGCTCCCGGCCCGATATAGGGCATTTAAACACATTTTTTGTTACCTGGGCACATCTTATATCTTTTAAAATACGCAGGCTGGGCACGGTGACTCACGCCTGTAATCCTCGCACTCTGAGGTGGGTGGATCACCTGAGGTCGGGAGTTCGAGACCAGCCTGGACAACATGGTGAAACCCCGTCTCTACTAAAAAATACAAAAAATTAGCCAGGCATGGTGGCAGGTGCCTGTAATCTCAGCTACTCAGGAGGCTGAGGCAGGAGAATTGTTTGAGAATTGCTAGGTGGAGGTTGCAGTGAGCCGAGATCGCGCCACTACACTCCAACCTGGGTGACAGAGCGAGATTCCATCTCAAAAAACAAACAAACAAACAACAACAAGAAGAAAAGGCACATACATGCTAGTGTCTTTAGTAACTATATATTTACATAATAGGCATGCTTTGTCCACCATAGCATATTTTTTAAAAACTGAAATACTTGCAAAAGTACTATTAGGTATTCAACAATTTGAATTCCCTAGTTAGGAAGATGGGGCCAAATAGTATCATACTTTTTTTCTTTTTGGTAACTATTCATGGCAGAACTTCAACTACTTTCCTCTTAATGTGGTGTTCTGTGCAGTTAGTTTTTCTTTTTGTGTCTATCTTAGAAAGATGGATTCTCAAAAATTAAAAACATGTGACAACAGTGACTTCAGCACATTTTGCCAGGAGCAAAATGCAGAGTGAACAAAGAGAAAGATTAAATAATTTAGAAACACGTTCTGGTGAATGAGAGAGAATTATCAAACAGATAAAAGCAGGTCTGTTCCTATTTTCAGTCATCTTTTCGATGCTTAATATTTTTAAAAAATCTATTTCTGCTTTATGATCTCAACAAAACCCACTACAAAGCATGCAATGGGATAGTGATCTCTGAATTTTGTGAGTTGACAATTTTCCTCAAGTGCCTAGAATATTCTGGAATAAGAAGGTTACAAAAACTTTCTTTGTTTCAATAATAAAAATGTAAGTGGCTAAAACTCTTTATTGGTAAAAAAAAGAAAAAAAAATCCCATGTTTGAGAAGTTGTGACAGGAACGTGAGCTGGGACACTTAAAATACCATAAATTAAGATAAACTTTGCATTTACTGCATGAGCATATGTAAATGAAAATGTGGTTTAACTCTCTTGGCATACTGTAAAGGTGATTGCATGCTGGATAAAAGGGAGAACCTTGGAAGAAGTAAGTCCAAAGTGTGATGCATGTACAAGTATGCATCTAGTTTAATATCTCACAGGCTTCATAGATGAAGTTTGAGAGGAAACTCCCCCCAAATGATATCAAATGTGGCTGCAAAAAAATTTGAAATTAATTTCCATTTTTTACTTGAAAAAAGATAAAAGATAGCCAATGAAAACAGAAAATAAAAACTATGAAACATAATTTGATGAGTTTGGTGCATAATAGCTATTGAATGGTTTCAATAATTATTTTTTGAATGGTGTACTGGTCTTCCGGTTGTGCCAACTCCAGGAGGGTACAAAAAAGTCCATAAAATATCACTCAGCTTCTACCATACATTTGAAACCAAAATCATGTTTTCTTTGAATAAAGCTTAAACAAAGTTCCAGGTATTTCAATAGCTTACTTCTCTTCCATTCTCTCATCCTAAACACTATAGCAGAGAGTGAGAATGAGTGAGAAAGAGAGAGAGAGAGGGAGAGAGAGAGAGCGAGAGAGAACTCCGTTTTTATTTGTTGATATTTGGTCCTCAAAACTCTGGAATCCATTCTTAATGACACAGTTGCTTGGTTTTACCTTCTTGCCCTGAACTACTCATCAAATGTTATTAACAGTTACAGAGACAACTCAACGCAACAGATGATTTTGTGTAGATAGGCTGGAGGACAAGTTGACTCATTGGGCCCTGAAAGTTTTCCATCCCACCTTGGGCAGTTTACTGTACAGCTTGCCAAACTTTAAAGTTATTATAACTAGTTTCACACAGATGCCAGACAAAACAGACAAGGGATTAATTGGAATGATCACAAATGCATTCCTTCTGAATAAATGAAAACACACTGGCTAGTGCCAAGAGACATTTAAAATAGAAAACCTGAAACTAATCAATCAGATCAAGTTTAGCTCTTTTTGATGTTATAGTTGGGAGACATTTCACTTTATAAATAATAGAAAAATACCTAGGGAGGAAAAAAGAGAGAGAAAAGTTTGATAGCATTAAGAAGGAATTTTTGCACTATCAAAGAGAAGTGCCTAAGGAGTCAGTATCTTCTGTGGCTGGCATTTAAAAAAAAATTATAAATGTTAAAAGTAATAAATGATAAGAGTTATAAGTCTTCAAGAAAAAAGTGAAGACTCAAACTATTGGCTCGATTTTTAAATTATAACATTGAACAAATCAAAGTTAAAGTATAAAAGCCCAGAACAATACTGGGAGATGAGGGCTGTGGTCAGATGTTAGACAGACTATCCAAACAGCTGGAAAAGATGTTGATTCTCCTTGGGAAATTTGTAATGTATTTGACTCATGTTTTCATGGAGCTGTGGATTGTCCTAGGGGGTTTGAAAGAGAGAAAACTTGCCAAGAACTTTATCTGGAAAATGATAGTATTTTACCAGTTTTCCAATTAGACAACAAAAGCATTTAAAGAATAATAACAAAAATACTCAGAAGTGACCAATGCTATCTCTGTAGCACTAACGTTCAGGTTATATGACTAGAAATTATTGAGTACATTATCCTCATTCATTTACACACAGCTATTTCTTAAAAAGGCATCCACACACAAACACCACATGAAGTGATTAAAAAAAAAAGAAGAGCCTTTCATTACTTGAGTTGGATGATATGTTAAATTTCATATTTGGTGCACACACATCCTAAACAACATGCTCAATAACAAGTCTCCTTATGCATGCCTTGGCATACCTACAGCTAGTATCTGATGCTGAGAGGCCAGAAAGGGAAGATTTGGTAACTGAATTCTTGCTGATGTGATGCAATTTTTTAGCTCTAAACAGCCCTTGCATATGCTTTGCTGAATTTCTTAAAGGTTTTTAATTGTTTGCTTCTCAACAATTGCAATGTTCATTTTCCCAAATAAGCCTAAAAGATGGATTAGGAATCATCTATTATGCATACTGAAATATTTATGGATGAAATAGCATGGTATTTGGGATTGGCTTAAAAATAATCCAGTGTGGAATAGGAAGTATGTGTGAATATAGATTTAAAAAGATTATCCGTAAGTTTTTGACTGTTGAACTGGTAATGGATATATGGGGTTCATTATACTATTCTCTCAACTTTTGTAAAGGCTTAGAATTTCCTAATAAATTTGGAAAGAGTTAAAAGAAAAAAGTGGAAATTAAACAAAAAAAACCCCTCTTGGATCATAAATGTAAATAATTAGGCAAAGCAAACGTTCTTCATACTTTTAAATTTCCCAGATGATTAATCACCTGCCCGCATTGATAGTCATTTTTCCTCCCTAAAAAAATACAATTCCCTTATTTTGGATCATATTTTCAATACCACAATTATTTTCATTATTTTAGTTTGTTCCCCAGTAGCACAGTATATTATAGTAGAAGATATGCTGGACTTTGACTCAGAAAACTTGGTTTTTAAAATTCAAGTAGTGCTATTTGTTAACCTTATTACCTTGAACAAGTCATTTAATCTTTCCGGGTCTTAGTACAGATATCTCCTATGCTTGCTTTACAAAGCAAATATTAGGTTGCACCAGGTAACATTTGTTTCTTTTTTTGTACGTCAAAAACAGTTGAATTGTGTCAGTTTCACATGTGTCCAAACTAATATAAAACATTATAATTATGACTTTCTTCTAGAGACTTTAGAGCCAGAAATCACTGTCTTATTATTATACAGGTTTACCGAGATCACCGGTCAAGGCATTTTCTGTGGAACATAAAATATGAACCTGTTTAAACAGTTAAATCACAAATGAGAATTAGTCTCACCCTCCAATATCGGTATTGTACTGAGATTTCAACGTCAAGGAGTATATAGGAATAAAATCTATCTGATGGTCTGTCTCTTGCCTTCTGTTACGTACTGGAAGTGATTTCAAGTTTAATACTAGCAGAGTTTCCTTATTTTCATGTTTGCAATGACCTAAAGATACTTGAAGATAAATTTCTAAAAATATTAATTACTTTTTACTCTATCATATCCAGCTTGTTTGTGCAACTGTGATGTTACTTGGAGCAACTGCTATAGAAAAAGCATGAGTGCACTAAATAAATATTATTTACTAGTGATGACAATGGCAGTGATGGCTAAGGAACTGCAATTTATAAAGCACAGCCGAGTATGAGAAATCGAAGCATAAAGGTCCAAGAAATAAACAGAGAATGGAAATTTACAGCAGATATAAACTTGATTTAAAGTTTTTTAACGTCAAAAAAATACCAGCCTTGGCAAAATAGTGAAGCCCTGTCTCTACAAATAAATATAAAAAATTAGGCCGGGCATGGTGGCTCACGCCTGTAATCCCAGCACTTTGGGAAGCCGAGGCAGGTGGATCACCTGAGGTCAGAAGTTCGAGACCAGCCTGGTGAACATGGTAAAACCCCATCTCTACTAAATATACAAAAATTAGCCAGGCATGGTGGCGGGCGCCTGTAATTCCACCTACTCGGAAGGCTGAGGCAGGAGAATCACTTGAACCCGGGAGGCAGAGGTTGCAGTGAGCCAAGATCGAGCCATTGCGCTCCAGCCTGGGCAACAAGAGTGAAACTTCATCTCAAAAAAAAAAAAAAAAAAAAGTAGTCAGGTGTTGTGCCATGTACCTATAGTCTTTGCTACTTGGGAGGCTGAGGTGGGAGGATCACTTGAGCCTCAGCAGGCTGTGGTAAGCCATGATTGCGCCACTGTACTCCAGCCTGCATGGTAGAGAAAGACCCTGTCTTAAAAAAACAAAACAAAACAAACAAACAAACAAAAATACACAGACTTAACTGAGGTTAAATGATGTTTTAGTTTCTGTGAGCGGGCAATTTTAAAAGGTATAAGCTGAAATGATACAGTCATTTATCATATGCATAAATAATGCTATTTTCAACGATTTTTCCCTTTTGTATATGTGGGCATATAATAAAGTCTTTAAAATTTTATGTTGACTTTGAGTAAGGCCCTGTCATTAAAAAAAAACAGAAAAAAAGAAGACAAGAGACTAATAACAGAGTTTTGGGTTTGTGGTCTGTCTGGGAAACTGATTCCACATAAATAACATTGCATACAAGCTAGACTCTGTTTTCCCACAGAAACAAATCCCATGTTAACTTTTCAACTGATTTTTAAATTGGGTACAGCCTACCCTTTAGCAAGCTACTGTCATGTACCCACCTCTTGGCAAGTTGCCTTAGACCTGGATCACACTTACCAGGTTGATCTGGCTGGAGAAGAAAGTGAGCACAGGCAGTGCCTGGGCAGCTAAGTGGTTGTAAGTGCCTGGGAGTGTCAATTAAGTCTCCTTTACTTGTGACTTAATCTGAAAAATGTCATTTTTATGAGGTTACTAGGTGATTTGTTTTCCTCCTCAATAATCTGCCCTTAAATGTAATCTATAAAACACGCCCTGCCCCTTTAAGGAATTTCTGCCATATATTGGTAGACATTAATTATTTTAAAAGCAAACAGAAGTTTCTCTGCGCTCACTGTTTTCTGCTTGGAAACCATGTATCTGTGAGCAGAGATCAAAAGCATAGATATTGGAAATAATGGCAGAATTCTAAAGGTCACTATATTAGGTACTTTCAGCCTATCTTCTTGTCTAACATCATTTGTGTATTTCAATCACTTGACAAATATTTAATAAACATGACATTGTTCTAATAGTTAACAAAATAAAGAACAAAAACTATGTCCTTATAGATCTTAAATGTCCAATTTATTAATGGATTAATGACAACCTCTGCTTTGCTGCACACAGAATTTGAGGCAACTCTAATTCTAGAATTAATTAAAATCTGGTTGAATCTTGAGAGAGCCCTTGATAATCATAGGTGATGTATCCAAGACCTAGGAGAGAAAACTGATCTTCTGGCTTCTTTACTGAACTTCTCCATTCTACTTTCTGTCTGTGAGGTGGTAATCAGTTATAAGAAGGTGAGCGGCAACAGTATAAAAAGTCTTCTGGTTATGTGTACCTCAGGGAGATGTAAACAAAGGTGCTGTGAAGGAGGCATGAGGGGAACCCTGGTATATGAGCAGGACTGACAGCAGTGGTTGTGTGGGCCTGATTACCAGGAAACCAACATCCTCTACTCCAGCCTGAAAATCTAACCTTTTTTTTCCTTACTCCTACAACCTCAGTCTTTCCTCCTTCCCATTCTAAGTATTTCCATCTTTTTCTCTAAACTTTCTCCCATATCAATTTGTAAGAGAAAAACAAGAAATAGGTGGGCAGAAATGATGTCTGAGGGATCCCCCAGCAGCTTCCAATTAGCTATGTCACTAAGAACACCTCCAGTCACAGCAAGCTGGGACTTGATTTGGTGACTGTCCATTGCTGGAAATATCTCAGTTTCATTAATCTAAGCACTGTATTCAAAGAGAGCTTGCCTACAAAGCACTTGCAAAGGGTCCTCCCTGTTACACTACTCCTCTAAGAAGTTCTCAAGGATCTTGGCCTTTACGGGCACCCTAAATCCTTGGTTAGTGTTTCACATGGACATGATGTAGGGCAGTAAGCAGCAGCATGCAAAGGACTGTGAAATGTTCAGATCTAATTCTGTTCCCTCTCTTGGCAATACTTGCTGGCTTTATTTGACATTGGAAAGATACTAGGAGCATCTAGGCCCATGGGGCGTGGCAATGCCAAGGGTCCTATTGAGAAAGAATCTGAAACTGAAGAAATTAAAAGAAAAAAGTGTCATATGATTCTTCTGGGGAAGGACCAAAGCCAGTTGAGACACAACCATCCACAAGGCTTGCAGGTGGGTGAGTGAGTAGAACATGTTGACCTGACCTGACTAAGGCTGCTGATAGGTCTAGGAACATCAGTACAGCTGCTTGGCCAGGGTCCCTGGCTCTGCCTACGTCATCTGGGTGTGTAGCTATAATAACAAAAATGGCAAAAAGGATATTAAGTGGCCATACCTTTCTATCAAGGAAAGCTACCCGCTGTCACAGACTCATGATACCTTTAGGATTGAAGATTCGCACATCCTGGATTTAGCCTGTGTGCCATCAATGTTCTGTTTATTGGAAGGAAAGAAATTGATTTCCTGTTTCCTTAGTTCATTCATCTATTAATAAACATTTTTTAGGCACCCTCCAGGTCCCAGATACTATGCTATGCAGGCAGCAAAAACACAAATAAGACATAATCCCTGCACTGAGGGTCTACTGGGGTAGTGTAGCAGGGGTGATAGGCAACCACACGAGTACCAAAATAGCTGAGTAAGTGGCATGTCAAAAATGCACTAGGGCTGAGTCTAGAGTAGAAAGGAAGTACATGCAGGTAGGAGGAATAATATTTGCACATGCTCCAAGAACAGGGTAGTGACACCACCCATTTAGGAAACTACAACATTTCACTGGGATGTCACATGAGCCAGAGTGGCTGGAAATAAGTGATGAGGGGCTTCTATGCATAGAGCGTCTTCTATGCTGTGCCAAAGAACTTGAACTTTTATACTAATGGATATGGGGAGCCACTTAACTTTAAGCAGGGGACTGAGATGAGTAGATTTCCAGCACAGAAAAAAATAACTTGGGCAAATGTGGAGGGGCAAGGCTGGCAAGCAGCCCCAAACCGTAGTCTAGAAGATTGCCCCAAGTGACTACTCGATGGAGGCATCATTCACTGATATGGGACAAACAGGAAGAGAAATGCATTTGAGAGAAGATGAGCTCAATTTTTGGCATGTCGAGCTTGAGGTCGTGGTGCTGGTGGTTCAGAAATGTCCGTTTCTAGAAGGAAAGTTCTATACATAGATCAAGGGAGGCAGGTGTAGGGAGCTGGCAGTATGTGAGTATCGCTTAGTCCTGAAGAAGACGGGCAGCCCCTTCAAAGGATGGTATTTTTGAACAGTAACGAACTTCATGGATTTTTCTGTTGGAGCATTTATACCCAGTAGTGATTTGTCTCTGGACTACAGTTGTATTTCATTTGTTCTTGTTTTTATAACAAACATAAATTAATTACCAAGAGACTAACAAAATAGTTTTGTTAACTTTTATCTCCAAATTATAATGTGAAAACTAGGAAATTCAAGGCATAGGTTAGAAAAATATCCCACTAGGCAAGGTGCGGTGGCTCACGCCTGTAATCCCAGCACTTTGGGAGGCCGAGGCGGGCGGATCACAAGGTCAGGAGATCAAGACCATCCTGATAACATGGTGAAACCCCATCTCTACTAAAAATACAAAAAATTAGCCGGGCGTGGTGGCGGGCGCCTGTAGTCCCAGCTACTCGGAGGCTGAGGCAGGAGAATGGCGTGAACCCGGGAGGCGGAGCTTGCGTGAGCCGAGATCGCGCCACTGCACTCCAGCCTGAGCAACAGAGTGAGACTCCGCCTCAAAAAAAAAAAAAAAAAAAAAATTCCCACTAATAGTGTTTTGTTTTGTTTTAATGTAGCACAGTAGTCTTTTACATAGTAATTTTTCCCACTTGAGGAACTAAAAGGCTGTCAGTAATAACTTCACTTCTTAGATGATTCCTGTTTAATCTGTAAGTGTTCCCATCAAATCTGTGTCATGAATACCTGGTCTGAGTTTTTATGGAATATAGATCAATATTACTTCAGAATTTAAGTCCATGCAATTTTGCCAGAACAAACTAAGGCAAGTGATTGACCCTGCTGATAGAAGATATCATATTTTGAAAGATACCAGCACAAAATGTAAGTATTTCAAACCAAGCTCTTTGATGATGAAATTAGAGCAGAAAAGTCTTATCAAGTCTCTGGAAACAAGGTCTGAGAACAATGAATTCAAGTCAGGAGAATCTGGTGCTCTCTATGCAGTGCTTCCACTGGTACCCTGTATGACCTTGGGCAAGTCCCCCGGTCCTCTGCCCCCCCGCCCCAACAACTTTTCCTCCTTTCTATCACTGTGGAGTTTTATAAAGTATTTTATGTTCTTTAGATGAAAGATACAAAGTGCACCACTTAAATGGAAGGTCTGAGGCTTTTCGCCTATAATAGGAGGAAAGACTCATTAGCACAAAACCATCTAAGAGACAAAAACTTTATTTAGTGGTTTTAGTCTCCAGCTAACACCTAAATCCAAAAAGGTCTAGGTCATGTGTTCCCAAACATTTCAATGTAAAGAAAGGGGGAAAAAAAGGAACCTAGGGAAGAATCGAATCCTACAAGTGGTATATTGCTTAGTATCTGTAGCCTGAGAAAATATACAATGCTTTAAGTCACTGCCAGTTCAGGAATGTTTATGGGTAAATTTGTATTTTTAATAATCACATGGTATTCACATATATTTTCATCTATATTTGAAATAGTGGTATCTGTATGTATGGGACATAACTCCTCAGTCACAGGCAACCACTTGGTTTGCAATGAGAATAAGAGACTCCTGACATCAAATCTTAATGCCCACCCTAATGTTCTAAAGACTGAATGTTGAAATCTCTCCTTAGCTTCCCCGAAACTTGTTTTACTATCTACTCCCGGAGTCATCCATTTGTCACAGCAACTAAAAGAAATATCACAGGGCAAGCATGATGGCTCAACACCTATAGTCCTAGAACTTTGGGAGGCCAAGATGGGAGAATCACTTGAGGCCAGGAGTTCGAGACCAGCCTGAGCAACACAGGGAGACCCTGTCTCTACAAAAAAAAAAAAAAGAAAAGAAAAGAAAGAAATAAAAGAAGCATCACAGCAGGCAAGAGGTATGCTAAAGTCCAGTATTCTGAGAAACGTTCATATAAGAATATATATATACACACACATATATATTTTATAGAAAGTAACAAAGTACCTCAAGATCCAACTTTTGTAAAAGGCCACTTAAATAGTGGAAGGAGAAGCACAACCAATTGAGGTTAAGTTTCTATACTTTTCACAAAGGGAATGAGAAAAGTGTATTTATACAATATATTGAAAATCTCCTTTGTAAATACAATGTTGTATAAAATATAAAGCATTATCATACAGTAAGTGGTTCAAATTTGTAAGGGTAGAATATTAACTTCCAGAACCACACAGACATGGCTACATTAAGAGACTTTGTGTCTTTATCAAGGGAGTCAGTATTCTCATTTTACTCTGTGGGTCAGGTTACTCCTGAGCGCTACCTGTTCTGAGTCTATGCTTTCAGAACAGCACATCTAGAAGTGAGTGAACCTGCTCTGTCAACAGGGGAAGCAAACACAGATTATTATACGTTACAATACCTACCATCTATTGATCACTTCTTAGGTACCTGGTCTTTATATATATATTTCATTAAAATTCATGGGCTGTGGCATGGTGGCTCACGCCTATAATCCCAGCACTTTGAGAGGCCAAGGTGAGTGGATTGCTTGAGCTCAGGAGTTTGAGACTAGCCTGGGCAACATAGTGAGACCTCATCTCTACAAAAAAAATAAACAAAAAAATTAGCTGGGTATGGTGGTATGTGCCTGTAGTCCCAGCTACTTGGAGAGGCTGAACTGGGAGGATCACTAGAGCCCAGGAGGTCTAGGCTTCAGTGTGCCACGATCATACCATTGCACTCCAGCCTGGGCAACAGAATAAGACCTTGTCTCAAAACAAAACCAAAACCTAAACAACAACAACAACAAAAATCTCATACTATAGCAACCTCTTTTAATCCCTATTTTTAGCAGAGGTGCCAGAAGCAGTCATAGGGCTGGAGACAATTCTGGCTGGCCTGATTCTAAAGCCCCACTCCTTCACTATACCAACATGTCCTCCCATTAAGTGACTGACACATAAAACTGGGGGAATTTTCCCCAGCAAGAGATGCCAAAATAATTTGTTTAGCATCTGCTTGGCAACTCTGCCTCAGTCACAGTTGAAAGTCTTTAAAGTCTTTTGTGTGTGTGTGTGTGTGTGTGTGTGTGTGTGTGTGTGTGTGTGTGTGTATGTTTCGTAGAGATGGGGTTTCACCATGTTGGCCAAACTGGTCTCAAACTCTTGGCCTCAAGTAATCCACCTGACTTGGCCTCCCAAAGTGCTGGGATTACAGGCGTGAGCCACTGAACCTGGCCTAAAGTCTTGACTCTAGTTTCTTTCTTCAACTACTATTTTGAACATACAGTTTATTTATTCCTTTGAGTGCTATTGATTTCATTGGCTAATAAACCTATGATTCCTAAATTATACTTTTTGCTTTCCTTATGTATCTTCTCCAACACCTATTTTGCAAAAATACCAAAGCAACTCAAAGACATACTTCATTATCTCTATCTTCCATTTTCCCATTTCTTAGTACTAGTTTGAAAAGCAATCTGCAGTCATTCTTTTAAGTAGCATCAAAGCAGTGCCAGCATTGTGCTAAACACTTAATTTGCATTACCTTTTTTGATTCTTTATGATTAAGGTATTAAATTGGTGTTAGGTCTCCATTTCATAGATGAGGAAAGAGTTCACACACAGCCAACAAGTGGCAAACATAAAATTTACACAGAGGTCTGATGGATGCTTAAGCCCTGACTTTAGGCCCCAATTTTAAGCGCTAAACTATACCTACCCAGAATACAAACACAGTTTTTTCTTGTCAGAAGACACTAATCGTTAAATTACAGGAGGTGGATGGAGACATGTGAGAAATTATCAGAATTTAGTTCTCTATACCTGCTTAACTCCATTTGTTCACTTTAATTTACTTTTAATCCCACAGAGCTAAGAACTGAGGACTGTGAGTTATTCAAAAAACCCTCAGATTTAAGAGGAAAGCAGTAACAAGGGGCTAAGATTACAGCATTGAATCTTATTTCCTCAGATGAAGATAGTTCATCTCAAATGTTTAAGGAAAAGAAAACTCCAAATCAGAGCACCTCACTAATACACCCAAAGGCTTCTCTCAAACTGCCCTGTAGCGAGGCATGGTGGTTCATTCTTGCAGTCCCAGCTACTTGGGAGGCTGAGGCCGTAGGGTCACCTGAGCCCAGGAGTTCAAGGCTGCAGTGAGCTATAATCCTGCTACTGCACTCCAGCCTGGGTGACAGAGTGAGACCCAGTTTCAAAAAAACAAAGCAACACAATAAAAAAACTGCCCTGCCCCCTTTGCCAGAGGGAATTACTGAAGGAACCCGACTGCACAGGGGAGTGGTCTAGATTCAAACAAACTTCAGTTACTTCAGAACGAACCCCGGTTTAGTCACAGTGGCAGAGGAGAATCTTATATTTCAAGAAACTGAAGATATAATAACTAGATCCAGAAAAAAAAATCCTACAGAATTTCCTAATCATTATTATTTATTTTTAAACAGGGTAGTGAAAAATGATAAAATAAATATTAGTAAACATCAATTAAAGAATATGTGAGAATGGTATTAATTATTGCCTTAGGACAGTCATCCTTTGGTTTTATTAAATTTTATCCCAGTGCAATGCTGGATATAGGGTAAGCCAGAAGGCACCCTGAGGGTCAGTCATCGAATAAGAGTGAGAAAGAGTGGAAACTCTAGTGCCTGAGTCTTTCTGGGAGCACACAGGATTCAGAGAACACAGTCTGCAAGCAACTGATACTCTGTGAGCAGTGGTGCATATATTTCAGTACAATTCTCATAAAAATAATCACTTATAAGGATTCCTAATTTAAAAACTCGAAAAACATTAATTTGTGGTATCTGCAAGAACTCTTGAAAGAAATCATGCGGGGCGCAGTAGCTCACTCCTATAATCCCAGGACTTTGGGAGGCTGAGGCAGGCGGATCACCTGAAGTTGGGAGTTTGAGACCAGCCTGACCAACATGGAGAAACCCCATCTCTATTAAAAATACAAAAAAAATCAGCCAGGCATGGTGGTGCATGCCCATAATCCCAGTTACTCAGGAGGCTGAGGTAGGAGAATTGCTTTGAATCCAGCAGGCAGAGGTTTTGGTGAGCTGATATCAGGCCATTGCACTCCAGACTGGGCAACAAGAGTGAAACTCTGTCTCAAAAAAAAAGAAAAGAAAAAAGAAATAATGGAAGATTTTCAAAGCTAGGCAAAGAGCTTACACTTTTCGTATAGGCAAGAGGAAGCTACCTGAGGCTTATGAGTAGGGCAGGTTTCAAGAGCGGAATCTTGGAACCAAGAGAGAACACTAAGGAGGAGGTAAGGAGAACCTGGATGACTCTGAAAGCCTCAGAAATGGAATGAAAGCTAGTTCAAGACTGAACACTCCCAGGTTTTTCCCACTGCTTGATAACCCCGGGCTTTTAAACATTCTTTTTTTTTTTTCTTTTCTTTTTTTATACTTTAAGTTCTGGGATACATACATGTGCAGAAGGTGCAGGTTTGTTACATAGGTATACATGTGTCATGGTGGTTTGCTGCACCCATCAACCTGTCATCTACATTAGGTATTTCTCCTAATGCTACACCTCCCCTACCCCCCCACCCCCTGACAGGCACCAGTATGTGATGTTCCCCTTCCTGTGTCCGTGTGTTCTCACTGTTCAACTCCCACCTATGAGTGAGAACATGAGGTGTTTGGTTTTTTGTTCCTGTGTTAGTTTGCTGAGAATGATGGTTTCCAGCTTCATCCATGTCCCTGCAAAGGACATGGATTCATCCTTTTTTATGGCTGCATAGTATTCCATGGTGTCTATGTGCCATGTTTTCTTTATCCAGTCTATCATTGATGGGCATTTGGGTTGGTTCCAAGTCTTTGCTATTGTGAACAATGCCACGGTAAATATACATGTGCATGTGTCTTTATTGTAGAATGATTTATAATCCTTTGGGTATATATCCAGTAATGGGATTGCTGGGTCAAATGGTATTTCTGGTTCTAGATCCTTGAGGAATCGCCACACTGTCTTCCACAATGGTTGAACTAATTTACACTCCCACCAACAGTGTAAAGGCATTCCTATTTCTCCACATCCTCTCCGGCACCTGTTGTTTCCTGACTTTTTAATGATCACCATTCTAACTGGTGTGAGATGGTATCTCGTTGTGGTTTTGATTTGCATTTCTTTAATGACCAGTGATGATGACTTTTTCATATGTTTGTTGGCTGCATAAATGTCTTCTTTTGAGAAGTGTCTGATCATATCCTTTGTCCAGTTTTTGATGCAGTTGTTTATTTTTTTCTTGTAAACTGCACCCAGCGGTTTTTTCTTATGTAAACTGCCAGTCATGGAATCAGTTGATTCCTAGTCTTTTTTAGTATGGCGTATAGTATTATGTAGATAATAAACAGCGGTCAGTTTTTGTTAAGATAGAGACTGTATAATCATTTGGTAATTCAGTGTTGTTTATCCAATTTCTAGATTTTTACTGAAAAACTTGTAAACCTGCTTTGAGTTATCAGGGTGCTTTGCTGTACATAAGTATATTTTAAAAATAAATTTTCTTTAAAAAAATCATCAATTGACTTAATCCTCTTGCATCTTAAAGGAAAACAGCATTCAATGTTGGATCTGCTCTCCAAATTTATGTTACCCATTTATAAGAAACTTCTGAAATTTTCAGTTTGGGGACTCTGGTCTCCAAAGCATGTGGGGGAAGGCTGCTTAAATCACACTATCTCAGCAATGTCACTTTCAGCCTTCCATTCTCTAAAAACAATGCCAGAGAAGGTGCACTCTGGTTCACTCCTGTTTCCCTATAACTGTTGCATTTTGACAATTTGCATTTTATTTTGGACCATAGCTACTGTAATTGTAAATTGGTCTACTTTCTTTAATCTGGGAGTAGCAGCAAATCATTTTTAATAGCCCTTAATTCCCCCTTTTAATGAGATATCTGCATTCGACTGACTCAACCATGTACTGCCGTAGGCTAGGGTGGATGAATCACAGAAAATAGACGGAAGAAACCCATTAGGTAATCTCACGCAGTCCTCTGCCAGACTCCGGATGATTCCCAACAATAAAACTTCTAGGACCAGTTCAGCATACTTTTAATGCTCCTCCAAGGATGGAACTGCTAACCCTCCCACCACAGGCCATCCAGTCATTTGGACAGCCCGCACTCCCGCAGTCGTCTCCCCAAGCTTCCATTTATGCTCTCTTTATCCTCACTGCATCCCATTTCACTACAGAGCTCAAGGTCCACCCGGGCTATGTGCACAAACTTTTCTTCTGGTCTGTTTGCAAGCACTCACATACTTAGAGAGTGACCGCCCTGGATATTAAGGGAAAATTGAACTATATATAAAATAACTTCTTATACTTCTTAACCCTTGCCATAAAAATTAGAAAAGGACTCATATCATGGACTCATTCTCAAAGCCTGCTGTCTTTTATATGCTCTCCAGTTCTTTGTTTGGTCTAATTCTTTTCTTGCTGCATTCCTCTGAACTCTCTCCAGCTGTTCCACATCTGGAGTTGAGCTGCTCATAGCTGAACACACTATTCTTGGTGTGGTCTTATTTGATGCAGATAAACCCTGGCTCTCAGTTTCCCTTCATCTCTCTTATCCTGCTTGCTTTTCCCTTTCTTTTGCTTTTTCCTTTGCTTTCAATCTATAAGCTCTGTTTTTGACATTATGTTCTGGAGAGTTACTCAATTCAGTTCCACGGGCTTGAGAATAATGGTAATGAAAAAAACCTCTTTTGAGGCCCCAACGCCTATTTAGTTGATAGAGTGATGCCTTTTAGGATTTCCATTTCCCACTGCTCTACAATTAACATCATCATCAACAATAACCACCTCCATCTTTTTTCAAGGTCAATGTATTACCTGGTAATAACTATTATTTACCATAATAATTTCATTTCCAGCCAAATACATTATTTTACTTACCATCTATTTATTTTCCCCTTGTGTTAATTTATATTTTTTTCTTTGCTAAGGTTAGATTATTCTGCCTTCAATTTACTGAGAAAACCCTTATTTATACATTCAGCCCAACTTCCCCACTTATTTCTTCATTTTCAAAGTGATTCCTGCAATCTTTGTAGGATTCAGAACTGAAAAGGACTGAACCTGTAGCTAGGCCACTTCCTTTGACCTTCAATTATGGCTGTTTATCCTGCCAATTTACCCTCACATATGTAAAATCCAGCTTCATTTATAGCAGGACCTAATTAAGGGGGTCACTTTTTAAATATTGAACTTTCTACTTATCTATGTAAAAAGCTCACTATCTAAATTATTGTCAAGAATGGAACAACTACATAGCCAGATTCTAGCCCATGTGTTTACATAGAGGGTGAGTACATGCAAATGTTGTACTCACAATACCAAGGGTGCTCCCAATTCTACATAATCAACCTTTTCCACCACTCCCCTCCTCCAAGAACAGCAGGTCTTTCTTCCCACATCCTCACTCCCTCTGCTCACACTCTCACACTCCTCCCCCTATCTCCTATTAGGTTGGGCTCAGATTTTTTTAAAAAACTGTGGTAAAATACACAACATAAAATTTACCATCTTAACCATTTTTAAGTGTACAGTTCAGCGCTATTAAATACATTCATAATGTTGTGCAACCATCACCACCATCCATCGCCATTACTCTTTTCATCTTTTAAAACTGAAACTCTTATGCATAAAACAGTAATTCCTCATTTATTTCTCTCCCCAAACCCTGGCAACCACCATTATCCTTTCTGTCTCTGTGATTTTGACTACTCTGCATTCTTGATTTAAGAGAATCACAAGGTATTTCTCTTTTAATGACTGCCTTATTTCATTTAGCGTAATGTCCTCAGAATTCATCCATGTTGTGGCATATGTCAGAATTCCCTTCCTTTTTAAGGCTTAATAACATTCCATTGCATGTGTATATATAGTACATTTGCTTATCTATTCATCCGCTGATGGATACTTGGGTTGCCTCTACGTTTTAGCTACAGTGAATAATGCTGCTACAAACATGGGTATACAACAGATCATTCTTTTTTATGGTATTTTCAAATACACACAAAAGTAGAGCAACCGACAAAATTAACCCCCGTATACTCAACTTTAACATCCCCAAATCCAAAGGTCCCCAGATTTGACTTTCTCGTTTTCAGACACTCAAAAGACAGCCTTCACTGCCTGATGTCTCTCTGTAGGAATTTTTCGGTGGGGCTTGGGGATGACACCCAGTGTCACTAGTCTTTGAATCTGATCACCACTAATTCCCTGTAACCACAGAGCTAAGAGAACACATGTCCACATCCAATTAGTCAGTGTTTTATTTTTCCTCTCCTCTCATTTACAATTCTGCCAGAAGTTCTAAATAAAAGAATAGAGTACCTATCTACCTTCTTTCGGCCCTGACTCTCAAACATATAGTTTACCCTGAATGTTATGTTTCTGCCTATGTTCTGTCATTCTTTCAAGTGATCATGACTTCAACTTTCAAATGGTTTCAGGCAAGATTTTAGAACAAACAATATACTGCTAGAGAGAAAATAAAAACCAGCAAAAATAAACCAAAAAGGCAATTGATAATTATTTTGGGAGAAATAATTTATTTTTCAATTTTGACCATCTTTTGTTATTTTGCTTTTCATCAGCACTTCTAACAGAGCTAAGAGTTCAGATCAGATGCCTCTAATTTTAATGTGAGCTAAAATCTGTGTTAAAATGTAGACTGCCAGCCTCCACTCCAGACATCGGATTACACTGGTCTAGGGTACAGCCTAGGAATCTGCATTTTATCAAACACTCCAGAGGGTTCCAATGCAGGTGGTCTCTGACTATGCTTTGGCAAACACTGAAGAATCAGATGAGGAACACGGAATTGCTATAATAATTCTGAAGAGAAAGTAATTTTTTAACTTGGGGTAATGGGACAGCTTCACAGAGACAGAGTTTCAACTTTGTAGTTTTCGTTCATTCAGTCACTGAAAAGAAATTATTAGGCATCTGCTATGTATCACATTCTGTACTGGAGCTACAATAGTGAAGAAGCCTGACAGAGTCCTTTGCTAATGAGGCTGAGAGTCTACAAGAGCAGGATTTCGGGAGCAAACAGAGGAACCGTCATAAACAAAGAGGGGATGGGATTAAGGAATATCCAGTACAATGTTGGGCAATGTGGAGAACACAAAAGAAATATATATACATTTAAATCTAAGACTAGAAGGGGTAGGGTGGTACAAAAGAAGTTAGTACAGCTGGAATGGCCAAGTCTTCAATGACAGAGACTGAGGATGGAAACTGGGCAGTGGAGATGGCTGAAGGGAAGTCAGCAGTTATCCCAAGGGCAGTAGAAAGCCCTCCATGGTGTCTAGGCAGGAACATGATATAATTTCAAGATATGGCTCAAGAGGCCCAAGTTATGTTTTGAAAAGGTCATCTTTTTCCTAGAAGGTACATTAACAATGAAGTATACTAGAGATTTTGTGTAAATGTAGAAATGAATATTGAACTGCTTCCAGAACTATGTAGCCAGGCTGACAAACTTTTAATTAAGTCCATCTGGCCGGGGGTGGGGTGGGGAGGGGTGTCTTGTATTCATTTTCTCTTCATCTAGATCTAGCCTCGTCCTTCCACATAATTTGCAGAAAAGGCTCACACATGCATGCGCACAGGCCCAATCCTTTTAAGCTTTTAATTGGGCTTCCATCCACAAACCCCTTTCACTTTTTTTTTTTTTTTGAGAACCAACTCACACATTCTGAATTATTTTGAGTATCTTATCATCTTTAAAGAGAGTGAGAAAGAGAGATTACAGATTTTGTGGTTAATGATTCTTTAAAGAAGAAGGGAAGCTCAAGTCAAGTTTCTTTCCATTTAGAATAGAGCTTTGGGTCCTTTCAGAAATTAACTTCTCTGAGGCTGGACTCGATGGTTCACACCTGTAATCCCAGCAGTTTGGGAGGCCAAGGTGGGAGGATCACTTGAGCCTAGGAGCTCAAGAACAGCCTAGGCAACACAGGGAGACCCCATCTCTACAAAAATAAAAATTAAAATTAAAAAATAATTTGGGGCCAGGTGCGGTGGCTCATGCCTGTAATCCCAGCACTTTGGAAGGCCGAGGTGGGCGGATCACGAGGTCAGGAGATGGAGACCATCCTGGCTAATGCGGTGAAACCCCGTCTCTACTAAAAATACAAAAACATTAGCCGGGCATGGTGGCGTGCGCCTGTAGTCCCAGCTAATCCCGAGGCTGAGGCAGGAGAATGGCATGAACCCGGGAGGCGGAGCTTGCAGTGAGCAGAGATCGGGCCACTGCACTCCAGCCTGGGCGACAGAGTGAGACTCCAACTCCAACAACAACAACAAAATAATAATAATGATAATAATAATAATAATAATTTGGATGTGTTGGTGCATACCTGTGGTCCTAGGTACTCAGGTGGCTGAGATGGGTGGATCACTGAGGCCCAGGAGGTCTAGCTAGGCTGCAGTGAACCATGATTGTGCCACTGCACTCCAGCCTGGGCAACCAAGTGAGAGCCTGTCTCAAAAAGAAAAAAAGAAAAAAAGAAAAAAAAAAAAAGCTTTTCTGAGATAAGATCTTTTCAACTTTATAGTTGAAAAAAACTACATGGACAATAGCCCCCACTTAAGTTATTGGAAGAATCAGGTGAGTTGAGTTACAAGTTGCTTTATTATAGTTCTTGACGCATAACAGCTGCTCATTAAATGTTAGCTTCTAAAGGGTTAAGAATACACATCATTAGGAACAGGATAAAAAAGAATGAGTTGACATTTAATATTTATAGGGTATTGAATCAAGTATTGAATCAAGATCTTTAATTTATTACTGAATACATTTTGCGTGCCTAAAATGACCAGGATACTCTCCAAAAGACAATTTTACAGCATACTGTTTATCTGAATTTTAATGGTAGACTGTAGCAAGAACATGAAGTAGGTCAGTTGAAGAAGATAAGCCTGTAAGGATATAAAGGATGAGAGAAAACCTCAATACAAGTCCAGAGGTGCTGCCGATAGATGAGTTCCCTAGAATTCTAAGTACTACCAAGCATAATGGTTAGTGTATCAACTTTGGGGAGGAGTGGTGAATTTCTGAAAAGCTGCAATCAGCTGAGATAAATATGCAACATCTATTGAGCATATTTCAAGGTTATTCAGAGGCATCAAGAACTGAACACCAGGTGACCTTGGGCAAGTTATGTGTCTCTGAGTTTTGGTTTCCTTATCTGCAAGGCTGATGGGCTAGATAACCTCTAAATGGTTCTTGCAGATATAACAGGATTTGGGGAGGAGAATGGATAATTGAAAGAGTCCAGACTATGCAGTCAGTCAGACTTGGGCTGGAATTCTGCTTCTACCACCCACCAGGCAAAGTACTTAACATCCTTGGGTCCCATTTTCTCCTCTGTAAAATGGAGAAAATAAAATATACATTGTATAGCTATTGAAGGATAAAAAATAACATTTCTAAATTATCTGGCATTTATTAATAATAGACAACTAAATTAAGGGAACACTCAATGTTATTCTATGATCGTGTGTTAAATGCACCTATGGCCAAATTTAAAGTCTAGTTATCACTTTAAAGTCTAGTTATCCGGTAACTGACTAAACGGTGATTCTTCAAATTTCAAAAACATTCCTCGCTTTACAAAAAAGATTCATCTCAGGCTCCTCTTAAAATGTGAGTCAATAATCACCCTGAGCATGAGATAGACTTCTAGGATATTTAGATATATCTACCCACTGTTGAATATGAAGTGTGATATCTTCATTCTCAACAAACCCTTACCAGGGAGGGGTGTGTGTGTGTGTGTGTGTGTGTATGGGTGTGTGTATCCCCTTGTTTGTAAAGCTCAATGCTAAGTGAGGTTTATAAAGTTCTGCGAGGTTTGATTCTCTGCTCTTGAGAAACTGACGATAACTTTTCTCTGTAGGAAGACAGGTACACAATGCCAAAGAACCAAAAGCCTTATTTTGAAAAGAAAAATGAGAGCGACTCCTTCCACAGAATAGTGTGAATTAATTAGTGTTTATAAAGAATTTTGATATGCTTATGCAAAAGGCACTTTGAATGTAAACAGTTTTAAGGGCACTTTGTTGTGTAAGACTAGATTAAGAACAGGGCAGTAATTAGCACGTTGGGAGGCATGAAAAAGTTTTAAAGAAAGCACAAGGCTGGGCACTGTGGCTCACACCTGTAATTCCAGCGCTTTGGGAGGCTGAGGCGAGAGGATCACTTGAGTCTGGGAGTTCAAAACCAGCCTGGGAAATGCAGTGAAACCCATTGAAAAATTTAAAAATTTGCTGGGCATGGTGGCACACGCCTGTGGTCCCAGCTACTTGAGAGGCTGAGGCAGCAGGATCGCTCAAGCCCAGGTCGTCTATAGTGAGCTAGGATCACTATAGTGAGCCAGGCTGCACTCCAGCCTGGGCAGCAGGGCCAGGCCCTGTCTCTAAAAAAAAAATAGTTAAAAAAAAACACATCATATTGCTACAAAGACAATATGTAAAACCCACTGCAATTGTTACATAAAAGAATGCTCCTAGAGTAGATTTTGTGCAGATGATAAGCCAGGTAAAATCTGGAAATACAATTTCTTCTTTTTAGTTCAGGGAAAGCCAGGTTCCTCAGTATAAGTAAATCTTAAATAAGTTTTTAAAAATACCAAATCAATTTAAAGTGCTAACAGCCTTACCAGGATGTAAATTCTTAAACAATTAGCTTCATTCCCAACAGGATCAAACACAAGCACACAGCCAAGACAGTTTAGCTCCTAAGCTTGGTGCGTTCAAAGAGAATCTTGACTTGAGCTGAGTGTGATCTCCAGATGCAATACAACCCTTCTACACACAGATCCATGGGAAAGCATTTTCTGGAAACAGATGCACCTTGTTTAAAACCAAAGTTGTGTTTCTGAAGAAAGCTGGGTACAAATAGAATTTTTAAAAATTGAATCATATTTTAAATGCCCTGGGGATGCTCATATCACAGGGAACCCTCTTATGAATGATTCTGCAAGAGAAGAATTATTTTATGAATTGAAAAAGCACCTCTAATTTATTTGCTGCACTGATTTTTTGAATTTTGTTTTCAAAATTCAAAAAAATTTTGAAATTATGTGCTAATTATGTGCTTGCCTTTTGTGGCTTATTCCGAATATCTTAACAAAGAAACACTATTTTTTTTTCTCTTTGAATGTTTGATTTTGAAATATTTGCTTTTAATATAGTCTTTTCATATAGTCTAATTCCTCTCACTCCCTACCCCCACCCCATGGGTATAATTCCATTTTTGAAGTGGAAGCCAATGAGATAACTGAATTGAATGTACTGGAACTTATTTTATGGTCAAATTTTAGGAACGCATCTGTTATACTTGGTAGGGAATATAGATTCTATTAGATCTAAACAGAATGAAAGGGAGCCGGGGCATGGTGTCTCTATTTGCTGTTGAACAGCTGATATAAAAGGAATTGAAGCAGGCCATGTACGGTGGCTCACGCCTGTAATCCCAGCACTTTGGGAGGCCGAGGCAGGCAGATCACCTGAGGTAAGGAGTTCGAGACCAGCCTGACCAATATGATGAAACTCCATCTCTACTAAAAATACAAAAATTAGCCAGGTGTGGTTGCATGCGCCTGTAATCCCAGCTACTCAGGAGGCTAAGATAGGAGAATCGCTTGAACCTGGGAGGCGGAGGTTGCAGTGAGCTGAGATTGCGCCATTGCACTCTAGCCTGGGCAATAAGCTCGAAACTCCATCTCAAAAAAAAAAAAAAAAAAAGGGGGGGCGGGGGGCAATTGAAGCAATGAGTGTAAACACCTTGGCTCTGTAGCTGACCCTATCAGGTGGGGAAGAACAGAGCAAGATCAGAAGTATGCTTCTATTCACAAAATCTTCTATAGACATGTTTGATTCAACTCCAAGACACCAAGTTAACTTTCAGCAGAGGTTCCCAAATTTTCTTGATTCATGAATCTCCCACGTAGTGGGAGAGTGATTAATCTCCCACTATGGTGGTGTCTTTAGGCCAAAAGAAATACCTAACAGTTAACTTATTAAGTACCTACGTTCAAACAACTACTAAGGAGCTGTCCTAATAACTTGGTAGCAGTTTGAAAAAAATAATACTTATAAATTGAAAGAAAAAAGGTATATTTTTATTTCATTCTTAACCACAACTACTCACTAAAGTATGCGTACACCTTTCGGGTATGCACAACTTCTCAAATCTTGGAATCATATTGGATAGAGTTGCCTTCATTTCCCATACCAAATTGTTGCCATGCAGTACTTGCTTTGTATCAAGTTAACCTCCAAAAACCCAACCTTAGAAAGATATGACATCGTCAAAAGGAATGTAGCGCCATCTAATGTTGAAGCTGTGAACTACCTCAATCTAGTAATGCACTGGGTACTTGACAGATACCAAACATTGCTGTGTTTTCCTCTAAAATTTAAAACATCCCCTATGAGTTGACTGTGGTACCCTTGGGTGCCCTGGTATACAGTTTGGGAACTACAAGTTTAAATAAAGACAAGTAGACTTTCCATTTTCCTGAATGACTGAACAATGTCATAACACTTCAATACCTGCTCAGTATACATATAACACACACAGAGGAAATCTATACTTGCTTCTACACACATCTTATACCTAGTTAAAAGCACTGTCATTCCAGGTTAGGTTACAATTTTAAAGGCAATACTTTTATGGCAGTACCTACCCAAATGCATTTTTAAACTGTATTCCATTAAATTTCACCTTTGCTTTCACAATTTTGTATCTGGCATGTGATTCCATTTAGGTTATACTAGGAAAAAACATTTTTATTTTCTCAAATAACTAACGTTTTGTGTTGTAATAAAACCTAATGTCTAGTACCAACAATGTCATGGACTCTACCATGTTAGATGCCCATCCATCTCAAATGTGTAAGATATCACATATTTAGGCACAATGGCTGTACAGTATTGGTACATTGCATGAAAAGGTCACAGGCCAGCCACAGTGGCTCACGCCTGTAATCTCAGCACTTTGGGAGGCCGAGGTGGGTCGGGAGTTTGAGACCAGCCAGACCAACATGGAGAAACCCTGTCTCTACTAAAAATATAAAATTAGCTGGGCGTAGTGGCGCATGCCTGTAATCCCAGCTACTCAGGAGGCTGAGGCAGAAGAATCGCTTGAACCCGGGAGGTGGAAGTTGCTGTGAGCCAAGATGGCGCCATTGCACTCTGGCCCGGGCAACAAGAGTAAAACTCCTTCTCAAAAAAAAAAAGAAGTTAAAAAATGTGGCCATTTCTTTGTGGAAAAAAAGATATTAAAAGCACTAATTTAGGATGATGTTAAGTAGAAATGTGTCATTTCACCTGATACACATTTTCGTCTAGGAAACACAGTGCAGATTGTTAATGATAGAATAATCCCACTCCTAGTCGTTAGCCTTGGAACCAAACTGTTAACTCTCTTCTTTCCTTTGAGCATAGCCTATTTATTTCTATTTGCTGTTGAGGATAAACCACTGATTGAGTCATAGAATGCAGTTTTGGGCTGGGCATGGTAGCTCGTGCCTGTAATCCTAGCCTTTGTGAGGCTGAGGCAGGAAGATCCCTTGGGCCCAGGGTTCAAGACCAGCCTGGGCAACATAGGAGACCCTGTCTCTAAAAAATAAAGAAGGAATGATGAAGATAATGATGATGATGACAGTTTTGCAATCATCTCACAATTTCCTTTTCTATCTTTGAAATCAAACTCTGTCCTTACATTGCCTATTTCAACTTTCTGCACCTTTTACCTTGCCTATTTCAGCTTTCTGCATGTTTACCTCATATTGCTTTTGCCCTGGGGTTCTCCTCCCTCCTTAGAGTTTTATCTGTCTGTGCACTTTCTTTCCTCTCTCTGCTACTTTGCAAAAGCCTCCCACACAATTCTAGGTAATAGCAATTTAACAACATGCCCTCAGGTGGAATAATCAGCCATCATGATTAGTTAGAGTCAGGTCCTGGCTGAATCTGGGATTAGGGATGGGTGTCTCCTCAGGACCAAGGCAGTCTAGTCTCAGAAGAATAGAATTAAAGGGAAAATTCCAGTTTCATTAAGTGTGGCATTTTTTAATCAGCAAGTCACAGAACCTTATTACCAACATGTATTAAAATGAACTCCATTTTAATGGCAGTGTGTCCATTGTCAAGATATTTGTGGTTCACTATGGCAAGTAAGTTCATGCGTCCTAACCCAATCCAGTGGGGGTAAATGAATGAGCTGAAAGAGACTGGAATAACCACGTTGATAAGGATATCACAATGTAATTACTGAAAAGATGCCACTTTGGGACCCTTGCTCTTTTCTTTAACAGATTGGTATTTTGTTACTTTTAAACATTCCGTCATATAGTATTCCACCTGAAGAATATTTTAGCTCATATAATGACATTTAAGAAAAATATAGCAAAAAACCTAGAAGCCTTCTCCAGTGCCAAACTCATTTAGAAAGTTTAGCTTCTGACTAATGCAATGATGCAATGTAATACTACCAAATTCTTTCATCATATTTAGGAGTAAGTGATTACTTGTGGAAACTGTAATGTTTCCTAACAAACCGAGTGTTTCAGGGACAGACCACCCAAATGTATTATTATATAAAGATGTCAGTTACATAATTACATGAGAAAACAACACATTTTACTTTTTTGTTTTTTAACAACAATTATCCTCTCTGGGGAAGAGAGGCTGAATTAGCTGCTTAGCAAAGTGGCTCCTAGGGGCTCCAATTAACTTAGACACATTTAAACTGGATCCTTGATAATGTACATTTAACATGAGGAAAATGAAATTGTATTTTCTTCCTCCCAATCCCTAACTCCTGCCATGTCTGAACTGACTTTGCTGAGACCACCAACAGTGAAGATGCATTTAAAAACTGCAACTCACATCTAAATGTAGGCCATATACCAGCTGCCTTGTTTTAAAATTTTTTTTAAATTATTTTGAAAGTCCTATGCCATTAATATTAATATTAGAGCCATTTAAATGAAAACACACAAACCTCAAATCAACACTTATTTTTCTTTCTTTTTATATGGACAGGGGTCTCACTATGTTGCTGAGGCTGGTCTCAAACTCCTGTCTTCAAGCAATCCTCCCACCTCAGTCTCCCAAAGTACTGGAATTACAGGCATAAGCCACCGTACCTGGTCTAAACATCTACTTTTCTTAATGGGTGCCAAGACATTCTTTAAAAGTAACTGGGAGGCTGGGCGCGGTGGCTCATGCCTGTAATCCCAGCACTTTGGGAGGCCGAGGCAGGCAGATCACGAGGTCAGGAATTCAAGACCAGCCTGGCCAAGATGGTGAAACCCCATCTCTACTAAAAATACAAAAATTAGCTGGGCATGGTGGTGGGTGACTGTAATCCCAGCTACTCAGGAGGCTGAGGCAGAGAATTGCTTGAACCCGGGAAGTGGAGGTTGCTCCGAGCCGAGATTGTGCCACTGCACACCTGGGAGACAGAGCGAGACTCCGTCACAAAAAAAAAAAAAAAAAAAAAAAAGCAATTGGGGATTTTTTTAAATGATGTGAGTGTGCAGTTGCATTTAATTCAAATAATATTTTATAAACATTTGTCTACATTAGGGGTGTGCAATAAATGATTTTAAAAATGACTATACTGCTTATGTATAAAACAGAAATATGTTTTAAATATTTGATGCCTCACTACTCATAATTCTCAGTATTTTGGCAGACACTTATTGAGTGTCCAATGTCAGAAAACAGTTACACTACTAAGGTCCAAATAAGCAAAATAGCTATAGATTACTCATCTTCAAGAGTAGTTTATCATAGTTTATCAGTAAGAAAATTTGGCAAAGGAAGAGTACATTTTCATTAAAATGCTCAGTGTTTCAATGAGGATGCTCCTGGCATTTAAGATATGATAATTCTCCCTTTTCGGGGGTTGGCCTTGTCCTGGCATTCCTGGCCCCTGCCCACAAAATGCTAGCAGTGACCCCAGTTATAGTGATAATCAGAATATTCCCATACGTTCCCCAAAGTCCCCTAGGCAAAAAAGTACTTTCTCCAGTTGGAAACCACTGACCCAAAGAGTCTCTAGCTTAAAACAGAAACAAAAACAGAATAAGGGTGAAATGTGCTAAAGCTTCATTATGTGGTTTTAAAAAGCAGGGGTGGTTGAGTGTTCCTTAATAACTGTATATAACTTTACTTCCTTGTCTTTCAGTTTATTTGTAAAAGGTTTGTCTCCTGGGGGTTCATACATTATCAATAATTCTCATTGGCTTCTTCAGAGGAGGATGTTCAGGCAGATGTTCAGGAGAATGTTCAGCTAGATGGGTGAGCAAAAAACCCAGTTTTCTTAAACTTTTAGTTAAACTCAGCTCTGCCGCCTAGCTGGGGACAATGGCAAGGGAAATCAGATTGCAGACTAGTGTCTCCTGGGACTAATCTGACATTTATGAGGGGAGCCTCTGGTTGACGAAATGCGAGTACCAGAACAGAGCTGATGCATGTGTGATCATACTCAACATTAGAACACCCCTTCAGGCTGGGTGCAGTGGCTCACACCTGTAATCCCAACACTTTGGGAGACTGAGGCGGGTAGATCATCTGAGGTCTGGAGTTCAAGACCAGCTTTGCCAGCATGGCAAAACTCCGTCTCCACTAAAAATACAAAAATTAGCTGGGCACGGTGGTGCACATCTGTAATCCCAGCTACTTGGGAGGCTGAAGCACGAGAATTGCTTGAACCCGGGAGGCGGAGGTTGCAGTGCGCTGAGATCGCACCACTGCACTCCAGCCTGGGTGACAGAGTGAGACTGTCTCATAAAAAAAAAAAAAAAAAAAAAAAGAGAACACCCCTTCAGCTTGTGACAAGCAGCTAACATCTAGGTCTATATGACAAATGTTTTTCTTTTGCTACCTAAAAATAGGTTTCTGAGGCTGGTTAGGTGAAAGTCCCCTAGGTAGGAATGGTATTGTCTCTAGTTAGAGACTACTGATCCAAAGAGACCCTAGATAAAAAGAGAATAATGGTAGGCTAACACCTTACACCTGTACCTTACGCCTGAAGGCAGAAGGGAGCAGGAGCACTGGGATGGACACAGGCTCAACATATCTAAAATTATAATCTTCCTATTTTTACAGATGGGAAGAAAGAGTTCAGAGATGTGGGATGACTTGCAGACATTCTGTGCAGTTTAATAAACCTTCCTTCTCCTGTATCGTACAGCAAGATCTCTTTCCAACATTACTACCTCAATAGGGTGAAGAATACATTTCTCATCTACCATTTGACAAATTTATGCTGAAATGCAATTCGTTTGCTGAACCTTGGAAAACAACTCAACAAAGTTCTGTCCTTTACATTATAAATCCAGTTCACAAAAACCTTTCAAACTTTTTTCTCCAAATAATCTGTCTTCTTCTTTATGTCCTGAGCTCAGAAGAGTTCCCTAATCTGAGCTCCTCAACTCTGGGCTCGTCGTTCTTCATTTCTTGATATGTGCCCACTGCTAAGAGTTGTCTTTGTTTATCACTCTAGCCACAGCATTCAAAATCTCCAAGCAGTAGACAGTCTCTCTGCTGCCCTATCAATCTCTTTTCCTGACTATTTCTTAAAAACCAAATTAAGGGTACCTTTTATTTCCTGATGAATAGCAGGCCTTCCCACACCACTTCTTGTTTCACTCTCCCTAAATCCTCATCACCTGATAATTTTCAATAATGATCCAAATGGCAACAGACTACATCATCTCAGCACCATAGCATGAGAGAATGAAAGGGACCTTGGAGGTCATTTGATTAACTGGATAAAAAGTGTTCTCTAAGAAACTTTTCAGATTCTTCAGTGGGCATCCAGGAGCAGGATGAAGGAGGTGAATGGGGAAGGGGGCAGCAAGCAGAATTTATGGTCCTCACCTCCAATTTAGCCAGAACAATTCCACTTTAATCTGTTTCTCTAATTATGCTAAGTACAATTTTATTTTAAAAAGAAAATAAAAAGAGGGACGCTTTGGAAATCTCCACTTAAAAAAAAGAAATGTAAAACCACTAATCTATTTCCCACCATGCTGAGTCCTTTAAAAAGAGCCTGATGTAAACTTTGCAAAAATTTGTGATTAGCAAAGGGTCTTTAAAATGCCTAGTCTCTTAGTAATCATAATCCCTCACCTTAAACACTGGCCTGCACCACCAAGAAAAGAGAAAATGTGATTTACTGATGGATGTGCTGGGAGAGGAAGAAAGAGACTCATGTTTGACTGCTGATTTTCCCATTAGCTAGCTGCTAAGCCACTTAACCTCCTCATGCCTCAGTTTCCTTGCCTGCAGAATGAGAGCTGGGCTCTACTCAGGCATTTTCTAGCTCCAAAATTCTGGGTTCTATGAACCAGATTTTTGTGAGGGGGACTGAGCCCTATTTCTCTCGCTTTTCCCATCTCTTGAATAATGTATCGTTCTTTTCCAAAGGAGAAGTGTCCAGGGACATCAGGAAAAAAAAAAAAAAAAAAGCTTTTATCCAATCTAACACCAGGACTAATGGAATGTTTACAGACAGACTGGCTGGCCTCAGCCCTTTAGTTTCTCCCCTTTTATCTTTCTAATCCTCCTTTCAATGTGTCACCCCTCACATCTCTTTCCTTCCTTCTTAGCTCCGCTCAAATTTAGCATACCTTTAAGTGGCTACTGTATACAAGGCACTGCGGTTCAGCACTTGGGTTATATAAAGATGAATAAGGCACAGCCCTGCACAGAAAGGGACTTCTGTAAGGAGGACAACTCTGGCAGAAACATAAAGGGAAGGTTAGAGATGCAAAAGAATAAAAGTGGAATATTTACATAAGAGATGAGGGCATGAAAAGTCTTTGAGAACTAACTGGGAGGTGGGAGAGAAGCCGTTCAATATTAATTCAGTGAATCAATCAGCTTGTTACTTACTGAGCTGTGTTCCAGGCACTGTACTACATGCAGCAGTTACAAAATGAAAAGGCCTGGTCCCTGCTTATGGTCTAAAAAGGAGAGACAGACATGGGAATTGGGTTTGGTGCCAATGAGAACCAGGGCAACACCAACCAAAAGAGGGATGTCCCAAATAGCAGACATGAGTGGGAGGAGACAGAATAAGTAAACTCCCACTGGAATAAGGAATTTATTTAACATGACGATGCTGAAGGGATGTGGGGGCTAATGGGGCATTGGTGCATTCACATTAAGCACACTCAGAGTAACATTTGGATCTGGAGTCAGAAGACAGAGACATCAACACTGAGATGCTGTCAAGAGTGGGGCCAGGAAGTGGAAGAAATCTCCTAGGTAGAAAGAACAGAGAATAAAGAGAAGGCTGTAGGACCAACATTCGGTAAGTGTCTATACTCAAGGAATAGAGAGGAAAAGAAAACTGAGTGAAGAAGACAGTGAAAGGAAATGTAGGAAAACAAGTAGGCATGTGCAATGCTAAAATAAGCTCAGGAAGAAGGGAACTTCAAACAAAAAGAAATGTTCAAAAATAAGTGGAAGGCCGGGCGTGGTGGCTCATGCCTGTAATCCCAGCACTTTGGGAGGCCGAGGCAGGTGGATCACCTGAGGTCGGCAGTTCAAGACCAGCCTGGCCAACATGGTGAAATCCCGTTCCTGCTAAAAATACAAAAAATTAGCCAGGTATGGTGGTGCGGGCCTGTAATCCCAGCCACTTGGGAGGCTGAGGCACGGAGAATCACTTGAACCCGGGAGGTGGAGGGTGCAGTGAGCCAAGATCGTGCCACTGCACTCCAACTTGTGCAACAAGAGTGAAACTTCATTTCAAAAAAATAAAAATAAAAATAAATAAATAAATACATAAAGGCTGGGTGCGGTGGCTCACACCTGTAATCCCAGCACTTTGGGAGGCCAAGGTGGGCGGATCACCTGAAGTTGGGAGTTCGAGACCAGCCCGACCAACATGGAGAAAACCCCATCTCTACATGGGCGTGGTGGCACATGCCTGTAATCTCAGCTACTCAGGAGGCTGAGGCAGGAGAATCTCCTGAACCGGGAGGTGGAGGTTGCAGTGAGCCAAGATCACGCCATTGCACTCCAGCCTGGGCAATAAAAGTGAAACTCTGTCTCAAAAATAAAATAAAATAAAAATAAAAATAAGGAAAAAAATAAGGGAAAAAAAGGAAGCAGAGAAGGGTGGGGTATAGTAGACAGAAAAAATGTCATAAAATTTAGCAGCTAGTTAATAAAAGGCTTTTGAGACAGCAGTTTCACTCATATCTATATTGAGTCCATGAGGGTCTTCCTTAGAAAAAATTAGCAAAAAAGAAAAGCTACACTGCAGACTGATGTATTATGGATTCAAAGAACACTCTTTTCTTTTCCTCTAGTTTTTTTAAGTTTGGAGGAGGCTCCAGCAAGGCTTTTAGGCCAAGGAAAAGAAATGAATCTGCTACAGATTCTCTCCCCTGACTATTGTCCAACAAAAAACAAAAACACCAACTCTATGTTAGAAGTTTTCAATCTTTTGAAAACCTTTCTTCTGGTCACTAGCTGCATGTGAGGGTGGTAATCTACATAAATAAATGGACATCACGTCTGCCTGCAATAACGCCTGGATAGACTCTCACCACAACTAGGGTACATCTGGAATAATCAGTGAAATTATACTGAGTGAGGCAAACAGCTACCCTTCAGAAGGGTTGAAACTGAGGAAAAAGGAGAGAATGATGTAACAACTGATGTAGAAAGATGTGTCATAAATATTAAGCCACCTTGGGTACCAAAACCCTGGATGGCAAATCCTGCACTAAAGTTTAACAAATGACCCAGCCTGTCTCTGCGGTACATATAGTATCACTATATTTCTCCAAGTCTGATACTTCCTCTGAGTTTTTCATACCCTAGTCTCTGTCTTCCCTTATAAGAAATAATCCCTGTCCCTAATTCCTAACCAAAAAAAGGGAAATAAATAAAACATATACCTAACAAAACATATCCATTTTGATCTGTACAAACTTGTTCAAATTTCTCTATATAAACCCTTCCTTGAAAAAAGGTTTAGTGCTGACATATTAGATTTCACAGGAATCACCCCTGTACCCAGGGCTGGCCTCATGAGTGTGTGAGCCACTGTGCAGTCGCCTAAGACCCCACTTTCAAAAGGGGCCCAGGCTCAGAAGGGCTCTGGGCTTAGTTTAGTACTCTGCTGTTACTATCTTGAAATTCTTAATAATTTTATCTCTGAATTTGTGTTTTGTAAGTGAAGTCGGATGAGCAGAGGATAAAACTTTATATTTTAGTACTTTTAATGGTACTTTTTGCCCGACTTTGAACAATGGAATTTTTGTTTTGCACTATGCCCTGCAAATTATGTAGCCAGCCCTGCCTGCAACCCTCTCCCCCAGAAATGGGTTGTGTGTGCTTAGGTACTAGACTCAGTAATCCACCCTCCCTTTTATTCATTTCCTTGCATTATGTACCTTAATACATTATACACACCTTTGAGGGGAGAGCCACTATCTTTTCCATCTCTTTATCACAAGCTCCCCATATCCTAGTGCCTAACAGAGTGCTAAGGATGCAGAAGGTACTTGATAAATATTTGTAAAGTCAATACCCCACTCTAGTTAGACAATTCTCAACTACTCCATGATGACCACCACTGAACCTTTTCAAAACTTCAAAATCTATCTGGTTTCCAGAACATTATAAAGTATCAATCTCCTTATTCTATGGAAAGCTACAAAAATAATGACCTCTCCTTTTAGGCTTGTAAAGAAACAACATTTCATACTAATACAACAATGATAAGTGTATTAGGTTTGTTTTTAAGGGCTTTATTTTCTTTTAACTTTTTGTTAAATCTGAGCATCAAAGCATTTTTTGAAAGTTTACTGTTCCAGCATCTTAGATCCCTAAAGATGGCAACTCAACTAACTTTTCCTAAGGGTTGAATGCTGCTTCATGCAATGCTTAATTTGAGTCAACAATGGCTGAAGGAACATCCTTAAATGCTTATCTCAAGAGGAGCAAATGTAGCTACTGGCCTCTGGCAATCCAAAGGAAAATAACTGAGGTCAAGTTCTGTCTTAAATTCTCAGTACCATTACACCTTGTACTATTGCTAGATTCTCGTGTTGGCCCATTTTAGGCTCTTTATAATGATATGATTTATATCTCATGACTCAAATTCATTACAGATGGACCATACCCAAGATAAATGCCACAAGGCACAAACAACTCTTCATCTACTCCACAGCTTCCAATGGTTGGAGTCACTGGACGCTAAAAAATCACTTATATGAAAAATATGGATTGAATTGGTTACGTATCTTACAAGACTTCAGGTTCAACAGTTTTCTTTTTCCCATTTTGGCAAGCATAGATAGAGAACTCAGAAATGTGTCCTTGGCTACTAAGAGGGGAGGCAGATCCAGGACACACATGGAATAAAGCAAAGCCAATTTAATAATGGTGCCCTTTATCCAAAGATGAATGAAAGACATCAGTCGTCCTCTAAACATTAATGGAGGGACACAAAACCAAAAGGCAATGGTTGAGAGGCAAAGGAAGTGACCTAGAGAGGGTATTGAGTAGTCAAAATAGTGGAGAATTGAGAAGAGGAACTTGGGTTTGGGGAGGTGTCATAAGGGTAATAAGAGTGTCAATTGCAACTTTTTCATTAGCTTAAAAGAAGAAGTTGTTGATGTTTAACATTAGTTGTAATAATCTAAGAGGGACCAAATGTACACTGTGTTGAGATATTTTAGGCAGAGTAATCAAGACAGAGAGAGCATACTTTATTCACACTGTGACTAAACCTAGCGCACTGCCAAAAAATAGGATTTGGAACAAATTTTGGAATAAAAACTACTCATCTGTTTTGCAAAAAGAAATCAGAAGCACATCAGCATAATCAGTAATTTTAAACTTGCCTATTAAGTCAGGACACTGATCGCTAACAGATGCATATATTTGCAAATTTCTTCAACAAAGTTGACAAGTTCTGTATCACAGGTCTCTTCTTGCTGCCCTGTAATATATGTTTCTGAATTTCTAACTATGCTCTCATTGCTAATGATTCTGTGTATCTCTGTCATTTCAGAGATACCCAGAGTGGTTTCTATTGACCAGTCAAATTCTGCATTGTGAGAAAGCCCAAAAGTAGGCCTTTAACCAGGTCTTGATAGTTAATAATTTTCTGAACTCAATGCAAATTGAGCAAAAACGATTGGCCATTAGTAGTAGTCAATGGAAAAAGCCCCTGCTTTAGTCTGGAGACTAAATGTGTAAACACTCTGGGCTGTACCTGAAGCACTGTGGTGAAGGGCATGGGCTTCAAAATATATTCTGAATGAGCAAATGGGCTCCCAGGGTAACTTAGAATGTAGTTTATGAACTAGCTCATTTTGGAAGTTACAAATACAATGTACCACAGTGGGGGAAATGTGGTATTCACAGCTGAAGACTTATCTAACAGTGACAGTGAGAATGGAATAATGGAATAATGACACATAAGTATGAATGAAGCTGTATCTCTTTGCTTCAAATTTGGCCAACAACCACACGTGAGCTGGGAACAACATGGCTACATACCACAATCCCCTACATCCTCAAACTGGTGACATTTATCAGCCAGCCATTTCTCACAAATGTGGATTTTTATAGATAGGAGTTATGAAAAGTACATGCACATTGAAGATCCACAATTCTGCTGAAGGTCTTTCATGAGAATTTTGAAAATTTCCTTCAAAATCAAACTGTTTTCCCTCAAACAAAGCCTGAGCTATGAAAACAGGTTTAAGTTGCCAAAGAATTCACCTGTGATTGTTTGTAGTCTAACATCTAAAGGACTGGAATGGAATGTCAGAATGTCAGTCAGAAAATATTTTCTTTCTATCTATCTATCTATCTATCTATCTATCTATCTATCTATCTATCTATCTATCTCTACTTTGGCCTGGAATTAAACTTGAGAAATTTAGAAACATCATTCTTGTGCCCCTCCTTTTAAAAACGAAAAACAAACACCAAAAAATACAGCTAATGGGCATATTTCATTAGAAACAAAAGAAACATAAAAAACTGTTAGAAACAAAAGTAAGCGTATCAGTCAGTAACTTTAAACACAAGAAGCACACAGACTTCCCAAACTAAACATGAAGAGTATTAAAAGGAATCTTTAACAATGGCACACAAGTGTGAATAAAAATCTCTCCATCTTTTCTGATAGTCTCTCACTAACTCCACCTTAAAATCTCACAAAAGCCTTACTTTTGCACTTCCATAGGAAACTTTCCTTCAGTAACCAATTTCCTTGCCATCGCTTTGCCACTTAGGTGACAGGAAGAACTTTGCTTAATACTGGACAACATTCCCAGCACTTTACGTATAATAATTTCAAATTCACACACACACAAACCAGTAAGGTAGTTAAATATTCTCGGCCGGGTGTGGTGGCTCACGCCTGTAATCTCAGCACTTTGGGAGGCTGAGGCAGGCAGATCACGAGGTCAAGAGATCGAGACCATCCTGGCCAACATGGTGAAACCCCGTCTCTATTAAAAATACAAAAATTAGCTGGGCATGGTGGCGCGTGCCTGTAGTCCCAGCTACTCAGGAGGCTGAGGCAGGAGAATCGCTTGAACCCGGGAGGTGGAGGTTGCAGTGAGCTGAGATCACCGTACCACCGCACTCCAGCCTGGTGACAGAGCAAGACTGTGTCTCAAAAAAAAAAAAAAAAAATTCTCACCATGCTATAGATGAGGAAGCTGTAGAACAGTGACAGTGAGGTTGAATAACTTGCCCAGTGGCTTCGGTGGCAGATCTCAAGTCCACACTGTTATCCACTTATGTATTGATTGCCGCCTCTCTATCACAGAGCCATTTGCACTTACTGGTAAATTATTTTAGAGTTTGGTAGTGCTATATTTACAGGACATTAGATAAATACTGCTGGATGGTTACAAATTTGTAGGGGTACGAGCATCTGCGATTACATGTGATTTTGTGTGTGTGTGCCTGTGTGTGTGTGTGTGTGTAAGAGGGGTTATAGCTGAAGTTTATTTCAATGAGTTCACATACAGAAGAAAAGAAATGTACATTTTGTTGAGGGCCTACAATGTGCTAGTCAGCATATTATGTTTTCTGCTAACTTAATCATCAAAACAATCCTGCAAAACAAGTGTTCTCTTTCTAGTTTTTAAATTCTAATGTGTGTTTTCTTTTTCTTTTTTCTTTTGAATAATAGTTATTATTATTTTAAATAGGGAGGAGTTCTCACTATGTTGTCCAGGCTGCTCTCGCACTCCTGAGCTGAAGTGATCCTCCCGTTTCAGCCTCCCAAAGTACTAGGATTACAGGCATGAGCCACCACGCCCAGCCCGTGTTTGTTTTTTAAACAGATATGGGAACTGAGGCTTCGTGAGGCTAAGCAAACTATTAAATTAATGTCACATAGGTAGTAGATGGCAGAAGACAAGACACCCCCACTCCAAACATACCTTCTGGTGTCCTATACTATTTGCCCTTCTGTTCTCTTCTTTAGTTCCCAAAGACCCAGAGAGCTCAATTGTTCACAGGATCCAGTCTGTCCCCCAGGTGACTGTATTTATAATGGTAGAGCATATAATATTTGTCTCATATTTTAACACTTTTAAGAATGCTTTATTGGACCGGGTGCAGTGGCTCATGTCTGTAATCCCAGCACTTTGGGAGGCCAAGGCGGGTGGATCACCTGAGGTCAGGAGATCAGGAGTTCAAGACTACCCTGGCCAACGTGGTGAAACTCCGTCTCTACTAAAAATACAAAAATAGCCGGGCGCGGTAGCTCACGCCTGTAATCCCAGCACTTTCGGAGGCCGAGGCGGGCGGATCACGAGGTCAGGAGATCGAGACCATCCTGGCTAACAAGGTGCAACCCCATCTCTACTAAAAATACAGAAATTAGCCGGGCGTGGTGGCCGGCGCCTGTAGTCCCAGCTACTCGGGAGGCTGAGGCAGGAGAATGGTGTGAACCCAGGAGGCGGAGCGTGCAGTGAGCCGAGATTGCACCACTGCACTCTAGCCTGGGTGACAGAGCGAGACTCCATCTCAAAAAAAAAAAACCAAAAAAACCCAAAAATAGCCAGGTGTGGTGGCACATGCCTGTAATCCCAGCTACTCAGGAGGCTGTAGCTGGGAGGAGGCACAAGAATTGCTTGAACCCAGGAGGTGGAGGTTGCATTGAGCTGAGATCCTGTCATTGCACTCTAACCTGGGCAACAAGAGTGAAATTACATCTCCAAAAAAAAAAAAAAAAAAAAAAAAGAATGCTTTATTGACTGTTTTTGTTTACATCTCCCAAGTACTGGCAAACCCCTTTAAATTTAGAGGCTACTGAATCCAGAAGCCTGGTTCCATCCATGGTCTTAGTGTAAACACTGTCTTCATAATTGTGGCCACAGTTGTTTCTGGGCTATAACTGAGGTGACATTTCCTAGATATACCCCAGAAATCATTTCTTAGTTCTGCTTTCCAGAGTGTCTGAAAAGCCACACCAGAAAAATTAAATACAAGTATTTCAAACAGTTTGACCATAAGTAACTGTAAGAAATATTTTGATATTGAGACCGAGTACACATGGATATATGTGTGTAAATACATATGCACAACAAAAAAGATTTTTTTTTTTTACAAAACAGTGTGTTCTCTTATAACAATTGATTTTTTTTTTTAACATGAAATCCACAAAAGTCTGTATATGACTCCCTAATCATGCTGCAACCAACAGTTTGAAAAACAGGGATGGAGAACATACTGTTCCAATTTTAATTAATATTTTGCACAGAATGGAATTAAAAAAGTCTTGTTCAGACAAAATAAATAACATTTATTGATTTCCTTTCATTTATTTGTTCTAAATGTACTTAAAATGAGGCTGTCATTGTTATCCATGAGGTGGGGAATGGATAGGTTCCCTTTTCACTACATGCACCCTTCTATACCTTTTGAATTTTGTACCAGCTTGAGTGCATTGTCCATGTGAAGGTTAGGTAAAACAGGCGGGGTGCGGTGGCTCACGTCTGCAATGTCAGCACTTTGGGAGGCCGAGGTGGGTGGATCACCTGAGGTCGGGAGTTCGAGACCAGCCTGACCAACATGGAGAAACCCTGTCTCTACTAAAAAAATACAAAATTAGCCGGGGTGGTGGTGCATGCCTGTAATCCCAGCTACTCGGGAGGCTGAGGCAGGAGAATTGCTTGAACCCAGGAGACGGAGGTTGCAAAACTCCGTTTCAAAAAAATAAAGTTAGGTGAAACAAAATTTTTACTCTTCTGAAAGTCAAATTTTTAATTGGGGCTGGTTCTGCCTTGCTTGATTTCATTTTGTTCTTAGTGTTTTAAGACTGATTTCTGGAAAACAGTTTTTGAAAGAAGAGTAGCAAAACTTCAGGTCTGTGGCTTTCTAAAGCATAATTCTCCATTTTCTAAAAGTATTGATCCGCCTTGGGCTCTTTGTCAGTTTTATGCACTTTTGTAATACTCTTTGCGTTTTCAAGATGGATAGCCAATGGTGTTTTGATAAACTTGGTCAATTTCTTTACTACCCTAAAATGCAAGTAACTGGCCTTCTAGCTTTAAATATATTCATCTTATTCAAATAGTATTTCAACAGATTTTCTCCCTATAGCATCTTCAGTTTTTGTCCCCTCTAAAATGGCATATGATCCTGGCCTTAAATAAAATATTTTTATCTTTAAATTTTAAAAGAAAGAGTGGCCAGGCGCGGTGGCTCATGCCTGTAATCCTAGCACTTCAGGAGGCCCAGGTGGGTGGACTACATGAGCTCAGGAGTTCGAGACCAGCCTGGGCAAGGTGGTAAAACCCCGTCTCTACTAAAATAAAAAAACTTGGCCAGTTTTGCAATGAAAAGAGAAACCTGAAGGTAGCATAGGAGCACAATATTGACATGTTAACAAACTGATCATTGCTGCCTCTTTCCTTATAGACCTTCTTTTTGAGAAATGCACACTTGAGCCAAAAGAAGATACATAAGCCTGAGTCCTCTATCACTTACATTCTTTCAAATCAAAAGCAGCTCCCAATGTTGGGGGTCTTGTCTGCCTTCACCATTTGAAAGAGGAAGTGTAGATTATATGAAAACATCATCAGTCTCAGGAAAGAGAGGGTTAAATTCTGCATGAGACTCAGACCTTCAATACATCTCAGTGAGTCATGCAAAAATGCACAGACCGGCTCCTGCTTTAGTTCTGCTGTCTCTAAAAGCAGCTATATTTGATTGTCCTGAAGCTGATGTAGCATTATGTGTCAGAGGAGCTAAATAACTTCTATAACTCAGAAACAGACTTTTTGTTTTTAATGTAGAGAAACTTGTTTAAATGCCAAGAGTCCTCTGGGCATATATATGAAATTTTAAAACACTACATGTAAGAGTGAGGAGAGATGAGTAACCACCTAAGACAGAAATAGTGAGAAAAGGTATCTAGGGAAAAGAAGGTGTGTCTTAATAAATATCAGGCAGACTGTGAAATGTGTACATGAACTGCATTTTAGACTCTATCTCTTTAAGTGTTAATGCATTGCGACTACTAAATGCATTATTAAAATGGTGCCGATTGCTCAAACCTTTGTACCCAAAGCACTGGATTATGTTATCCAAAATTTTAAAAATACAAACAAACACTTTTCATAACAAAAGTTCTCTCAGACTTTTGACCTCTCTCTTTCTGGCATTACACGAAGCTAGAACTTGCAGGGGTTGGAGAATGTGGCCTCTGATCACTAACCAGGGTTTTCTCTTTACACTGGCTTGTTTACTTATTTCTTCACCAAAGCCAGGGAACGTCCCTTTAGCTACTGCAGCATTTCTAACAGATGCGACAAATCACAGGGGTGTATTTTGACTGCTACTCTGTCATGTGAACAAGAGAAACACTGAAATCTTTTCCCAGTCCCTGTGCTTCATCCTTGTTTTCCCAAAATGTTTGTAAACTGCTCCAGAGAATTCTTCTTTTAATATTTGAGTCTTCTTTCCTCTGGTAGATTAAAATGTTAATACTTACGTTAATAAGATAAAATGTCATTAACTGGAAATCATTTTGCATCTCTGTTATCTATTCTGGCATTGTCATTTCAGTATTGTGGCTGATTGGAGGTCCAAGAAACTATTTTAATGTAAGATTACAGAACTAGACACTAGAAATTATTTCTATGTTCATTATTTTAAGGTTTTGAAAATGAGCTGATCATTTTCATTAGAATATCCTGGCAGTAGTATTCATGTTTCATTATAAATAAAATGTCCATTAGAATTTGTGAAATATAAAACAAAAGGTGCTTCATATTATATATGTAAATGCAAAGGTGCCTTAATTCCCACTGATCTTTGACAGCCTAAATGAAAGATCTCCCTGCATTTCTGTGTATTTGCCATCATTGTTAAATTGCCACAAAGTTGCTTTCGACTTTTTAATCATTTGGGAGAAGGCAGCAGTACTGGCAGGAACTTCAAGTAACTTAGCAAAGTGTGTTGCCCTCCTTTTCCTCCACCCAACAACCTAAAATTACCAGCTTTCCATAAAAATTGTAAACTTTCTAACATTCATTTCATTCACTCAAATATAGATTTGTAAGGTTTTTTTAAAGCATATTATTCCAGCATCACTGATTTGTTTAGTTATGAAACACCCCACATTCCATAGAAAGTAATACTTAGGCTTTGTATTACATTTGCTAGGTAGGTAACTGTTTCAGGTCAAAAAACATTGCCCTGAACTCTCTGGCTGCTGCAGACATTCCTGCTTACAACACTATGGACTGCGAATATTGTGCACAAACTCTTTTGTCTTCAGCCCAAGAGATGGAATTCAGCAAACATGCAGTTGACTTTTTCTATAAGAACAATAATTGCTGCACTACTAAATCTTGCAACTTCTATATTAAGACAAACTTGATGAAAAATGGGTCAAAATTTGAGGCTCAATATCAGCCTCATTTGGCAACAGAGCCAATCCTCAGTAATCTGTGGAAATGGCAGGCAGGGAGAGTAGGGAACATCTCCAAAACCCATTTTAGCAATATTCCAACAGTTCCAGTTATCAGAGCTCTTAACAAAGAGCAGAATTTAAGGTTCTTCCTCAATTCTCAGGCCACCCTGGAGGTGAGGTGAGAGAAAGGGAGGAAAGGGCAGGCTCCTGACTCTCTTTACTGAGGAAAAAAACAAAAACAAAAAGACAGAAAGGAGGAGATTAAGACCAACACATAAGGCCACAAAGAAAGGGAGAATGATGACTGTTTTGAAGCGATTTGCATTCTTTTAGCAGACCTGAGTAAAAGGAAAGCCCTCCCGAAAAACACAAAAACACTGCCCCACTCACTTCATTTCTTCCTGAAGGGCAGGCTCAACAGGACTAAAAATCTGCTCCTTGAACAGGAGATTTGCTAAACAATCCATGCATAGTAGTAACATTCACCTTACATTTAATAATTACTTTATAAGTGTCAAAGCAATGACAATGAAGTAAAACAAGTAGATTGATTTTTCAATAAATGAGCTACAAATTTAAGACTTCCAAAACACTGGTCTAAAAAAATTGTCAAGATAGGCAATATTCCAATTGATACTGTCACTGCTAAACATTAGTATTTCCACTGGAATTATCTAGAGAGTTAGTTAACAAGACATTCAAGACAAACAGTCTCAATGCCTAGTAGATATCACCTCATCTTTGACCATATCTGGAAGGGAACCAACATGATTCAAAATATTCACCAGACTTGGCTCTGAATAACCGCCAGCTAAATAAAAAATAATAATAACCTGCAATACAAAGCCCAAGACTGTCCAACACCAAGGACATCTAAAGATGACAATGGTTTCTGAAGAAATTATCGCATTATTTTATTGATCCCAACAATGACTCCATCAAATCAGTAAAATAAAAAAAATTTTAAAAAAATCAGGCCGGGGGCGGTGGCTCACGCTTGTAATCCCAGCACTTTGGGAGGCTGAGGCGCGCGGATCACGAGGTCAGGAGATGGAGAACACGGTGAAACCCCGTCTCTACTGAAAATACAAAAAATTAGCGGGGCTTGGTGGTGGGCGCCTGTAGTCCCAGCTACTCGGAGAGGATGAGGCCGGAGAATGGCGTGAACCCGGGAGGCGGAGCTTGCAGTGAGCTGAGATCGCGCCACTGCACTCCAGCCCGGGCGACAGAGCAAGGCTCCGTCTCAAAAAAAAAAAAAAAAAATCAGCTCTCACAAAGACTGTGGAAGAAGTCCTTAGTGAAGTGATAAAAGGCCAAATTATAAGACAGATGCCTAGCCTGTGCCGGGAGTGGAAAAAGCCCTCCGTGAGCAGATTTCACGATTCAAGGTTAAGTCTCTAGAGTGAAAATAAGTGTAGTTTCACAGAAGTTGGCATATAAGGAATTCAACCTTTAGAAATATATACTGTGAATATCCAGAGTTCTATACATTATGGCTTTGTAGATTATAAAACTGTAAAATTTAAGTGTTTCACCAAACTTCCACCATTATTACCTCAAAAAGTTGTATTACACAGAACTTCAACTTTCTATATGACCCGTTTCAGTAATGTGTGCATTTCTTAAAATGAGCACATTTCTCCTGTAATCAGAAGAGGTTGGTTTTTTGTTGTTGTTGTTGTTTTGTTTTTTGTTTGTTTTTAAATAAATAACAGAAAAAGGTGTCAGTATTTGGAAATACTATTCTTCATGGGTAGAAACTTGATAGTGATTATATAGGTGGTTAGGGTGAAAAATAGCATGAGTTCCATTTTTAACTTCTTTCCCAGAACATTTAACCTAAAACAACCTAAGACACCGAAGTTAAAAGGCTTGCTAAGTCAGAAAATTCAGGAAGGGAAGCTTGAATGCAGGCAGTCTAACCAAAGGCAGTGGAGGAAATGCTGGAAAACTACGGTCTTAAAAGAGCATAAGGGCCGGGTGTTGTGGCTCACACCTGTAATCCCAGCACTTTGGGAAACCGAGGCGGGCGGATCTCGAGGTCAAGAGATCAAGACCATCCTGGCCAACATGGTGAAATCCCGACTCTACTAAAAATACAAAAATTAGCTGCGTGTGGTGGCACGCACCTGTAGTCCCAGCTACTGGGGAGGCTGTGGCAAGAGAATTTCTTGAAACCAGGAGGCCAAGGTTGCAGTGAGCTGAGATCGCGCCACTGCACCCTAGCCTGGCAACAGAGCAAGACTCTGTCTCAAAAAAAAAAGAGCATAAATGTTTAATAGACAAACCAAATATTGTAAATTTAAGGTAGCATTTCTAGCGATACCTAACAAATTACCATCACTTTGTATAAAAATAACAGATTTTAAATACACTGTTTATATGTGTTCTTAAAATGGCATGCAAACATTATAAAATCCTTTTATAGCCTTGTAATATTTCAGATCAAATAATAGCTCTGAAAGAGATGAGAGAAGATACTGTCCATCCCTTTAGATAAGCAAATATTGTAGTCTTCCAGAAATAAAGATTCTATAACTGGCTGATAGTCCTCTTCATGGTTTTGATTGTTTTATGGGTTCCATGCTTGTATGCATCCCATGAAGTCTCTCAGTTCCCTAGCTCTTATTTGGTCACTCTCCTTTGTATCACTAAAGACAACAATTTAGTTTTGTCTTGAATGATTGAGGACTTGCATTATTACTCACTGGCTGCATTTAACCCAGGCTATGCAAGTTGAAAAACAAACAACAAAAAATAATATTTCTTTTCTTTTTTTTTTTTTTTGAGACGAGGTTTTGCTCTTGTTGCCCAGGTTGGAGTGCAACAGTGAGATCTCAGCTCACCACAACCTCCACCTCCCAGCTTCAAGCAATTCTCCTGCCTCAGCCTCCCAAGTACCTGGGATTACAGGCATGTACCACCACACCCAGCTAATTTTGTATTTTTAGTAGAGATGGGGTTTCTCCATGTTGGTCAGGCTGGTCTCCAACTCCCAACCTCAGGTGATCCACCCGCCTCGGCCTACCAAAGTGCTGGGATTATAGGTGTGAGCCACCACGCTGGACTCTTTTTTTTTTTTTAGATGGAGTCTCGCTCTGTCGCCAAGGCCGGAGTGCAGTAGTGCAATCTCGGCTCACTCACAAGCAATTCTCCTGCCTCAGCCTCCTGAATAGCTGGGACTACAGGCATGCACCACCACACCCGGCTAATTTTCGAATTTTTAGTAGAGACGGAGTTTCACCATGTTGGCCAGGGTGGTCTTGAACTCCTGACCTCAGGTGATCCACCCACCTCAGCCTCCCAAAGTGCTGGGATTACAGGTGTGAGCCACCACGCCCGGACTTCTTTCTTTTTCCTACTTTCTTTTATTCAATTTTAAGACATCTCTATTAGTTTTGAAAACTGAGTATAGAAAGCTAATTTCATTTTACAAGTTAAAAATATGCAAGCCAATGAATTTAAGTTGGTAAGTTTTATCTCATATAGGTTAAGCATCCCTAGTCAGAAAATCTGAAAAATCTGAAACCACCTTTGCAAAGATTATGACAGTGAGAGAAGTCTAGCATGACTGATTCCATCTTGCTTCTAACCTCACAGGCTGGCTGTCCTCACTCATTCCCAGGCACAGGCCAAGCTAACCATTGGAGAGATTTAGTTTAAATTTTAACTTTGAAACAATGATGATGCTAGTTGCTCCCTAAAATTGACACTTTCCTTGTTCAGGGACTGAAACTGCCTCTGTAAGATTAATTTTGAAAAGCCACAAGATTAGAATTATGGGAAGGGCCTGAATTCTGGTAAGATGCAGGCATAGCTTACCTTCCTATAAGGCACCAGAGGTCACAAGATTTGTGACTTCCCCACTTGCTACTATAAATAACATCACTATTGTAGAACTTAAGATTGGTCCTTTGAGATATTTCTTCATCCTGCATCCTGGCAACTGACTGACTCCATCTAGACCTGTGACTCATGACTCAACCAGTTCTGTGGCCCCACCCACAGGCTGACTCAGCACACAAGGGCTGTTCTCCACACCCCTATGATTTCACTTGTAATCAATCAGCAGCACCCATTCCCTTACCCCCCCACCCAACAAACTACCCTTGAAAAGCTCTAACCTCTGAACCTCTGAGGAGACAGACTTGAGTAATAACTCCCATCCTTCCACTAGGCTGCCTTGCAATAATTGAACTCTTTCTCTAATGCAATAATGCTGTCTCAGTGAATTGGCTTCATCTGCACAGTGGGTAAGAAGAACCCATTAGGTGATTACAAAATCTGAAATATTTCAAAATCTGAAACTTTTTGAGTGCTGACATGACACTCAAAGATCATGCTTAAAGTTAATGGTTATTGGAGCATTTTGGATTTCAAATTCTCAGATTAGAGATGTTTAACAAACAAATGAAGGATCATAGGGAACTTCACCCCAAAACACTACTCCCTGGTATAATGAGTATTTTGAATTAAAGGCTCTTGGAGAACAACAGACACTGGAAGAGATTTTTTCCCACTCTACCTAAAGATCCAAGGGAATCACAAGGAGAACAACTGTTTTTCTTCTCCTCCCTGTTATCTTGTACCTATTGCAGAAAAGAAGACCAAGAATGTAAGGACACCTGAGCAGACCCAAAGAGAACTATTTACAAGTTAATCTCTGTTCTTCATCCATTAATTCTCCCAAGTAATCATTTATTGCCCTTCATCAGAATTCCTCTTGTCCCCCATCCCATAACCTGTTTTGCCAGGACCCAAGTCCCCATTCTTTTTTTTTTTTTGAGCTAGAGTCTTGCTCTGTCGCCTAGGCTGGAGTGAAGTGGCATGATCTCAGCTCACTGCAATCTCCATCTCCTGGGTTCAAGCTATTCTCCTGTCTCAGCCTCCCAAGTAGCTGGGATTACAGGCACACGTCACCATACCTGGCTAGATTTTTTTTTGTAATTTTAATAGAGACGGGGTTTCGCCATGTTGGTCAGTCTGGTCTCAAACTCCTGACCTCAGGTGATCCACCCGCCTCGGCCTCCCATTCTTTTTTAACCTCAAGATCGTATATAAGCTTCTGAGCTCCTGAACCCCTTTAGGGTGTATGTAATCACTCTGTGGTTCTGCCCTGTGTGCAAGTTAATATATTTGTGTGCCTTTTCTCTTCATCTGCCTTTTTGAATTGATTTATCAGTGAACCTTCCAAGGGTGAAGGGAAGGTTTTCCCTTTGCCCCTATATAAGTGAAATACAAATATTCCTAAACCCAGGCCAGGCGCGGTGGCTCACACCTATAATCCCAGCACTTTGGGAGGTCAAGGCAGGTAGATCACCTGAAGTCAGGAGTTCGAGACCAGCCTGCCCAACATGGCAAAACCCCGTCTCTACTAAAAATACAAAAAACTAGCCAGGCATGGTGGTGGGCACCTGTAATAGCTACTCAGGAGGCTGAGGCAGGAGAGATTGCTTGAACCTAGGAGGCAGAAGTTGCGGTGAGCCAAGATCGCACCACTGCACTCCAGCCTAGGTAACAATAGCGAAACTCCATCTCAAAAAAAAAAAAACAAAAACAAAAACAAACAAACAAACAAACAAAAAAACACAAATGTTCCCAAACCTGAAAAAAATCCAAAATGTGAAACACTGCTAGTCCCAAGCATTTTGGATAAGGGATGCTCAACCTGTATCAGGTATTCAGTTTAACTATCTCCTTAACATCCATACATAAGTTACTCTTTTATTAAGCTGAACATCAGGCAGGCTTTTACATTATAAATCTTCATAAAATGATTACGGATATTAGACTCACAGAACTTTAGAGTTGGGACACTTTTTAATAATGTTACCTTAATCATTCCACTATTGACATGGCAAACATTTTAGATGGTCACAACACATTTGGTTGTCCCTTAATTATGTCAATAATCTTTCTTTTATTAAAGAATTATGTATATTAGAAAACATAGCTTGAGGTGTGTATGGGTGTGTTGCTGGTGCTCAGGACACACCATCCCAAAATATGACTGTGAGAGACCAGAATGTGCAACCCCAAAATACACCCCTTTGGCATCTTTTGAGCTTGTTCTGAAAACCTATACTTTTATAAAGGAAAGTTCTATCTCTAAAAGAAGTCTACATTAGTAAAGTAACTGTATCAGGAAGAAGGCTGCTCTATTACCAGAGAGACTTTATCTGCATAATAATACAACTTTTATTCACCATACAGCTCCATTCCTCACCCTCCTGTAACTTGTGTCACCACCACCCAGAAGGCCCAAGCCCTTTTCCTTTCTGTAGCTGAGGATGTTCTATAAACTTCAATCATCTGACCTTTCCCTTGTCTCATGTTTTGTGGAACTCCTTTGCGGCTACCGGTAATTAAAGTGGTTTTTCTCCTGTTAATCTGTCTTCTGTCAGTTCATGTCTTAGGCTTGGTTGTTGAACATTCAGAGGGTAGAGAGAAAGTTCTCTCTCCCTTATAGTGTATAATATATAATTTGCTTCCTTTGAATTTTTTCCAAGTGTTTGTCGTTCCCTGTCAAGTAATCTTCACGAAATCCCTGTGAAAGAGATGGTAAGTAGACAGTGAAAAAGGGGCAGTCATTGATGCTCCTGGCCATGGAACGAGTGCAGGACAGGTTCCTCTTGCAGGCCAGTTTCATGGGTGTGTCACCTGTGCAGTCACAATCCACAGGACTCATAAGGGCCCACACTTGCTTTAACACTCTGCTGTCACTACCATGAAATTCTTTATTTTTAAACAAGAAGCCCCACATTTTCATGTTGCTTTAGGACCACAAGTTATGTAGCCTTTCTGCTCCTTTGTCTTTAACACCGGCTCCCCACCCCATGACAATTAATGAACCTCTAGAAGAGTTGCAAACACAGTAAAATTGTTTTTCCTCAGGCCTCCACTTATTGCTGTGTGCTGAGAAGCTCATCACAGCATGCTACAGACCTCGCTCAAATGCAACCTTATTTTCTTACCTCAGTACAGTCTATGTTAACCTCCTCATGCTACATTTTACATATAGGACATTCCCTCTGACTTTTCTGAGGAGTCAAATGCCTTATAATACCTTCTAAAATATCTTCTCAAAATATATTCTACCATCTTATGCATATACTGTCATCTATTTCCCTCCCTCTTATTTAAAACAAATTTTTGAGAACGGAGAGATCGATTTCATGGTTGGAAAGACCAACTCTGTAAATGATGATAAGCCAAAGAAAAGCAAAGACAACAGCAAAGAAAGTGAATTTGCCAACATGTTAATCGTGGTGCGTCCTCTACTTTTCTCTCAAGTTCTGGCATTGGATTTGCTCCGCCTTTGTCGCCTCTGCCCTGTGTTGCATCCAGCTCTCTGTTGAAACTGAAACATCATAACAACAATGAGGATAATAGTGTGTATGGAATCTTCATCAGTATATTTGACCTTAGAATCCACCCGTGAGCACAAGAGAGAGCTTAGGCTTGACATATTTCCCTAAAATGGTGTGTCTGTTCACTCACATGCAAACATGTGCACCCTGGCCAGTCATTTTTATTACCTTCAAATGAACTGTCATGAAGTGGAGTGAGGTCTGAATGTGCTTTGGTGTTTTCAGCTTGGTATGTCTCTGCCAGGCTCTCCTGGTTCTAAGGCATTGACACAGAGCTGTCTCACCTCCAGTCCCAAATACAGCTCCACAGAATTATCAGGGGCCCTGCAGCCACGATTCTCTAGGCTATTATGATAACTTCACTACTAGCTGCATTGTTACCAGCTCAGGTTGACATTCCCACACCACCCAGAAGGAGCATGTTCTGTCAGAGTTTCTGGGGGAATCAGTGCCTTTGTGGAAGAAAAAAAAAAAAAAAAACCCAAACCAAACCAAAGCAACAACAACAACAACAACAAAAACCCACAACAAACCCTCCCAAAGGGAAGGCTAGAAAAATGAGCCAGAGGCAGTAACCAGGGTCTTTTGAAAACTAGTTTTTAAAAGGCCTCCTTTTCCTTCCCATTCCATCTGTTCTCTAACCCTTCCATTAACCCCCAGAGCCTCTTGTTCTTGCTCCCTTCCCCAGAACTTAAGCAATAGACAAAAGACACTCTCACTTCCTTACACGTCAAGAAAATCGGAATGGACTTCAGTATGGCTAAGGCAAATCTGAAGAGGAAAATTAATAAACCACCACATTACTAGATAGATACCATAAACAATCAGGATTTGAAGAATAATTCTAAAAATAAGAAAAAGGGGTAAACATTTTTTTTTAAATGAGCAGCATTTAGAAGTACCGAAATACCCATATAATCACTAGGCTTGTTGCCTAGTGAAGAAGCACATTCCACATGTTCATCATAGTTTTTAAAAAATATCTGGATTCAAATCCAACTGTACCGCCAAGTTTACCTGTATTTTGGTTTACATAAGCACAAAAACTCTAATGCTTCACAAAACCATTAGCTCAAATGCACATTTTTTTTTCTGTGAATTTCACTTTAAAGGTTTAGTGGATTGATTTATAATTTGTTGCCTTTTGTCTTTTTCAACAGTATGTCATTAAGTCTTTAATTTGGTGTTTCCTGTAGTCTGCAGTAGGATATATGCTATTTTAAATCCAAGGATTGCAGACATAGATGGTGGGTAAAAATCTGTGAACCATAAGTAAATTCTTATAAGGAACATACAAAAAAGATTGTTCTTCAGTCAGACTTAAGCCATTACTTTTTTCTAAAGAAGAAAAGGCACAAGTTAAGAAAAAGGCACCGTCAAAGACCTTCTGCCCAAATGTGCATCTCCATGAAGTTTCCTGCTGAGTGCATATGAATGCACCGTGATCTGGGAAAAGGATCCAAATAGGATTTCAAACATCCAAAAATTTTAACTCAAACATTTAGGTATTTCACCATGCTGCTATTCATTCATTCACTGATTTTTTTTGTCTTAGTTTAAAGAGATGCTAAACAAAAGGAGGCAAGCTCTACATGTATTTACATTCCAAAACTAAGCTCCCCTCACCATCCCCCAAGTCTGTCATCCCTTCACAGCTAAACAAACCGTAAAGTCTAGCCTTAACTTGGGGAAGAGAAGTAACAAACATGTAAGAAAGTTTCTCCCTTTTCTTCAACAAAACAGAACTAAACACCCGGAGTGAATAATCTATTATAGTTCCCAATGTTGTTGTTTTTTTCTATAATCTGCACAATTTAAGATAATGCATGTAGGCTAAATTAAGGAACAAGATCAGATTCTTTACGAATTTGGTACTATTGAGTTCTTTATTGTTAAACAGTTTTTTGTCAATGAAATGCATTGGCATCTTAACTACTAAATTTAATGAAAAAATATGTATGTTAATTTATTTATAAAATTGATGAATTTATTATCATAAAGTATAAGACTTTCTGAAACACCCTGAAAAAGATAAACAGGTTTTTTTTTTTTCTTTTTATGTTCCTAACCCAGTTGAGACGTACCTAAGTTTGTCATCTAACAGTGAAGGTTTTTCCAAGTGATTTTATTTATGCCCTTATCCACATATGTCAAAGGTAAGTAAACGACGTATTGTTTAAGTAGGTTTCCATTTGCTTTGAGATAAGGCTAAAGCAATTAATTCTCTGGTAGTTTTTATTTTTAAGAGGGTCTACATTATTATTTCGGAAGCTTTATCTTAACAAATGATCTGAGAATCTTCATATCTACTTAAAGTAGTGTTCGGTAAAACTACAGAGGGCTATACCTAGAAATCTATTATTTGTTGGAAGGATTTCTTAAAAGCCTTCAATTAATATCATATTGAACGACAGTTAAGTATGTTGGGGCCATGAAGTCACTGAATTATCTCAATCTCTGAATGTATTTACAAATTTTCAAATTTCAACTTTAGATCTTCTGCATATGCATAATTCCAGAAATGTAATAAACTACATCCTAAATTTGAAAAGGAAATGTGAATATTATGACATTCTAATGCTCATGCCAATGTAGCCTTATACAAACATACACTTGATTCTGTAAAAAATCTGGAACAAAAAGTAATATTTATAATTGGGTTGTTATAAATTGAAGAATCAAGTAGGAATGTAAGCACCATCTATTTCCATTTTTTAAAAAACCAGACCTATACTTTCACTGCTTTTCACAAAATATCTACAAAAGCATTAAACTCTTTCATCTACAGCACACTTTGCAATTATTCTCTTCTTCTCACATCTGAAAAGCAAATTAGCAGTTCTCAAATGTGACGCTACAACACCAGACAAAATTGTAAGCTCTGAGCTTTGTTAAAACTAGTATGAAAAAACTAAATATATCTGTAGATCTAAAAGAAATATAACCAAAAAAGTAAACATATGAAGTATTAAAGTTACTTATAATTGGAAATATCTGAAATATTAAAATGAGATTTTAAAAATCAGTGGTGACCCTCCCCCTCTCACACTGTCAATGGAGACTGTGTACGTTCCAGGAACCTGGACTGGCACTGGGGGAATGATGTGTCCTTTCCCCTCCTTACAGGAGCAGTGTCAGCGGAGGCCTACTAGTTAGGACTTTCACCACCACCTTGCAGTACCAAGGCCACCCCCCTGCAGTGTCAGTAGAGACTGTACTCAGAGCAGTAAGAATCCCCACCTCTCCCAGAGTGGGGGTATCATGGGAAGGCTGGTAAGGAGCCTGAACTCCTGCCCCTGCCAAGCAATAATGAGGTATGCCTACCCACCAGATGCCAACAAAGACTTAGTGGGTAACCCAGACATCCAACCCCATTGAACAAGTAAAGAGGTAGAGCAGTATCAGACGACATCTACTAGACAGAAGGTCTCAAAAAGATCCATCCAAAATTTCATGAAATAATAGCCAAAGTGTCTAAAATTTGATGAAAAATGACTTGTCATACCAAGAACCAGAAGCACCTCAACTTGAATAAGAAAAGACAGTCAGCAGGGCTTCGTGGCTCACTCCTGTAATCCCAGCACTTTGGGAGGCTCAGGTGGCCGGGAGGTCAGGAGTTCAAGACCAGCCTGGCCAACATGGTGAAACCTGGTCTCTAATAAAAATTAAAAGAAAAAAAAATTAGCTGGCTGTGGTGGCTGGCACCTGTAGTCCCAGCTACTCAAGAGGCTGAGGCAGGAGAATCGCTTGAATCCAGGAGGCAGAGGTTGCAGTGAGCCGAGATAGCACCATTGCACTCCAGCCTGGGTGACAGAGTGAAACTCCGTCTCAAAAAAAAGAAAAGACAGTCAAGAGACACTAACACCAAGACACAGATATCAGAATTTTCTGACAAGGATTTAAAATCAGCCATCATAAAAATGGTTTAGGGCCAGGCACAGTGGCTCACGCCTGTAATCCCAGCACTTTGGAAGGCCGAGGTGGGCAGATAACCTAAGGTCTGGAGTTCGAGACCAGCCTGACCAACATGGAGAAACCCTGTCTCTACTAAAAATACAAAATTAGCTGGGTGTGGTGGCACATGCCTGTAATCCCAGGTACTTGGGAGGCTGAGGCAGGAGAACCGCTTGAACCCGGGAGGCGGAGATTGCAGTGAGCTGAGATCATGCCATTGCACTCCAGCCTGGGCAACAAGAGTGAAACTCCATTTCAAAAAACATAAACAAAAACAAAAAAGCTTTAATGAGCAATAATAAAGAAGCATAAAACAAAAGAAAAAATATAAAACATCAGTAAGTAGAAGATGTAAAGGATCAAATATAAACTTTAGAACTAAACAATACAATAACTGAACAATACAAAAGCTCAGTGATGGACTCAATAATAGAAGAGCGAAAACAAAAGAATCAGCGTACCTGAATTTCTTTAACAGAACAACAGAAATTACTCAATCTGAACAACAAAGAGAAAAAGTCTAAAAACAATGAACAGAGCCTCAGGAACCTGTGGGACCATAATCGAAGATTTCCTTTGTGTCACTGAAGTTTCAGAGGGAAAAAAGAAAGAGGGTGTGGCTGAAAACTTCTTCTAAGAAACAATGGCTGAAAATATCCCAAATTTGGCAAAAAGACATAATGATTGAAGAAGTTTACAGATTGAAGTTTAGAGAACCTCAAACATTTGAAAAACCCATGGAAATCCATGCCAAGATACAACATAATGAAATTTCTGAAAAATAAAGACAAAGAAAAAGCTTCAAAGCAGCAGGGCAGAAAGGGACACCTCACCTAAAGAAGAATAAAAATTAAAATGACAGCAGATTCCTCCCCAGAAACCACGGAAGCCAGAAGGAAATGATGCAACATTTTCAAGTGCTGAAAGAAAAGATCTGTCAAGACAGAATCTGATTCTCAGTGAAAATATCCTTCAGAAATGAAGGGGCAATTGAGACATACTCAGACGAAGGGAAACTCAGAGAATTTGTCACTGGCAGACCTACCCTAAAGAAATGGCTACAGAAAGTTATCAAAATGGAAGAGAAATGATAAAAAGAAGAAATACTGGAACACTGGGAATAAGGAAAATTGAAAAGAGCAAAAATACGCGTAAGTATTATTGGGGCTCAGGAAACAATGTCCCAAAGTATGGTGCTTTGGCATGCTGAGTGCTTTGAATCAAGGTTTCTCTGACCTTCTCCTCACCCTCCTCCAGTCCCCTGCTGCCCCTGTCTCTCATCTCTTGCCCCTCTTTCCCTCCCAAAGTGCAGGAAGGTGCTTTCTCTGAAGTTCCCTTATCTGACTAAGGGAAGTTCCTCCAGAAGAAATGCAATTGCTTTGAGCCCCCCTCTCTATAATCTTATCAAACAGAGAAGATTAGCTCACAGGAAAGGAGACTAAAGGTCAAAACCACCTATTCTGAAGATTGCTAGCTGAGAGACTTTATCCGTATAACAAGACAGCCTCTGCTCATCACACATTTTTCTCCCCTCAAACCTCTATAACCTGTTACCACCTCCCACCAGAAATCCCAGCCCCTTATTTCTTTCTGTAGCTCAAAATGCTATTTAAGCTTCCACCATCAGGCCCTTTTTTGAGTCTCATATTGTGTGGGGCTCCCGTCTATATGCATGTAATAAACGTGTGTGCCTTTTCTCCTGTTAATCTGTATATTGTCAACTTTATTCCAGAGACTCAAATTATTGAACCTTCAAAGGATGGAGGGAAAGTTCCCTTCACCCCTATGCCCTTCTCCTCTTGAGAGATATCATGTTTGATGGTGGAAGAAAAAATTACAACACTGTCTGATGTGGTTCTCAATGTTCTCAAAGAGGAGATATAAAGAAGAATAAGTAGAAATCGTTGAACTGAAAAATGTAATAATGAAATTAAAAACTCAATGGATAGGCTCGACAGCAGGATGGAGAAGTCAGGTCAGTGAACCTGCAGACTGAAAAACAGGAATTACCCAATCTGAACAACCGAAAGAAACTAGACTGAAAAAATAAAAAATATTTAAGACAATTATATTATAAATGAGGAGGGTAAAGGGATGTAGAGAGAGATAATAATTTTTACATTGGACTTGAATTAGTAAAATGTTGACACAAATAGGCTGTTAAAGATTATGGATGTACAGTGTAATACCTAAAACGACACTAAAAATCTAAACAGACACATTTAAAAATATTACAGATATATGGAAATGCAATTATAAACAAAGTTCAAATAACCCTCAGGAAGGCAGGAAAAACAAAACAGTGAAAGGTAAAGAGACGGTTAAGTCGAAAAAGCAAAAAATGAAATGGCAGACTTAAGCTCTAGACTTTCGAAGATGGGAAATACAGGATTGACTCTAAAGGGGTACGACTTTATCTTGATCATGGTGGTGATTACCCAAATCTACACATGTGAAAAAAAAAAAAGACATGGAACTATATGTACACATTATACCGTTGGGGCTCAGAAACTGATACACCAAAATATGGCGCTTTGATGTGCTTAACTGAAGAAGAAGCCTTAGGCCTCTCTGACCTTCCTCCTCCCTTCCTTCTCTCAATCCTCTGCGCCTCCCAAAGCAAAAGATGAAGTTATTCTCTGAAGTTCCCTTATCTGCTGAGAGTCTGGACTTGCCAAAGAAGAAAACAATCACCTCTGGTCCCTTCCCTGAGTTTTCATTAACTGAACTCATATCACAGGAAGAAAGACTGAAGTCTGTCAACACACCTGAGCAGGTTTTTGTCACGAACCATCGTGTCTGCTCTGCTGGCCCAACAGACTTTGTCCTAGGCCGGTGTATGTTCTTCAAGCCCACTGAATTCCCCTAAAAATCATTTACTACTCTCCTAAAATCATCCCTACTTCCCCATCACCCTTTCCCCTGAGAAGAAGGGTATATAACCATCAGCACCCCACTATGTGGTGGATTAATCACTCTGGGATTCTTCCCTGTGTGTGTTAATAAATTTGTATGCCTTTTCTCCTATTAATCTGCCTTTTGTCAGTTGATTTTCAGTGAACCTTCAGAAGGCAAAGAGGGAGGCTTGCCCTTGGCCCCTACGATACAAGTTTCCTGGCTTGGTTGTTGTACTATATGGTTTTATAAAATGCAACCATGGAGAAAACTCGGTGACGAGTACACAGGATCTTTCTCAGCTATCTTTGTAACTTCCTGTGACTCTATAATTATTCCAAAATAAAAATCAATGGCAGTTATGTAACATGAAGCTACATGCAGGTAATGGTACTTTTGCAGATTTGTGAAGAAAACCAAATTCGTGAGTAACATGTACTGCGATGTTAGATTTATCCATACTTTTTAATACTTTGTATTGTATAAAAACTTAGTAAAAAGACACAATTTTAAAATTAATATCTGATACAATTTTACTTGTTATTTTAGGGTCGGTATGGTACTAACTCAATTCATATAATTATTATGTCTCCAGGAATAAGATGTATAATGAGGATTCCTAAGCAAGCCTATGAGTTACTTTGCAAATATTCAAGAAGAATGTATTTATGTTCATCATAACACATAACCCTATTTCCTCATATCTAAACAACATATGGTTACTCATATTTAACCAGAACAGCTAACAATAACAACCTATTACTCAATAATCTGGATAAAGAATTTGTAGTGTCAAGAAAAGAGATATATATACAAATACATATGTATATCTATAGTTAATACAAATACTCACAAAGTATAACATATAAAATCCAGAGGCTTTTGAAAAGGCAATTCAAGAAGGAAAAAAACATTTTTTATGCATTTACCAAATAAGTTAATGTGGAATAAACATTTCATGAAGTGTTCAACATAAAGTGATACAAAAAATGATAAAAGTAGGTTTTATATGTCTATTTGTAGTATGTGTGTTTATGTTATATACACATATTTTTTAACATAAATTTTCCACTTTTACTAAAACCAATAAAGATAAAGGAAAAGTAGGGCCAAATCCCAGGCAGATTTGATATCTACAGAAAAACATGAGAGCACTTTCCTGCCACTAAATGGAAATGAAACAATCCTTTCTTTGTGGAACAAATGGAAAGTGAGGATAGCGACCAAAAGCTTAAGTTTACCCTCACCTGAGTTTTCTTATATCTGCTAGTTGAATACACACATATGATATGATTGCAGAGAGACAAAGGGACCAAAAAAAAAAAAAAAAAAAAGCAAACAACAGTCACATATTGAAAGCACTTCCCATGCCAAGAACAGCAAACCTAATATCATGGCTTGTGAAGGCGATTCTGTAAGGAAACAGAGAATTTAATTCAATTTCTTAAAATTAATTGGAACCTTGAATATAAGATGCTGGACTGATAAAGAACCTGAGGCAAATTTCTAGTACATCATAATCACATTTTCATGAACAAGAATTTAAAAATCGGAAAGTGCTATAACGAAAAGACATGTGTTTCTTTCTGAATAAAAGCAATACCAAGTGATAAGGGATAATCACTGCTTTTCTTTCCTCAGTTTAGTGGGAAAGATCCTATGCTACTGGCAAGTTATTTGTTTGTTTGTTTGTTTGTTTGTTTGTTTGTTTCGGTAATTACAATCCGATCACATTAGTGAGAAAGCTATTTCCCAGGGATAAATTGACCAGGAAGGGATTTTGAATATTTTATGCTACTAGAGCATCATCTTATAACAGTAATAATTTCCGGGAGGATTTTACTTGCCTTGAATATTGTGCATCTTCTTGGAACTTTTTCTTAGAAATATTTATAGAACTTTTCAAATCATAGGTATTGTTATTTCTTAAGGTGCCTCTTTGGGAGGAATATTAGAAATACCAACTTCCTATAATAGCCTCTACCAAGAAGCAGAGGGCTTGATGGGATAATTTCTAAAAACAAACCAAGAAAACCTAAATACATTTTTAGTACCAAGGTGATGACCATTTATCAAAGAAGTAAATAATTTCATGCGTTAAATCATTTCCTTATAGTTTTTCATTAGTAACTGAGTTAATGCTGAATTTTTAGACTGACTAGCTTGTTTCAACTTTGACACATATTGTGTTCAAGAAATAATTATTAAGTGAATAAAAATCATATTCTGCACATAGTAAAAATCAAAGTCTATCTTATAATCTGTCACATACCAAAATTATAGCTTTCAATTTATTTTCTTTCTTTATTTTTTGAGACAGGGTCTCACTCTGTCACCCAGGCTAGAGTGCAGTGGCATAATCAGAGCTCACTGCAGCCTTGACTTCTCAGGCTCAGGTGATCCTCCCAACTCAGCTTCCTGAGTACCTGGGAATTACAGGTGTGCACCACAATGCCCGGCTAATGTTTGTATTTTTTGCAGAGATGGGGTCTCACTATGTTGGCCAGGCTGGTCTTGAATTCCTGGGCTCAAGTGATCCTCCCACCTCAGCCTCCCAAAGTACTGGAATTACAGGTGTGAGCCAGTGTGCCTGGCCTATACCTTTCAATTTATAATTCTGAGTCGAACATTCAAGAGAGCCAAGGGAAATTTTCTTGAGATTGTAAGGAGTAAAATTCCTAATCTAGTTACAGAAGCTAAGTGGGACTACAGGAGACATGGGTAGAGCTGAGGCCTACCATCATCACAAATATTGCCTGAGCCATTATGCCATTATTTTTGCAACAACACCTGTTCCTGAAGAACAACATGGAGAGACACCAATGAATAAGCCACATTACATTTTAGGGGGCAGGACTGGGCATTTGAGGGTTGTGAGAAACATGTAAACTGAGTTGCCAGAAGGTTACTAGAAGGAATCTTCTTCTCTAGTTCCTACTGACAGATGTGTGTGACCACTTGATGCAAAGCTCTCTTCTTAAGGATATAAGCCACATGAACCATAGCTATGGAAGGTATAGAAAGGAAAATCTTAAGATTTTCTTTCTGGATATGAGGCCTCACTTGCGACTAACTAAAGTGCATTTTGTTATTATTCTTTCCTTACTATTCATTTTAAATGAGTGGGTTTGTGGTGTTTCTAAAAATTTAATTGACTGTCTTTGGCTTGTAATGCTCTGAAGTGTAAACAGGTGAAACTGGGAAAAGAAAATGAATTATCCAGGATTTCTAGACAGTAGGATCCTGTTGAAAGTCAGCATGACCAAATATTTTGCACATCCCCTGTGCACCACACAAAACAAGCAATAAAGCTGTGCTTATAGAAAGTTTTTGAAAAAAATTACATCAAGTCTTGTCTTAACCAGTCGGAAGGCAATTGTGAATGGTGAGATTCCTCTCTTTATTAATTACTTAAACTTCCATAATGAAATTCAGGTGTGATCCCTAAGGCTCTGCAGCCCAGAACAGTTAAATGAACTGCAGAATATGGTATTTGCCAAAGGGGAATTAATTATGTTAAGAGATGTATACTATGAATACCAACAAGCCTAAATATGTGCTGAATAGTAGAAAAGGGATAAACTAGAATTTTACATTATAAAATTCCACCAACCTCACAATCATGGCCCATCATCTGGTTGAACATTTTTGGTTTTGTTTCATTTTTACTTTTGCCATTTTGATCTATGCTTGCACCAACTGCCACATCCAACCTGGCCATCTGCAGCACACGGGGAACTTTTTCTTATACCCTCCCCTCCCCAGTAATCCATGGGACCTATTATTTAATCAAAGAATCAAATACTAGCCCTCAGGTCAAACAATGAGAACAAACTCACTCCCTGTATTTTGCGCTGAACATTCCCAGAAAAGAGTCATTACTAATATGCATATTAAAGTGTACTTATGCCAATATCAACCAGTTAGTAATAGACAGTATTTCTTTCTTTCTTTTTTTTTTGAGACGGAGTCTTGTTTTGTCACCCAGGCTGGAGTGCAGAGGCGTGATCGTGGCTCACTGCAAGCTCCACCTCCTGGGTTCATGCCATTCATTCTTCTGCCTCAGCCTCCCTAGTAGGTGGGATTACAGGCACCCGCCACCACGCCCGGCTAATTTTTTTGTATTTTTAGTAAAGACGGGGTTTCACCATGTTAGCCAGGATGGTCTTGATCTCCTGAACTTGTGATCCGCCTGTCTCGGCCTCCCAAAATGCTGGGATTACAGGCATGAGCCACTGCACCCGGTGACAATATTTCTGTTTTGGGGTAGCAATGATAACTTATATAAATGATGAATCATTCCAAGTTCCATAACTGCAATCGGTCAAAAGATTAAATTATTTTCAATCTGCCCCACAGCCATATGTGTTATAATTTTATAGTCCTTTCTTAATACAAAGTCCCATAACAACCTCAGAGCCTCAAAAGCTCTTTCACTAATTTGAGCAAATTTTCTCTTTTCCCATTCAAAATTCACCTCCTTAATTCACCATCAAGGGGGTGGACCAGGTTGAGGGGAATCTTCTTTTTAGTAAATTAAAAAAAAAAAAAAACCACAACTGAATGCAATAACATTTTCTAAGTTTCTAGCAAAGTGTTAGTTTCCTTAGATTTTTACCAATATGTCAAAAGTTGATATTTAATAATCTGTTCTACCCAACACTTAATTGGCAGTCTATCCATTGAAGGCAAAGAGCAGAAATGAATGTCTCTCTCTGAATACACTAAGTGTAGTCAATCAGAATTACTAACAATTGGCCAGGCATGGTGGCTCATGCCTGTAATCCCAGCATTTTGGGAGGCCAAAGTGGGAGGATCATTTAAGACCAGGAGTTTAAGATCAGCACCATCAACATAGCACGACCCCATCTCTACAAATAATAATACTACTACTAAAAATTAACCAGGTATGGTGGTATGCGCCTATAGTCCCAGCTACTTGGGAAGCTGAGATGGGAGGATGGCCTTAGCCTAGGAAGTCAAGGCTTAAGGCGGCAGTGAGCTATGAGGACTACATTGCACCCAAGCCTGGGCAACAGAGTAAACCTCTGTCTAAAAAAAAAAAAAATTACGAAGAATTCATGGTGTAATTGAGAAGGCTGCAAATAGTTGTTTTAGATTGCAGGTTCTTGAGTCAGACTCTCTGGGTTCGAATCTCAGCTCTGTCTTTTACTTGCCCTATAACCTTGGGCAACTTCCTTAAGGAATTTTCTCAGATGTAAAATGGGGATGATTACAGTAACTACTTCCTCAGGTTGTCAGGAGTACATGAGATAATGTTTGTTAAATGCCTCTCACAATGTCTGGAAAATAGTTAATTTATAAAAACAGTTACCACCACCACCACCACCACCACCACTACCACCACCACCACCACCACCACCACCACCACCACCACCACCACTACACCTAGAGAAGCATGCTAAAGAGAAGACACAATACAGCTCTCAAAGAGTTTACAATCTCAATTTGCAAGTATTAAAAACCCCCACTCTCTAAAAATATGGTAGACATATTAAGCATATGTAACATATGCAATAAATACACACATCATACTTTCAGTAAAATATAAAGTATTCATATTCAAAAGGCTTCTGAAAGTAGGCCGGGCATGGTGACTCTTGCCTGTAATCTTAGAAGTTTGGGAGGCCAAGGTTGCAGGATCTCTTGAGGCCAGCAGTTTGAGACTAGCTTGTGTAACACAGAAAGACCCTGTCTCTATAAAAAATAAAAAGAATGGCTGGGCGCGGTGGCTCACGCCTGTAATCTCAGCACTTCGGGAGGCTGAGGCGGGCAGATCACGAGGTCAGGAGATCGAGACCATCCTGACTAACACGGTGAAACTCCGCCTCTACTAAAAATACAAAAACAAAATTAGCCGGGCATAGTGGCGGGTGCCTGTAGTCCCAGCTACTCAGGAGGCTGAGGCAGGAGAATTACGTGAACCTGGGAGGTAGAGCTTGCAGTGAGCAGAGATAGCGCCACTGCACTCCAGCCTGGGTGACAGAGCCAGACTCCATCTCAAATAAATAAATAAATAAAATAAAAAGAATTAGCCAGGTATGGTAGTGTGTGTCTGTAGTCTCAGCTACTTGGGAGGTTAAGGTGGGAGGATCACTTGAACCCAGGAGCTTGAGGCTGCCATGAGCTATGATCGTGCCACTGTATTCCAGTCTGGGCAACAGAGCAACACCCTGTTTCAAAAAAGGACTTCTGAAAGTGAGTCAGGATATAAGTGGAAAAGTACCTGCTATACGACAAGCAAAGCCAAAGCAGCAGTTATGTATAAGACACATAAGGGCTTCAACACAGAGTTTTTGGAGGGGGGATAATATTTTAAAAAATAAATAAAAGGTTGTGGACTGCTCCATAGAAATAACACATTACTACATATTGTAACTATCATTTCTTAAGAGAAAGGACATTAATGGAAATGTTGGAAGGACATAAGATCAGAATTTAAAAGTCTTTTCAATTTTATGTCTTTGGATTTTTACATTTTGAACACTGAAACAGAGAGATGTGATAGGGAGTGACTGAGGAGTGTGAGAAAGCTACCTGAGCTGAGAGTTGAAGCCAGACATACAAAGATCTGAAGCAAGGTAATTCTGGGAAGCATCACCAGCTAATTCAAAGGTCCCGAGGCAGCAGTGAGTTTGGCTTGTGCCAAGAACAGAGAGAGAACCAGTGGGATAAAATAAAGGCAGGCAAACAAGCAGATGCAAGATTACATAAACTCTTGAGTTGGGTTTGATGGGTTTCAGCAGAGATGTGCCATGATATCAAGATGAGAATTAGAAGGAATCTCCTACCTGCTAAAGGGCAAAGAGCACTAAAATGGAAGGAAAATCAGTTCTAATATTAGAGCCACATTAACGTTGAAAGTGCCATTCAAGCTAATGAAAAAACTAGAAAGTAATGATGGTTGAAAAGATTAGGATGATTTAGGTCAACATGTTAAATTTAAGAAGAGAATGTGACACAAACAAGGAGCCACCTGGAAACCACTGTAAATGCAAGTAGCACATACTTAGAGTCTGCTTATTTCTATACACGTGGAAGCTACTATGTACAGATGGTACATGTGTACAGGTTGGGACAAGATAAACTCCCCCAAACCAGGGGGAGTCTAAGATCATGGTTAGAAGACTAAAAGATTTAAGCTTTATTATTGAGGCACTCAAAATGAGAAAAAAGTTTGTGCCGACATAGCATTTTTTAATACTAAGACAGACATTTAAGACTATCTAGACAAAAATTAATACCTGTAAGCCACTCTTGTGCATCACTTTGGGAAAGATAACTTGATGCTCAGACCATTAAAGTAATGCCATCTAGTTCCTGGAACTACCAGCTCAAATGTCATCTTGGCCACTCAGTCAAAGTAGATGAATAGACGACATTCTATTTCATGATGGGAAGATTCTGGAAGAGGTCTTAAAGGAAACATTCAAGTTTTATCTTGTGCAGAAGAAGTGTAGATAGAATACATGGCACTTATGAGAAAAGAGGATTGTCCTATTCTAGATAACATTTGCCCAGCTGTAGAGGCACTACCCTGGAGGCAACAGACCATGCGACCTGTTGCTTCAGTGATATAATTCACTTGAGAAATAAAGCTGTGTTATGGAAAGTTTATTCAGAGCTGCATCATATAATGGCCCACCTGAATGTGCCCCATTCTACCAAAAAACAAATTCCAAAATATACCACCATTCATGGCGAGAGTACTTGACATGCTCTTGTCTTTGTTGTCTAAAAAATAATTGTCCTTCACCCGAGACTTCGCAAAATGCAAGAACTAAATGCAGTTTCCCCATGACACAGATCATCTACATCCTTCCACAATCCCCAACACACACACACTAGATTTGTGATATCAATGACAAAGTTTTTCTTGGGCTCGTTATATAGAAAGGAAAAAGGATGTTTGGAAATTTTGTGAAACACCTAATTCCTAAGAAAAACATTTGTATCATCATCATTCCAATCACTGGTCAGGTATGATTAAATAATATATAATTGGCATGATTAAGGTAGAGCAGCCTTTCTACTTACTAACAGAAAATACATTTTCCACCTCATACTGACTACAGGCAATCAAGCTCTAGAAACTCCTACTCTATCCCTCTCAAGGCTGAGAATGGAGCATGTGAGGACTTTATCCTCAAAAGAGAGAAAATTTAGAAGACTCTTCTGGCTTTTAAATTTTTCTTAGGTCTAAATGACACATTTGTTTATTCATGGGTTTTTTTATTCTTCTTCTTATTTTTTTTTTGAGACAGAGTCTCACTCTGTCGCCCAGGCTGGAGTGCAGTGGCGTGATCTAGGCTCATTGCAACCTCCGCCTCCTGGGTTCAAGCAATTCTCCTACCTTAACCTCCCGAGTAGCTGGGATTACACGCATCTGCTATCATGCCTGGACTAATTTTTGTATTTTTAGCACAGACAGGGTTTCATCATGTTGGCCAGGCTGGTCTCAAACTCCTGACCTCAAGTGATCCACAGGTCTTGGCCTCCCAAAGTGCTGGGATTACAGGCGTGAGCCACTGCACCCGGCTTGTTTATTCATGACTCCTTTTGGTACATCTATGTTGAGAACATATTACATGCCAGGTACAATGACAAAAAAAAAAATGTGACAGGCAAGAGAAGAAATTTCTCACAATGCAAATAAGACTATAGGGTAAGAGAAGAGACTACTTAAGCATGGGAATTACTGTTGCACAAAACTAAAACTTAAGGATAGGGATGTTTGGTATTATTATTTCAATCATGCATAAAGCTACTCAACCTCTTGACTCTTATTGTAAATTAGAATTAAACATAAAAAGTTCTGGTTCCTGACATTTTCTGATGGCCCAAATTTTCTATTCTTCTTTTATTTTAATTGTAATCTATTTCCTGGATTAACAGGCCACCTTGAACTAAAAATGTTGGTTAATGTTTTACTTGATCCCCATATTTGGAGTCAGGTAGGTATGTCTGTATATATGTACATATATAAGTATTTTTCATGCCTGTGGAAGTTGGAATCTACAGCTATATAAGGTTAAAAAAAAAAAAAAGACTGGCTGGGCATGGTGGTGCACGACTGTACTCCTAGCACTTTGGGAGGCTGAGGCGGGTGGATCACCTGAGGTCAGCCTGACTAACATGGTGAAACCCTGTCTCTACTAAATACAAAAAATTCGCTGGGCGTGGTGGCGCATGACTGTAATCCCAGCTACTCGGGAGGCTGAGGCAGGAGAATGGCTTGAACCTGGGAGGTGGAAGTTGCAGTGAGCTGAGATCACACCACTGCACTCCAGCTGGGGTGACAGAGCAAGACTCCGTCTCAAAAAAAAGACTGTACAGACTGTACCAGATAGTGCTTAGAAAATGTTTGCTTAATCTATCAAAATAAATCACTTTAGTTGGGCACAGTGGCCCACGCCTGTGATCCCAGCACTTTGGGAGGCCGAGGCGGGTGGATCATGAGGTCAAGAGTTCGAGACCAGCCTGACCAACATGGTGAAACCCCATCTCTACTAAAAAAAAATACAAAAGTTAACTGGGTGTGGTGGCGCACACCTATAATCCTAGCTACTCAGGAGGCTGAGGCAGGAGAATTGCTTGAACCTGGGAGGTGGAGGTTGCAGTGATCCGAGATCGAGCCACTGTATTCTAGCCTGGGCAACAGAGCGAGAATTCCATCTCAAAAAAAAAAAAAAAGAAAGAAATCACTTTAAAATCTTTTAGAGTTGTTGAATATTTTGTTAAGAAAATACCACAGAAATAATAGTTTGAAATGGCACTTTAAATTAGACATCATTAAAATTTTACTGACAAATATTTACAAGGACTGTCTTTTTTATTGAGACAGAGTCTCGCTTTGTCGCCCAGGCTGGAGTGCAGTGGCCTGATCTTGGCTCACTGCATGCTCCGCCTCCCGGGTTCACACCATTCTCCTGCCTCAGCCTCCTGAGTAGCTGGGACTACAGGTGCCCGCCACCATGCCCGGCTAATTTTTTATATTTTTAGTAAAGACGGGGTTTCACCGTGTTAGCCAGGATGGTCTCGATCTCCTGACTTCGTGATCCGCTTGCCTTGGCCTCCCAAAGTGCTGGGATTACAGGCATGAGCCACCACGCCCGGCACAAGGTCTGTCTTAGGTTGTCTTGTCATTATTCCCCCAGAATATTTTGAAAAAGGAAGAGAAGGTATAACTAGTGTTTGCTTAAGCATTAAGACGTTCCCATTGTTTTCACTAAAATTGAAAAATTAATCCATTTTGTTGTGGATTGATTTGATTCCCAGGATGAGTGTAAGGCAGGACTCATAGAAACTGCCTGTTTGGCCCTTGCTGAAATAAATAAATGACTTACAAAAATAATACCCATACTATGGACCCTAACATTCTTATCCTCTAAGCTTCAACCACATGAATCTTGAAATTGACAATAGAGCCAGAAAGAACAAACAGTAAACTATTTACAGTCACTCCCTTCTACTACTGTGAATAAAATGCATTCAAATGCTATTTGTTAAAGTAAAGGTGGTCACCCTACCAAATTGCTATGTAACTACTTCTGGAAATATTTCTACACTGTAGGCAGGCATAACAAATTTCTGAAGTAAAACATAATTTGGTGGGTATGAAAAGATACTTTGTAAACATCAACTAATAAAGAAATACACTTAAAAACAAAAAAAAAGACAGAGAGACAGGGTCTCACTCTGTTGCCCAGGCTGGAGTGCAGTGGCACAATCATAGCTCACTATAACCTCAACCTCCTGGGCTCAAGCAATCTTCGCACCTCAGCCTCCTGAGTAGCTCAGACTACAAAAGCACATGCCGCCACACTCAGCTAAATAACTTTTTTTTTTTTTAGAGACGGGGGGCGGTCTCTCATTGTGTTGACAGGCCGGTCTTGAACTCCTGGCCTCAAGCAATCTACCTGCCTCGGACTCCCAAAGTGCTGGGATTACAGGTGTGAGCCACCACACCTGGCCTAAGAAATATACTTTTTGAATGACTTAATCTAAAATATTAAAATTCTAACAAGTCAAAACACATGCACCCTTTGAAAACGACTTCTGGCTGAGAACATAGGCAAGACAAATATAGCAAATGAAATAGGTTAATTAAAAAAAAACCTGTCAGTTATTTAAATTTTTAAAATACTTTTTAAGTTCAGAGACATACTGAATCATATTCCTCAGTTATCAGCAAGTGCTTTTGATAGCTTTATGAAATCAGCTCACAAGTTTGTTAAACTCACATTAAGAACTCAATCCCAGATGTAGTTATGATATCAAATAAAGGAACTGTCTGGAGGAAGAAATGTACAGACATAGTAATCAAATTCTCATACAGGATTAATGAATGACATGTAGGCCAAAAGATGATTCATCTTATTTTAAAAGTAACTTTAAAAAAAACTTTGATTATTTTAGAATAAAACACATATCCTTATAGGTTTCCTTAGGCAGTGTCAAAATTAATTAAATGTATTTATGATATATTAATACTTGGTCATCAGAAATGTAACAGAAAGGGAAAACATAACTCTTTTGAAGAGTATACCTCATCTTTTCCAAATCAAGATGAGTCAAATGAAATTTGCACAAATTTTCCAAACAAAGGAATATCCAGGAACTAGACATCATTACTAAATTAGCAAATCTTTAAGAAATATCTTAAGATAATGTAATGATAAAGCCCACTTTTAAATATGAGAGCTATTTCCAATGCAGTGTCTATTTCCAATACAGAGTCTATTTCCGATACATTTTTTGTTTTAATAGAGTCATATTTGAACTATGTTTCTTTCAATAGAAATTGACTATTTTTTAAAACCCAAGTCCATTAAACAGTGAGTTAAGAAAAATTACTTGAAAAAATTAGCTAAAGTCTCCCAACTACTTACTTATAAAGTGAGAAAAATAAAATTAATATTAGGCTGAGGTGAGAGGATCACTTGAGGCTAGGACATTGATATCAGCCTAGGCAACATAGCAAGATCCCATTTCTAAAAAAAGAAAAACTCAGCATGGTGGTGCATGCCTACAGAGTCCCAGCTACTCAGGAAGCTGATGTGGGAGGATCACTTGAGCCCAGGGGTTCAAAGTTGCAGTTAGCTAAGATCACACCAATGCACTCCAGTCTGGGCAACAGAGTGAGACCCCGCTTCGTAAAAAAGAAAAAAAAAAAGGGATTTTGATCAGATATAAGAAACATTCTGGGAATCAAAGAAAAACATCAAATTATTCAAAATGAAATATCCCTCATGTAAATTACATGTTTAAAAGTGACTACACATTATTTGCAATGTTTTTAAAATTTCAAATAAAATTTATCCAATAAATTACTTTATAGTCTCATTTCTGGCACCAGTAATAATATCAATATGTTAAATAGAAATGCTTTTTATTTAAAATCAGATTTAAAAGATATAGTCCATCCAATTTCTACTTCTACATTTCTACATATTCCAATACTGACTGAAGGCAAACACCTCATTTCCTTCAGTGTTTACTCCCCTCTGATAAAAACGCTGAGGGTATACCAAGCGTAGGACTCTGTTTTCCTTCAAATCCATACTTTGTTCCTGTGAACTCACTTGGGGGAAAAAAAAAACTATATTTTTGTATAAGCTGAATGAGAAGCACTTGTAAAGATTGTCAGATACTTAATGTGGCAGATGGATAAAAGGGATGGGATGAGCTCTATTTTCAGACTAATAAAAACCTAATTATTTCAGAATCAATTATATTTATGACTAATTTTTTAAAGTCCAAAAATGTATTTTGTCATGAGAAATTTGAGCTCCAAAATTAAATAGATTTAGTGTTTTGTTTCCTATACTGGATTATATTTCAAAAATGGTTTTAGGTGGAATTGTAAAGATAAGCAATTTTAGCACATCTTAATAAATCCAAAGACACAAAATTCAAAGGGATGATTTTATTTTTAAATGGTAATTTACGTAAAAGCGATTCATCATATATAAGGAAGAATATATTTTCTTGGTTTATATCTTTTATAATTAAAACTGAGAAATAAAACTGTGGGGAATATAAATGTCTTATACAGGTTTTTATTTGTCAGAAATTAGTCTATTATTAGGTTACAGAAAATCTTAGATTTTAAATGACATTGAACCTACTAAGCCATACATTTTTTTAAATCCCCACAATATCTAAAACTTTTACCCTTGAAAGAAAACACACTACTGTTTCAACTATAAGCAAAGTTGTCTCCAAGTATTAAATGTATATTTCTTAAAGACTTAAAAAATTAATAAACATTTTAAAGAATATATTTATTAAGTTTCCAGGAAATATTCTGTCCTTACCCTTTATTTTTCTATTTGGAATACATTGAACTTAGAAATATGTCCAAGATAAAGAAAAAGTTTACATAGTTTTCTGTGAAAAATGATGACCAATACAGAAAATGTAGTAAATACATGAATGAAATGTAAGAAAGTAATCATTTATTTTTTATTTGCACAGATTAAGTTAATCCACACTGAAAACTAGCCACTGAACTAAAAAAGCAATAGCTAGAAAAAGTTTACGTGATGTCTAATGCCTCCACCCTAATTATCATTAGGTTTTACCTGCCAAGTAAAAATAGACACTCTAGAAAATATTTCAAAGGTTTTAGTATGCTTGACCCAGGACTATTGGCAACCATTGTGAACTTCAGGGATGATTACGGTATTTAATAATGAAATGCTTAAGTACACCTGAAAATGGATGATAGGCACTTTTAAAACTTCATTTGTTTTTACCTCCATTTCATTAGAGTCGTTATAGTATTAAAAATATTATATTTGCAACTCAAGGGGACATCATAGTATGCTAACAAGCTAAAACAAACCTATCATTTATTTCCACTGTTTCTTGGCAGCAATATAATGATTTTAATTCAAGGCTTTCCAAATTCTGCAAACATTATGGACCTTTCATCACAGTATTAGATTATCTATCCGAATCTCCAAACTATTACATATCTTAGAAATAATTTTTTATTTAGTAATCATTTTAATTGTCTAATCAACACCTTGAATTGAAAATCATACTTTAATTGCCAACTGTATATAACCTATGTAATTAATTTAATGCCCAGTAATTTATAGCTGATTATAGCAACATATATTTTAATGAGAGCATGTACAAGTGAATGTAATGAAATTGCTAATTCCTAAAAAGTTTTTGCTTATTTATACCTTGCTTAGAGTTAACAGGAAAATTATATTTTATCCAAACATTATGCACTGCAATAATGGCATAATGAAGACATAAGACTCTCCTGGCCTAATCTGATTCTCTGCAGAGCAGATGTAGTTAGTACTTAGCAGTCTAGACTAAATATAAGGAGATTTATTTTAAAGTGCATCTTTACCAATACTCTTGTGATGGTCCCAAGATGAACTTAAGTTTACTTAATTATAATGATAAATTGTTAAAACATATATAAAATCCCAAACAGAGGCATTCCAAAAATAACAGAGAACTAAGTTCCACCAAGAGCCCATCAAAACTCAAGTGTAAACCTCATGTAAGTCATTGAAAACAATGAAATACCTTAAAGGTAATTGAATAATTGAACAGTGAAATAAACCAAAATTAGAGTGATATAAATAAGACTTCCATTTGTTTCCATCTCACTCTGTGAATTTACATGTAAGATTAAGTGATAAACTAACACTTATAAATATAATTTTTAGCTTAATAAAACAGACTGGTCTTATTTGTAAACATATATATATATATATGATTCACAGATATAAAATAAGGGACAATCAAATACTAAGACATTTGCTGTCTTTGGAGAAATCATCATCATTGCCATATATTCATACCCCATTTCCAAATTATAAATTCACTTGGGAAAATCAAAGACTTTCATTATATTGACACAAAAGTTAACAGAGTTGATCTATGCCTTTACAATTCTTTTTAAGGTGTCAGACACGCCAAGCTCTTCCTCCATGCTTTGTAATTTCAAAACATACTCCAAGATGCAATAAAGTTCTTAGTGATCAAAATGAAGTGCTGAGATTGCCAGAGATTACAGGAGACCAACCACTAGGTCTCTGCGATTCCAGCAATCATGGTGACAGGGAAGAGTTGCCACTTGTCCACTCTTCTATTCATATATCTACCTACTCACCTACTCATCCATGCATGTACGTAGGCATCCACCTACTCAACTAAATACACCCAATGTTTGTCGTACCTTGTATAGTGAGGCTGTCCAAGTCTTTAGAAGTTCACACTTTTAAGAAAGGGAAAAGGACCTGAAAAATTGGCAGATGAAAATGAAGACAGAAAAGAGGAAAAGAAAGAAAATTAAGACTAAAGTAGAGAAAAACAAAAAGTGTAGAATAGGTTATATACATCTTGTAAAACAAGATATTCATCCTTATTATATTTCTATCACTCACTTATCTCTTAGATAATGAGGTTTCTACAGAACATAATATAAAATGACATATTAAAGAATATGGTGACATCAGGAGAACTGTAAAGTTCTTTGAAAGGCAAATAGTGCCGGGTGTGGTGGCTCAGGCCTGTAATCCCAGCACTTTAGGAGGCCGAGGCAGGTGGTTCACTTGAGGTTAGGAGTTTCGAGACCAGCCTGACCAACATGGTGAAACCCCTTCTCTACTAAAAAACTACAAAAATTAGATGGGCTTGGTGGCAGATGCTGTAATCTCAGCTACTTGGGAGGCTGAAGCAGGAGAATCGCTTGAACCCGGGAGGTGGAGGTTGCAGTGAGCCGAGATTGCACCACTGCTCTCCAGCCTGGGCAACAGAGCAAGACTCTGTCTAAAAAAAAAAAAAAAAAAAAAAAAAACAAGGCAAATAAATTAATAAATGCAGCTAGAAATGGATAGAAATTTATTTTGAAAAACGTATTTATTTTTGAACTTTTTTCTGGTCCACTGGAGAAGAAGCCACAAAAGATCATAAACAATGTGTACGTAAAATTATAAAATTGTATGGTTGAAACTGTAATGCATTTATTCCAATTTCAAACAAGAAAGGGCAGATTAGACATTTGACTCATTTGACAAGCATCAGCTTTAGTCCTCTTTGGATTTATTCTCCTGTAATTCACAGAAGAGCTCTGACCAAATTCTAATTTTTTGTTCTTCAATATTTCTTATCTTTACATTTCGTCATGCATTAAAATCCTATTTGGACTTGTCTGGCACCAATGGCACATTCTTCCTGGCTAACAGCATTATGCAGATATTAATAATGTTTTAAAAGTGGTCAAGGGCATATCAGCAATGCACTTTGTCCCTCTTTTAATGAAAGAAAGCTCATACTTAAACAGGTGAACTATCACATACCTAAAGTTCCAGTGGGAAGAGAGAATCAAATATCAAGTCTAACAAGATATTTGTTAATAAGAGCAACAACAGGATCTTGAAAATACAACCATAATTTTCAGAAAGAATACCTAAAATTTTTGCAGAAAGTCATATTTCTCTTAGTCTTATCATGAAATAACAGCACCTAAAAGCTTGGATTCTATGTTCATTGTTCCCACAAAGTATGAAAAAGGCATGAGAAACATTATTAAATAAGACTGATCACAGTAGAGCTACTAACTGCATTCATTATGTTTTTTAAATCCTCAAAGCCAAATACAGTTTTTACCACCATGTCCAACAGAGTTTCAGTGTTATAATGAAGTTTAGTAATTCCTTTAACTACCTGTGAAGGAAGTAAAGTATCTTCTAAAAACTTCTGGGTGCTATTGACATAATAAAAAAAGAGGGAGGGAAATTGCTCTATAACAGATTTTATAAATTTTTTATGGTGTAGTTTTTATAGTGCATCTATAAAATACACTGAAATGTGATTATCAAATATTGTTCAGCTCCCATAATGAAGAAGGCTAACATTAAGGATCTGTCCTTGTTTTTACTTTGTAACTCCTATTGTCTGAGCCAGATTCTCCTCAGGACCTTATTTTATTGTGATTACTGCAACATCCCTGCCAGCAAGTGTAGAGCAGACTTGGTCACTCCTTTGCTGAAGTCAGCCAAGAGAATATTCTATTAGACAAAGTAACATACGCCTCAAAGGCTTGGAAGCCAGGGGAAAAAGTGAGACACATACAAGACAATAATACATAAACCAATTAACTTAGCCTCTCAGGAAAACCATCCTCAGTCTCATCAAATTGTGTATTATCTGGCAATATAAATTGAAAATCTATTTATAGAGTAGTCAGGCTAAATCTCTTATTGCTAAAACAGAAGTAGTGAAGGTCAAAGAATGCAAAATCCTAGGAAACACAATTTTTTTCCAAAGGCTGTTTAATATGCCTTTGATATAGATTACTTTATTGACAATGGTTCTTTTGTCTTTCTGAAAACTACATCTGCACAACAACTAGGTCACCTTGAATTTCAAGTACAACATTGCCTATAAATTTAATTTAACATCATATTATCCATAATTACCATGAACAGGAGGCAGGTGTGACCCTTATGGTTAAGCTAGAGGGACCAAGGACAGGATAGGTTAATAGACTTGCTCAAGGCTCCAGGGTCTGAGTTAACTACAGGCTCTACATGAGCCACAAGTATGACCTGGCTATTAAAATATTATTACAATCACATGCTTCTTTAAAGAGTAGTACTTCCAAATCAAAGGAGGTACCAGTTCCATTGCTGGATAGTACACTCTTCACTCCAACTCTGAGGAACTTTATTTTAGCGTTAGATGGCATCTTTCATTTCATAGTTGGAATTGAAAGCATCCATAGAGGGCAATGAGAAAAGCAAGCAATCTGAAATTGACGCCCCAGGAACTCTGAATCAGGGAACTCTGAGTTGCAGAGAAAAGGCGGAGCAAGGATTTGAGGGCTATGTAGCTATGTATAAATATCCAAAGGATTGTTTGGTAAAAAATCCTCCAATAGATCATTTATTCTAGTTGGGAATGAAAGAGAAGAGGTTTTTTTGTTCGCTTGTTTTCGTTTTTGTTTTTTTTTTTTTTGAGACGGAGTCTCGCTTTGTCGCCCAGGCTGGAGTGCAGTGGCACGATCTCGGCTCACCGCAACCTCTGCCTCCTGGGTTCAAGCGATTCTTCTGTCTCAGCCTCCCAAGTACCTGGGACTACAGGCAAGCGCCACCACGCCTGGCTAATTTTTGTGTTTTTAGCAGAGATGGAGTTTCGCCATGTTGGCCAGGCTGGTCTTGAACTCCTAACCTCATGATCCGCCCACCTCAGCCTCCCAAAGTGCTGGGATTACAGGCGTGAGCCACCGCACCCAGCTCTTTCATTTTGTTGTTTCTAAATGTAATTAGGGCTACCATAAAATAAAGGGATTTTTCCTAATAAGTAGTATGCTTCATATCATGAAAATGTTCTAGGTAATGTGACAGCCTATCTTGTCGGTATCATTATCAGAGGGGTACCTAAATTTGGAAGGCAGTGAAATGATACATGGAAGATCTTTAAATCTAAGCTTCTGTAATTACAGGTCGTGGAGTCTGGCAGAGAAGGAGCCAAACTCAGAACTCAGATCTATGCAGATTAGCTCTCTGCCCTTCCTTTAATAACTGGACTCTTGGAGCATCTGATTGACAGGTCTCTACCCCAATCTTTCTACTCTGACTGACCTTACATAACACGTAGGGTTCTCTAATACAGCTGATGCTATTAACTTGATTAAAAATATTTGATAACTTTTAAGTCGTCATAGGACAAAGCCCAATCTGTCTAAAGTGACATATTCTGGTCTACACACCTGAATTTACATGGTCTCCTACCACACTTCTCTAACTTCCCTGAGAGTGCCTCGGGTGTCACCAAGTGGGGGTGGGGTGTAACACGGCTAGCAGCTGTGACACCAGGCCTTCTTTCCTGCTTGGAGAAGGCAGCTTTGCTTTTATCTCTTTTTCATATATATAGATCATGTATATAGGTTCAAAAAAAAATAAACCTATATATAGGTTCATGTTTTTAAAACGGCTTAGCTTTAGAAAACCACTGCTTCAGATACACAAAGGCATCATGGCACCTCTAACAGTACAATTAAGTACTAACTACATGCCTTCCTGCCTTTAGACACTATCTTCACCTCCTCATCCCTTCCTGGCAAATGCCTGTTCGTCTTTTGGGGCTGTAAAACAAGCACAACCTTCTCTGTTTCTTCAATTCCCAAGGCTGAATTATTTGCTCTTTCTCTTCTCCCATTCTACACATGCCTCTTTTTTTTTTTAGTACTTTATACATTAAAAATAGTATTAAACAAGCTTATCTTTCCCATATACAATTACCTTCCCAGAGCTAGGGGTATGCCTTATTTATATTTTTATCTCCACACTTTGCACAGTGTTTTGGATGTAGCAGGCTCTCAATAAGGCTCTGAGTGAATGGTAGTCACTGGTTTTCAACCTGTAATCTTTGACATTCTAGGATTCTGCTCAAGATTGAGATAATTATGTAATAATAACCATGGTAATACTGTCCTTATATTTTCCAGCAACATTTTTCACAACCCTTGAATTGGAAATATGGGTTTGTGGTCAATGAGATGGGTAAAGGCTGGAAATTTCCTTTAGGAAGTGATCTCCAGATACATGATGATAGAAGTCATGGAAATTAGATTTGCCTCTCCAAATGTCAGGCTACATTTCCATCATAGGGAAAGAGAACATTTACCACCACGGGCTGAGCACCATCAGGCATATTGCATATATCATTTCATTTAATACAACACCGAAAACAAATTTGCTCTATTATTTCTACTTTATAAACAATGACCATGAAACTTGGAAACATTAAAATAATTCAGGCTCTTAATAAGAGAAAATTCTAGCCTCGGGAACATGGCAAGACCCCATCTCTTAAAAAAAAAAAAAAAAATTAGCCAGGTGTGGTGGTATGCTGTGGTCCATGGTCCCAGCTACTCAGGAGGCTGAGGTGGGAGTATCGCTTGAACCCAGCAGTCTGAGGCTGCAGTGAGCCATGTTCGTCAGGGTGACAGAGACAGAGAGCCTATCTCAAAACAAACAAAAAACTCAGAAAATTCTATCTCGTCACTCCTATTGCATCATGACTACTAGTTCACTCGCTCATTAATTCACTCACTCCATTTATTGATGTTTATGAAATTTATTAAGCACATTAGATGTGCCTTTAACATACAAAAGTTTCTTGTAAGTACATTACTTGGATAGATTCCAAATATTTAATTTCCAGGTCCAAGCTGCTTTGAAATCTAGAAACAGGCCATTATTTAATTTTTTTTTTTTTTTTTTTTTGAGACAGAGTCTTATTCTGTCGCCCAGGCTGGAGTGCAATGGTGCGATCTTGGCTCACTGCAACCTCTACCTCCTGAGTTCAAGCAATTCTCCTGCCTTAGCCTCCCAAGTAGCTAGGATTACAGGCTCTCACCACCACGCCTGGCTAACTTTTTGTATTTTTAGTACAGATGGTATTTCGCCACGTTGGCCAAGCCGGTCTCAAACTCCTGACCTCAGGTGATCCACCCGCCTTGGCCTCCCAAAGCGCTGGGATTACAGGCGTGACCCACTGCACCCGGCCAAAACAGGCCTTTATTTAAAGACACATTTTGAATTTAAAAAAAGGTAAATATGCAACTTTTAGGGGAAAAAACATTGTATCTCTCATACATAATATTTTTAAATTATAATGTGCCCAAGATAGGAGGTTTTATATTCAGATCATTTTCTTGAGCTAGTTTAAATAACAGTTTTTTGTGTGCCTTTAAATACTGGTCTATATATTGTTTGCAAAATTGTGACCATTACATTTTAAAAATCTCTACAAACATTAGATGATATCACATAACAAAACTTTGACAATTTCACAATTTTATTCCTTTTGACAAAATTTTATTTTAAACTAGTTTAACATGTGTAAGGCAATTTTGGATTTAAGATTTCCCTATTGGTTTTGTTTTAAAATGCACCTCTCTGGCCATGATTTCAGCAAGCCAAATTTCACACTACACATTTTAGAAGTTTCTTCAACTCAGAACAATTGCAGTAATCCCAGTTATACCACTACTTCTTAGCTCAAGGATTTGGCTATACCACAAGTTATATAACGTTCCCAGAAATGTAACTGCTGAGAAACAGTCGAAATGTGGTTCACTATACCTTACCTGTACCAAACGTGGCACTCCTACCCCCAATACCAGTATTATAAAGTAGTTCCCTGGTCAGAAAACACAAAGCATACCTTTAATAATTGGGACAAACACACACACACACACAATTGGGCCACCATTTGTTCTAAGTATAGTTGCATAACAAAGCTGACTGCTTTAAAAGCTGGACTAAATCATGCTGATTGCTTGAAAGTCCAGACTACAAGAACATTGGGGCTAAGAACTGTATTTTCTTCATAACCTTTGGCTAAATTTGTCAAACTGAACTCCAAAATTCTCCTAAAGATTCTAGTTCTGTCTCCTATTCATTTATTGTAGATGTTAAAGTGTGACTAGATGCACGTCATATCAGATACAGATTGTTTAAACAACATGTGACGGCAATTCTATTATGTGTCAAATAGAGATTTTTGGTAAGCAGGCAATCATTTACCTTAGAGCAAACAAGTTAGAAATCAAGAAGGAAAAAAAAAAAGCCACCTTAACATGGCTATCATTTCATTTTTGGCTGTCTAATCTTTAGGTCATAGAGAGAGTGGGGCAGAGCTTGCCAAGGTTGCAGGTTCAGACATAGAGAGAGTGGGGCAGAGCTTGCCAAGGTTGTAGGTTCAGAAATGACTTAGCATTTACCCCCCAGTCAACAGAAGGCAATGAATTCCAGTCACCATTTCTCTGTACAATTCCTCAGTGGACTACAAAGAGCCAACTCACTTGAAGGAAATGCTAAAAACAGAATAAAAGAGTAGTCACCTTCAATTGCTCTTAGTTTTCTCTTTCTGTCCTACTTGATTGGTATTTCCTGCATTACCTATGACTGCTTTCTTTCCTCATGGAAGGGTACTTATTAGAATAAGATTATATCTGTAATAAAAAGAATAGTTCAAAATATCTAAATGTTCAGATAGTCCGTGTAGACTGGTTATAAACAGATCTGTAAAAAATGACTAAATTATATATTCTTATTGATTGAACTAGTATGTATTAAGTCCTAGAAAGGAGAAAAGAAATAAAAGTATTCATAGTTCTTGACCATAAGGAACATACAATTGGATTAAAAATAGAATGGGCTGGGCGTGGTGGCTTACACCTGTAATCCCAGCACTTTGGGAGGCCGAGGTGGATGGATCACATGAGGTCAGGAGTTTGAGACCAGCCTGGCCAACATGGCAAAACCCTGTCTCTACTAAAAATACAAAAATTAGCCAGGCATGGTGGCATGTGCCTGTAATCCCAGCTACTTGGGAGGCTGAGGTGGGAGAATCACTTGAACCCAGGAGGCAGAGGTTGCAGTGAGCCGAGATCATGCCACTGCACTCCAGCCTGGGCACGAGAGCGAGACTCTGTCTCAAAATACATAAGCAGAGAGAGAGAGAGACAGAAAATAAAAATAGAATGAAAGTGTTTGAAAAAATTAAAAAATCATGCAAAATACAAACCAGTTTGAATGAAAAAAAGGAAAGACCAGGACATTCTATGATTAGCTGCCAGATTAATGATAGAGGCAACAGAATGTCCTAGGGATTTGGAGAGGGAGATGATCATGTTAGAATCATGGGTCAACAACTGCTGTAGAGCAATGGAATTGACTTTATTGATTTTTAAAGAAATGGCTAAATTCAGGTAAGTAGATGAAGGGCAGAAGGGGAGCCACATGGTGGGAAAATGCAGGGCTTACTGGGGACAGCAAGTAAGCCAGATTGGGGCAACAGAGTTTGGTCAGGAAGGGAGTGGATGGTTAGCATGGTACGGCAGGCCAGGGCCTTATGGGGAATGCCTGGACAGCTGTGCTCAGGAGTCTCAACATTCCCACTGAATGCTCAACATGCTCGGTCTTTATCAAGGGCTTTCCATTTACACTGTCATGCTTCAATCTCTCAGTAACCCCGGGAACTGGGACTTTGGATCAGGAGGGTCAGTGAGTTGAAGAGACTTGCTCGTTAGTGAAAGAGCCAAAATTCAACCTCAGACTCTATGGCTCACAAAGTCAGTGCTCTTGCTGGTGGGGACATGGGAATTTCTTGAGTAAGGGAGTGAAATAAAAAATTTAGTATTCCAGGAAGTATACTCTAGCCAGCTGGTACTGAGGGACTGCATTAAACAAAACAAGTCAGAAGTAGTTCCACTGAAAGTTTCAAAATGTAAGGGAGATTGACTTGTTCATGTAAGACATCAACAGAGCTAGACTGATACTAGCATACCAAAACCAACTAATCAATAGCTTGGTCATGCTACTCTCTCTGTGTTGGTCTCATTCTCTCCTACTGCATGTTTCATGTCTCCCCGCAACATGGTGGATGTGGGGCTGGGGGTAGGCAGAGAAGAAAGTAATTATCTTAGCCACAGCAGAAAAAGAGACAACCCCTATTACAACATCTTCATATAAAACCTCAGTAAAGGACTCTGCTAGGGCATCGCTGTGGCCCGGAGGTAGAGTACTGACAGTGACAGCACAACTGAATTAAAAAGTTGTGGAGGGAGTTGCAGACTAAAAGAATATAGAATGCTCTTCTCAGGAGACATTGAAAGAACGGATGGAAAGACAACAGTTATTCACTATAACCAGTATGCACTGAAGTTACACTGAATTACCAAGGTAGGATAAATTCTTCCACGGTTGAAGACCATAAACATGACATGGATCATGCATTTAATTATGTTATCCTGAGTTAATTCGTTATCACATAACGGAGTTTGCATTTTTATTCACAGACATGTTAAAGTTATATGAGCATTGCGTGTCATTCTAATGGTATGATGATTTCCAAATTTACCCTATATCTTTCTCTACTGGTTCACATGTCTTGTTTTTAGAAATTACTTTAGGAAAGATGATTTCAGTTTTGTCTCCCTTTGTTTCATTTCTGTTTTTGTTTTGAAAGGGGGTAAAGTTATGTTGCCCAGGCTAGAGTGCAGTAGCTATTCACAGGAGTAATCCCCCTGCTGTTGAGCACAGAAGTTTTAACTTGCTCTATTTCCAACCTGGGCCAGTTCCCCTCTCCTTAGGCAACCTGGTGGTCGCCCCTCCTAGGAGGTTACCATACTGATGCCACTTAGTGTTTGATGCAAACACCCAATGTGCATGATGCACTACAGCCCAGAACTCCTGGGCTCAAGGAATCCTCCTGCTTCAGCCTCCAGAGTAGCTGGACTATTGGTGCATGCCACCTCACTTGGCTTATTTGTTTTTAAAATATGCTACTTTCATACTCAATTACCTTTCATCAAAATTTTGTATATTTATAAATTATATATATATAAATTATATATATATATATTTTTTTTTTTTTGAGATGGGGTCTCACTCTGTTGCCTAGGCTAGAATGCAATGGCACGATCTCAGCTCACTGCAACCTCCGCCTCCTGGGTTCAAGCGATTCTCCTGCCTAGGCTTCCCAAGTAGTTGGGATTTACAGGCACCTGCCACCACACCTGGCTAATTTTTTACTTTTAGTAGAGACGAGGTTTCACCATGTTGGCCAGGCTGGTCTCGAACTCCTGACCTCAAGTGATCTGCCCACCTCAACCTCCCAAAAGTGCTGGGATTACAGGTGTGAGCCACTGGGCCCAGCCAAAATTCTATATTTCATGATACTATATATTTCTTTTTCTCAGCCTTCCCCAAAGGAACCATTTGCCTATTACCAGGTTGACTATGCTATAGGAAAAAAAAAAAAAACAACAGTCCGACATTTGGGGATTACTGGCCCTGAACTGACACATTCCAAGAGATCCAAAACATCACTGTGGCCCACCAGTCAGAGCAGGAGTTAGTGGAGGTCAGGTGATCAAGGAGTTTTACCTCAGGTCAGTCCCATAGTGGGTACAGTGGGTCCCTGAACCCATCCTGTGGTTATTTCCTCAGTTCCAAAATGTATAATTGGAAAAAAACTACTGAGCAACTGGCAGAATCCCTGCATTGGTGGGGAATATAGAATCTTTCTTACTTTAGAATCTTCTCTACCTTCCATTCTGGGTAGTAAAACAAATATCTAGTGTGCTCAGAATTAGTACTTTGATTTCAAAAGTAACTGCCTATAATGTCTACGTGTATACCTAAGATATGGACATAGAGAAGCAAATATTATAATGCCTCTTAAATTACTTATTTTTTGTTTTAAAGACAGGATCTTGCTCTGTCACCCAGGCTGGAGTGCAGTGGCATGATCATAGCTCAACACAGCTTCAAAATCTGTGACTCAGGCAATCTTTCCACCCTAGCCTCCCAGTAAGTCCCTCAGCTGGGACTGCAGGCATGAGCCACCATGCCCAGCACTATACATAGGTATCTTAAATCCATATTATCTACATTTATCTTAAATATACATCTTAAAGGATATATCCTATGGTTTGGAGGTATCAAGAAAGTAAATATCCAATTTTTCCTAAACTTATTTTATAAGCAACTGGAAGCCAATCCAATTAAATTAATCAATGATAGGCAAACCATTTGGTGACACAGAGGTTTTGTTGTTGTTGTTGTTGTTTGAGATAGGGTCTCACCCTGTCACCCAGGCTGGAGTGCAGTGACACAATCTCGGCTCACTACAACCTCTGCCTCCCAGACTCAGGCAATCCTCCTACCACCACCACGCCTCACTAATTGTTCTGATTTTTTTTTTGTAGAGATGGGGTTTCGCCATGTTGCCCAGGCTGGTCTCAAGCTCCTGAACTCAAGTGATCTTCCCACCTAAGCCTCCCAAAGTGCTGGGATTACAGGCATGAGCCACGACTCCCAGCCTGAAATATAGATTTTAATCTTCAGCTTGCATTTTGTTCTAAACAACTTGTTTTCAATAAGAACGGGCAGACAAGTTTAAGCCACCATTTGTTGGAGCAGATCATTTATTGGTGTGTTCAGATGGTACTGTACTAGCCTTCCTCTTCCCCTCCATCCTCCTAGCCATGTGCAGGGAATTTTCTCTTTTTGTTGGTTAACACTCTTCCTCATCTGGATTGCCTTCAACTATGTGACAACGAAGAATTCAAGCACCAAAATAGCAGCAGCTACATATCCTTTGCATGACAGTGTAATTTCTTCTGCCTTAAGGCTGTGTCTAGCACTGAAATCATAGTCTGTTTACTTCGATCTGGTGCTACATTACAATGGGAGGGATTTAACTCTTACTTATAAACACACAAGGGAATTATTTCTCAGCTCTGTTTAGATTAGAATTAGAGATGAAATTGTGCAGTTCTTGTTGCTGCTGAGCCAATCACCCCATTGAGCAAAAACTTACCTTCCTACTTTACTAGACAAGCAAGAATACTGTGCTGTCTTTTAAAATGTTCTGCAATATAACTATTAGAACCAATACAGAAAATTTTTGGTGGCTAGTGAGTATAGGCAATTAATCTTGAAAGTTTCCCACTTGACTTGAATGTTTGACTTTCTCTTCAGATGCTTTCTGCTGGGGAAGGAGCACTTCTGAATTAAAGAATTTTGCAAAAGAAAATGTGGCCAGGGATATTATGTGCGTGTGTCTAAAACTGGGGATTATCAGTACATGCTAAGTGAATATGAGGCTTTATAAACCAATATTTTAAAATTTCATGATCAGAAAAAGTAATCTTTAACACCATTCTCTTACCCGTGATCGCTTAGTAATCTTCGTGTCTATGAAATTCTACCTCTGAAATATCTCTTCAGCTGTTCCCTTCTCTCTATTCCCAATTTTATCTTTTAGATCCTATTGTCTCATCTGAATTTTTAGAAGAGCCTACTAATTTAATCTTCTGCTTCTGATCCTTTCCCTATGTTAACTTTCTAAATTATGAATATAATGTCACAATTTGGCTCAAATGTGATTTTAAACTATAAAGTAATTTAAACTGTAAGTCATATAACTAGTTTGATGATACCGTAAAGGTAGATATAAGATATTAATACTACTACTCAGAGACCCATGAATGTATCTCAGTGCCTGGCACAGAATAGGCACTTGATAAATATTTGCTTAATGATTAGTAAGCTTTCCATCGTTGGGCTTATGAGAAGCCAACATTTATTGAGCATCTCCTTTGTGGCACATGCGTCAAGTCTCCAGCACTTGCTTGATCTTTAGCTAACACTGTTGTTTTAATGATTTTCTCACAAAGAAACAGATAGGGTAGGTATTAGTCTCATTTTAAGTATGAAGAAACTGAGGTCTTAAGAGTATATAACTTTCTCAAAGTCGCAAGACTAATAAGTACCAAGGCTGGAGTTTGAAGTTAAGTCTGAATTCTTAATCGACCCTCACACTTACAACATGCAGCTGAAACTTTTTCTTCCTGTTCCTTTGCTTTAATAGTTTAACATACTATTTGATACATACAAAAGAATACATGTAACAAATATAAATTGCAGAGCCTAAAAATAAATAGTAAGTATCTTAGTTTTTAAAAGTGAGCAAAAGATAAATGACAAGTCACCAAACAGACAAGTAAGCAAGTAAATGATGCTCAACGTCATCTGACATTAGGGAATTACAAATTTAGACAAAGAATACCACTACACGTTTGCTAAAATAGCTAAAATTCAAAACAGTACCACCAACAACTGTTGGGTGCAAAGCAAATGGAATTCTCATTCATTGATGGTGAGAAAATGGTACAACCACATTGGAAGACAGTTTGGCAGTTTCTTACAAATACGACCCAACAATCACGCTACTAGGTATTTACTCAATTGATTTTAAAACTTACGTTCACACAAAGCCTATATGCAAATGTTTGTAGCAACCTTATGTATAGCTACAAAAAACTAGAAGCAATCAAGATGTCTTCCAATAGAAGAATCGACTACACAAACTGCAGTATAGCTATACAATGGAATATTATTCATTGATAAAAAGAATGAGCTATCAAACCACAAAAAAGATGAATTTTGAATGTATATTGCTAAGTAAAAGAAGCCAGTCTCAAAAAGCTATATAAGGTATGATTCCAATTATATGACATTCTAGAAAAAGCAAAAATATAGCAGTCAAGGTCTGTGGATGCCATGGGTTCAGAGTGGGAGAGACAAATATGTAAAACATAGGGGATTTTTTTTATGGAGGTGAAACTATTATGTATGGTACTCTAAAAGTAGATGTAAGACATTAAGTATTTGCCAAAACCCAAAGAACTTTATAGCACAACGAATAAATCTCAATGTATGCAAATTAAAAAAAATTAACTAGAAAGTCGGGGAAGCCTAGCATGAAATGCAATCTAAATATATTATAAATAATCTAAACATATTACATTGCATACAACAACTTCCCAGAAAAGTATTGGGGTATAAAGTGCAGAACTAAGTAACTCTTGAAGAAAGGGAAGTCTGTAAGACTAAAGGTAAAGGAAACTGTACGTAAGAATTGTCTCCCACAGGGGTATGGATTAATTTTGAAACCATTATATATGTATACTAAAATTAAACAATTGAGTAAATGGATGGTGGATAGCGTGAGCCAGATTTCTCACTGTTTTACTGAGAGATTACAGATAAGCAAGGGTAAAAACGCTAGAATGATCCTTATGGGAATGAATTAGAGCTGAAGACCTCAGTATGAACTCATATTTAGTTTAATATACAGAGGATTACATATAAAAATGTTTTTATATGTATATACATGGGCCAGCACACACACACACACATGCACACGTGCACACACAGAGTTCGCTCTATCAGCTGAGGTCTAGAAGCAATAATACCCCAGTGGCACACAGGGCACGCAGATCTTGGTTTCTGATTCCATTTTCCAATGACCAGGGCTTCTTCAACAAAAGGCTGATCCTGTCTGCGGCAAGAAATACCCAAGATGAGTGTGGAGCCTCTTACAGTGCCAGAGTTAGGAAGTGCCAAAAGAAAAAAAATCACCTAAAACCCCACAACGATGAGGCTATGTCAAAGGGACGTAGGAGCTAATTAAAAGAACATCCTATGCCAAAAATGGAACAATTTAAGCAACAAAATAACAGAGTATTGAATTATAATCCAAAGTATGAACCAGGCTTGATGGCACACACCTGTAATCCTAGCTACTTGGTAGGCTGAGGCAGAAGGATCCCTGGGGCCCGGGAGGATCCCTGGAGACTAGGAGCAATATGGCAAAACTGCATCTCCAAAAACAACAACAACAACAAACAACAACAAAACAAACAAAAAACAAAGTATAAAATAAATATCCATGAGTCTCTACTGACATAAGTAAATAATTGAATAAATCAACAAATAAATGGGGTAGAAGAGATAAACCTACTATGTAGAAAAATTCCAAATAATTCCAAATAATTTGTGTAGGTATTCTATCCAAAAGAAAGTAAAGCATAACTACTCTCTAAGTATGGCTCTCTAAGTATGACCTGTTTCCAAACAGTAGAGTATGAAAAAAGAAAAAAAATAAAAATAAAAAAGAGTGGCTCTAGAGTGGAAAAAGTGGAGAAACCTGACAAACACTACCTCAAGCAGGTGATAAAAGTTTATATCAACAGTGATAAGTCACATTGACAGTGTTTACCCTTGATATGATGTGATGTGGCACTGTACCTCTGGGATCTTCCTTCTAAGTGTAATCATGAGAAAAACATCAGACAAATTCCTATTGAGAGGCGCTCTATAAAATACCTGACCAGTACACCTCAAAACTGTCAAGGTCGTCAAAGACAAGGAAAGTCTAAGAAGCTGTCACAGCTAAGTGGGGCCTAAGGAGATGTGAAAACTAAGTGTAATGTGGTGTCCTGTATGGGATCCTGGAACAGAGAAAAGCATACATAAAAACTAAGGAAATCTGAATACCATATCAACTTTAGTTATAAGCAATGTATCAGTATTGGTTCATTAACTGTAATAAATGTCCCCCTACTCTTAACAGAGGAAAATGGGTATGGGATACACAAAACACTATGTACTATCTTTGTAATAATTCTGTATATCTAAAGTCATTCTAAAATAGAGTTTATTTAATAATAAATAACTAGCTATGAATGTACCACCCAATCAGAAACTAGAATATTATCTGTAACCTACAGCCATCCTCTGTGCTCCATCTCTCCCCTTACTTCCGGTACCTCGCCCCCACCTAAATAAATCACTATCCTGAATGTTGTATTTAATATCTTTCCTCGTTTTAGCACAGTCTTATTACACATGTATGCATATATACCTTTAAAGAGTTTGCTTATTTTTGAGCTTTATAAAAATGGCACTGTACTATCTTCTGAGACTTGCACCAGTGGATTATGTATAAGAAAATTTATTGTGGCACTCTTTCTGAAAGAAAAATCTGGAAACAAAGCAAATGTCCCAAATAAATAAACAGTGGTATAGCTTGCACAATGAAATATTACACAAAAGTGAAAAATATAAACTACATTCAACAATGTGGATGAGCTTTAGAGAAACAATACTAGAGCTGGGCGCTGTGGCTCATGCCTGTAATCCCAGCACTTTGGGAGGCCGAGGCGGGCGGACCACAAGGTCAGGAGATCAAGACCATCCTGGCTAACACGGTGAAACCCCGTCTCTACTAAAAACACAAAAAATTAGCCGGGCGTGGCAGCGTGCGCCTGTAGTCCCAGCTACTTGGGAAGCTGAGGCAGGAGGATGGCGTGAACCCAGAAGGCGGAGCTTGCAGTGAGCCAAGATCGCGCCACTGCACTCCAGCCTGGGTTACAGAGAGAGACTCCGTCTCAAAAAAATAAAAGAATACTAGATGAGAAAAGGTAAAGGTGTTAATCTGAAGCAGAAGGCCCTTTGTCAAATGGCCACAACCTACCTCATCTATCTCACTTCACCGAATCTATTTCCAGTCACACCAAACTTCTCCATGCGACCTAAACATTCCACACTCTTGGACACCCACTTAGCTTTTATTTTTTTAAAAAGGCATGTTGTGATACAATTCACATACCACACAATTTATGCACTTAAAGAACACAGTTCAGTGGCTTTTAGTACATACAGAGTTTTGCGACCATCACCGTAATCAATTTTAGAATATTTTTATCACACTACAAAGAAACATCATACTCATTGGCAGTCAAATCCCATTTCTTGCCAATCCCTACACTCTCCCTGGCCCTAGGCAACCACCAATTTACTTTTTGTGTCTATGGATTTTCCTTTTCTGCACATTTCATCTACAGTAAACGGCATAGTATGACATGTGGCCTTTTGTAAATGACTTTCTTCACTTAGCATAATGTTTCCAAGGTTCATCCATGTTGTAACATGTATTAGTTGCATCATCATTCCTTTTTTTTTTTTTTTTTTTTTTTTTTGAGATAGATTCTTGCTCTGTCGCCCAGGCTGGAGTGCTGTGGCGTGATCTTGGCTCACTGCAACCTCCATCTCCCGGGTTCAAGCGATTCTCCTGCCTCAGCCTCCCAAGTAGCTGGGATTACAGGCATATGTCAACAAGTCCAGCTAATTTTTGTATTTTTAGTAGAGACGAGGTTTCACCATGTTGGCTAGGCTGGTCTCAAACTCCTGAACTCAGGTGATCCACCCGTCTCGGCCTCCCAAAGTGCTGGGATTATAGGCGTGAGCCACTGCACCTGGCCTATCATTCCTTTCTATTGCCAAATAATATGCCATTGTATGATTATACTCACTTGCCTTTGTACATCCAGTTTCTTCTGTCATTGCTCTCTGCTTGTCAAGTTCCTATTTACCCTTCAATGCCCAGATCAGAGATTACTTCCCTAACTCCCATGGCATTCCACTGAAATATTATTACACTTGTCACATTGTATTATAATTATCATGTGTATTTCTCCTCCTCCACCCACTAGTGAACTGTGGGCTCCCCAGACGCGGGGACAAAGCTTTGTGCATCTTTGGGTTCATGGCAGTTACCAGAATTTGACCAACTATATCTACTCAACAAATGTTTATTGAATTATTGAATGAGTAAGTTTTCCCACATTTGTCAATTTTACATTTATTATACAAAAGGAGTATGCATACTGTAGAAAGTGTGTGCAACAATGCAGGGTTACTATGGTCTCAAATCTGGGTTCACATACGAGTTCTGCTTTTGATAACTCAATGGTCTTGGGCAAGTTGCTTAATCAGTCTAAGTTCCATCTGAAACATGGGGATAATATCACACTCATATGGTTACTGAATTTAATAAGTTATGTTTTTAAAGAGTTTAACCCAATAGTGGTAGCCATTATTATGACCAATAATAAAAGCCACTAACAGAAGGGTCGGGGAAGGGGCGGGGACCTTTAAGCAGTCTGATTCAGGCCAGGTGCAGTGGCTCGCACCTGTAATCCCAGCACTTTGGGAGGCTGAGGTGAGCGGATCACCTGAGGTCAGGAGTTCGAAACAGCCTGGCCAACACGGTGAAACCTTGTCTTTACTAAAAATAAAAAATCAGCTGGGCATGCTGGCGTGCCCCTGTAGTCCCAGCTACTCGGGAGGCTGAGGCAGGAGAATTGCTTGAACCCAAGAGGCAGAGGCTGCAGTGAGCCAACATTGCGCCACTGCACTCCAGCCTGGGTAACAGAGTAAAACTGTCTAAAAAAAAAAAAAAAAAAGTCTGATTCAAATTCTTCATTTTACAAATAAAGAAACTGACACCTCGTGGGGTTGGGGGGATGCCAGAGGCCACTAAAGGAGGGAGCATGGTGTGATGGAATAATCACATACTATGAGGCACGACATAGCTGATTTTTGAATCCTAGCTCTGTCTTTTACTAACTGCTTATCTTTGGGCAAATCGTTGTTTTCCAAACATCAATTCCCTCCTGAGTATACGGGGGAGCACAAATACCTAGCTCACAGATCAGCTTTGTGAATTAAATGAGAAACTACTCATGTAGTAGGTTTGTGTCATGAACACAAACATATACACATGTGCACATACATGAACATACACATACGAACATAGAATAATGCAATAACAAATAAATTGGAAGAAAGAAAAGTTTTAGAAAGAAAAATGTATAGTCTAATAAAAAAAAAAGAGGATAGAAATCACCTTAAAAGGAAGATTAAATTTTGGGAAAAGTGATTTATAGTCAGCCTGCAATAGGAACAGCATCTTATAAATATCAGTGGGTACAATAATGTAGGATATTTAGGAATAAAAGATGTTTATAAAATTAATCATTGTTCATCTTGCCCTCTCTCCAAACTGGCTTATTTTAAACTTTCTAGTATTTTCTGTCTGATATTCCTGGAGCAGAGCTGAAGAAAATAAATGTTCTTTCTGAAGCCTCTAAAAATAGTCCATCAACATGATTTTCCTCCAAAAATGAAAACCATAAGACTGGTAACATATTTAAAGGTGATGGGGCAGGTTTTAACACACAACTGTGCCACTGTTTAAAAAGTACCATCATGTTCTTTTCCTTAGGAAGTGTTTGTCCATTCACTAAACATTATAAATGAAGTAGTAGCATACTCAAATTGCAATAACCCACAGAAATTGTATAGCACCATTTAAAGCATACTATTGATGGGGCATAAGTGGCTCATGCCTGTAATGTCAGCAGTTTGGGAAACTGAGATGGGAGGATCGTTTGAGCCCAAGAGCAGTCTGGGCAACATAGTGAGACCTAGTCTCTACAAAAAAATATTTAAAAATTAGCTAGGCATGGTGGCATGCACCTGGAGCTACCTCCAGCTACTCTGGAGGCTGAGATGGGAGGATGGCCTGAGTCTGGGAGGTTGAGGCTGCAGGGAGCCATGGTTGCACCTCTCGACTTCACTCCAGACTGGGCAACAGAGTGAGACTCTGACCCTGCCTAATGAATAAAGTAAAACACAGTATGAGCCCACAAATAATCCCAATAATTTGATAATATATGAAGATCTCAAGAAACTGTGAAGAATACACAGTGGTATTTTATCTCTGTCTCCACTAATTTACTGGTGCCTTTATTTATTTATTTATTTATTTATTTATTTTTTTTGACAAAGTCTCGCTCTTGTTCCCCAGGCTGGAATGCAACAGCGCGATCTCGGCTCACTGCAACCTCCGCCTCCGAGGTTCAAGTGATTCCCCTGCCTCAGCCTCCCGAGTAGCTGGGATTATAGGAGCCTGCCACCATGCTCAGTTAATTTTTGTATTTTTAGTAGAGATGGGGTTTCACCATGTTGCCCGGGCTGGTCTCGAATTCCTGACCTCAGGTGATCTGCCCGCCTCGGCCTCCCAAAGTGCTGGGATTACAGGTGTGAGCCACCGTGCCTTGCCAATTCTGATTTTTTAAAAGATCCCTCACACTTCATTTTTTCCTACAACTTTGTAGCTTGGCTGTTTTACATGAATTAAGTATTAAATAAACAAGTATTTGTTGAATCTTACTTTATACCCGCCATTGTTCTGGCAACTGGGACCAAAATAAATGGAGATCCTCCTCTCCAGGAGCTTGGGTTCTCATGCAGTGTGATAAACAGCAACAAACAAATGAATATGTAATATGTGAGAAGGAAATACGTGCTATGAAGAAAGTCTTGAAGACAGCAAGGGAGTGAGCTCTGGGGAAATCTGGGCAGAGGGAAAAGCACAAAAGCTCCAAGGTAAGATTACCCGTGTCAGGTTCAAGGAGCAGAAGCGGGACAGTGTGGCTGGAGCTGAGGGAGCAACAGGGAGAGAGCTGGGAGATGAAGTCCAGGAAGTGGTGGAATCCAGATCAGATAGAGCTTTTGCTTTTCCCCATGGGAGCCACAGGAGAGTCTTGAACAGAGGAGTGATATCATCTAACTACAGTTTCAAGGCTCCCTCGGGTTACCATGAGAGAATAGCACATAGAGGAGCAAGGCGGGAGGAGGGAGAACTTTCGAGACCATTGCTGTTGCACATCAGGAGTGATGATGGAAGCACTGGGGCTGGTGAGACGTCATTAGGTTCTGAATATATTTTGAAAGGATAATTTTAATTGCACAACCTTGTTCCATTTGTCACAACATGTTCCCTTTTTAAACTGCAGTCTAAAAGCCACCTTCTCCAAGAAAGGCTTTAAATAACCTTATGGTCTCCAAGCCACTTATATAAACCCTCCTATTTTTCCTTAATCTGTACCCGCAAATTGCTTTTTTTCTTCTATAGACTAAAGGTCATTGCTGTCTTAGCCTAATAGAAACACAGGAATTAAGTCAGCCAAGTGATATAACATGGCTACTTCCTAAGAAATGACAGTGGAGCAGGCTTAAAAGGCTCATCAGTCTAGAACACTCTTGTCTGATTAGGGCCTCCGTTCCGACAGCATCTTCACTGTGAAGTGAGACGACCTTGAGAATACAAAGTGATCAACCAGAACTCATCTTGTGGGTCCTCTGGTGTTTTTCCGATTTTTAATTCAACATAGTGCACGGACTTCGATGTTCAAGTGACAGCTTAACCAGTTGTATTTAAATAATGGCATGAGCCTGTTCATCACTTGGTTAGAAGACCAGGATGCACTGGTATTATAGCATTTATGCAAAAACCACAGAGACAGAAAACAGTATTTGAGAAAATGTGAGAAAGAATACAGAAAGGTCTGGAAAGATATACACTAAAGTTTCAATGGTTACCTCTACCAAGTGACAGTTGGAACCAGGATGAGAAAGCAGGATGATTAAAGGACACTTTGCTTGATAGTAATGTACAACCTACTTTTGAGAATAAATTATTCTTATTGTGTAGTTAACTTTTTAAAGGGTCCATTTTAGTTATTTGGCTCCTTCAGCACTATTGAGGCAGATGGAATTCCATAATGTGTATAAAAAACAGTTTTATGGAACATTAATGCTTGTATTTCATATTCTACTTATAACCAAATATTAGAAATAGTTGAAAAGTTCCTTTCCAAGCTGATATTTAGATTCATGAAAGGAACACTGGACCCTTGGTGATAATGAATATAAATTTTCTTAATAACTGATACCCTCTATCATGTTCTATACTGATACGGTTTGGCTGTGTCCCCACCCAAATCTCATCCTGAATTCCAGTGGAAGGTGACTGAATTATGGGGACTGGTCTTTTCTGTGCTGTTCTCATGATAGTGAATGAGTCTCATGAGATCTGATGACTAAAAAAAAAAAAAAAAAAAAAAACCCCGGGTGCGGTGTCTCACACCTGTAATCCCAGCACTTTGGGAGGCTGAGGTGGGTGGATCATGAGGTCAGGAGTTCAAGACCAGCCTGGCCAACATGGTGAAACCCTGTGTCTACTATACAAAAATTAGATGGGCATGGTGGTGCATTCCTGTAATCCCCGCTACTCAGGAGGCTGAGGCAGGAGAATTGCTTGAAGCGGGACCCAGGAGGTGGAGGTTGCAGTGAGCCCAGATCCTGCCACTGCGCAGCAGCCTGGGCTACAGAGCGAGACACTGTATCAAAACAAACAAACAAAAAACAAATAAAAAAACATGGGAGTTTCCCAAGGGAGTTTCCCTGGACAAACTCTTTTTGCCTGCTGCCATCCACGTAAGATGTGACTTGCTCCCCCTTGCCTTCCACCATGATTGTGAGGCCTCCCCAGCCATGTGGAACTGTAAGTCCAATTAAACCTCTTTTTCTACCCAGTCTCAGGTGTGTCTTTATCAGCAGAGTGAAAATGGACTAATAATACAGTACATTGGTACCAGTAGAGTTGGGCATTGCTGAAAAGATACCTGAAAATGTGGAAGGTGACTCTTGTTATGTTTTAGCAAAGAGACTGGCAGCATTTTGCTTCTGCCCTAGAGATTTGTGGAACTTTGAACTTGAGAGAGATGATTTAGGGTATTTGGCAGAAGAAATTTCTGAGCAGCAAAGCATTCAAGAGGAGACTTGGATGCTGTTAAAAGCATTCAGTTTTAAAAGGGAAACAGCATAAAAGTTTGAAAAATTTGCAGCCTGACAGTGCGATAGAAAAGAAAATCCCATTTTCTGAGGAGAAATTCAAGCCAGCTGCAGAAATTTACATAAGTAATGAGGAGCCAAATGTTAATCCCCAAGACAATGGGAAAAATGTCCCCAGGGCATGTCAGAGGTCTTCATGATAGCCCCTCTTATCACAGGCCCAGAGGTCTAGGAAGAAAAAGTGGTTTCGTGGGCCAGGCCCAGGGTCCTCCAGCTGTGTGCAGCCTAGGGACTTGGTGCCCTGTGTCCCAGCCACTCCAGCTGTTGCAGAAAAGGGCCAACATAGATCTCAGGCCGTGGCTTCAGATGGTGCAGGCCCCAAGCCTTCACAGCTTCCATGTGGTGTTGAGCTTGAGGCTGCATAGAAGTCAAGAATTGAAGTTTGGGGCTGGACATGGTGGCTCACACCTGTAATCCCAGCACTTTGGGAAGCTGAGGTGGGTGGATCACCTGAGGTCAGGAGTTCGAGACCAGCCTGACTACCATAGTGAAACCCCATCACTACTAAAAAATACAAAACTACCTGGGCATGGTGGTGTATGCCTGTAATCCCAGCTACTTGAGAGGCTGAGGCAGGAGAATCGCTTGAACCCGGGAGGTGGAGGTTGCAGTGAACTCCACTGAACTCTAGCCTGGGCAACAAGAGCGAAACTCCACTCAAAAAAATAAAAAGTAAAATAAAATAAAAGAATTGACATTTGGGAACCTCCACCTAGATTTGAGAGGATGTATGGAAATGCCTGAATGCCCAGATAGAAGTTTGCTACAGGGGCAGGGCTCTCATGGAGAACCTCTGCTAGGGCAGTGCAGAAGGGAAATGTGGGCTTGGAGTCCCCACACAGAGTCCCTACTAGGGCACCGCCTAGTGGAGCTATGAGAAAAGGGCCACCATCCTCCTGACCCTAGAATGGCAGATCCTCTGACAGCTCACACCTTGCACCCGGATAAGCCACAGACACTCAATGCCAGCCCACGAAAGCAGCCAGGAGGGAGGCTGTACCCTGCAAAGCCACAGGGGCAGAGCTGCCCAAGACTATGGGAACCTACTTGTTGCATCTGTGCGACCTGGATATGACACATGGACTCAAAGGAAATAATTTTGGAGCTTTAAGATTTGACTGCCCCACTGGATTTCGGACTTACAAGGGGCCTGTAGCCCTTTTGTTTTGGTCAATTTCTCCCATTTGGAATGGTTGTATTTACCCAATGCCTGTACCCGCATTGTACGTAGGAAGTAACTAACTTGCTTTTGATTTTACAGGCTCATAGGTGGAAGGGGTTTGCCTTGTCTCAAATGAGGCTTTGGACAGTGGACTTTTGAGTTAATGCTGAAATGAGTTAAGACTTTGGAGGACTGTTGGGAAGGCATGACTTGTTTTGAAATGTGAGGACATGAAATTTGGGAGGGGCCAGCGGCAGAACGATATGGTTTGGCTGTGTCCCCACCCAAATCTCATGTTGAATTCCCATGTGTTGTGGGAGAGACCCGGTGGGAGGCGATTGAATTATGAAGGCCAGTCTTTCCTGCGCTGTTCTTGTGATAGTGAATGAGACTCACGAGATTTGGTGGTTAAGGAAAAAAAAAAAAAAAACAACAGAAGCTTCCTTGCACAAACTCTCTTTTTGCCTGCTGCCATCCACATAAGATGTGATTTACTCCTCCTTGCCTTCTGCCATGATTGTAAGGCCTCCCCAGCCATGTGGAACTGTAAGTCTAATTAATCTTCTTTCTTTTATAAATTGCCCAGTCTCAGGGATGTCTTTATCAGCAGTATGAAAATGGACTAATACATATACCATAAGAAAATCTGGCAAGAAAGCTAAAAGTTAACAGGAGAGGTTAACAGAAAACATGAGCTGAGCCCAGGAATGAAAAAATGGGGAATGGCATTCCTCATCAGGAAGCCCACAAAAAGAAACAGCAAGGAAATAAAATGGCTAGTGGAGGATGTGAATTTTAGCAGATGCTAAAGATAGAGAGATCCAGGACTTGTAGAATCATAGTTTCAAGAAGTAGTTCCTCTGGAGTTTCTTGTTTTCTTCTTTTATATTTAAATTCCCCATTGTGCAATCTAATTTCCTTAGCTCTCACAATAATGCTTTCACAGTAGAATCATTCTACATAACTTCAAAAAGAAATTCTTCATACATGAGGCATAGGATGTCAGGAAGAGAGAGGGGGGAAAAACCCCTAAACAATGGGTAACAGTTGATAATAAATCCCATACAAGGCAAGGCATCACAAGGATGCAGCGTGTCTTCCGAGTACAACTGGCTTATGCCTTGACAGACTATGGGCTGGTGACAAGTTGAGGGATCTGTGGCTTGATAGACGTTTCCTAGGAAATGAGGATTCTGCAGTTGGTTTTCACTGTGCTGCCAAACTGTTCTGGGAAAAACAGATTTAGAGAAACCAATGAACTTCTTTATCTCCATGCTTCCCTGTGTCCACCAGAGCCACACTCATTCTGTAATCCCTGAGTCCAGCTTGTGGGCAGACACAAAGCAGCATGCTTACCTGATATAGTAAGATGAGCAGTAAACCCAAAGATTTAAATGAGGTACAGCTTTCTCACACAGCACAATGGTACACTGATGGCACAGCACCTGAATTTAATTGCTTCTACTACTTTGACTTTGGTGTTGAGGAGCATGGATATGTATGACAAACTCCTAATTCAACACTGTGAACTCATTTCTTGTTATTATGTTTCACTTGAAACTGTCTAAATGAGTTAGAATAACTCATTATTTTTTTCACCCAAAGGGTTTGCCTGCTACATCTTGTTTTTATCTCAATTAATTTTGTGTCTGCTGGACTAACACAAATTACCACTTCCATGTCTTGCACTTTTGATGTAAAAATAAAGCTAATTTGGGAGGTGTTTAAAGCTTTATTAATATGTATATGGCCATTAGCAGCGCCTATGATGTTAGCAAGCTTCTTTCTAAAACTTAGAAATTCTCCTTCTGATTCTGAGCTGCAGCATTCCCACTCTGACCACATCATTTTTAGCATTTTTCTTAGGGCACAAAGAGGAATTTCACACAGGGTCATAGAAAAGTTGGTTTGAGTTTTCCTACCATTTATCTTACCCATTCTGCTCAGTGAGTCAGACTTACATAATACATTTCTTTCTCTGATTTTCTTCAGAAATCCAGAGGCAGCACTTTCTCCCACGGAAGTGCATGGCTGCTGTGTAACAACCAAGCACTATTCCGCCTCTGTTTCCCCTTCTCCAGCCTGAACTTAGACTGGGCAAGTAAAAAAAGAGTCACGAGTATTCTAATGTGATACCGAAATACAGATGATGAGATTCTCTCTTAAAAGGAAGAAAGGATGCAAAGGACAAGATCCATACTAAATAATGTGGCCTATGACTCCCTCTGCACTCCCCCTGTAAGTTCCCCCAGCCTTAAACAAAAAAGCCCACCAGTGCTTTCAGCATAGTAGGGCAGCTAAAGAAGACCAAAGAGGAAATGTGACCATCAATTGGGAATAATAGGTCCTGAGGCTAACCACATATAACAATGGAACAAGTAAAAGTAATTGAATTGTGCTTAGAGAAATGAGGATTGAGAAAAAGGCAGCATTGCATCAGTCTTTGAGAGTATGAAGCTATACAGCCAGTTTTCCTGAATACTTCTCCCAAGTCTTCCATTTTCTGGATGTGTGACCTCAGGCATGTGATTTGACCACTCTGTGCCTTAATTTCTTCATTTGGAAGGTAGGGATAATATTTGCACTGTTCTCCCTGAGGTTTTATGAGCACTAAAAATCTAGTGAGTAAAAAAAAAAAAACATTTACTTAGAATAGTGCCTGGCACATATTAAGTATAGTCGATCCTCAGGTAACAGGGGTTTGAACTGTCTGAGTCAACTTATATGCAGATAAAAAAATACAGTATTAGTGGGTTACAAAACCCACATTTATGGATAGCCAACTTTTTGTATACTTGAGTTCCACAGGAATAAGCATGTGTAGATTTGGAATGGGGTGGGGGTAGTCCCAGAACCAATGCTCTGAGTATACCCAGGGTCAACTCTACTCCATAAACATTTGTTGAATGGAAGGGTTTGGACAAACTAAGTCAAACATTAAACTGAATAGCAAGTAAGATATAATGTACATTAAAATGACAGGATCTGTAAGCTATTTCTAGCTACAGCCACAGAATTAAATAAATTTGAGAAGTAAAATGCAAAATAAAAGAGTTTTAATAGTTTTCTGCTATTAAAAAAGAGAAGGTTAAGATTAATTAAAACTAATCTTTAAAGTAGGTATTCCCACCATGTTTAGTAATAATTTGTCATTAATGCATATATATTAATCTGGCATCTTTCACATATTGCTTAGAGCTATGCTAGCAAATATAATAGCCACTAGCTACATCAGGCTATTGACAGCTTAAAATGTGGCTGGTCCAAACTGAGATGTCCTGGCTGGGCGCAGTGGCTAATGCCTGTAATCCCAGCACTTTGGGAGGCTGAGGCGGGCGGATCACCTCAGGTCAGGAGTTCGAGACCAGGCTGGCCAACATAGCGAAACCCTGTCTCTACTAAAAATACAAAAATTAGCCAGGTGTGGTGGCATGCACCTGTAGTCCCAGCTACTCCGGAGGCTGAGGCAGGAGAATCACTTGAACCCAGGAGGTGGGGTGGTTGCAGTGAGCCGAGATCACGCCACTGCACTGCAACCTGGGCAACAGAGAGAGACTGTCTCAAAAACAAACAAGCAAACAAACAAACAAAACAACCAAAAAACAACAACTACAAAAAACAAATTGAGATGTGCTATATGCATAAAATGTACATTACATTTCAAAGACCTAGTATGAGAAAAATAATGTAAAACCTCTCATTAATAATTTTCAGTACTGATTACATACAAATGTTATGAGTTAAATAAAATGCAATGTTAATCATAATTTCACTTATTCTATTTATTTTAACACAGCTATTAGAAAATTTAGATTACATACATGGCTCACATTTGTGGTCTGCATTACATTTGGATCAATAAGGAATATAAACCGCACTATTATTACCACTACTTCAAACTAACAGTTATTGAGTTCTTACTCTGCTAGATGTTTTAAATACATTATTTCTAGCATCACAATACCTCTGTATTTTCTCTCCTTTTATAAGATAAGATGTTCTCAGAGTATATATTGCCCCAAATCACAAAGCTACTAGTGTCAGGGGAGGAATGAATCCACATCTGTCTGAGTGCAAAGCCTGGTGCTTTCTCCTATACTAGAGACCACATGGAACTAGAAAGGCCTAAGCCCCCATTTGCCAACAGAAAAGGTAGGAAAAGAATTCACGAGCGACATAGTGCATATATGAAAAGCAAAAATGTAAACTAGAAAAAGTATACTCATAAGGAGGCCATTTGCCATGTTTTCATAAAAAATTCAATAGAGAATTAATATAAAAGTGCTAAATCTGATACCTAGTTAACAGCAGAAAATGCTTAGATGTTATATAGCATGAACAATCAGAATACAACACTATCCATACACTTACTACAGCTCTGTAAAAGGATCTATATATCATGAAAGAAGACTGACAGGGACATTCAAAATTGATAATATCTTTGAATAAAGGCAACTCAAAAATGAGCAGGTGGGGTGGGGACTTTGATCCTCAGGGGACATTTGGTAACATTGGGAGATACTTTTGATGGTCACAACTCAGGAGGTACTACTGGCATCTAGTGGACTGAGGCCAGGGATGCTTCTAAACATCCTACAACGCATAAAACTACTTCCCAACCTGCTGAGATTAAGAAATCTTATAATAGGGTAATGGTGTTACAAATTTCCTCCTCTACTTTCCACATTCGATAATGTTAAATTGTCTTACTATACAAGAAACTAAATTAAAAAATATAAAAAAATTATTACTAAAAAAGTAACAGAAACTAAAGCATAATCGCCAACATAGAAGGTTATTTTATATATGGGGGTAGGTGCTGGGTAATACAAGAGGGTCCCTTAATATAGTAGCAAATTCCTTCTAAGTACTTCTTAGATTCACTAAAAACGACATCTGAAAAGGATATATGCAATTATACATAGATTAAAATTTGGCCGTGTTTCCTCAATCACTACTTGCCATTGGAATGACTGATTCAACATCTAACAGGAAATTGGCACTCCTTTCACTGTTGGGATAGCATTTGCTAAACATCAAAATATTTTTTCTCACTCCTTTGAGCAAGTAGTGCTTCACACGGGTGTTATTATTACTGAGATTGACAATATATGCTGCTATTTACACTGCATTTAGGAAGAGATGGGAAGAGAGATTTTTCTGACAATTTTTTTCAGTATCTGCATCATTATGATAAAAAACAGAAGCTTAAAACTTACACTTGTATAAATTCTGTGTAAAAACTACTCATTTTGTGAGCTTAACTATTTGTACTAACAGATTACCTGATTAAAGATTTCACAAGAGTAAGTATATATGCCATGCTTGCAGGCATGAAAGAAAGGAAATCTGAAAGCTGTGTATATACTCATCTTTTTCTTCATTTATTCAGTTACATCAAAAAGGGGATTTCAGAATAAAAATATGTACAGGAAGAACCTATTTAAATAGGTTTATTGATGCTATAAGGAAGGCCTAATCACAGTCTATGAAATGCTTGTGCTACATCATTTGACCAGAGAAAACGCAAGTGCTCTTTTACTGAATATAGCCAGAGCAATGAACAATTTAGTTTTTTCCTCTCAGCATGAACCATCGTCTTGGTAATCTCCAGTAAACAGCACATTGCCTGGCACGTAGTGAGCACTCAATAAATGTTAGGTGAATGAATGAACATTTATAAAATCATACCATGTGCTATCCAGAGTTGTGCCAAATCTCTTGACAAGAAGTCATATTTCAGTTCCCTTTCTCCTAAGTTTCACTCACACATTCATTCACTCACCAAAAACTTACTACTCACCTGTAAGTTTTTATAGCATGTCACACACACCACCTTTATGATACTTATCACTGCTGTTTTAATTATTTGTTTGTAGGTCTATCTCTCCCACTAAAGTGTCAGCACTTCAAAGACAGAGACCATGTCTTGACACTTTGTTCTCTGATTTAATCTTCAATAAAGAGCTGGAGGATAAGAAAATAATGGTTCCAAGAACTTGCCTACAGTCTCATAATTTAAAAGTCGTAGAGCCATGATTTGAACTGAGGATGGCTCACTCCAAACTATCTTCTTCCCATTTTAACAGACTATAGAGAAAATGAGAGTGAAGGCAGAGTGTGGAATGAGAAGACTGTGAATTAAGACAAAACAAAGCAGAACAAAGAAGTTTTAGAAGCTAAGTAAGACCCAATCAGTGGGTTCTATTGCACCAGCACCAAGGAACAGAAAGCACAATTCAAGAAACTGATATGGACAACTGCAGAGACCTCAGAAATAGTCTCTAGAAAGTCAACGTATCCAACATTTATGGAAAATCGACCACAACCATTTGGACCAATCTAGGTGAACTTTTTGAGGGGGAAGAACTGAATCTCTTTTCTGTTTCTTTATCTCTAACTTATAATTTGTTGGAAGAATGAAAGACTGTATGACATAACCCTAGTGAAAGAGATCCCAGTCCTGTAGAGTGACCAACAGATAAAAGAGGTGAGATAAATCCTATTAATAGGCAGCAAATTGTCAGACTGGAGAATTAGCCAAAACAAAGCAGACAAGAGATTCTGCAGTAAATTTATCCTAATTGGAATTTTCCAAGTACAAAAAATTGAAATGCTTATCAGGGTCATGCCATCTCAATGTAATGATACCCTGAACAGGCTCTTAGTAAGTACAATATGTTAATATTGGTTTTATTTGTTGAAGACCAAATGGCAGCGTAATTAGGAAAATGAGTTCTGGAGCTCACTTCACTGCTTGACTTCTTAGCTCAGCTCTGCCATTTCCTAGCTACCTGACTTTAGGTAACTTAATAATGCCAGTTGAGAGCTATGCAAAGCAGAATAGTACCTAATACGATACACATGCTTAACAAATGTTTGCTGTTAATTGTATTGTCATTTTCAAAATGTTATATTAACATATAAATTTTTAAAGAATCATGGGACTTCTTCAATGCGACATTCTAAAATTACTGAAAGTGAAAATATATTTTTTTAAATATTTGGATAAATCCAGAAATCTGGAACATTTTCATTAATTCAAAATTAATGAAGTGAAGCCAAACAAATATGGATGATGAGGGTAATAATGATGATAATAGTAATAATTCTTCTAAAACATAATTGTATGTACTATGGTTTGAATCTTTGTCCCCTCCAAAACTCATGTTAAAACTTAATCCTGGCTGGGCTCAGTGGCTCACGCCTATAATCCTAGCACTTTGGCAGGCCAAGGAGGGTGGATCACCTCAGGTCAGGAGTTGGAGACCAGCCTGGCCAACATGGCGAAACCCCGTCTCTACTAAAAATACAAAAATTAGCTGGGAGTGATGGCGAGTGTCTGTAGTCCCAGCTACTCGGGAGGCTTAGGCAGGAGAATCACTTGAACCTGGGAGGTGGAGGTTGCAGTGAGTCCAGATCACGCCAGCCTGGGTGACAACAGCAAAACGTCTCAAAAAAAAAAAAAAAAAAAAAAAAAACCACGAAAAAACCAAAACTTAATCCCAAATATAACAGCATTAAAAGATAGGGAAGACTTTTTTTTATTTTTTATTTTTTCTGAGACGGAGTTTCACTCAGTCACCCACGCTGGAGTACAGTGGCGCAATCTCGGCTCACTGCAACCTCTGCCTCCTGGATTCAAGCAATTCTCCTGCCTCCTGGATTCAAGCAATTCTCCTGCCTCCGTCTCCCGAGTAGCTGAAATTACAGGCATTCACCACCACATCTAGCTAATTTTTTGTACTTTTAGTGGAGACAGGGTTTCACCACCTTGGCCAGGCTGTTCTCGAAATCCTGACCTCAAGAGATCCACCCACCTCGGCCTCCCAAAGTGCTGGGATTACAGGCGTGAGCCACCACACCTGGCTGGAGGGCTTTTAAGAGGTGTTTGGTCATGAAGGGTTTTGCCCTTATGAATGGAGTAGCCCATTCATAGATTAATGGATTATCATGGGAGTGGTTTAGTTATCAAGGGAAGGGGTCTGTTATAAAAGTTGGTTTGGGCCAGGTGCGGTGGCTCACGCCAGTAATCCCAGCACTTTGGGAGGCCGAGGCGGGTGGATCACCTGAAGTCAGGAGATCAAGACCATCCTGGCTAACACGGTGAAACCCCATCTCTACTAAAAATACAAAAAATTAGCCGGGCGTGGTGCCGGGCGCCTGTAGTCCCAGCTACTTGGGAGGCTGAGGCAGGAGAATGGTGTGAACCTGGAAGGTGGAGCTTGCAGTGAGCCGAGATCGCGCCACTGCACCCCAGCCTGGGCGACAGAGCGAGACTCCGTCTCAAAAAAAAAAAAGTTGGTTTGGCTCTCAGTTCAGCCCCCTTGCCATGTGATGCCCTGGGTCACCTCGGGACTCTGTAAAGAGTCCCCACCAGCAAAAGGCCCTCACCAGATGTGGCTCCTCCACCTTGGGCTTCCCAGCCTCCAGGACTATAAGAAATACATTTCTTGGTTGGGTCTGGTGCCTCATACCTGTAATTCCAGCACTTTGGGAGGCTGAGGTGGGTAGATCACCTGAGGTCAGGAGATCAACACCAGCCTGGCCAACATGGTGAAACCCTGTATATACTAAAAATACAAAAAAATATTGGCTGAGTGTGGTGGCGAGCACCTGTAGTCCCAGCTACTTGGGAGGCTGAGGTACGAGAATCACATGAACCCAGGAGGTGGAGGTTGCAGTGAGCCTAGATCACAGAGCCACTGCAATCTAGCTTGGGTGACAGATTGAGACTTTGTCTCAAAGGAAAAAAAAAGAAAAAGAAATACATTTCTTTTCTTGGCCAGGTGCAATGGCTCATGTCTGTAATCCCAGCGCTTTGGGAGGCCAAAGAGGGAGGATCTCCTGAGCTCAGGAATTCGAGACCAGCCTGGGCAACATGGTGAAATTCTGTCTCTATGAAAAAACACAAAAATTAGCCAGGGGTGGTGGCACATGCCTGCAGTCCCTGCTACTTGGGAGGCTGAGGTGCAAGGATCTCTTGAGGCAGGGAGGTCAGGGCTGCAGTGAGCCATGTTCGTGCCGCTGCACTCTAGCCTAGATGACAACGTGAGACCCTGTCTCAAAAAAAAAAAAAGAAATACATTTCTTTTGTTTATAAATTACCCAGTCTCAGGTATTCAATTATAGCAACAGCAAGTGGACTAAGTATGATTATGTGTGCATGTCTGCTTAAAATGGTATCTTTAGATATACCAATAAATAAATGTTTTTAATTAGAAAAAATGATGAGAAGCCTGAAAATATACACATTGAACATCTCAAATTTCAAAGGAGAAGAGCAAATCACTCCCATAAGATTTCAAAGTGACAGGTAATCACAGGCAAGATAAATAACAGTTACAGTTCAGTCTAAATCAGATTTTTTTTTCAAGTATAGATGCTCTCTCTCTTCCACCGCCTTTCCCCCCCCCCCCCCCGCAAAGCCAGACCCAACCTCTGCATTCAAGTAGGAAACCTGGAAGTCTCAAAGGAATTTTTGGTACACTATTGTTCAGAAGCACTTTTTGGTACATTAATGTTCAGAACCTCCTACTGAACTGTGTCAGGGAAAGTGGAAGCTGATTAGAAAATAAGAGCTACCGGCCAGGCGCGGTGGCTCACGCCTGTAATCCCAGCACTTTGGGAGGCTGAGGTGGGCAGATTACGAGGTCAGGAGATCGAGACCATCCTGGCTAACACGGTGAAACCCCGTCTCTACTAAAAGATACAAAAAAATTAGCCAGGCATGGTGCTGGGCGCCTGTAGTCCCAGCTACTCGGAAGGCTGAGGCAGAAGAATTGCTTGAACCTGGGAGGTGGAGGTTGCAGTGAGCCAAGATTGCACCACTGCACGCCAGCCTGGTGACAGAGCGAGACTCCGTCTCAAAAAAAGAAAAAAAAAAAAAAAAGAAAAAAAAAGAAAATAAGAGCTACACATTGACTATAATAATAATAATGAAATAGACATCCCACACCCACAAACCTGCCACTGTATCACTCTTATTGTTTTCAGGACATTTGCACTGACACTGGGCCAATTTTTGTTTTACTATAAGAGGTTTTAGGATATGTCTTTAAAAATCATACTGTGTACAAGACAGGTTGGTTACTATCAGCCACGATCACTAACAAAACAGTTCCCCATCATCAGTCCTACCATCTGTACTCCCAGTTCTCTCCACACACGGGCTTGGTTGAACAGATTTTGAACTGGCCAAGGTCACTGCACAGCTAGCCTCCACAGATGGGGACAGTGTGAAAAACCTAATTGCAGCTGTGGATAAACACAAACAAGGACACACATGGTTGGCAATACCCCTGTCTAGACTTGATGGTGGCTCAGTGTCACTAAGCACAAAAAACAAGGACATAGTTTCAAGGTAACTATCTCTCAGCGCTGGTACAAATGCTATCATCATGTGGTCTAAATGTCTCCGAGATATTTAAGTATCAATTTAAGAAATGGTAATAGACAAGCAATATTTCCTATCATACATACATTCTCTCAAATTCTCTAGGGAAAAAAATGCCTTTCTTAAACAAAAAGATAAAGCTTGGGAATCAGCACAGTGCCATACCCCATGTGAATGTCACAAGCATTGCCTGCACACAACACAGAAGATACTGCATTAGGGAAAAAATGAAATATCCTCTTTCCACATATTTATTTCATATGTATCAAAATTTCCTTTTCCCACTCCCTTTCCAAAACAAATTACTTGGTTAGAGACTTTACTTTGTTTTTGTTTCAACAAAATTTAATTGGGTACACCTTCTATTCTATACCCCTAAGACACTCATCAAAATAGAATCACGCTGAAGATGGTATCCTAGATTTTCCCCCTTGAAATACATATGGCCCTCAGGGAATGTGGATTGTCAATGTCTTTTCTAGACACTCAACATGTCTGGTCACTCAGGTTTAAAGCCAAATTGGTTATGCATTACTTTTTGAGAAGTTGTTAAAACTTAAAATAAGTTATCAAGTCAGTGATATTTCAAAAGATTGTTGATAAAAAAGAACATATAACTGTAACCATACTGAACAGTTGATTATAGAACGACATGTCAGTGCACATATGGCAGTCGGATAAATTATGCACATCTGGATTACTTTTGGCAAGAAACATAGCTAAGTGTCTAAAGCCAAGTTTAGCAATCTGTCACTAACAATATGTACATTTATTTTAAAATGTCAAGGGCTCAAAGTCATATTTTCTATTTCTTCATAAACTTTCCAGCTCTTCGTAAGACAGCAAACAGGTGACAAAACACATTGCCCAAACTGCCAAAGGCTGTATAAATAAGGGGTAATTTTGAACTTCTCACCACATATATAAGAGGACTCAAAGTCTGAAACAAACTCATGTGTTGTGGGATGTACTGACATATAGGTTTCAAGTGAGATTGTTACCATTTCACTTCAGAAGTTGGTTAGAAAATGCTTTCATTTAAAGATATGGCTGGCTTACATGGAGTAGTAAACAATATAACACTCTGGGGAAAGCAAATGGAAATAGTCTAGTGGTGTCTCCTTATAAAAGGAAAAGACCAGTGTCTCTGTGATCAGCTCAGATTAAGTTTCCTTTTTTCCATTGCCAATTACTGACATCATTTAAGCCCCAAAGAAATGTTTTCCTACTTCTAGTCCCCTTGATTAAAAGAAAAGCCAAGAGACACGAAGGTGGCTCTCAAACTAGCAGTAACAAGAAACTTTACAATGGGATGTATGGGCAGCAGCCAGGTGGGAATGTAGCAGTACCTGTAAGCACAAAACTCCTCTTGACTATTATGCTGCTTCCTAGTTTTTCTAGCATTCCAAGCTTCTTAACAGCTTCAGTGGGAATGCCAAGATATGTCATGGAGACTGGGTGGGGTCCCGTCATTCCAGGTGTTGCCTTCCAGTCTCATTTGTGCTGGCAGCAGAGAAAAACCAGAGTGGAACTATTTTATTTACAGAGTGATAGCTGAATATTCACTCTGTGTCAGTCTTTCTTCTAGCTCACCCATTTGGTAATTTTACTGTTGACTAGCATCTTTACTATATACCAGATCTGGATTATAACATGTTCAAATGGTGTGGGTGGTGGGAAATCCTGTGTCTCTAAATCATACAGATTGGTATTCAAACACCAGGTCCACTGCTTACAAACTGAGCCTCATCTAAAGAAGGAGGATGATTATGAAGCACCTACTTCACAGTGTGGCTGTGAGAACTAAATGCCTAAAACCTACAATACATCCAAAAATAGTGGCTATAATCATTTCTGTTCCTTTTCTCCTTCTTAAAGTGACAGACTGGGACTAATAAAGTCCACAAACCACAGATTGTCAATAAAATGTTGTAAATCCAAGAGTAAGCTAATAAACAACTGAGAAGAAGGAAGAAGAATAAAGAAGATAAGATCCTAAGAGGAAAAGATATTTAACTTTTAATTTTTATCTGCTTTTCTGCTTTTGTAAAGTTTGATGCATAAAGCTATTGAAATCTATGTGAGCTTAAGTGTCTTTCCCTGATGAAATAAATAAAAGACAATTGCCTGTGTTATTAAGAAAAGGCACATGTTTTCAGAACTGTCAGTTTCTATTATTCAAGTCAGAGAGATTTTACTTTAATAGTATTAGAGGCAGAGTGAAAAATACATCTATTTCCTTCTTAATTTTGATATTTTCTATTTGACTCTGAAGCTTAATTTTTAAGTTATATCACATTAAAAATGCTCAAATAAAAGACACATATAAGAAGGTAAAAGAGTAAAAAGAATTTTAAATTAAATGAGTCCATTTGCCCATATTTCACTTCCCCAGGTCTCAGTGGTAGCAATCTTCACACACTATTAATGTTCTTTAGTCTTTTACTCCTTACACTCCTGAGGAATTTTATATCCCCACAAGACACAAAAACTCTAGAAATATAAATTAAGAGAAACACTCACAGAAAAACCCAAAGCAGATCTGACAGAATGATTCTTAGTACAGAATACAGGAAAAAAAAAAAAAAAAAAAGTCCTGGCCTATCATTATACTGTATTACTTTAAATAAGTTAAAGTCTCCTGGCCCAAAGAAGCTATTATAAGATAATTTATAATTTAGATGGTTAAATGAATGTTCATGATCTTTGCCAAGTTCAGGACAATAAATATAGGGGGTTCTTCCAACCCTAGGAATCTGTTATTGTCACTAGACAAACAAGGTAGGCTTGAGAAAACTGATATACTTTCCCCAGGTAGACGTGAAGCTTCTTCATATTGAATTACAGAAGTAAAGTTTTAGTGAATACTACTTTACATAATTTTTCTATCACGGTCATTTAAGATTTTATTCACAAGGCAGCCAAAGGCGAAAAGCAAAAACAGAAGCTAGAACAAAACAGTCTTTGGGTTAATAATATATATTCCTTTTTTTTTTTGAGATAAGGTCTCACTTTGTTCCCCAGGCTGGAGTCAGTGCCACGATCTTGGCTCACTGCAACCTCCACCTCCTCCGCCTCCTGGGTTCAAGTGATTCTCATGCCTCAGCCTTCTGAGTAGCTGGGACCACAGGTGTGCACCACCACACCTGGCTAATTTTTGTATTTTTAGTAGAGATGGGGTTTTGGCATGTTGGCCAGGCTGGTCTCGAACTCCTGGCCTCAGGTAATCTGCCCACCTTGGCTTCCCAAAGTGCTGGGATTACAGGTGTGGGCCACTGCACCCAGTCATATAGTTCATGTGGAGTTTTAAAATTGTAGTAATTTAATCTTGTATTTAAGTTATACCCTTAATAAGTACCATATTAAATGTGGTAAAATGAAGAGTACGGACTAGGTAAGAGGATAAGATCTAGAATTAGAAAGACCTGGATTTATACACTGACTCTGCAGTTTGTCTTTTAACCCATTATACTACCTTATATCTATTCATAATAAATTATGTATCTGAATAAGTGTGTGTGCATGTGTAAATAATACATACACACGCACCACAGAGTTGGTACAACGATTAAATGAGTACCCAGCACAATGCTTGGCAGACACTCAATAGCAAACTAAGAAATCAGGATAATATAGGCCAGGCGCGGTGGCTCACGGCTGTAATCCCAGCGCTTTGGGAGGCCAAGGCGGGTGGATCACGAGGTCAGGAGATCGAGACCATCCTGGCTAATACAGTGAAACCCCATCTCTACTAAAAACATGAAAAAAAAAATTAGCTGTGCATGGTGGCAGGCGCCTGTAGTTCCAGGTATTCGGGAGGCTGAGGCAGGAGAATGGCGTGAACCCAGGAGGCGGAGCTTGCAGTGAGCTGAGATCGCGCCACTGCACTCCAGCCTGGGCGACAGAGCGAGACTCCGTCTCAAGAAAAAAAAAAAGAAAAAGAAAAAAAAAGAGAAATCAGGATAGTATAGCAGTAATTTGATGAAAAATTATGGATTCATATCATAATATACGTCAATATTAAATCCTTTCTGATAAACTATTTGAAATAGTGACAAAGAACATATACAAACTCTTTGAGAAAGTATTCTTCACTGCAGAATTAAATCACAAGTAAGAATCCTGTAAAAAAATCACCTTCTCAAGGCCAAAACTTACATTTTTAGCTGACATCTCGTTACAATGGTACTACGTTCTAATAGATTGTGGAGGTATATAATTACAACACTTAAAAGATGAAACTAAATGAAAAATAAAATTCATAGTGTTAATAGAGTCCAATGTAGGAGTGCTTTTTTTTTTAATCCCCCAAACTATGTAGAAAACATCCATGGAGGAAGACATCAGCGTTAATTCCTAAAAAGGCTCCTGTGCTCATCAAGAGGCCTCCAACCACTGGACCACTGCAGTTGCCACATAATCTGTCTGAAGCAAATTCTTCCTCTTAGCAGTTGCTGAAGGAGTGGTGACTTCTTATTAGCTTCCCTTATGAGAACATCTTCTATGCTACGCAGGATGTTTCAAGTAACCCCAAAGATGTTTAGTTGTGCTTCATCATCATAAATGAAGACTTAACAGGGAGAAATTAAGAGTACCGTTAAATTTTTCTTATGCCTGTTAACATATTGTCATTCATTTACTCAAGTTCTTCAAACTCTGACCTCCTTTTGGCTGGAATGCAACAGGATGAAGGATGATATCTTCTCAAACTGTGATGTTTATTTAAGGATATCTACTACTCAAAGAAAGAAAATGAATGTGGTAGGAATATCATGAAAATAACACGGAAAACATGGCTCCAGAGAAGCAACGTAAAAAGTGTCTTACCAGGCCCAAGTAGAAAATCACCCTCTTTAGACAGTTCATTAAACTTTTCAGAGATTAATCACTAGAGAGATTATAGCAGTGGCTATGAAATTTATGGAAGCATTCCCCCAGAAAAATGAACGCAGACACTGAGCCATAAATGTAAAGAACTCAAAAGGAAGCAATCTACCTTCCAAACAAGTGTTGAAAAGGTCTGAAGGAATTTGGTTGTCTATGTCAGCCATTATACGGGGAAACATGATGCTCACTGTTCTAAGGGGAAAAATGTTCAAACATGTATACTAAATGTTGCCCTGGGGTTCTCATTACTTAATTAACATGCACACATAAAATCTGGAGTGTGTACAACAACAGCTAGCCTTAATAATAGGTAAGTCGCGTCAGTCTCTTTTTCTAATATTCTATTTTAAGTTGTGAACCTTAATCCAGGTAAGCTGTCTGTCATTTGGCAAAGATGTGAGGTTTTCTCAGGAAAGGGTAGGTATGTAAGGCAGCTCTAACATGACCTGATTTTTAACTACCTTTCAAGGGATATTTTACAATGTTTTTGTGAACACTCTGGTGGATTCTGGGACCTTAAGACGCCATTCCTTTGGAAATATGTAATTAATAAAGCGTTATGGGAAAGATGTGTGATGACAATGTCTTTCTTGAGTTATGCTAATTTGATTACAATAAATTTAAGTAAATTCTAAAGTAATTATTTCTTTCAAATAACAGCATTTCCAGTATTTAAAGGAACTGTCCCCACAAGAGTCTTCTGAATTGAATTTAATTTGTCTATTACTTATAATATGCTCTTAAGTTTAACAAAAAGCAAGCACAATGAGTTATTCCTAACACCCAAATTGATGGGGTTTTCTCATTACTGAATCTCATCTGCTCCTAAGTATGCTTACATTGTAATCAACTGAAAACCCTCAGAATAGCTTTTGCTTAGGATATACGTTGTGCTTACTCCACAGGCTGGTCTGAATAAAAGCAAAGTGTAGAACCCAGGACAAGTCAGACAGTAGCAGTACCACACTCTCTGTATATAATTCATTGTCCAACACCATATGAGTGAAGAAACAACACGAACGACCACACACAAAACCTTCAAGTCACTAAATGATACACACAGGAAGCTCAGTAACTCCTTCGGGGTAAATTTTATTTTAAATTTCTATTTAGACACATATGAGAAGGCATACTAGTACTCCACACATTAGTTTTAAAAGCATTGGCCCATGGCAAATATTCAACCCTGACTCTATCCTTACTTCATGGGATGGCATAAGACAGGAGTATCCTCCAAAATTTCTGACCTCCCTAACATTAATAGCTAAAATGACTATTCTCGCTAAAGTAACATTGACTGAACATTTCCTAAACAAAACAATTATGAGCATCATTCTCAACTACCAAAAACATCTTAATAGATGCAAAATATTAAATCATAAATAAAAATAATCACATATAAGCTAACTCACTATCCTACTAAACCTTGATAGCATAAAAATCAGCTTAAAATAATCATTAAATTTTATTACAATTAAGTGCTATTATAAATAACATGCTTGTTTTAGTAGTAAAGTATCGCTTAACTAAAGTGATAAAAGGGGGAAATAATTATTTAAATGAATTACTATCAATACCTTATTTAATTCAAAAGAATTCAGTGGTTTGTGCATTTCACTAAAACATCAGATTTAATTTACTGTTATTTTTAAAAAGTAAACGATATTTACAGATTAATAGCAAGTATTTAAAATTTTACAATTTTAAATTACAATTTATATAAAAATAAATGATCAGAATAAAGTCAGATGCTGGAATAGTCATACATGTATTAATTCCTATATTATACCATTATTTTTAGTTCCTGAAAATAAGTTGGCTTTTTGTCATCTCATCCCTTTGCTATGATTTCGCTGGATAATTATGCACTGAAGTTCATTACTCAAAGCATCCAGTTGTTGAACAGAATCAAAATCACCCAACCCAATAACCACAGAGTAAAGAATTGAAAGAAAATTGGATATAACCATGGATCTTAACAGAAACAAGTAACAAGCAAATAGGGCCCAATATTAAGTGCTAATGCAAAATTCCATTGCCTTCTTTTCACTTGCAAACCTACACAATGTCAACATTTTCTGAAACTGATTTTGAATAATCCCTCTTATTTTCAAGTATAGGAAAATTAAGATATATTGATGAGAAAAAAAATTCTATCATTTCCCTTTCTAAATGCTATTTTCAAATGAACAAGATAGATAGATACCTGTAGAAAATTGGGCAGTGAGTACAGGCAGTGATGTAAACTGTATTAGAACACCAAAAATTCAAAATAAAAACAAATTTAAAGATGCATATTAAGGCCAGGCATGGTGGCTCACGCCTGTAATCCCAGCACTTTGGGAAGCTGAGGTGTGCAAATCACCAGCGGTCAGGAGTTCCAGACCAGCCTGGCCAACATGGTGAAACCCCATCTCTACTAAAAATACAAAAAATAGCCAGGCCTGGTGGCACATGCCTGTAATACCAGCCACTCAGGAGGCTGGGGCCAGAGAATCACTTGAACCCGGGAGGCGGAGGTTGCAGTGAGCTGAGATCATGCCATTGCACTCCAGCCTCGGTGACAAGAGTGAGACTCCGTCACACACACACACACACACACACACACACACACACACACACACACACACAGACACAGATGTATATTAATTTAATCATTTAGTCCTTTAGGAAATGACCTTCTATGAATGCTATGAGCACTTTCTATGAACAAGGCCCTATATTAGGTATATGTGAATCACCATGTACTTCCAAGGAAGTGTAATCACTTTCAATAAAACACAGGACATAGGAATTCTAAAGTTGAAACAGCTTTGGGTATTCTGTTAGATAGGAATACTTTTGAAGACTAACAATTTTTAAATATTGCACTAGAGAGAGGTGAAGAGTTGAAAGGATTAGAGACAGAAACAAAAGACATCGCTGCTACGCACATAATTCATTCAGTGCTGCTGGTTACAAATGATATGGTATTCAAGTTACTTTTTCAAGCTTTTCATTTTTATGCATAATTTCTTCAAAGATGCCTTTGGGGATGGACAATTTCAGCCAGTAAATTATTTTTTACATAAGCATTTAGGTATGGCTATAAAATCATTTTTGCTTGTATCATGTTCTCATCATCCCCAAGAAAAACCCCATCGTCCCCAAGAAGAAAAAGGCCTAACGTTTTGTGTTTTTAGATTTTAACTTCATCTGAAATAATAATAGAAACATGTTAAAACCAACTATTTGAGCGTTAATAAATTTCTAATAATATTCATATTCAAAGTAGTTCAAAATTCATAAAATATAAATATCAAACAGGGAGTACAAAAAAACCCTGAGATGTCTATTCATCACAGCAAATTCAGCTGAGTGCTCTGAAACTCCCCCTGTCCTTTAAATGTCACAACAGAGGAGTGAGGACAATTCTCTTCATTCATCAGAAGAAGATGGGGACCTGAACGTTTTCTAAATTTCAAGTCTATAAGCATCTTAGTTTTCCAGGAAGTCCACGATCAAGACGCCAAATGGTCAGTTTCTGGTGAGACCTCTCCTGGCATGCAGATGGCCACTTCCTAGCTGTGTCTTCACGTAGGGAAAAAGAGAGCTCTTTCACTCCTTCTTCCTCTTAAGGCCATCAACCCTATCAAATGAGGATCTTACCCTTATGACCTCATTTAGCCTTAATTTACTTCCTAAAAACCCTATCTCCAAATATAGTCATGTTGGGTGTTAGGACTTCAACATATGAACTGGGGGAAGGGCACAAGTTGGTCCATAACTTAAATCAAAAATTATGTCCTATGTCATTCATGAAAGTATGCGTTATATAAAGGATTTTTGTGTCAAGTTATTGGTTATTGTGTGATGCCCATTTAGCCTTAGTTTGAAAACTTTTAACAAAGCAGTTAAAAGTATTCAATCTATTTGTTTGAAATAACTCCTTCCATGGGTACTCTACTAATGATGGAATTGTATCATAAGCATATTAAACTTGAGAAAGAAAGAACTGAAACAGTCCCTTACCACCGCTCCATCTGAATTTATGTTCTGAAGATGGAAGACATGAATCCTGGTATGTTTAGGCTTTGTGTCCCCACCCAAGTCTTATCTTGAATTGTAATCCCCATAATCCCCACATGTCAAGGGAGAGACCAGGTGCAGTTAACTAGATCATGAAGGTGGTTTCCCCCATGCTCTTCTGGTAATAGTGAGTTCCCATGAGATCTGATGGTATTATAAATTGCTTTTCCCCCTTTGTTCAGCACTTCCCCTTCCTGCTGCCTTGTGAAGAAGGTGCCTTGCTTCCTCTTCGCCTTCTGCCATAAATGTAAGTTTCCTGAGGCCTCCCCAACTATGCTGCACTGTGAGTCAATTAAACCTCTTTCCTTTATAAATTACCCAGTCTTAGGCAGTTCTTTATAGCAGTATGAAAACAGGCTAGGTATGGTGGCTCATGCCTGTAATCCCAGCACTTTGGTAGGTCAAGGTGGGCAGACCACTTGAAATCAGGAGTTTGAGACCAGTCTGGCCAACATAGCGAAACCCCGTCTCTACTAAAAATACAAAATTAGCCGGGAGTGATGGCGGGCACCTGTAATCCCAGCTACTCGGGAGGCTAAGGCACGAGAACTGCTTGAACCCAGGAGGCGGAGGTTGTAGTGAGCCAAGACTGAGCCACTGCATTCCAGCCTGGGTAACAAAAAAAAAAGAAAGGAAGGAAGGAAAGAAGGAAAGGAGGGAGGGAGACAAATACAAATCCCCCTAATGGGTCTCAGTTCTCTGGGGCTTCTCATGATGAGAACACTTCCACTACAGTGTGTGATTCTAGTATTTAAAAACGAGTATTCTTTTTCATCCTGACCCTTGAATGCAAATCAAATACTACATCTTGTGCATAACAGGAGAAATAGGAGAATGCTCCACTGTTGGAAAGAAAACTACAGCATGAAAGTTCTAAAATATTTTCAAAGGGAATTTTAACTTTTTATGATTTTTCTCCTTATAGGTTGACTTTTTTTTAACCACCATAATATTCGCTGTGGTTTTAGAAGTTTTACCCTTTCAAAAACTACATATACATACGTGTGTGTATAGACAGATACTCACATTTGGAAGGAAAAAATCCTGGTAACATTTTAAATTATCATCATGAAAAAGTATCTCTTGTGACTGCAAGTTGAATATGTTCTATCTTCCAGAGATACACTAAAGACACATAATCTAATCAACTCCTACCAAGATAAAATAGGAAGAAGCCCTCACACCAGCCCCTTGGCTCTCCTTTTTTTCTGTGTTTTTCTCCTCTTTGTTTCTGAGTGTATATTGCTCTTGCACCTTTAATGCTCAGAAGGAAGATGAAGCTTCAGCTAAGGCCTTACTTTTTCCTTCTCAAGCCTCATATTTAGAGGGGGGAAAATTAGATGCAAAATCACCTTTTGATTATATGCAAATTTGTCAAATTTTTCCATTAAATGGTATATTAAGGAAATAGAGGCTGCTGAAGAATTGGGCATAGTAAAAGACCTAGATTTGAACTAATTTTATCATTTTATTTCTGACTCTGGAGGAGTGGCTACCTTTGTTGAAAATATGGGAAAAATGAAAAGACAGATGAGGCCTACGAATCTTCATATTTTAGAGTAAAAATAAGGGAAACAGAAAGAAAAATATGTAAGCAAATGTGGTATGTTTAAAGGTTAGGATTTCACACAATGCATTTATTTTTCTCACTAGTTATGTTTGACAATGGGGCTTAATTTACCAAGGAAGAAATAACCATGACGTCTTTCTACTGTCTAGAGAACAAATCAAAGAATTGTATTTCATGAGCAGTGCCTTCCAATTAAAAAAGAAGAATAAAGGAAAGAGAAAAGCTCATATATTCTGTTGAGTGTGTAGCAAATACATAGTACCACTGTGGCTATTTAAACAATTGAGGCTAATGGAACTAAGGAGAACTTCTAATGCAACTGAAATTGATGCAATGGTACACTTTAATTTTTAAGTGTTTCTCTTAAATATTCTATGCAATAGGGATTGAGTGCTCATTTGATTAACTTATTGCAGGGATGGTTGCGCAAGAATTAAATGTGCTTTGGCTGGACATTGACAATGAAATGAATCTGAATATACTTAAATGTGATATATACTGTTGCTTTGGGTCAAAAGTTTTTTCATGAGAAAATATCACCAATTAACTAAAATCAAAGAGAAAATGTCATTTTCTCCTCATTTAGGTTCTTTTAGGAATACATTAACTATATTATCAGTGCAGCACCTGTCTTTATTAATAATAGATGTAAATGTTGGTTCTCTGAGCTGTCAAACTTACAACTCAAACTTCCTAAAGTAAATCGATAACTATAATACATGACTATAATAATGTAGAACTGTGAGTTCTGCAAAATATCTAATAAGTTTTGAGTACCATTTAATCTGGGAGTTTTTGTTTCAAAGGACAACAATACCTCAGAAAAGGTTTATCACTGATGAGTTGTTCATTATTCAATGAAGATTTATCATACATATGCTAAAATTAAATGGAGTAGGGAGGGGGCTGGAGAATTAATCATACAGAAAAGAAGATGACTGAATGATCTATATGGGGGTAGTAATCCCCACACTGCCAGCGTTTATTCCATAGCCAGGGTGCCATGGGAACCAAGGGGCTGAGTCGCCCAGTCTTTGGGAGGAGTCTCATCTCAGAGGAAACCAGGAAGTCTTCCAGGAGGACCACTGGACATTAGCCAGGCTAGGGGTGAAGGGCAGGGGCACTGCAGGCCGTTGGAGTGCTCTTGTACAATTAGCCTTAGCCAGTGGGCTTGGCACTCTCAGCCTGTGTAACCAAACCCAGAAGGGGTCTAGAAGGCCTTTCAGGACACCGTATGCTTCAGAATAGGAGCGGATTCTCAGTCCACAGATGGTTCCTGATAGAGTGGCTGGGTGGGGTAAGACTATTCTTGGGCTCATCTAGTCTTAGAGATCTGGAGACTCCCAGAGGGGTGGAGGAGTAGGATACTTTTGGGGCCACTACAGTGGTACTGACTCTTCAAAAAAAAAAAAAAGAGAGACTGTAACTTAAAGTGATCTAAATTTATTCATTTTTAAGGGAAAAAGCACAACAGAAAGAACAATCACTCTGTCTACCCTTTCTCCTCAACGCTGCCCCTCGACATCTCCCTGGGAGAAGCTGTAAGACTGCCATTGTTTTTGTACGACCCCCAGATGCACAAAGTTGTGGGGAGCCTTCACATTGCCATCTCCCCTCCAGAGCCAGATTTGTCTGTGGCATTAGTGCACTGAAAGCTGAGGGGTAGGGTTGGGTATTCTCTGGAGGACAAAGTGCTAATGTTCAGTAATTCTGCAAACATATGAAGACAACATTGCCTACCTGCCAAGGGTGTGGCACCATGTTCTGGCGAAAAAAACTGCAACTGATTTCACTCATCCAAGCAAATTCTTAGGGTGTAATGGGAGTTGAAAAACATCATCTTGGAACCTACTAAAGGGACAAACATGATATGAAAATGATTGGGCGGGAGAGGCCATATTTATGAATCCTTAGTGAGGCTGTTTTATGGTTCAGATATTATGGCTTTGGCTAATGTCTGAGTATATGTATACACAGATTTTAATAAAAACAACCGTGAAATTTGAGAATCCACTTCACTGAAATTATAGAACAAATATATCTTGGATACTACATTTTGCGTAAGGCTGCAGTCATTCCCTTTAGGTGAACTGAAATGACACTGCTACCATGTCTTTTCTGTACAGAACAGGGAAACAATGACAATAAGAATAAATGAATTGTTTAACCCTGTGAGCTTCAGAATGCTTAGCAAACTACTGTGAATCAAAAGATACTACAGAACAATCTTTGGCTTTACTTGACAGTATTTAACAGGTCTTATAAGTCTATTTATTTTATTTATTAGTCCTTTATTTTACTCCCAATGACCTCATTTCCTTCTCCTTTGCTATAGTTTACAGCAAAGCAATTTGAAATAGCAAATCAAAATATTATCCGAGGACAAAATGTAATAAATGCAGAAATTGAGAATAAGTTTTTTTAGAAATTTTTGTTGCAGTGTGACATAGCTGTGACTCCCAAATATATAATCAGTGGCTTCATGTCACTGAACGTACAGACTAAAATTGCCAGTTGGTGATGAATTAGGGAGGAAACATGGGTATTTCCCCACAAATATTTTTATTAGTATTGGTTTAAAACATCTGGCAATTGTACATAAAATATTTTTAAATTCCCTTCAGCTATCAATATATAAATTATTGCAAAATTTATTAGGCTAACACTTTCTAACTTGTACTCTTAGATACAGAATAAAGATATTCTTGGTATCTGGAACACTGTAGTTGCTTCCATTGTCTTTGGCAGGTTTTCACTAGGAGAATGGTCAGCGCCATAGGTGGTAACCACGGCTTAGAAGAAAAGAGAAGAGGTGGATGGGTCCCAGGAGAGGCAGACTGAAATACCTATATTCTCTCCTAAGCGTCCCATGGCTCCAGGCACCACACATGAGCTTTTTTTTTTTTTTAGATGGCGTTTCACTCTTTTTGCCCAGGCTGGAGTGCAATGGTGCTATCTAGGCTCACCGCAACCTCCCTCTCCTGGGTTCAAGCAATTCTCCTGCCTCAGCCTCCTGAGTAGCTGAGATTACAGGCATGCGCCACCACGCCTGGCTAATTTTGTATTTTTAGTAGAGACGGGGTTTCTCCATGTTGGTCAGAGTGGTCTCGACCTCCCGACCTCAGGTGATCCGCCCGCCTCGGCCTTCCAAAGTGCTGGGATTACAGCCATGAGCCACCGTACTTGGCCTCTACACATAAGCTTTAGCATCTGGATACTTCAGCTAATCTGGGACAGGTCCAATGAATATTTCCACAGTTTATCACTTTGGAAGTTATAGGCTTTTTTCAAAATCCCCTTTAATTGCTTATTAGTTCTATAGCTCTATAAAGGCAAATAGCCTCATCCTGCTCATAGGAACTTTAGGGAAGTGCTTTACAATCTCCAGCCTTCAAGACATTGAGACAATGAAAAGGCCTTTTTTTTTTTTTAAGTATATGTGTTTCGCAGTAGCTTAAATAGACATTTACCAGATGTAAATTTTATCAGGCTTTGTGTTGAAGAGATTTCTTCAAGTGGTGATTGTTGACTCTAACTGTAATGTATTTTATGATCTCTCCAGATAGAATAGGAGGGAAAAATGAGAATATTAACCCTTCCTCTACCTGCTATTAGTTAATCCTAACAAATACTCTATGAAACATACATGCTATAGCCAAAAAATACACACTGGTCCGCTATACTAGAAGCAAAAGAAATCAGAATGGGTTAAAAAAAACAAGGCAACTAGCCTAATGATACGTACAATGAATTTGGCCTTCATTTTTCTAGGCTCTGGGTTTGCTTTTCACAAAAACTGGAATCAAGTTCCTCTAGGCGGTTGACTTAATGATTTGAAAACAGTAGTATAAACAAAACATGAAGCCACATGGGAGAGACGAGGAATTTATATATGCAAAGTCAACACATACTTTATGGCTAAATAATTTTCATGGTTTTAATAATTTAAAAAATGTTCAAAGCTGAATTAATAGATGATTTTCATGTTAAACCTGGGTAAGCAGAAGTAAGGTGTTTAAGAACTCAGAGTCACTGGGCGTGGTGGCTCACGCCTGTAATCGCAGCACTTTGAGAGGTCAAGGTGGGCGGATCACGAGGTCAGGGGATCAAGACCATCCTGGCTAACACAGTGAAACCCCGTCGCTACTAAAAAATTAGCCAGGCGTGGTGGCAGGTGCCTGTAGTCCCAGCTACTCGGGAGGCTCAGGCATGAGAATGGTGTGAATCCGGGAGGCGGAGCTTGCAGTGAACTGAGATCAAGCCACTGCACTCCAGCCTGGGCGACAGAGCGAGGCTCCATCTCAAAAAAAAAAGAGAGAACTCAGAGTCATATAACCTATACATGGTACTGCCGAGATCTTGGGCTGCAGCTCCTGGTTTCTATACTAAGCCATGTTATTATGCTACTTTAGCAATTTCTAGCCCTAGATCTCCTTAATAACAAAAATCAAAAGCATGTCATGGTTAGATTCTTTGAATTCTGCCACTTTCAGGAAGTAGCACCTCTGGTTTGGATAGCTAAAAGGAATAGCAGAGGTATTAAGCCACAACTGCACTTACCACAAATATTCCACTCTTTTAAAATATAAACATGTGACTGTTAAAATATAAACATGTGACTCGTTTCCATTGGCATTCACCGCTTTCACAAAGACAATGGAAGAAGCCAGTAACACTGCTACATCTACAGGAAACAAAAATGAAACTAAATGGCTCCAAATATATATATATATTTGAGTCTCTTAAGTTCAAGTGATTCTCCTGCCTCAACCTCCTGAGTAGCTAGGATTACAGTCACATGACACCATGCCCGACTAATTTTTGTATTTTTAGTAGAGATGAGGCTTCACCATGTTGGCCAGACTGGTCTTGAACTCCTGACCTCAAGTGATCTGCCTGCCTTGGCCTCGCAAAGTGCTGGGATTATAGGCGTGAGCCACTGTGCCCAGTCGGCTCCAAATATTAATAAGCATAACCAGGGTACTGTATTTTGGATATTAGCTGATTGATTGTACAGTTACAAAAATATGATGCATCCTAGGAACTATCCATTGAAATTTTCCTGTTAAGATAGCAAGATATACTGCCAACTAGCATGACTGTTTCCAGAAAGCATATGGGAAGGTGATAAAGAAGGGGCAAATAATAGAGCAAAACACAAAAAGACCAAGAGAAAAAAACAATTAATTCTACAATTGGGGAATTGTCAGGACAAAGATATGTATAAATTAAGATAAAGGAATGTGAAGTATGCAGTGCTGACTGAAGAGGTCATATGGGGTTGTCAAAACTGGGCTATACGTATGTGACTGAAATGGCAGAAAATGTGAAGTAAACGAGTAAAAGAAAACCTGCAAGACTAAATTAAACAGAACAAAGACACATAGTATGTACACATAGTACTTTAAAACAAAACTGTAAAAAAAAATCATCTATTTGGCCATTGAAAACAAGCATTTTCCCATCCTTGCCCACTGTTAGCATGAAAATGATTTACTCAGCTTGGTCAGAGGTAGATTAACCTGATGAAACAACCAAGGCAAAACCCATTCTCAATGTGAAAAGTAATGAGGATTTTCCTCAGTTTGTGTCCAAGGACAACACTAGGCAGCACAGCCCTAGTGAAGCATAAACTCCTAGCAGACAGAAAGCTTCCTGAGGGCAGCTATAATTTGTTGTTTACATGGAGGCCTAGCAGAGTCCTTTTCATACTGTAAGTGTTCTATGAATGTTTATTAAATTAAATTCTACTTAAGTAGCTCTCTTTTCTAATTAGCCTTGGCAATCAAGTAGTTTATTAAAATAAAAAAGTCCAAGTATTTTGGAAGTGAATTTTGTAGCAGCAAATTCAGGATGGGACCAATGACCTACAAATTGAGCTGCAGCAAAATATTGGCTGGGAACAAAGTAGATCCTAAAGGTGGTTTTGTCAGACAAAGTGCAACAAATCTCACTGAAGAACAACAGTCATATGGAGTGTTGTCGCATATGAATGATTACTTGAAATCAGTGTTAGAATCTCAAAAAGAAGTAACTTGGTAATGCAAAGTAATGCTATTCAAAGTGCTGTAAAAAGATAAACAGGTATTCTAGTCTCAGCTCCAGCACCCCCCGCCTCAGGAAGCTGGCTCAGCCCACTGCAGTCCATAACGGTTTTTGCCAACTGAACTCAAAGCCCCATTAATGCAGAAAATAATTACAATCTACCCTTGTGGCATCTATTAACTTTTCTTTAATCATGTTTTGTCTCTCCAATTAGACTGTACGTTAATTAAGGGTAAAGAGTTTCAGACATTTCTTCTGTAGCCATCACATCTAATACTATACAAGGGTGATTTAATATTAGATAATAAATTTAGGTAATTTACAACATTAATAGTTACTATTAATAGGAAAAAAATCACATAATCCTCCCCATAATTATGGAAAAGCATTTGATAAACTTCCTCATCCATTCATAATAAAATTCACTTCACAATAGAAAAGGATATCTTTTATAAAAAAGTTTTTTACCTACTACGAGATTAAAGGCATTTATCTATTTAAATAAGTAAATATCCCACAGAAAACATCACACTTAAAGGAAAAATGTTGAAAGCACTCCTTTTGTAAGCCAGAGGAAGTCAGGAACACTTTCTGTCACCAATCCTATTCAAAATTGTCCAGGAGATACCAGTCAATGTAGGTAGACAAGAAAAAGTAATCAAAATAAGACATGAAAAGGATGAAAGAAATTTTCATCTGCTAATGAATTTAATATGTGCAGGCATGTATTAATATTATATTCAAATGAATCAAAAGGATTAAAAGTCTAGGTTTTCTGGCTACAAAAACCAACATACGAATGTATATTTCTTGTATTTTATAGCAACAATTAGAAAATGTCACTTTATGCACAAAGATTTGCAAAATTTTAAAACCCAGATAATACCATATACTGATAAGGATATAAACAAATGGAAATTCTTATCTACTCTGGGAAACTTCTTGGTAGTACCTAATAAGGTTGGATATGCATATACCCTATAACTCTTTCTATTCTTAGGTACATACCATTGAGAAATGGTTGTACATATACAAATGTTACATTCATTAACATTCACAGCATCAGTGTTTGTAATGTCCAAATAATGAAACCAACCCAAATGTCCATCAACAGTAGAATGAATAAATCAATTGTGATACACTCAATATGATGGAATATTACACAGCAATAAAGACGAATAAACCATAGCCTCAGAGATGAGTATGGATGAATCTCAAAATAATAATGAACAAAAATAGAAGACCACAGAAGAATGCATTTAGCATGATTCCCAATTTATATAAAGTTAAAAATATAAGATGGCTATTACATATATTATTTGGAGATGTATATATGGGTGGCAGAAGTATTGAAAAGCAAAAAAAAAGAAACAGGCAACACAAAATTCAAGGCAGTGGTTACTTCTAGGTGGGAGGTAGAGGATGCATGAAAATGAGGGGCTCAGAGAATAATACAGCACAGGGAGTTTTCTATTTCTATTTCTTAATGTGGGTAGTGGAGACATTGCCATTTGCTCTAATACTACTCTTTAAACTACATACACATGTTCCATACATTATACATTTTTTATATATCACAGAAAAGGAAGAAGGAAGAAAGGAAAGAAAGGGAAAGAAGGAAAGGAGGAGGGAGAGAGGAGGATAGGAAAAGGAAAGATAAAAAAGGATAATTATAAAATCCTTGGAATGCTAAGGAAAAGAAGCTTGCCATGGGACTCTCTTTTAAATGAAAGTACACATACTTCTACAAACACTACTTAGCAAGAAATATGCACAACACAACCACAAGGGGCTATAACAAGACATCACGCTTAGGGCTGAGATTAGACTCCTTTCACTAAAATTGATGAGTCATTTGTCACAATACAGATGTTTTATGGCTGAAAGGAATGACTGAAAACACTGGTATTTTCTTATGTAAAAAACAAGAGTTTCTCCAGATTAAATTTCCTCTAAAATTTTTAAGTACTAGGTTGAAAACCAGAGGAATCTACTTTCACTTTTCTTCAATTATTTGCAATAAAACAAGAATATATATCAGACCATGGGGAAAATCTTTTTCTTCCACACTTTGGAAATCTAAAAGGTACTACTTTTATGTACTACCATCTACCATAATTAGATTTAATCTAAATTGTGCTATTGAGAGGCGAGAAACGCAATTAAAGTGTCAACACTCCCAAGACCAGCCAAACAACCTTTTGGCAAATGCTAATATAAATGTTTTCATAACCTATGTTTTTTAAGGTCACTATTCAAATTCCATAGTTATACATATCTCTGTTTTCAGAGACTTTATTTCTCAGGTTTTGAAGGGCTGGAGAATGTTACTCAAACATAAGGTCGGTAAAGAAATTTTAGCTTAGAAGTCTCCTATAATGCTACAGAGCTGTAGTCTGTAGCAGTCCTACAGGGCACTGCTCATATGCAGTAAGCAAAGGTGGGGCATGGGGAGGAGGAAGAAAACAGATCCAGAGACTGTCTGCAGAGCATCTGTTCCAGCAACCCAGTTGTGGGCCTTCTCCTGGACCAGTAAAACTCCATCTGGTATGGGAAGCTAACTGTTCCCCAGGTGGTGTGCCCACCTGTCAACTGACAGTCGGGCTTGTGCCACTAAGAACAAGGGCAGACACATTTTGGCACAGACCTTTGGAGCATTTCTTTAACTTAATGGCTGAGCAAGACTTGAGATGAAGAGATGAGGAAACACAGAAAAAAAAAAAATGCAATGGGCCCTGCTGGTCCCAGGCATCAGCTAGGGAATCTAGGTCACGCCTACAACAGGCGTCTGATGGGGTATACCATAGAGGGCGGAGAGTGGCAGGGAATGGTGCCAGCCTCTGCCTTTCTGGGCTTGCCAGCCCTTGGCAGGGATTCTGGAAAATGAGACATCCCAAGTCAAATGCATTTCCGCACATTCCTCTCCCTCTCCTGCCTCTAGCTACTTACATGTGGTTAATAGACTGCTCAAATTGAAAACACACACACACACACACACACACACCACCACCACCACCACCATCACCAGGATATGGAATCTATACACGTTCGTTCCGGAATGTTTAGGTTGAAAATACACGTACAAATATAGTCTCCTGGTGAAGCTCTGTGCTATGTATTTATTCCAAGTGATGTCCACAATCTTTTTGGAATTCTTCTGGCATCTGGCTTTAGAATCCTTGGCATATTCTTGTCAATACCCTCAGGTGATGAAAGATGTTTTATTCTAAAGAGTACATTTTATTTACCAGGCTTATGGAATTAGATGCTCCATCAATCCATATTGAATATAAGAATAAATGGATGGGTGAAACAAGCACATACCTATAGTTCTTAGACAAATTCCTAATGAAATGAATGACCAAGCATGGAATGTACAATTTTTTAATTTTAAAAAAGCAAACAAAAAATAAAAAATAGAGATTTTCTTGTATGGCTCATATGGTAGAACCCAGAAGACCATTTCAGTGGAACAAAGGAGACCACTGAAATAACCAGAGAACCACTCAAGGTGATCCTGGATATAGGGGCTATTAACCTTTTAATCTTTGCATTATTCCTTAAAGCGTTTAGATCCATTTGCTCCTTGTCTTCTCCTATCCTCTAGTCCTGAAATCACCAGGGCACCAAGCCTCGAGAGGCTGCTCTCTCCCTTACTGGGCTGGGTTTCTAAGATATCTCTGACCAGATCTCAGAGATAACTCCAATCCAGAGGATCTTTAGGCGGATCTTTATTCTGCCAAATCCTACACTGATACTAATTTTCAAACTTAGATGTATTTTAAATAGGAAAAGAAGACCCAAATTATATCATTTTAACTTACCTTATTTTTTCCTGTAAAACAATATATCATAAATTTTAAAAGTCTCTGTGCTTAGAAGAAGGTGGCATTCATACATTTCTGGGGTGTCTTTTAAAGAGCCTTATTGGTCCATAGTTACATCCCATACACATATATATTATAGGCACATTTACATGCAGACATATAAAGGAAGTATTCATAAAGGATGAGTGATGAACAAACACAAAGCCATGCTTTGATGTTAAAGATGCAGTGCTTCACTGTTGAGAAGGATGTGTAATTGAATTCTTGGTAATCACTGAGAATGGTGTCTATTGTTGAATGTAGAGTGCTCACAGAAGTCTTGCCTAGGGAGTTTGCTCTGTTCTAAGGTGAATTCTCCATAGCTCAACTCAAACATGAAAGGTGTCCTGGCATTGAGCCAAATGCCTAGGCCAGGGTGTTCTCTGGATCCTGCTGGGGTCACTGAAAGACCAAAGAAAGCACCCCAAACCTGGCCTGACATGAACCGAGAAAACTTGGGCAGCATTTGGCCCCAGGGTAAGGATGTGACAGAGCCTGCTCATTCTCCCTGCACTCACTTTGGCACACATTCAGCAATGCTCTATTTGATTGCTACCTTTCCCTAATAAAGAGCTAGGCTTTTAGTGGATGTTCTGATTCTCATAATGCAAAGACAGAAGGTATGTGTGAAAGTCTCCAGTAACACTATGCTTCCTGCACATAGTCTACCCATTAAATGACTGACTTGGATTTCTTGCAAAGATTGAATGCTGGAGGTAATTTAATAATTTAAGTATAATATAAACATTTAAAGTTAAAAAAAAAAAAAAGAAAAAAGACTGATCTGGGTTATTAAACTTTTTAAATATGAAAGTGATTTCTGAAAAATGTGCAAAAATGACTTTTACTCTTTTCTTACTTAAATACCATTATCATACAATATTCAAGTGATTTTGCTATTGGTGGGAAGTTTAGAATGCATCCTGATGAATATCAAGGATCTGCTATAAAAACAGATTCTCTTAAATATAATTTATGTGCATGCAACACACACAGTGTTTAAAATCCACATTCTTAAGTGCAGATGTGTTTTCAGTGTGGTCTCAGAGTGAAGGTTTCTATACAGGGTTTAGTCTGAGAAACAACTCGGGAAACAGATGAAAGGCATTTCAGATGATTACCCTAGAGACACAGTGGTTCTCAAGACTTGAGGCATATAGGCCATCCTGGGCTAGTAGACAAATTTTTGACATTTACCACCTGCTTAGCAAATGTCATACCAGTTCATTTTGATACTCACCAAATTTGTGACTTCCTAGACCAGACCACGTAGAGTCTCATATGGCTTTTATTTGGATTGCCTTAAAAATTGCCATATTTTCCCAATACCTAATAGTACTTCAATTTCTTAAAATACAGAGGAAAAAAAGAATAATTTTGCTAATTAAATCCTGTCAGAAGTACATGAATTCTGTTTTAAAACAACAATATTAAAGATTTTTGATTAGGAATAAAACATGGAAATTCCCAACTAAGATATAACATAGCACAAAAAAAAAAAACCAGTAATGATATAGAGACTACACAAAGGTAAAATAACAGCAACAAAAAAGGCACTGGGGTATATAATTCATATATGTATTTTAAGTAACTATTACCATTTTCTCTTAAATGCCCTAATAAAATAAAGCATTTTAAGATATGCTATAATACCTTAATAATAATTCATTACCATTATCTACATGATTCATTTTACCTACCTCTAAAAGAGAATTACTATCACTTTGCTATAAAGCAAACAGTTCTGAAAACTACCCACTTGGAATGCTGTACAGTGACCAGGCCTGGGTCTGTATTGCTCACTACTCTACATCCAGGACACAATGCACTGTTTGTCCCATCATAAGCACTGAATAAATTTGTTCATCTGACAAGTATTTATGAGCATCTACTATGTTTAAGGAGCTGTTCTAGGCACCTATATATACATCAATAATCAAAACAAAGATACCTGCCCAATGGATATTGCCGACTTGCTAAAAGTTAGATCAGCAGCCTTCTTTGAATATCAACTACTTCTGACATAGAGATGTGGCACAACTATATGAATGAAAGAAGAAAACAGTGTGAAATCAAGACTCGAAATTCTTTTGAGAACTAAGATATATTTTCTAATGCCTCTGTCCTTCAGTGGGCCTGCAGTGGGCTTGCATAGGACAGGGAAAAGGATTTAGGAATTCACTGCCACTTTGAGGTCATATGAGTTGATCTAAAATCTCAGTTCATCTTTCCTCCATCATATGTTACCTGGGTCACAGAGGGCATGAATTTAATAAGAGGTATTAAAAAAAGGAACTACTATCTAATGACAAGGCCGCCTTTTAAACTCTGTAATAGTTGTTTCCTGTTTATGCATAGGAAGATGTATATTTAGAAAATTTATAGTTCTTTTTAGAATGGCTAACAATTACCAGAATATGACACGTTTTATAGCCCCGTGCCTTTTCTTAAACTCTTCCCTTTGTCCCCAAAGACCCTTTTCTACTGTCCTTTTCCCTTCTCATCTCTTGTTTGTTAAACTGATGAATGAAAAAACACGTGAATGAATGGAGGTTGAGAGCTGCTAAAGGCTGGTTACAACCAGGAAAGCTTAGGGAGGAAGCTGGATGTTTACAGAAATGGCTTTAGGTGTCATTAGTTCTGTAATGTAGTCCTGTGTTGTTTCTGAAAACAAAGATAGACAGGACAGTAAGTTAAGCCCAAATCAGCAGGCTTTCTCCCCCCAAGTACTAGAATACAATAGCCACTCTGTCTCACAAATATATAAAAACACACTTGGCTTAGTTTCTTCAATATATTACTCTCATTTCAATTGAGCTCATTTGTAAAAAGGGCCCATCTGCAAAATGGCAACTGGGGCCTGTCCAAGTAGCAAAAAACATAAAAAAAACATCCAAAGAGAAAAAAACTTGAATCAAGACTTCAAAGTTAAAAAAAAAAAATTAGATTACATTTTAAAAATCAAATAATAAAATGTTTTTGTTATTTTTAAAAAAATTTAATGACAGGAGATTGTTGTGGTAGAATGAAAGAGCATATCACACAAAGTCCAAAGAGTCAGGTTTAGGTCAGTATTAGAAGTTGGATCTTGCATAATTTATTACTTCATTTTTGTGGACCTTAAGTCTTTCATTTATAAAATGGATAAGGAGATAATACCACATTTCCCAGAACAATCAGGAGAAGTGCCTGATACAATGTATGTGAAACATACTTACCACTGTTCATGTTAGTTCATATTAATTTCAGTTCCTCCTCTGCACTCCTTAGTACTCTTTACATATTTCCAGTGGCTTTTACCATAATATATTGTGATTATCTGTTATATGTAGGTTATTAATCTTTGTACCTGTCATTCTGTTATTCATTTTTGTACCTCCTTACACAATGGTGGCACACAATAAGTGTGCAAAAAATATTGTTTGAAGAGAATGAACACAAGTTGTTTTGTTAAATGAGCAATGACATTTCATTTCATTTCATTTTTTATTTTTTAGAAACCAAGTCTTGTCCCGTCACCCAGGCTGGAGTGCAGTGGTGCCATCTTGGCTCACTGCAACCAACTCCTGGGTTCAAGTGATTTTCCTGCCTCAGCCTCCTGAGTAGCTGGAATTACAGGCACCCGCCACCACACCCAGCTAATTTTTGTATTTTTAGTAGAGATGGGGTTTCACCATGTTGGCCAGGTTGGTCTCAAACTCCTGACCTCAAGTGATTCATCCACCTTGGCCTCCCATGTGCTGGGATTACAGGTGTGAGCCACCGTGCCCGGCCTAATAATGACATTTTAAAAACACAGAAGTATGCTTAAAATTCTAAACCAAGGTATTTCTCATCTTTGAAAAAGTTGCTTTTGCCAATTTGTAGATAGGCAGGCCTATCTACAAACAGGACAGTTTTCTACAGCTAAGTCTTCACATACTGGTTACTATGTAAGGCTTAAATTTGGTCTATTTAATGTTGAACAAAATTCTTTATCCTGTTGAACAAAATTATTCTTAACACAGCCAGAGTACCTGAATCAAGACTATGGGAGTAGCCAGTCCATCTCCTGGGCACCCTTACTGCACAAAGAAAACAAGTTACATATATTTTATAGCTCTAAGGCAACAACTACCCATGGAGTAACTTATGTCTAACACAGGCCGGGCACAGTGGCTCATGAGGTCAAGAGATCAAGACCATCCTGGCCAACATGGTGAAACCTCGTCTGTACTAAAAATAGAAAACAATTAACTGGGTTTGATGGCACACACCTGTAGTCCCAGCTACTCGGGAGGCTGAGGCAGGAGAATCGCTTGAAGCTGGGAGGCGGAGGCTGCAGTGAGCTGAGATCACATCACTGCACTACAGCCTGGTGACAGAGTGAGACTCCATCTCAAAAAACAAACAAACAAACAAAAAACTTATGTCTGCCACAACCAGCCAATAACACTGCCATTTGTTTAGGCTTCCATTTTTACTTCAAACACAAAGTTTTAGATTCTCTCTCTATCTTAACTAAAATCAAGAAGCTGGCACTACCAAATGTTATTTAATTCTATAGTGAGATGGCTTTTAATTGGCTAGTCTTACAAAAATGGTAGTCAAATACAAGCATAATTGTGATCAATAACTGTAAAATAGTTTGTAGTATATAAATTCCAAAATTCTTTTGAATATGAAGAAAATTTTACATTCAAGTAGATCACTTTTAGGTTCCTATAATAACATTTAAGCTTGGTAACATGCTACCAGAACTTGGTTATTTTTTGGTAAGCCATCTTTTTCATCTAAAAGGAGTAAAAGAAGAATAAGATGTAAAATATACTCATTTAAGCTTAAGGTGGAGGAAGGAAGAACTTTAAAACCTAATTTGGTTTGACCAATTAACGTTCTGATTGTACTCTACAGGGAGAGCACACAAAGTGTATACATGCACACACAGACATCAGTGCTGATGTGCAGGGACAAATTTAAGAGCTACCTCCCATTATGAGGACATAAATTCACAAACACACTCCTACAGCATTTCCAAATGGAAAGCATGGGCATCTCATTAGGGGTCGAACATAGGGCATAAAAAAGTACAACGACCTTGCTGGGTTTGGCTTCTCTTTCACATCTAAGTTCCTTGTAAAACAGGCCAACCATGAGAGGATGTTTAAAACCTGTAGCATTAAAAAAGAATCTAGGGTCATATAATTATTTCATAAATATCTGTAAGACTGAGGAAAGTTGGATGCTCCTCTGTTTCCTGCAATTCAAAGGTAAGTGAAAACCAACTTTGGAATTAATAGCTTTCAGAGATCTGAAAGCGTTCTAATACCAGGATTTTCAATGCTGCAATTTAACGACAACCCTGCTGTTGGCCTTTTCTGACCTGTTGTGAAGTAAATCAGGCAAACTAATGTGGGCTAACAAGTCTTTTTCACACCGTTCGATCCCCCTGCTTCTCTTTTCTCCGCAGACATCGCCTTTCTCCCACTTTCTGTCTAGCCATCCTCCGTCAAAGCACACAAAATGGCCACTGTAACCCTGCATCACTGCTCATTAGATCACAGGTTAGTCAAGTGGAACTGCCCGGGGTTCCCAAAGGAGAGCTATACTTCAAAAATCTGTCCATGTCAAATGAAGAAAAAAACCCTGAGCGTGGGGTCACCCAGATCAATGATCAAAAGAAACTGAGAATGAAGGGGGAAAAAAGCACACCCTCGTTTTTGTTAAAAACACACAGGTCTGATTTATTATAAGGAATACAGAGATACGATGGGGTTTCCTCCTCTTCTGCCCTGTTTTCATTTTTTAACTAAGTAATTTGTTTTAATCAGGTCCTGTTGGTTGTTAAACTTCAGACTTTGGAAAGTCTACAACTAATCCTTAAAATTTCCCCCAAAGAAAACCCATTCTAGGAAATCCAGTTTTAAGGAGGACTCCTAAATGTTTCCAAAAACACTTGAAAAGCAATAAAAGTAATACAAAGTAATCCATCTTTAATGCTTGAGAAGATTCTATTTAAATCTGAGAGTAAGAGTTGGTGCGACATACACTTTAATATGCTTTAAAATAATCCGAGTAACCTCTTGAGCCTTCAAAGAGGGGAAACAACAATCTGTCAATCACGTTAGGAGCACACACAAGTGACATACTATAAAAAGGCAGATTTCTGGATTTTGGTGAGGCTGCAAAGATATGCAGGTAGGCCTATACCTTGTTTAATCATCTCCCTCATTTCTTCTATGCTATTCAAAGTACAACATTCTATATTTGCATTTGTACTTTTTGAAAAAATAACACTACTAATATAACAGTACCGCAAACTTGACATATTAAAAATGAGGGCAGAATGATATATCTGGAACATCTTAAAGAACAAGACTTGGTATCAAATTTCACAAGTGAAAATCACCAAAAGATTTGGTTTTCCTGGTTTCCTCATAACTAGAGAGAAAAGTACATTTTATCGGCTAATGATTAAAAAAAAATTTCTGCCCGCAATACCACATATATGAATGAAAGTAAAATAAGTTAACTGCTTATAATTTAACCTAGCAAAAGTTGTAAGGGTTGTGTAAGGGCTTTATAGCTTTGCAGTATTTTCTTTTTTACATTTGGAATTTATTCTTTAAGTACCCTCAAAGGAATATAAATATATTCCTTTGTGACTAAATTAAATATTTTTTGTTTGACTTTTGTGTATTTAAAAAGCACTCCCATGACACTTACTCTATACCAGACACTGATATAATTGCCTTATGGAACATTAACTCATTCAACCCTCAAAACAACCCTGTCAGGAGGAGGGGGAAGAAAGCAGGGAGCAACTGTTAATAATGAGTAAGACTCTCTATGTGCTATGCCCTCCTTTAATCCTCACCATTCACTACAAGGTAGGTTCTAGAATTAGCCCCATTTTACAGATGAGAAAACAGACTTTTAAGTTTTTGCCCAATATAATTTAGATGGTCAACAGTGAGAAGGATTTAAATCCAAAAGTTCTGACTTCCCAGTCTTACTGTTTGTCATCTCCAAACCAAAGTGCCAAGTTAAATATTCATCAAGTTAAACCTGGGTATATCCTGTGACCCCCCCGTAACTGCAATTTTACATGTATTCACTTGAGAAATGCTTGCATATACAAGGAGACATGTACAAAGATATTTATCAACAGCTCTGTTTATAATCACAAAAAATCTAGAAAGAACTTAAATATAAAGAAAACACCAGAACATTTTTTAAAAAGCTGTAAGGCATCACATATAAATTTTTATCACACAAACCATTATCATATATTATTTAGAGACACATGTATATGTAGTCAAAGCATAGAAATGTACACTGGGAAAGATACACACCAACTTTAAGATATTTCTTGCTTCTGAAGGAGAAAGGATGGGAAAATGATGAGGAAGGGAAAGGAAGGGGCTTTAAATGCAGCTTTCATGATTTGTTTCATTAAAGAAAAGATCTGAAACAAACATGATAAAATGTTAACATTTTATCACGGGTAATGGGTTGGATGGGTTTGTCTGATATTTTCTATACTTACCTATATGTTTGAAATTTTTCATAATAAACACGGTATGACTGCTTAGATGTTTACCTCATGCAATCACAAATAAATTGTGAAATTACTGCACATGGTTCCTCTAAGTCCTCTCCCTCATTTGACTCAGTAAACTGCTAAAAATTCATACCTTGGTAACAAGTTAGAGATTAAACTATTAAAATTAATTTTCTTAAAAGTGTTTTAGAAGTACCATCTTTAAGAAAATCACTAAATTTGAAGGAATTTAATGAATTCAAATACGGACTATATTAATATATAGTCTATGTTTCATTTTGTTGCTAAAGAAAATTCATTAAGTTGGCATTTCTAACCTTTTGACATTCAAAGTTTAGTAATAAAGCAGCCTGGTTTCAGACTGAGAATTGTAAATTAGAGCTGAACAGGGCACTTGACTAGAAAAGTGAACTACTTTTCACTGTATACCTTTTTGTAAAATTGTACCACATGGCTTTATTAATCATTCAGGCTGATTATTAAAATAAGATTGAAGATTTAAAAATTATGTAATATCACATGGGGATCCAAATGAAAATGATAGAAATACATTTTCTATAGAACCTTAGTTAGTCATACAATCTTAATTGACAGAGGATGGATCAAGCAATCTCAACTACAATTCTTTACAAATGTATGCATATTTGTAAACAAAATGAGTGAGAGAAGAGTTGTTATTCTAAAAATAATTGTGGTGAAAGTAAACCCACAAATTACAGCCACAACTCTTCCTTTAACATCTTAAAAATATGATACAACTTTAAATAACATATATTTTTCAGTTCGGCTTTACCAGGCTAAAGAAACATATGACAAAATTTTGACTAACTAGAGTATAAATAAAAACAAATAATGAAAGAATTATAATTTTTGTATTCCATTTTTAACAGATGAAATTACAAAATTACAGATTCATATTGAGTGTTTTATAAAAAAGCAATGTCTAGGACCTAAAAGTCAGTCATTGCTTCAACAAAATTATTTTCTGCATCTACACTGCTAGAACTAATGTTCTAAATAATTGAAGGGCTACTACAACATTCAGAATAATTAAAGAAGCCTGTATTTCCCTAGAGCAGAAAACTGTGCTGTATTAGCTTAAAACTGTATTAGTTTAAAAGATTTAACAATATGAAAAGAAAACAAGGAGCTTCTCTGGTAAAGAAAAAAAGATAGCTATAGTGCTCAAAAACATTTCCATTAACAGTAACAGGCCATTCATTACTCAAGTACCTGATGACCTCATGCTTTGCCTTAAAATCTATTCTCATTTTTTCACTTAAAAAATGGACTTAATTTGCTTATTAACATAAGTCATTAAAAAGCCAGTGTTAAGAAAACAGAAAAATGTCCCAACTTATACTTAAAGAAAAACATCAAAGTTAATATGCAAAATTGGTATCCAAAATATGCAGAAACATGTATTTCCATATTCATGGCTGTCTATTTAAATAATTTACATATTAAACATTTAAATAATTCAAATATTTACACTTAACTCTCCAATAAATTTGACCAATACTATTTTATTTTTTGTTTTGTTTTTTTTTTTGAGACAGAGTCTCACTCTGTCACTTAGACTGGAGTGCAGTGATGAGATCTTGGCTCACTGCAACCTCTGCCTCCTGGGTTCAAGTAATTCTCATGCCTCAGCCTTCCAAGTAGCTGGAATTACAGGCGTGCACCACCACGCCCGGCTAATTTTTGTATTTTAGTAGAGAATGGGTTTCACCATGTCGGCCAGGCTTGTCTCAAACTCCTGGCTTCATGTGATCCACCCGCCTTGGCCTCCTAAACTGCTGGCATTACAGGTGTGAGTCACCATGTCTGGCCTAATAAATACCACTTTAAATGAAACTATATGAAAACTGAGTAAAATGTAAATCTTTATGTATAACAAGAAAGAAAGTGTTCTTTCTAAACAATTTGTGCCATGTTTTGGAAAATCGGGACATTTATCTGGACACAGTGATTTGCTTTCCCATAATAATAATAATAACAGTAGTAACAATAGTGTTTTGTGCATATACATTGTACCTCCATCTCAAGATCTTTTTTGGCCTATTTTTCAGGATCCCTCTAATGATTATTCAGTCTTCTCTTCAATGAAATATGCTAACGCCTGATGAGAGAGCATCTTTCTTTCATAGCACAGTTAACAACTGTAATTCTTCAACCAGCTGTTCTCTAAGGATTCCCCTGACAAGCTCTTATTTTCATTGCATTATTTCTTTGTTCTCCTTGTCTAAACTGTACACAAGTTACCCAGATTTTCCACTCTGGCCCCTTTCAATAAAGAACTGCTTTGGCTTGACAAATAATTAGTCATAACCAGTATTAAAAAATAAATATTACAAATTCTACATGCTAAAATTATATTGTTCTATGTGACTTCTAAATTACTTAACAGTTCATATGTAGAACCTTCTTCCCATAAGGCTCCATTGGTTTAACTTCTCATTTATGAAAACAATCCCAGTTATTTTATGGAGCTAGTTACCATGTAAACATTATAGCCCATAATCTTATGTCAGGTGTAGCATGAACTAAAACTCAATCTATGTATACTGTGTTTAGGGCAACTGAATCCAGATACTTGAACATATTAAGATATAAGCCTAAATAAAACAAAATTAAACCCTACTTGACTCTTCTCCTTTGTAACCTAGTAAAAAACTTGTAAATTTTTTTTTTGTTGTCAAATATTTATATGTGTACCAATTTAGATCTTGGAATTTCTACTAAAGAAAGTAATTACCACTTCACTATTAGATACTGTGATAACAAACACAGCAAAGACCATAACAGGCCCAGTCAGTTGAAAGCTATGTGCTACCTTCAAAATGAGATATTTTTCTTCATTAGACCTTTGTAGTATACCTTCTTATTGGTATTGAAGGTGTGCCTCATATCTTCACTCAAAACTACTAGATAACCTTTTTTCATGGTATCAATCCTCGAAGTGGTAATGTGACTATTGAAATAATAGAGTCATGGCTGAATATAAAATTCTATATAAAGAGATATTATTAAAGAAAAAGAATGAGAGACTGTAGATACCAATAAACAAAAGTGAAAGGAGGTACTATAAACAAATTACTCAGGTTTGGATTAGTTCATTTCCAAGCCTATGTACACTGGAAGAGTGGCCACTTCTAAGTTGCATTCAGTCTATTACATGTACCGTTGTACATGTCCAGTTCATTGTTTTCATCAAAGGCACATGCAATTCATAGGTAAGGAAAAAATAAAGTGGCAAGGAGAAAAAGCCTGTTTCTAAGTAGGAGAGTATTCTATTCATTGCAAAAGATGAAAGCAGGTATCTCTTATTACATGTTTTTGTTCTCAGAGGAACAAGGCCAAAAATATGTGATTTTCGTATTTGTGCTAACGCAGCAGAACTTTTCAAAGTCACTGCCAGAAATGGACCAGCTTTCTTACCTGTTTTTTCCATGCTTTAAGTTAAGGATGTCTGCCTCATTATGAACATTGCTGGTTCCCCCAGACTTCTGTAGTCTGGCTTTGCTGTGATTACTGGTCAAAACCTTTAATTACAGTATATAGTTTGTGCAGCTGCCTGGAAATTGGTCTCAGGGTCAGTGGCTCTTCCCGTTCCCCTCTTTCCATTCTTTTGAAGCAATATTGCTGAACTGAAGGCATTGTTCCAGCTTTCTGGTGTGCTCTGTCTGCTGCACATTATGAATAGCTTTGCAATCACTCTAGCAATTGGTTCTTCAACTGCCTTTAGGTTGTCAATTGTAATTCATTGGCTTCAGGCACCTTTTCTCTTTTCATTCTCTTGAGGTCTTTTATTACTTAATTTGCAATAATATTAGGGAATGTCTTCTTCAGACATGTCACTAATGCCTTACTGATTATGAGGCTGGGGGTACATTTGACTTTCATACATGCGCCTGTTAAAATGTTTCAATATTTCCTTCATCTCTGTGACTTGTGATGCCAATATTTGCAGTACCTTGCAAAGAAGTTTGCTTAATGCTGAAGTCTTCTCTCTAAAGAATAATCTAAAGACTCCTCCTTAAGATATTCTTATTGGGGTTAATTTATATAATTAGTTATAGTTATTTTTATAACTTCCCAAAGATATGATTTCTCATTTTTATAATAGGAACTAAGATTTCATATTTTCTTCCCATATTATGCCCTATTCTTTTTTAACATATAAAAATTATAATTTCAAGCTCCACACAACTCAGAGATACTGAAGTAGAAATCAATGGCTATGTTTTCAGAACCTTTTAAGAAGACCTGTATTTGCTCCTCAGACATATTTGTAGAGATTATATAAGAAAATATTAAGACTATTCAAAATGAGTGACAATGCTTCTGCATTACAGAATCAAGAGGAAGTTTTGTTTCTGTTTTTTCAGGGGAAGGAATAAACAAATATATCTCTTGCTCCATTAAGAAAAAAAGTAAACCATTTGTGCATTATGTCTCAAATCCTTAGTTCTGGATAAAATCCAACAGATTAACCCTTCTCATTAGTCTCAGCCATCTCAGAGCAACCAAGGGTATTTTAAAGCAGACACTATGTAATAATAATAATGATAATAATTATCATAATTATAATAACTAACGCTTATTGTGCTTTTTATCTTCAAAGTACCTTACTGACATTAACTATGTCTCTATTTTCAAATTAATTTACCTCGACAAATGTTTTATTAACTTTGTAAGCTATGGAATGTGTAGTGACTGAGTTCTCTTTTGCAAATAAAAAAATAAATGAAAGGAACTAAGGGACAAGGAAAGGGTACCTTAAACTTTTGCCTCAAATCAGCCATTGCCTTTGTTGAATGAGGATTAATGAAATGCTAATTTTTATAAAATATAATATTAACATACAGATCTAAAGTGTGAAGATCACCACTACAACAACACAAATACATACTACCTCAAAAAGATTAGAAAGTAGCCAAATAATATTGTTTGGATAAAATCAGTCTCTAACTTTACTAGTTATGATTCATTATAAAATATTTAAATATGCATACAAAGTATTAAATATAAGAATTTTTTAAAATCCTTCTAAGTTTCACTTACGTAATAAATGATTTTATTAATTAAAAGGCTACATTTTTTTATTTGTTTGTTTTTTGAGACAGAGCCGCACTCTGTCACCCAGGCTACAATGCAGTTGTGTGATCTTGGCTCACTGCAGTCTCCACCTCCCGAGTTCAAGCAATTCTCCTGCCTCAGCCTCCCAAGTAGCTGGGACTACAGGGGCGCGCCACCATGCCCAGCTAATTTTTCTGCTTTTAGTAGAGACGGAGTTTCACTATGTTGGTCACGCTGGTCTCGAACTCCTGACCTCAAGTGATTTGCCTGCCTCGGCCTCATTTGTTTTTAATAAATTGAATTCATCACTTTAAAACCATGTCATTATGTTCCCTTAGAGCTTCATTATGTACCAGTCTCTATGTGATAAATCTAAACAGGAAAAAAATAGATTTTGATGCTAGCAAACAACATAAGTTCTATAAGATAAATATAAGCAATTATTTTAAAATGTATTAAAAGAATATCATTTGGCCAAGATGTCCAGCCAATTTCTATGAGGGATTTTGGAAAGAGAATAGTACCCTGATATGGTGTTAAAAAAAGTCCACAAATAGACAAACACAAATGTAGAAACATAAAATCAAACATTTGTAAATACGATAATTAACAAGTTGAATCTTTTTAAAACTATGTATTAACATGGTTAGAGTGGTGAGGATTCGAGGAAGATGTGGTTTGTAAGCAATATTAACAGGTCAGGTTTGGTGTTTCAGGAAAATAAAAATTTTTATATTCAAGGATAAAAATAGATGCATTGGCTTGAGTAAAGAGAGAGTAAGGAAATCTGGATAAAGTTGATGGTATGAAGGCAGTAAGAAAGGATGTATGGTAAGATTCGGAGGTAGTCACTCTTTCAAACAAAATACAGTTATCCCTTGGTATCTTTTGAGGATGGGTTCCAGAATCTCCCATGGATACCAAAATCTGAGACGCATAAATCCCTGATATCAAATGGAGGAGTATTATCATATAACCTATGCACATCCTCCCATATACTTTAAATCATCTCTAGATTACTTATAATACCTAATAATGTAAATGCTACGTATATAGTTGTTATACTGTATTATTTAGGGAATATTGACAAATAGACTATACGTGTTGAATTCAGAGAATGGTGTTTTTCCCTGAATATTTTCAATTGGTTGTTGGTTGAATACATGAATGCAGAACTCACAGATATGGAGGGTTGACTGTTTATTGACCACAGAGACATAAACAAGCCGTAATTCCTGTCCTTCAACAAACTTACAACCTTAAGGAGTAGACAGAGAAGTTATAGGCGAAATTCTAATATTATGATTTGGATAAGCGCAGGTTGCCAAGGGAAATCAGATGAGAGAGCCCAACTTTGGCATGGGCATTCAAGACTACTTCCTGATGTAATACATCATCTTGAGGGGGTTGTATTAGTCCATTTTTACACTGATGATAAAGACATACTCAAGACTGGGAAGAAAGAGAGGTTTAACTGAACTTACAGTTCCACATGGCTGGGGAGGCCTCAGAATCACGGTGGGAGGTGAAAGGTACTTCTTCCATGGTGGTGGCAAGAGAAAAATGAAGAAGGGGCTAAAGCGGAACCCCGTGATAAATCCATCAGATCTTGTGAGACTTACTACCACGAGAATAGCACAGGAAAGACTGGCCCCCACGATTCAATTGCCTCCTCCTGGCTCCCTCCCACAACACGTGAGAATTCTGGGAGATACAATTCAAGTTGAGATTTAGGTAGGGGCACAGCCAAACTACATCAGGGGTTTTCCTAGTGAATTAGGAATAGTGAGTGGTACATAAGCATAAGTGAGTGAAGAAAAAGGAATCCGATGCACATTAACATAGAAGATCTGTGGAATTACATTCGATTCCAGAAGGGATTAAAAGATTATTAATATTAGAAGGTTTTAAAATATGGGTATCATGAAACTTCGATAGGAAGTTTGCTTGTTCTGCTCTGTGTTGAAAAATAGTGAGAAAAGAGGAGATCTAGGGGTGTAAACTATTAGGAAACTCTGAGAAGCACTTCAGAGGCAGAAGTGGGAGAATGAGACTGTGAAAAGTCTAGATGTGGAGAATAAAAAAGAGTACGAATTGAAAAAGGCTTCAAAATGTTCACTTTACATAAAATGAAGATATGTATGTGACTGAAGGAAGATAGTGGAAAGGAATGGGGGTTTTAAAAGAGAACATAATAAATTACTTTTTGTATATACATTGACATATATTGAGATGTATAACTTTATTACCCTCACCTAAATAATTTGCTTGATAAAATGGACATTTCTTATATAACGTATTTGCTCATGGAAATTTTGCTTTTGGTGGACAAGGCACACTTTAATCATATTGCTTGGTAGATGCAAGAAACACAGGTATACAGAGGAAAAAACAGTGAGATCAAGGTGGATAGACATAGAATCAAGAAAATCAGGTATACAAAATTAATTTTATCAAAGAATGCATATAGAAATAAATGAATTAATGTATAATAAATAAAATATTCTGGCTGTTTTAGTACTTACAGCTTAAAAGTTGCTCTTCAAAATACACTTAAAATAATGACATTCTTATACCTAATGAAATGATTGCTAATTCAGAAATATTTATTTCTCTTGATAAATATTTTCAAGAGATAGCTGAGTCATTCAGTGGAAAATTGACTTCCAAACCCTCTCATTGTTTCCTCAATATTTAATTGTAACAGCGTGCAGTGCATCTGTAAGGAATGAACGAAAAACAGTTTGTATCTCTCATACCATTTTAGAATAAGTATACGTCCCATAGGGGAATTTTCAAGCTGCTCACACCATAGGTATGTACACTGCTCCATGTGAAATCAAATCAGTATTCTAAAATGCTGCCAAGAGGCAGGTCAAGATACTTGGAAAACTCTTAAGATTTAGAGTATATGACACTTTCCAATGATTATTTTACAAACACATTTCTCTACACATACAGAAAGCAGTATTAAATTAAGCTAAGCATTTTACACGATTTAAACACTGCTTTGCATTTTTTAATAAAAGATTTGTCACATGAAGTCAGAGAAGATACTCAGTACTTCATAAAGCTACCAAAAAAGAAATGATCTGTTATCAAGCAATATAAATATAAAATAATTTAAACTATAGTTTATTATCTAGAGACACAGATTGCCCAAGAATTTCAGTCTTTCAAAACTCTGTCTGATCCTTTGTAGAAAGGAAAAAAAGTACACAAGGTAGAAATAATCACCTATAAATAAGTAGTTATAATTAAATGTGATAGTTAAATACCATAGAAACACACTAGCACCCTCTTCCAGAAGATGTCTAATACTAAAAAGCGAAAATTAAATAAACTCTTCATGCACAGAGTAATGAATGCATTGTTCAAAAAAATCTGAATATTTATAACCAAAATAAAACATGGTCTAAAAAACCAGTAATGTTTATATCATTACAAAAATACTTGCAAATACTTTTCTCGCATTTATATCTTGTTTTTCAAACATAACACAAAGTTCTATGCATGTCATAATAACAAACTGAATTAAAATTGCATAAAAATTGAGAAATGGCCTGATCACAAATTTTAACTTTAATGTTGACACCCTAATTTAGAAGCTGTATTTTCCTGTGTTAATGAGCCGTGGAACAAATAGAGCCATTCAACCTTATAATTCTGCCTCAAAACTCTGTTTCACAGTCTTCATATTTCTCAATTAGTATTTGCTTTAATAGAAAATATTCAACAAATACTTAACACTGTACTTTTGATATACTATTTCTGAAAAAGTTAAATACTTTTGGATTAAGGATATAGACAAACATCAAATCAGATGACATTGCTAGAAAATATAGACTGTTTCATGTTAACAAAACGTGTTCTTTTATAAGACACAATGTCCAGTAAAATGAAAATAAGATTTTAAAAACCAGGAGGTAAAAGAATCACAATCAGCAACTGTGTAGAAGGAAAATAGGATTACATTTATTGGCTACTATATCAACTTAACTTCTCATAAAACCCTCCTGATCTATTAAATAACTTCAGAACTGAAGTATGCTCTCCTATGGGAGTTGTAAAACAAATTAGTTACAATTACAATTCAATACAAATGAGAAACCAACCTATTTACCCTTAAGATTTCTCTCATTTTATAGCTTTATCATTTAAATTAGATCAGAATTTTCCCTAATGTACCAAGTGGGCCACTTGACATAATAATAAATTTTTCTCGAATGCTTTCTATAGAGAAAAATAGTTGATATGAGTAAATTCTGGAATTCACCTCCCCAAAGTGAATACAACAAACATCTGTTGCAAGAATTGCTTGGCTTTCAGACAGTATGTAAAGGGTGTTCTTTTTCCTAGAGTTTTGCTGTTGTTGTTGTTTTTTTAAGCTTGTTTAAAAATACATGTTTTCACTATCAGCTCTCAAGACATAAAATCTTAAAATTCTGGTAAGTTAAACCCAGGTCATTACCAGGTATATTACAGAAAGAAAAAATATGTAATGTACAAGACTACACTTGCTTTTGAAAGGGCAAGAAAATAATTGGGCATGTTGCCCTCTCTCTGTGGGTTACATAGTAATTTTAACCATTGTCTTCATTTCTTAATTCAGTGCTCCACACAAACATAGCAACACTCATAGTAGGGGAGGGGACTACATATACAACTTCCTTATGATTTTTATTCTCTTTGGAGTCCCACTGATAATTTGACTTTCTCTTTTGAATTTCACTGGCTTCTCCCCACTTCTAAAGTCAACAGTATCCAGACACACTCATCAACCAATAGTGTGTTTGTACAGTTTCACTCCAGTGACAGGATAAATTATTGCACATTTTCTGCATTAAACATAAAATGTAATAATTTCAATGGAGTGAGAAGAAGAATCAATAGCCTTTATGACTGATTATCTTTTCTAACTGAATCAAAGTTTAGTGCTTTTTGGTAAGTTGAATGCACCTTCCTTGATTCTGACAGATCAGAATTTTGCCTAAAATTCACAAGTATTTTGCAGATTAAAATACCATCTTTTTAGCATTGGTAAATTCCATAAAACATACACAAATTAGCAGGTGCAAATGAGTAAGAATGCTTATCAGCAATAGGGCACAGGATGTGCAACACCTTTAGGAAAGAGAGAATAAAAAGACGACCGTTATCTAAATACATTTCTAGTAACACATGACTTTGCTCACTTTTCAATCTTCTACTGCCTCTTCTATAATACCAATGCCTGCTCCCAACGATTTTAAAGTTATTGTTTACAAAATGTTTAAGATTCAATTCCACAACTCCATTTTTATGCCAACAATAAGGTACTGATTTAATTCTTAAAACATTCCTGAGAGCATTTCAACAAGGCATTTTAATACAGTACACAGAGAAACTTCTCTGTCATCAAGAAATGGGAAAAATCTAGGATATATCCTTTTCTTTTTAGGCCAGACCCAAAGTAAGTATAACCATGTCACTGTGCTTCCATAAACTTCAAGACTTATAATGGAATTAGCCCATGTATCCCATTAAAGCAGTCTAAAGTGTAGACATGCACCTGTATGGTATATGTTTATTTAATTATGGGGAAAAATGCTTTACTTAAAGCAGTCCCCATATTGGTATTATGCAAATTCCATTACAAGCAAAAGTTTTGAGAAAAGTAAATTTAAAATGGATACAAATAAAAAGGAAACTCAAAGCCACATATGCTCCAGTATACACAAGTTTAGAATCATTTTCAGACCATATCTATGACAACGCTACATTTATAACTATCAGTCTTACTGAAAGATGAATCACAAAAAGAAGGAAAAAGATATTTGCTCTTTACCTAGGAAAGACAGCCAGTCAACACACACAAGGAATACTCAGAAGCAATTAATTGCTAAAAGCTTCCTTTATTCAATGTGATCATCTTTCATTCCTATGGAGGGTAACCATAAGTCATATGTTAGGTTTAAAGATACATTACTTTCAATTATATGATGTCTAAGGAAAACAGATACACAGGTTCATAACTTTAAAAGCAGAAAGAAAAAATCTTTTTTCAGATATTGCAAATAACTTGAATAAAGTTATCTGAAGTTAAAATGGCACTTATATCTATGTTTTATCAATGTGTATATGTATTATGTATATATTACATACACACATTATACTGTCTACATGTAGTAGTGTACACATACATATTACAAGATTTTTTAGAATGAATAGCTGAATAACAATGCATTCTCAGCAAACGACCTTATAATCATAAACTACCCTTCATTACATACTATTATATCTACTCTATAGGCAGAAAAACTGATGCTGAGAAGTTAAAAGATTTACAAACTAAGGTCTTAAAAGCACATTAGGAGACACCATCATTATAATGCTGAAGATCTTCACATTAATGACTTTCTGAATAGATTTTTATTGCTGTTTTTTACTTAATTACTTAATATTATCTATAAGGTATTTTTCAAACTCTATTCTTTAAAAGGTGCTACGTACTTAATGCTGAATGAGGCAACTAAAGTGAGACATGAGCTCTGTCTGTTGAATAATGGGTCCTTGCCTTTCTTTTTTTTAAACTGTGTTTCTAAAATTTGAATAAAAACTCTATTTATATGGTTCTTCTACTTAGGTGTTTAAACTTCAAAGTAAATTATCCAAATTAATCCTATTAACTTATCATAATAAATTGGATTATTCTCATTTTAGAGGTGAGAAGCCAGGCACAAGAATAGGCTATCTGCCGTGGGTCACACACTAAGTGTGAGGGAGGTCTGGAGTTAGAACATGTTATGTCCTTGGCTCCTCATTTATTTTTCAGGCTGAAAGGCAAGATTGTTCATATTAATCATCTCATTCCAAAATCACTTGAGGAAGCATGCAATTTTCTGAAGGAGAGGGGAAATCATATCCTGAAAGTTACAAGTATAAAGGAATACATCAGGAGTTTTGATTTCACTGTACTTACGTTATAATTCACTATAATTTAAGTTTTAAAAACTATTCACATATCTCATTACTGCAGTACCATGAATCACAAGCTCTATTGGCTGAGACTCTATTTGCCTAGAATTAGTCTCATGCTTTTATAGGAGAGATACAAGCTAAGAAATAAAATTAAATGAGGAAGATAAACATTGGTTCCATGTTAAAATGTATTTGATGGCATGGAATTTGCAAGACATCAATTTTCAGCCTAGCAGATTACAGAATAGGATCCATTAATCCTAGTCAACATTGAACACTTCAGAGGAACAAGAACATGACACCTGAAGGCGAGTAATGCATGGAAATACTCACGATATGTTCCTAGAAAAGCTGAAGAAGAGAATGAACTAAGTCCACAGGTTAAAACAACATTAAATAACCAGGCCTTTAGCCCCTCAAAATAGATGAAAAATATAACCAGAAACATCTTTTAACCATTGCTAAATAGCTAGAAAACTCTGTGCTCTCCAAGTAGGGTTAGGTATGTAAACAAGTGCTAACAGATTGATATAGGCTTTCTGCTTCCTATGAAAACTAAGGTTTCATGTTGAAAGCAGCATAACCAGCACATTCCTAATTACATGCATTTTTCCAGGTTCCAACGTGGCAGCAAAAGTACAAGCAAGGAAGACAAAGAGTTGTCATGCTAATGAGACATACCTCTTGTACTGAGCGAGCTGCTGGCTTGTCTTGATGATTGGCCAATATTAAAAAGGGTAAAGTGCATAACTGTGGATGCTGAAGAGCTGAGTGCAGCTCATTTCTAGCAGCTTCTAAATCATCCTCTGAAGAGGCACTGTCTAATACAAATATTACCCCTTGAGATCCTTGGTAGTAGCGGCTCCAGTATTTCCGGATGTTATCAGCCCCTGTCAAAAACAAAACAAATTTTCGTTTTAAAAAGAGCTTTCAGCAACTGAAAAATGTTCCCAACAGTAATTCCTACTGGAAACCAATGTACCTTTTAAAAATTAAGTGCTAAACTCTGTGGTATGGATTAAAACAGGAATTTAGAAAAGGCAGAAATCACAGTGGATGGGAACAAAGAAGGCAGTAGAGCCAATAGGTAGATTTGGCCTTGAAGGAAGACACAAAATCCAAGCCATTCTTAATGACTTTTATATAAAAATGTGTGTGAGAGAACCAGGATAAATACTTCCTAGACTTAAACTCAAAAGGATATTTTCAGACTTTAATCATCTCAAATGAACTACACACTCTCTAAAAATTGAGACTGAACCTGCCTCAGAGAGCTGCATGGCCTAGACATCCACCAACGCTTCTTTCCAAACCATTAACATTAGCTTGGTGATACTTTTTTAACAGAACTGCTTGCTGATCAGGACAGCCTTGTTTAATTTCACCTAGGGAGTTATTAGCACAATAGCTTTATGTGTCAAAGTGCTAAAGTTTGTGAAAAACTAAAATCATGGCCTTTGATACAATTACATGATTCTGTTTGGCTTCATAACCCATGAGGAAAAATAACAGACAACAGGTGTACACTTATGATCTCAATGAGATAAGATGTTTATTAAAACAAACAAATAAACAAACAAACAAACATATGGAGAGGCTGGGCGCGGTGGTTCACACCTGTAATCTCAGTACTTTTGGAGGCCAAGGCAGGTGAATCACCTGAGGTCAGGAGTTCAAGACCAGCCTGGCCAACATGGTGAAACCCCATCTCTACTAAAAATACAAAAATTAGCCGGGCGTGGCGGCGGGTGCCTGTAATCCCAGCTACTTGGGAAGCTAAGGCTGAGGCAGGAGGATCGCTTGAACCCGGGAGGTGGAGGTTGCAGTGAGCCAAGATCGCGCCACTGCACTCCAGCCTGGGCAACACAGCAAGGCTCCATCTCAAGAAAAAAAAAAAAAAAAGCAACACCACATGGAGAGTCTCATCAGCCAAGGCATGTCATGTAGTATTCCTCTTTGTATTTCCATTATATAGCACAACATCTAACTCAAAGTTCAGTACTGGAATAATGAAAATTGAGGGAATGAGGGAGTAAAATTATATACTAATTAAGCTTTACAAATTTGAGACTAGAACAAACTCTAGAGATGATTTAGTCCAACTCTCTGAGGAAACTGAGGCAGACAGAGGTAAAGTAAGTGATCCCTTGTCATGTATCTAATAAATCACAAAATTGGGATTTGCATGAGTTAGCAGACAACCTGCCCAGGGAAGGCATAGGCACTTCCCATTACATCATGGTGACTGTTTTCATCACTTTCATTCAAGAATAGGAGGGGCAATATGTGTGCATGTGTAGGAAAGGGGTGCTACTGGTTATATAACGACAATTAGATTTCAAGGAATTTCACCAATTTATTGCATATGATCAAGTCCTAACCAGTTAATAACTGTATTTCAGTCATCCACTGAACATCTAGCTCCTATGTTTGACATATTGTTATGTGTTAGGGAAACAGTGGGGACTGCAGTTGGTGTGCCCTGGCTGGCAAGGGTCACCTGTTTGCTTCTCTTCCCAACTCTGTGCTCAGTGACATCCTGTTGGTAGCTTGAAATCAATCAGGGTGAAAGCACTGTCACTATGGAAATCAGCAAATCCTACATATCGAGTCCTTTCATCTCCCAGAGAGCCAACACACCACTGATGACACTGAGCAGCTTATATTTTCTGGGAGAAATAGAAAAGAAAACTCAAAGATTATAATAGAGTACAAGAAAGTGCTGTCATAGAGATACTCATTAGGTCCTCTGGGATCAAGAGATAGGCATTTCATCCAAAGTGGGGCAATTCTTTTTTAATTTCATTTTTTAAATTTGAGATGGGTTCTCGCTATGTTGCCTAGGCTGGACTCAAGACTCAAGTGATTCTCCTGCATCAGCCTCTTGGGTAGCTGGGACTAAAGGCACATACCATGGTGCTTGGGGCGGTGGGGGTAAATTTCTTGAAAGAATAATATCAGTAGCCAAACAGCTCCCATTTATTAAACACTTCCTATCCTCCAGGTACTAAGTGTTTTAAAAAGAAAAGCTCATACAATTCTTACAACAATCTAAGGAGGGAAGTATAATTGACTAAGCCTTTGAAACTAATTTTCAGGTCCTAAAATCTGTGATTTCACCATTATACTATACAAAAATAACTAGGTATATATTTAATAAGAGGATCAAGGACATTTGATGTTGAGTAATGTTAAGTATGTGAAGACATGGGATATGAGCAGGGTTGATGCATATCAAGCAGGGTCCAACTAAGAAAACAAAACAAAAATAAAGAGGAAATTTAAGCCAGAGATTATTTAATATAGGGAATTCATTACTTAGGTGGTGGTGGAACTAAGGAAACAGCAGGGGTACTGAGATAAGCAACATCTTAGGTCCGGTTCCCTAGACACAGAGCCTGAGACATCATTTCTTGTACACCCGATTTAGAGGGAGTGCTGTCAGGAGAAACTAGAAGTGAAAGAAGTAAGCTAGAATGGGGGAAGAAGCTAGGCAAAGATATTGTTTCAGAAATCTAGCCTCAGCTTGATGCGATAAGGAACTCTAAAGCATGGATTGAACCACAGAAGTTGTCTAGTCCAAAGGCAAGGGAGCTGAGCTATTACACCCTTGTATAGTCATTAGCCATCCCTGGGGAGCAGGAGGGGGTTGGGGCATGATCTCATAATCTCCCAAACATATTTGGTTGGGGCAATTACTGTCAGCCAAGGGCAGGCCTCTGGAGAAGAGTACAGGTGTGAGTCATTAGCAGCCAATACCCACAGCAGCTGGGAGATGGATGCACTGGCCCAGGAAAGGAGATCTGGGTAGGATACCAACAGCATCTGCTACAGGCTACATCCAGACACTATCCATATGCTTGAGAACCATCCATAAGCTGGAGGGACAAAACTGGAGGCAGTGTTACTCGGTGGTAAGTGTTTAAAACAACAAAAATAGTGTGCATGTGTATCTGTACACTAGCTTGTTATAAATTTCACTAACATGAAGGATGTGCAGTGCACAGTTTTCATTGTAAGACTCAATGCAGCATGCTTTATTGTAAATTCCACATAGCCAACTAATGCCCACAGAATGCTTTCATTGAGTTTCTATCCACAGCCAACTAATGGCTGCAATTGACAAACTAGTGTAGTTCTGACATGAATGGTGGCTGCTCAAAGTGTTTTACGTATATTAAATCACTTACCCATGACAGTCTAATGACTATCATGAGGTAAATACTGTTATCAATCTCATTTTATCAACAAGGAAACCAAAACACAAAACGATTATGTAACTTGCCCAAGGTTACACACCTAATAAATATATTTAGGTCTAATGTGATTGAAATAGAGATCATGGACTAAAAAGGCAATGAGGCTAAATAAAGAACTATATTACCACATAAGCTAGGAGAAAAGAAATGGAACCCTATTGGAACAAAAGGTAAGTTAATGCCCACATACATTAATGGAAATATGTCCAAAAACATTTCCCAACTGGTTAATTCAATGGATAGTTATTAAGTACCTATTCCATCCATACAAGTCTCTGAGCTAGGACCTAAAGAGATATTTAGAAAGCCATTATTCCTCTTAACTGAAACCATCAAATCCTGTAAAGTAATACAAATTACAATGAGGCCTGCAAATATAGCAGGCAGAGCAAATACATCCACACATTAGATGGTGTCCAGTGAGTCAGGTATAAAGAGAATTTGGTTGCATGTTTTACTAGAGCTTGTCCCTTGGAAACACACAGGACACCTGGAAATTCAACTTGTGCAGTCAACTCTTTCAATGAGAAACTATGTTTTCATTGGCCACATTTAGGAGTACATATGGTACCTGCAAATAGTGAGACACATACACACACACACACACACACACACACACACACACACAAACCCAAAGAGAAATACCATAACTTTAAAAAATGTCCCTTATATGACATAATGTATGAATAATATATTAATAGTGAAAAGATCCTTTTCTTTAATCTCCTGCTACAGTTTCACCCAAGAATTCCCTTAATACGGCAGTAAAAGTTATTATTTTATTAACTTAGCTCTTAAACACACTTTTAAAATATTCTATGTGACTAAATGGGAAGTAAGCAAAATACATTTTTGCTACATACCAAAGTAGACAGTTGATTTGACAATAAGCACTTGTACAACTGTTTGAGTTGTAAGCTACTTCACACAACTCCATTTTTACTTGAAATTTCAACTGACAAACTATGATTATTCAGATTTGACTGTTTGATAGACATTTTCTCAAAAATAGATGTGCAAGCTTGTCATTTCAAGGAAAACAAATGATAGTATTTGTTGTCAATGGTAAAATTTGTTTTCAAGCAAAAGCTAGAATTTTAGAAAACTTATTTCTGCTAAGTTTTAAGTGAGCCTGACAGCTTTTCAGTGATGAGATTGGTGGTGATATTAATAGACAGATATTCATAAAGTAATCTGTAAACATTTGGAAGCTCTACACTACTCAGTGAACCAATATTTTCCAAATGACGAATGCATGATGTTACAAAACCATGCATAGATAAAAAAATACATTCAAAGTACAAGAAAGACCAATGCAAGTTAATTAACTGAGTACAAAAAGTTCCCTGATAAGTTTTCCAGATTCCACACTACAACTGATTAAGAAACAACCACCTGTTGAAGAATTTCAGTATAGTATCAAAGAAGACAATCAACAGTTACTTAAAAAGGTTATTAAATCATGCCTCCCTTTTTGAGTTATCTATGTGAGACTAGACTTTCTTCATATACTTCAACCCAAACAACATATTAACAACAGATTAACTGTAGAAGCAGATATGAGCATCCGGCCCTCTTCTATTAAACCAGATTAAAAAGATTTGCCAATTTTCTCACTATTTTTTTGTTTTCAAAATTGTTGATTTTCATTAAAAATGTTATTTATATTAACATGTTATGAGCTTATTATTCTTTTATAAAAATTTTTAACATGGCTTTAATTTCTGACATGGCACATATGGATACTCATTGTCTTTAATGTGAGAAAAAGACATTTAAGATCTACTGAAATTTAGGCATAAATTTAGAGCTAGTTTCTAGCGGGAATAAAAGTCTTACTTTAAACTATCTTTATTCTAACCTTGGCTGACTCAAGTCCCAAGATAGAAGAGCTGGAGTTGGGAGGGCAATCTCAAAACTAAGAGGTCTACCCAGGAAGCATCCTAATCTCCTTGGTACCATTATATCGGAATTCTAACCCAGTGATCAGATACTTGAAGGCCTAGAAAGATTACTGAATTGTGTGTTGCCCAGGAACTTTAAATGGCATGCCTCCCAGGAGATTCCAAGGTAGGTGGTCCTCAGCCTACATTTTATAAAACAAAGTTCTACGTACCATACAAACTGATATGCCAGTTGCCCTCTCCTCACCTTATCCTCCCTCAACACTTATTCTGGATGTCTATGTGACTCCAAACACAATTTTACATCATTATCTTAGATGTCAATTCCTAACAATTGCATTGAGGACCATGTCTGCATTCTGACATTGGCCCCTCCTTTATGTTCTCACTATGGTTCATGCCTTCATCACCTTCCAGCTGGATCAGTAGGATGACCTTCCAACGGCTCTTTGCACAGCTCCAGTTAAATTACTCATACTTGTCACTATGGGTTCAATGCCCCTTCAAAAATTAAGAGGTAGAACCTTTAAGAGGTGATTAAGTCACAAGGACTTCACTTTCAAAAATGGATTAATGCTGTTCTTTTGGAAATGGGTTCATTTGAGGAGTTTTCTCCATTTTCTCCTCTCTCTTGCATGTTCTCTCACCATGTGATACCTTCTGCACGTTTTGATGCAGCAAGAAGACCCTTGCCAGATGAGACCCCTTGAACTTGGATTTCCTAGCCGTACCGAGCCAAAAAAAACTCCTATTGCTTATAAATTACCCAGTCTCAAATGAACCAAGATACTTACCTAGAAAACTAGCACAAACTATCACAAATATACTAATACTTGTCCAGAAAACTAGCTCAAATTATATCACTACTCTGCTCAAAAACATTAAGTGCCTATAACTTGAAGTTCTCAAATGACTTGATTTAGCATTTATAGTTCTCCATAATCTGGCTCCACTTTGCCATTCCTACCATGTTCCTCTGTTGATCTCCTTAGATACTCCACAAATGAGCAAAACGTTTTGCTCTCCTGGACCAGACCTAAGGTTTCCACCCTTATGCATTTGGTTTTGTTATCTCCTTTGCCTGGAGTTACTACCGTGTGAGTTGTCCCCTTAGTTCTTGTAAATTCAAACCACTACATGCGCTTCAGGGGCCAGATCAAATGTTGCCTACTCCACCAAGCTTTACCTGATCTTGCAGCTGGGAATAATTTCTAAAAATCTTCTGGTCTGTTTCTCTTGGTTCTCCATGTAACACTTTCTACCCTGTAGCATAGTAATCTAAATGCATAGTTCATCTTCCTGATTACACTGGAAGAACCATATGGGAGTTTTGTGCATTTTCGTGTCTGATTCATCACCATACTCTGACCACATCTAACCCATAATGGAAACTCAATAGTTTTTAAAGAATTAATCTTTTATAGAATACTTATTCTGATTTCTCAAAAGTAGAATGTAGAATTTACCAAGCAAATCATTCTTTGCTATACAAATAATCTATCTTTTTGGTTGATGGTGGTGGCTTGAGTAAAGTTATTAGCAACTAATTTTTATGTTTCTGGTACATACCCAGTTCTGCAAGGAATCTCTCATTCAGCATCTGATATTAAGAATTCCTTAAACATATTTACAATGAAACTTCACTCTACTCATAGGCCTTTCTCAGAGTCCTGTCGTAGTATTTGAAAACATGCAGCCATAATACAGCACGTGCTAAGCACTGTACTAAAACCACAAAGTACATTAACCTATGTTCCTTGGGATACTTTTTGATTCTATCCTATTTATGAACCTTTATACTGTTCTGATGTCCAACAGAATCAGTACCCAAGAGAAACTGAAAGCATAGAAAGAAAAAGCTGTGGGAACAGTTCTGGAGAAATGTTCCCTTCCGTACTCCTGCAAAAGCCAACAGCTGACTCCTTAGAAGAACCACAGATGCCAAGGGGATCACAACTTGCATAGTTCCAAATGTTTTTTAAGCAGCTAATTCTTGAGCCATTGGCATGACACAAAAAACAAAACACTTTTGTGGTATTCTAGAAAATCTGGTGGCAAGACTAGAAAAGCTAGTGGGAACAGCTTTGCTGCAATTGACGTTGACCAAAGCAATAAATTGGGAAGAGCCAAAATGGAGACTTCCTGGCTGACAGAAAGATATTTGTTGCATACCCAGGATGAAATAAGATCTTTTAATAATGCGGAAATGCTACTGCTTTCTAGCACAACTTGCCAATTTCCCCAACCAGTATTTTTTCTTTTTTATCAGAAACTTTAACGTACCAATCCTGTGACAAAACTGATAAAGATGCAAGAGGTTCTAGATTAAGACAAACTCACGGAAAAAGTTAAAAACCATCTAATGTCTCATCCTATATAGCATAAAGTATAATTAGAGTCACATACTATAAGCCTTGATGTTCAAAAGTGGAATAGTAAATTTGTCCCTCACTTTGAGTGTTTTTTCGTCTGTGACTAATCAGACCTCAAAACAAGTTATTACCATATTTACTCACATAACAAAATTGTAAGAGAATTATGCTTGCTCTGCAATATATGACTGCACTCACATTTGCTCTTTCATCTTTTAACTGTCTCTATGACATTCTTTTTGGAAATGCTTATCAGAGCTCTTAAAATGAGAGTTCCATTTCTCCACCTGGCCCATTCCCTTTGATCTAGTTGTTGTCCCCCTATTGATGACAGAAGGCCACCCAGCATCATGTTCAGGCTCAAGCATAAAATAGTGAATGGCAAAGAAAAAGTCTAGATTTCAGGGAGGTGACATCAATGTTTAATTTTATAATGTGCATATCGAATTATGTAATTAGATAAGTCAATGCACTTTATAACTCATAAATAAATTTGGGCAGCTCTAAGTTTAGGGATCAAGTATGTTCTAAAACTTTCCAAAGCTTCTAATTTTTTTGAGAATTCAGTACACAATTTTCCTTGAAAACAAAGCAGTGAATCTCAGGAGTGAGATTCAGCCCTGAAGGACAGAATGATGGTAGAGTGATGAACAGCATGGACTCTTACTGAGTTCAAAGCCTGGCTCTGCCACATATCATCTAAGTAACATGAAAACTCCGCTTAATTGTTCCAAGCCTCAGTTTCCCTCTCAATAAAAGAGAGGAAAATAATAATACTTAATTACCTCATAGGATTGTGAGGATTAAATAACTTTTTTCACACAGTACGTAGAATATGCTAACTGTTCACAAGTGTTAACTGTCATTTTGTTGTGGATGTTACTATTATCATTTGTCCACCATTTAAGCCTATAACTCACAGAACTACTGAACGAAGAACTAACTCAAGTTAGCTCAGTACCTGGAAGTAAAAGGCTACCAGATGCTGAACAAAAGAGGCAAAGAATAGATTTTCTGTAATTCCTGAGAAAACCAATGTTATAAAAAAATAAACCAAAGTTTTTACTTGGGACAGACCCTTTCTTTTTCTGTTCAACTAACTTTCTCCTATGTCCTGTATCACCTTCAGACTCAGTATTTTATAATCTCCAGTTTCTTCCTCCCTCATTGCTGTCTAGATTTCTTCCCTTGACTAACACCAAATAAGAAATTTCTCCCCTTCAGACAAAAACGCATGTTCTTTCAGTACAGGTGTCTTCAACTAGACATGAACACAAACAGCATGATTAGTCGTGTTAACATTCAGGTGACACCCTTATGAAAACCAAAACTGATCACTAATACAAACTGGTTTTGTCCACATGTGCACGTGCATGCGTGCGCAATGTGCGTGTATACGCATACCTTTGAGAGATGATGTTACCTACAAGGCTGACATACAGTATACATACACATACATATAAAGCTATTATTACACTTTATGACATTTCTCTTTCTTTTGTTATAAAGCATAGATAACCAAAAATTGGTACTATTTTTTTCAGCGGCTTGCATGGTTGCACAAATAAGAGCTCAGGCAGCATGGGTTAAGGCAGGGGGTGCCATTTGTAGGCAAGTACTCTTCTTTTTTTCTGTCAAGTAGATTTTTAAATAAAATATAATTGAATTGTGAATACAAGAAAAGCAAACACAAATCTAAGCACAAAATGGGCTTTTTCTTAATAATTCTTGTAACTGTTTATAACCCACTTTTTCAGCCTTTTCACAGCTTTTGCTTAAGCATTCTAATTTCACTGGTTACCTGTCTCCATAGCTCTACTAAATAATTTTTATAAAATACCCCAAGATTCTCATTTGTGCTGTTCATCACTGTGTCTCCAGTATCTATACAGAATCTGGCACAGAGCAGGCCATTGATATTTATTGATTAAGTTAATTAATGAGTGAATGGGGAGTGATTATGTAAACTATTTACCCATCGATTCGAGGACAAGAAGTCTCATTTTTATATAGTCTAAAAGAACTCTTACTCACACCCTCTCTTCTTTTTATATTCCTTTTTTTTTTTTTTGAGACGGAGTTTCGCTCTTTTTGCGCAGGCTGGAGTGCAATGGTGCCATCTCGGCTCACTGCAACCTCTGCCTCCCGGGTTCAAGTGATTCTCCTGCCTCAGCCTCCCAACTAGCTGGGATTACAGGCACCTGCCACCACACTCAGCTAATTTTTTGTATTTTTAGTAGAGACAGGGTTTCACCATGTTGGCCAGGATGGTTTCGATCTCCTGACCTCGTGATCTGCCTGCCTCGGCCTCCCAAAGTGCTGGGATTACAGGCGTGAGCCAACGCACCCGGCTCCTTTTATATTTCTTATCTGAAATACTGTTTCTTCTCTCTGAGCTTCTTTCTAAAGCGGTACAGTCCCTTTTTTTCTATTCTCAGAAGCAAGCTTCCCCTTTGTGTTTTGAAATTGCCATTTTTAAAGAGGATGCTAGTAACATGATCATCCTATTTCAGACAATTCGAAATGAATAGTTTCTATGAGTGAAGGTGGATGAATGAACCATTAAAATCATGTCTTAAAGTGATCAGACTTCCCTCTTTACACAATTACTATATATTAAAACAAGACTAGCCCACTCCATCACATATACCATCAAGCAGGTTTCTTCATACTTAATCATATCACTAAATCAGTCATTGCCAACCTTCTATCTTATGCTCTGGAATGCATCTTACTGTCTCAAGAGGCAAGTGGAACTCTCAAAATGAAATTAATTTTAATTAACTTTAAAATATAAGTGTTAATGTGTCATACAGCACTTGGAAAGAGAAGGTTATACAAAAGAGAGTGACACAGCATTAAAGGAGTAGGGATCAATGCACTAGCCAAAAAGAAGACAAATGACTTTGAAACATTGCCTGAGGTTAAGCACTTCACTTCCAAATACAGTTTCCCACGAAGAACACACTCAGGAGAAAAGGGAGAGAGACAGTGTAATTTGAATGATGTTACACCTACTGTCTAAATTTTATTTAGATTAGGATAGTTAAAGACTATATTTGCCTGAGGACAGAGAATAGGCTACATGAGAAGAGACATTTATTGGGTATCCAGTAAGGTTCCACAGTGCTGAATTTTCTTACAATTCTGATATTAGATTAGGACTTATTTTCATAGTTGACTGATAAGAAGATATCACTCCTTTCATGCTCTTCTTATTCTAGACAGGTCGAAACAGTTATAGGGCAGCACATATAAAAGTATGTTAATCTGCTTAAGCTTGTAATTCTGACATAGGATCAACGTCCATTTTTTAAAAATTTGTTTTAAACACATTTATCATAGGCTTGCTGCTGTTCTGAATATTTTTTCTTATATACAAATGACTGACCACAGAAAAAAATAGCAAAGAAAAAAACACATTATCTACCACACCTCCACTCTTTGGTTTGTATTCTTCAAGATTTTGTCTCTTTCTTAATTAGAAAAATGAGGATTTTACTACAAACCTCAAAAATCAGATCATTCTATTCAACAAATACACAAACACAGTCTTAGCAAAAATCAATCTAAGGTCATGCACCATTGTTAATAATAGATATATAAAAAACTTTAGAATGACCCATATTTTGTATTTTCATAAAGCCAGAAACCACATATTTTCTTTCTTTATACTTGCCATAATGGCATCATAGGTGCTCAATGATTTTGGATTTAAAGAAGGTTAGGAAGAGCATAGTCATTCCAAGCTAATTACTAAAACCCCACAGAAATGTTACATGGTGAAGGCTACCCCTTCATGTTTGTGGTAGGTAGACTCTAAGATGACCTCCAATGATCCCCACTTCTTGATATTGACCCCTGGTGTAATCTCCCCTTGAGTGTGAGCTGGCCTAGTGCCTTGCTTCTAGCCAAGAGAATGTGGCAAGGTGATGGGATGTCACTTCCTTGAATAGGTATCTTCTGTCTTGCTATCAGATTCTCTCTATTGCCTTTCTGGTAAGCAAGTTTTTTGTTTTGTTTTGTTTTGTTTTTTTTTTTTTTGAGACACAGTCTCACTCTGTTGCCAAGGCCGGAGTGCAATTCTCCTGCCTCAGCCTCCTGAGTAGCTGGGATTACAGGTGTGCACCACCACACCCAGCTAATTTTTGTATTTTTAGTAGAGACGGGGTTTCGCCATGTTGGTCAGGCTGGTCTCGAACTCCTGACCTCAGGTGATCTGCCTGCCTTGGCCTCCCAAAGTGTTGGGATTACAGGCGTGAGCCACCGCGCCCAGCCCCAGTACGCAAGTTTTTATGAAGCAAACTGCCACACTAGAGAGTCACACATGGCAAGGAATTGAGTGTATTCTCTCACCTAGGAATGGAGGCTGCTAGGAACCGAGACCCTCAGTCTAACGCTGCCCCCACAAGGAAATGAAATCTGCCAACAAAAACAGGAATTAGAAAGAGATCCTTTTATGGATGAATAATATTCCATTGCATGGATATACCACACTGTTTATCTGTTCACCTGCTGATCAGCATGTGCGTTGCTTCCATCTTTTGGTTATTGCGAATAGAGTGGCCATGAATATTGGTGCACAAGTTTTTGTTTGAACATCTGTTTTCAATTATTTTGTATGTATTATCTACAAGTGGAACTGCTGGGTCAAATGTTAATTCTATGTTTAACTTACTGATAAAACGTGTGCTGTTTAAGTCCCCAAATTTGTAGTGAATTGTTACACAGCAATAGATAATTAATGCAAAGTTTAAAATAAATTTGCAGCTAGGTAGAAATTCCCAAATGTGGATTAATGAACTACAGGGAGAAAAAAATAATAATTTACCATTGGTCTGACTGGCGACTCATGATTCCCCCAGTCAATAGTATTTACTGCATTCTCAAAATACTTCTTAAAAAGCAACATTAAAAAAATTGCTATGAGGGTTTGCCGGGTGCCATGTGTTGCGCTGTGCTGTACTGCAGAGATTTTTTTTAAAAAAGAAAAAGGCACAGTTTCCACCCTCAGAGTGCACAGATCTCCAATTAAGAATTACCTCTGCTGATATTCTCCAAAATTCTGTTCATCAGCTTATTTCTTCTCTTGTTGTACATCCTCTTTGGGAAAGTCTTTACTCACATTGTTTCATCTACCTCTAATATCACGAAAACACTCAGTTCAAATGCTCTCATCTAATTTTCTCCTGAGCACCAATACTCTTACTTCTTCTATCATATGTTCCCTTCTAGATGTTCCCCAGGAATTTTAAACTCAATTTGTCCCCAAATAAACTAATTCTTGCTATGCACTCTTTTCCAGCCCAACCTCTTGAATTCCCTGTCAGACTTAGCAGCCAAGATTGAAACTATGAATCTTAAGTCATTCTTTACCCCTTATCCTTTATTCCTAATTCTCAATCAACTGCCCAACTTACCTCTCCTCTATAACCCAGTGTAATTGCCAAGCTCTTTGAAACTTTTAAAACTTCTCTGCTATGATTTGAATGTGTCCCCCAAAAAGCATGTATTGGGAACTTGGTCCTCAATCCAACAGTGTTGGGGGGTAGGGCCTAATAGAAGTTGCTTAGGTCATGAGGGATTCACCAGCACAAATGGATTAATGCTGATTATAAAAAGGCTTCAGGCTGTCAGTTCAATCTCTTACTCTTCTGCCTTCTGCCACAGGATAACACGGCAAGAAGGCCTTTGCCAAGTGCCAATGCCATGCCTTCGAACTTCCCAGCCTCCAGATCTTGAGCTAATAAACTTCTTTTTTTAAATTTTTGTATTTTTTTAATTTATTTTTATTTTATTTTATTATTATTATACTTTAAGTTTTAGGGTACATGTGCACAATGTGCAGGTTAGTTACATATGTATACATGTGCCATGCTGGTGTGCTACACCCATTAACTCATCATTTAGCATTAGGTATATCTCCTAAAGCTATCCCTCCCCACTTCCCCCACCCCACAACAGTCCCCAGAGTGTGATGTTCCCCTTCCTGTGTCCATGTGTTCTCATTGTTCAATTCCCACCTATGAGTGAGAATATGCGGGTTTTTGTTCTTGCGATAGTTTACTGAGAATGATGATTTCCAATTTCATCTATGTCCCTACAAAGGACATGAACTCATCATTTTTTATGGCTGCATAGTATACCATGGTGTATATGTGCCACATTTTCTTAATCCAGTCTATCATTGTTGGATATTTGGTTTGGTTCCAAGTCTTTGCTATTCCCAAAATCTCCTTAAGCTGATAAGCAACTTCAGCAAAGTCTCAGGATACAAAACCAATACGCAAAAATCACAAGCATTCTTATACACCAATAACAGACAAACAGAGAGCCAAATCATCAGTGAACTCCCATTCACAATTGCTTCAAAGAGAATAAAATACCTAGGAATCCAACTTACAAGGGATGTGAAGGACCTCTTCAAGGAGAACTACAAACCACTGCTCAAGGAAATAAAAGAGGATACAAACAAATGGAAGAACATTCCATGCTCATGGGTAGGAAGAATCAATATCATGAAAATGGCCATACTGCCCAAGGTAATTTATAGATTCAATGCCATCCCCATCAAGCTACCAATGACTTTCTTCACAGAGTTGGAAAAAACTACTTTAAAGTTCATATGGAACCAAAAAAGAGCCCGCATCACCAAGTCAATCCTAAGCCAAAAGAACAAAGCTGGAGGCATCATGCTACCTGACTTCAAACTATACTACAAGGCTACAGTAACCAAAACAGCATGGTACTGGTACCAAAACAGAGATATAGATCAATGGAACAGAACAGAGCCCTCAGAAATAATGCCGCATATCTACAACTATCTGATCTTTGACAAACCTGAGAAAAACAAGCAATGGGGAAAGGATTCCCTATTTAATAAATGGTGCTGGGAAAACTGGCTAGCCATATGTAGCAAGCTGAAACTGGATCCCTTCCTTACACCTTATACAAAAATTAATTCAAGATGGAGCTAATAAACTTCTGTTCGTTATAAATTATTCAGTCTCAGGTATTTTGTTACAACAGCACAAATGGACTAAGATGTTCCTCTGGCTGTTTTTCCTCTGCTACACTTATGGCTTACCTAGAAAATTCTTATGCAGATTTCAAGCCTGAACCCAAACATTATGACCTTGTGAAGCCTTCCTTAATTTTATTTTTTATAAGACTACTTTCTCTATCCATTGTGATCCTGCAGCAAACTGATTATCTCTTCAATTTCAAAAGCTAGACACACAACAAAGCATCAGTTTTTACATGCCTAGTTCTTTATGACTGTTGTGGGCTGACAGATTTCTGCACTTATGTTCTGAGACCAATTTTTCTGGATATTTTAGGTAGCTAATATAGGAATCAACATATAATCTTCACTCAATTCATGTGTGCTGAATTTAAAATAGCCATCTGATTTATATTATGATTCACTTAATCAACTAACAAGTATGTATTGAGTAGCTTCTATGTATCAGACGTAACACTAGGCATAAGGAATATGGTGGCAAACCAAATAGACATGACCCCTGCCTGACTCATGAGCTCACAGTCTCACAGGTCACTGAGTTGATAATACATTTATGACACTATGTCATTTAGGCTTCAACCTATCTCTGAGCAACACAAGTATTTCCTATATTTATTATTTTGATTCTTTTTTTTTTTTTTTTTGAGATGGAGTCTCGCTCTGTCGCCCAGACTGTAGTGCAATGGCGCAATCTCAGCGCACTACAACCTCCACCTCCCAGGTTCAAGTGATTCTCCTGCCTCAGCCTCCCGAGTAGCTGGGACTACAGATGAGTGCCACCACGCCCGGCTAATTTTTTGTATTTTTAGTAGAGATGGGGTTTTACCATGTTAGCCAGGACGGTCTCGATTTCCCAACCTCATGATCCGCCCACCTCAGCCTCTCAAAGTGCTGGATTACAGGCATGGGCCACGGCGCCTGGCCTTACTATTTTGATTCTTAAATAAAAACTGGAAAATTAAATTTCTTTTCAGTGAGTTATAAGTAAATTTTATTACCATCATTAGCACTGCATTAAAAACAACAAAAAAACCAATCCCTTCCTGATACCTTTCAACATATATGACTGTTTGTATACTATCTAAATCGAAACATCTAATATCTAAATCTGAACATTGATAGGATGCCTCAACTATCCAGAAGACAGCTAAAAATTAAGAACCATGGGACAGCCAACAGAAATGTCTCCAAATTAATAACCTAAAGCTCCCATGCTTAACATTCTAAAAAGTCCCTCAGGTCCACACAGAAACCTGGCATAGAAAAAAAAGTGATCACAATTTCTTGGCTCCCTATTCAGAGCATATTAGAAGTAGTAAATCATTATGTGGGTGATGGAAGAGAGAGAGAATCTGCCAGAAACAGGCACAGAGACAGTAGCAAGAAGAGATAGCTACAACAGAGACTAAATCAAGAAATTAAAAAATTAAACGAGAAGAGATAATAACTATGAAAGAAAATAAGGCACAGAACAGAAATTAAAAGCGTAGCAGTTCAGATTTAATGTAGCATGCAATAGCCACCCACTTTCCCAATAGTACTGTAGGGTTTCTGATGTCCATCAAATAAATGATGAATTATATTCCTGGCATTTTCATTTATTATCATTTGAACATATAAATGTAACAAGGAAAGTCTGATGAACGCCATTACCAACAATCCTGTCTAATCCAGCCTCACCTCACTTCCTCCTTTCTATTATTTTAAAGCAAACCGTTAATATTACATACTTTCATCTGTAAATATTTTGGTATATATCTAAAAGATGAGAATTCTTTTTAAAACATAGCCAAAGTACCATCAATATATGTAAAAGAAATTAAAATCAATTGTAAAGTTTATAGCCCATTTTCAGCATTAAAATGTCTTAAAATATTGGCTGGATGTGGTGGCTCATGCCTATAATCCCAGCACTTGGGGAGGCCAAGGTGGGAAGATTGCTTGAGCCCAGGAGTCCAAGACCAGCCTGGGCAACAGAGGGAGACCTCGTCTCTACAAAAAGTAAAAAATCAGCCAGATATGGTGGCACATGCCTGTAGTCCCAGATAATTGGGAGGCTGAAGCAAAAGAATTGCTTGAGCCTGGGAGATGGAGGATGCAGCGAGCCATGACTGCACCACTGTACTCTAGCCTGTCTCAAAACAAAACAAACAAACAAACAAGCAAAACCATAAAATGTTTAAAAATATTAAATCAAAATATATTTTTACATTCTTAATTTTATTGGTTAACTGTCAAGAGAGATTTAAAAAAAGTGTTCTGGGAAGCACTCTCTTTCCTAATGCAACACCCAGTGACGATGTGGCATCATTAAATTATGATATTTTGCTATTGAAACTTAATTCTTTAATCAAGGAAAATCCTTTTACAGAAAATCATTAATTTTGTTTAGTCTACAATAGCTCTTTCAGATTTAAAAGTTAACAATGTAATTTATTATTATTTGAGGGCCACAGACTAATTCCCTGAAAGTGTTATCAGAAATGATATATTATTAACTTATTAGGAGATCATAGGCTATCGTGAGAAAACTTCATGTCAAAATTAGTTGTATTAGTACTGAGATGTAATTATTCTTCAAAAGTATCATAAAATCAAAAACAAGTAGGGAAAAACAAATACAATGATACATACCTGGGAAATATAGAATTGATTTTTGGTAGCCAAAACTTAGGTAGAAAATTAAAGAACCAGGGACACAGGTACATAATCATCTCTTCTTTCAATTAAAAGCCATGGTTTGAAGGAAACTTAAATGAATGGCACTCTAGGTAGTTGATTTGGAAACTAGGAACCTATTTGGCACATCTAAGGAAGGATGCGTATGTATGTGTGGAGGGGAGAAAATGGGCAGAACACAAAACAGCTTTAAATTGAATTTGAGAGAAATGTCTAGATGAAATCTGAAACTACAAATCTTATCTTCTTCCTAACTTAGATGTGCCTTGGAAGGATTACAGAAGTGCTGAGATCCCTGTAGCCCTTGGGGTGTCCAGTGGGACCTGGGGCATGCTCTCCCCATCTCTTGTCATCACCTCTAGCAGTAAGCAGTTTCTGTTTATCCTAATATACCATTAAAATATTATCATTTTCAATGTTTGATAATGTGAAAAACCTTGCAAAGCATTAGTCCAAAGAGCTTATTAGCCTGTCATTCAAGGCTCTTGATGATTTGACCCAAATGACCTTTCTAACCTTGAATCTTTTCACACCATTTATGAAACGTTTACACTGGTCAAAATGAACTGCTCGTGTTTTCCCCTTACACCCTTCATGCTTCTCAACTGCTGTTGCCTCTGGTTTGAATTTCTCCTCCTCCTGGGGATCTACTTTTTCCCTATCTTTATATTTTCAAGTATAATCGATTCCTAAGCCTGCATTAAATGCCATCTGTACCACAAAACCCTTCCTTTTACTGTATTTGTATATAATCTTTTTTCCCCCACTAAGGAGCCAGAGTAGTCAGTTATCTACAGTTTTTAATGTCATGCGTAACTTTCTATTTTGTACCATTGTTACTTATGTAAAATGTTTTTAGTTTACCAACTAGAGTCAAAGTTCTTTGATTGCTTAATTCAAGTAAATTTACTCCAGCACTTTCTGAGAAACTTTTATGTGCCAAGTACTATACTAGGTGCAGAGGATACCACATTAGTGTGGCTACACTATCACCAGAATTACTGAGTATTGTTTTTAAAATTCTAGCCCAGCTACTCGGGAGGCTGAGGCAGGAGAATGGCGTGAACCCAGGAGGCGGAGCTTGCAGTGAGCCGAGATCGCGCCACTGCACTCCAGCCTGGGCCACAGAGCAAGACTCCGTCTCAAAAAAAAAAAAAAATTCTAGCCAATATGATAAGGCAGAAATTAGTAAGAGGTACTGCAACTGGCAGGGGGAAAAAGTATGATTATTTATAGATACAAACCCAAAATAATTAATGAGAAAACTTAGAACTAATAATAACATGGTTCCATAAGGTGATAAGAAACAAAATTTAAATGTTTTCAAATACTTTGATAATACATTAAAAAACATTTAAAAATCCAGCAATTTTAACAAATATTTTAATATGCCAATATGTACATGGAAAAATATCCCAATATGTATATGGATGAACACACAAACACATACGCATGCAGGCACAGAAACAAAATATGTCTTATACTACCATATAGTATAAGAAATATTTTAATTCTCTCCAAATTTAATGAATATGTTTATTAAATATATTTATGCATTTAATATAATAAACATTTTAATCTTTCCAAATTTACTATTGAGTTTAAGACACTACCAGTCAAAATCTCAAGGAAATCTTTAACCCAAAATTTCACCTGGAAATCATTAACCCAAAATCTTTCATGCAAAATTTCACTAAAAACAGTCATATTTTTAAGAGCAAAATAATCAATAGACACAAATTACAAAGGAGATACAAACATAAAGAATTTTAATTTGTTATTTAAAAAATATAAACTAAAATTATATGGTACTTTTTTTTCTTAAGTGAAAGTAAGTTTATTAAGAAAGTAGAGGGATAAAAGAATGGCTACTCCATAGATAGGGGCTGCTGGTTGCCATTTTTATGGTTATTTCTTAATGATATGCTAAACAAGGGGTGGATTATTCATGCCTCCCCTTTTTAGACCATATAGGGTAACTTCCTGATGTTGCCATGGCATTTGTAAACTGTCATGGTGCTGGTGGGAGTGTAGCAGTGAGAACGACCAGAGGTCACTCTCATTGCCATCTTTGTTTTGCTGGGTTTTAGCCGGCTTCTTTACTGCAACCTGTTTTATTACCAAGGTCTTTATGACCTGTATCTTGTGGTATGGTACCATTTTTCACTTATCCAACTGCCTAAAAAAATCTAAACGATAATCTGCAACAATATGAAAGATCCAATAACAAAGACAATAGAATGTATTTCTAATAGGAATGTAAATCTATGTAAATTTTCTAATAAGCGGTTTTGTATTATGTATCAAGAGCCTTACGATGTTTTAATCCTGAATTTTCTGTTTTTAATATCTAATCTAAGGAAATATTTAGAAACTCAATTCAAACATAAACTTTTAAAAGAAAATCAGATAAATACTAAGTGCCAGATCTATACCAAATTACACAGGACAACACAGGCATATAGAAGATCTGGGAAGTGCCTACCAAGGACATAGATACTGAAGGTTAAATTATTTTATCATTAATCATCAGAAATTGTCTAAACCATATTAAAGAGTCGAAGTTCCACACAAGTCGGATTCAGTTAGGAATACTGACAGAGGTACTGATAAAAATGAGTTGATAAGGAGGAGGGTAGATCAGCAATCAAACCCCGAGGAGAGAGAAAGTGGCAAGTGCTGGCAGTACCCCACACAAGTATTATCCATGGCCAAATACGTGATTTGTCCAGTCTTGGTAGCAGGCATATCGCTATTAACAGACACACTATCAGAGCCAGATGCCATTAGACATGTGGCCGCTATAAGGTCCTCAGTTCTGACAAATGTATACCTGATTCAGCTGACAGTTTCATAGCAAAGAAGGATAAGAAAACAATGACAAATCTAAGTCTCCAAACTTAATTGTGACCATCAAAGAAGAAATGGTTACTATGTTATTCTAGAGACTACACTACCAAAAATGATCATTTACCCTAGACTGTAGAAAGGATTTCAACCTAACAATTGGAAGAAGATGAGAAGGCGGAGACCATGAATGGTCATCCAAAACAGGAAGACAGTTAAAGGAGGATAAAGCTATCAGAAAGGGAAAGATTAGAGGCTAAAATGAAGTTATACTCGCAAAAATGTTAAGATCAGATAAGAAAAAAAACTAGAGAGGGCATAAAAAGAGTAACTTTGAAAACAGTTAAGAGGAAAGTAAATTTGCAGATAGGAGAGAGTATATCAAACTTCTTTAAGTTAACTCAAGTCTCCAGATCCAGACAGATTACATACAAGATAGCAGAAAAACTCAGATGTAACTGCAAAACTGCTCTGAGCAATGTTATGTAACCCTGGAGAATGGGAAGGTTACCAGATGATTGGTGATAGGCAAATATTGCCCCAGATTTAAAAACTGGGATCATTGTGAACCACCATGGGTTCACTAAGAATAAATGTTTCTAAATAATTCTCAGCTCCTTTTGGACTGACTTGCTAGGTTGGTACATTTGGGGAATACCATAGTATGGGATCATTTCAGGAAAGTATTTGACAAGTCTCTTACAGTATCCTTGGGAAAGAAAGAAAGAAATCAGACGGCAGTAGTTCGGTAGCTTTGTAGCTGATTTAACTGACTTACCCCCAAATTCGTGGATTTGTGCCAACATGAAAGGGGCTAGGTCTTCTATGATTTGCAACCAATCTTGGTTTTCACAGCACTTCACACGTAACTCTACTATAGCAATTATCACACTCCATTACAGTTTTATAATTACATGTCTATTATTCCCTATAGCCTGTGAGCTCCCTGAAGGAATGATTAGCTTTTTTTTTTTTTTTTTTTTTTTTTTTTTTTTTCTGAGACAGAGTCTTGCTCTCTCGCCAGGCTGGAGTGCAGTGGCACAATCTCGGCTCACTGCAACCTCTGCCTCCCGGGTTCAAGCGATTCTCCTGCCTCAGCCTCCAGAGTAGCTGGGACTACAGGCACGCACCACCACACCCAGCTAATTTTTGTGTTTTTAGTAGAGATGAGGTTTCACCATGTTGGACAGGATGGTCTCAATCTCTTGACATGGTGATCTGCCCACCTCGGCCTCCCAAAGTGCTGGGATTACAGGCGTGAGCCACTGCGCCCAGCTGGAATGATTACATTTTATCCATCTTGTTATTTCTAGCAGGGAGCCTGAGATTAGCACAGAGTAGACAGTCTGATACATGTTTACATATTTTAATTGAATTAAAAAGTTGAAGAAATTATTTTAATATTTACAGATGTCTCAAAGCTGAAAGGAATTGCTAATATGTTGGATGATAAAAGAAAAAAAGCCAAAAAGTTCTTGACAAGCTGGAACAATGAGCCAGCACTTACACAATGAAATTTAATAGAGATATAAGTAATGTCTGGTACTTGGAATAAAAAAAAAATCAGCTGAAGAACACAATGGGAAAGACATGACTAAAAACAGCTGGATGTTTTGACAGCTTATCCAACATGGGCCAGTAGGGTGCTATGATTCGTGTTGTTGGCATGAAAAGAAAAAGCAAACCTAAAAAGAGATGAATATCACTGGTCAGACCACATCTATAGCATCATGCTTCTAGGCACATATTTTACAAGGGACCCCACAATTTAATACTTCTCCAGGAGACAAGGAGGATCGTGATAGACCTGGAGACCACATCATAGGAAAAATAGTTGAAGAAATGGAAGATAATTAGATTGAAAAGTGATCCTTCAGAATACATGACACCTAAATTCATGTTTCCCAATTACTATCTAGGGGAGCTGTACTATTTGTTAGTGTGGCTCCACAAGGCAGAGCTAAGATTATTTTAACAAAGAAACAGAGAGTTGCATTTTAGTAAATTATAATGAATGATAATAATGAAAACTCTTCAAACATGGCATATATACATACTTTCTGAGACTGACTTCCTCACCATGCAAGTACTCAGTTTGGGACTGTTCAGTTCAGTCACATGCCAGAGATTTGAAAACAGCAAATTCCTATTTGGTGTAACAGGTTTGAGCAAGAAATGTCTGATTTAACAAATATGGTTTCATATTCTTTTATGAGATAAAAACTGCTGGAAGGTAGAATGCTATTATAAGACTCATTTCTGAAGGAGACTGCATACCCAACTTTCCTGACACTGCTTCTGAGAAGGACAGGTTAGACCACTGCCCACTGCAGCAAATGCACCCATAGCCCACTCTGAGTTCCAGAGTGATGGTAGAAAATCTGGAAAACACTGCCTTGTCTCATGTGGGGCAGAGTTTCAAGACAGCAGAAGGCAAGGGAGATCAGAAACATCACCTTGTTATTCAGGTAAACTGTAAAAGTATATAAAAATATATAAGCCATCAAGAACAATGAATTTATAAGCTTTATTCCCACTCTCTTTGTATACTGACTCCCAGATTCATTGACTCATTTAGTACAATTTTATCAGCAAAAAAAATTTTAAAAATGACTACTTAACTAATGGATAATGTATATTTAATATGCGATTTTCTAATCATCCTTCAAATACCTTCAATAGCCAGCTACATCATGAGAGATATATCTGCATGTTTAAGATTAATTCAAATTATAAGGAGAATTCAAAAGTGAATTAAAATGTGACTTACAGCCAGTAAAATACAAGCAAGTCAATTTTTCAATGCATCTTGACTAAATGTAAAATATCATCTGTTTTTGTGACAAACAAGTCTGTATCATTAATCATATGCTTCCAGCTGCAACAGCTCGCATTCAAATTAAAACCATGAAATAGCATCACAGTGTCAAGATTCACGCAAACTGATCTTTTAACAGATTGTGAGGGAAAAAAAAACATACATTAAAAGAAGAATCTGGAGAAAATGTTACACAATAAAAACATCTGAAAGAGCTTAAGCACACAAGATAGAATTCTGGTTTTTGAACTGTATTGGAATTAAATGTTAAACAAAACTCACAGCCTGCTCTTAAACAACGAACACATCATAAAAAATAATTCTTTTTATAGCCACAGGGCTGAGAGTTTTGCTGTTTATATCTATCCCAGCATACAAATCCATAGTACTGCCAGGACTGTCCCCTCTGACTTTACTGGGAAGCTAGACAGGACAGTCTGCCTGGGTTTTTTTTTTTTTTTTAGTTTAGTTCAGTTTGTGTCCAAAACTGGCCCAAGAATCATCTCTTCTTCAGTCACTACACTCTTGCCTGCCAGTTGCACAGCTCCAAACATTCTCCTTCCAGCTACAGATATTAAAATGTTTTGTTGTTTTAAAATTTGATTTAGAACTGCAGTAGATAACCTTTTTTTTTTTTTTGCTTCAGGCTCCCCTAGGTCAGCAAGGCATAGTAATGTTCAAACAGTGCAACAGCAGCCACTCATTGCACATTAAAAACAAGGATGGTGCCAGGAACCAGCAAAGTGATATATTCTAGGTTAGCCATGTCAGGCATTTTCCAGTCCCAAAGCAGGTTTCATATGGTCAGCACATGGGCCAAATGATGCACATGGCCGTCCTGCACTTGCCCCTTGTGTCCTCCTCTGGTGACCTGCCCCATTGAACTCCCTGGACGAGATTCCCAGCGATGCTATGCAAAGAGGACATGTTCCTCTGAGAGTATTTTCTGCATTAGGGCTCACATTGTATTGCCATGGGACTTTACACTTTTAGGGTATAACCTGACATGCCACAACCTTTTCTTCCACTCCTCAGTTGACACCTCTTTAAACTGGTGGCCCAGCCCTAGCCTAGTACACATAAAAACGATAATAGCCACTCTGCCAATCAAGGTTAATATTTCAGCTTCTCTAATAAACCTGGGGTAGACACCATGATACAATATATAAAAACAAGAAAAGTAAAAATTCAGAACTTTATCTCAAAATTGTGCAGGCTCTTACCTACTAGATTTCCTTATCTTGTAACCATCATTTCTTTGTTCTTTTGTTCCTTGTTCACAGAGATATTGTTCCAGATGATAAATGGAGGAGTATGTAAGATTTTAATTTCATCACAGCCTATAAAGAATATTCCCAATGAAATTTAATGTGAATTTTAAATTGTATATTATAGTTGGGCATGGTGGATTTCAGAAGCTTTGAATCCCGTAACATGGATTTTAAGAGAGAAAGCTTTTTTTTTTTTTAAAGGAAAGTAGGATGAGGAAATAATATGAGGAGAACATGCAGTGACTAATCACTTACAAAAGAGAATTTTAGAGTCAAAGTATGCCTTAGAAATGGTCTGGAAAATACGCAGCCAAATCAAATAACTTAATATGTATTGAGACTTCAATGTTTACAGAAAATTTGAAACCTTTTATAAAACCACTAATTCTTTTGTAATGCTACAAATTACTTAATAAGAGTTACTAATGTATAAATCTCTATTATTATATTTAGGATTTTCTTCCAGAAGAGTACCACCACACATCTTAAAATAGGAGGATCTCGATCCAGGTACAGTGGCTCATGCCTGTCCCAACATTTCGGGAGGCCAAGGTGGGAGAATCACTTGAGGCCAGGAGTTCGAGGCCAGCCTAGGCAACATAGTGAGACCCCATCTCTAAAAAAATAAAAATAAAAATTACCAATGGAACAGGATAGAGAATGCAGAAATAAAGCTAAACGCAACCAACTGACCTTTGGCAAAGCACACAAAAATATAAATTGAGAAAAGGACATCTTATTTAATAAACGGTGCTGGAAAACAAGATGACCAGATGTAGAAGAACAAAACTGGATCCCTACCTCTCCACTTACACAAAAATCAACCCAAGATGGATCCAGACATAAATCTAAGACCAGAATCTGTAAGAATTCTAGAAGAAAACCTAGGAAAAACACTTCTGGACATTGGTCTAGGCAAAGGATTTATGACTAAGACCCCAAAAGCAAATGCAACAAAAACAAAAATAAATAAATAAATGGGACCTAATTAAACTAAAAAGCTTCTGCACAGCCGAAGAAATAATCATCAGAGTAAACAGCCCACAGAATGGGAGAAAAAATCTGCAAACTATGCATCCAACAAAGGACTAATATCCAGAATCTACAAGGAACTCAAACAAATCAGCAAGAAAAAAACAATCCTATCAAAAAATAGGCAAATGACATGAATAGATATTCCTCAAAAGAAGATATACAAATGGTCAACAAACATGTGAAAAAATGCCCAATATCAGTAATCATCAGGGAAATGCAAATTAAACTCATAAGATATCACCTTACCCCAGCAAGAATGGCCATTATTAAAAAGTCAAGAAAAATAGATGTTGGTGTAGATATGGTGAAAAAGGAATGCTTATACACCGCTGGTGGGAATGTAAATTAGTACAACCTCTATGGAAAACAGTATGGTGATTTCTCAAAGAACTAAAGGTATATCTACCATTCGATCCAGCAGTCCCACTACTAGGTATCTACCTAAAAGAAAAGAAGTCATTGTATCAGGAAGACACCTGTACACACATGTTTATCACAGCACAATCCACAACTGCAAAGATATGGAACCAACATAAGTGCCCATCAATCAATGAGTAGATAAAGAAAATGTGGTACATACATACATGGAATACCACTCAGCCATTAAAAAAGAACAGAATAATGACTTTTGCAGCAACTTGCGTGAAGCTAGAGGTCATTATTCTAAGTGAAGTAACTCAGAAAAGACAAACCAAATACTATATGTTCTTAGTTATAAGTGGGAACTAAGCTATGGGTACGCAAAGGCATACAGAGTGGTACAATGAACTTTGGAGACTTAGAAGTGGGAGCCTGGGAGGTGGGTAAGGGATAAAAAACAACATATTGGTTACAATGTACACTACTTGGGTAATGGGTGTACTAAAATCTCAGACTTCACTAGTAAACAATTCATCCATGTAACCAAAAACCACTTGTACCTCAAAAGCTACTGAAATAATAAAAATTAAAAATTAGCTGAGCATGGTGATATCCACTTGTAGTGTCAGCTACTTGGAAGGCTGAGGTGGGAGGATCACTTGAGCCCAGGAGGTGGAGGCTGCAGTGAGCTGAGATCGTCCCACTGCACTCCAGCCTGGGCAACAGAATGAGACCCTGTCTCAAAAAAAAGGAATAAAAAATGACTTTTAAAAGTATTTTAAGTATGTTCAGAGATACACCTAAAGACTTTAAGCATCTTTTCTACATTTCTAAATTGAAAGCATACTCATTTTGGATCTTAACCAATCACCATTTAAACAAGTTTTCATCTGCTCCAGTAGAGATAATTTCGCCCTACAACTTGATAAATGTTTGCAAAATAGACAACTATATATGAGTAACAGCAAAGAAAGCCCAAATTTAAAATCTATCAATGTATCTATCTGACTACTATCCATCTTAAAGTCCACAGTAGTCTGACAACTAAGCGTCCAAGAAGTCTCCTCTGTGTTTTTAACTTCCTGGATTATAGTAGGTCTCTCTTAACTTACTGGAACAAAAAGGGTGATTAATTGATATCTAAATACATTTAGAAGATTTTGAAAGAAAAAAAAAAAAAAACAAGGCAGCATGTGCTCTGTCCCTAGTTCCTGAAGTATGAATTGTTTATTATAATATGGTAATCCCACTACCAGCTCTGGTTGTACCACCAACTATGATTTTGAAATAAAGGGTTTAAATATATATATATGCGTGTGTGGATAGACAGATAGATAGATAGATAGATAGATAGATAGATAGATAGATAGATAGATAGAGATAGAGATAGAGATATGCTTACACAGCCCACATTTAAAATCTACCATTATCTTAAAGAAAAAGAACATGATAGTGGTGGCTCCCACTCCATGGAGATCACTGATGGCAAAGTACAGAGTGGGAAAACATATTTATGTTTTACCCGCTTGGCATATTATAAATAGAACAATCTCAACCAGGCATTTTGCCAAGATGTGGAAAAATGAAATGAGGCAAAATGCAAATGGAAAATAAAATTACTTTTTATGCCAAAATAAGGTCTGGATGGAAAACTTTAACCAAAGATATGGTCTGGATATGGTAAGACTTATAGAAGATCAGCTGAAGATGATTTGAAACTGCAAAGATTCTTGAACAACAAAAAATGGTATTTCATTACCCATACACAAAACACAAACTGTCTAGATAGGAATTATGCTAATATATTTTGGAAGCAGATGCTTTCTAATATATTTTTTCACCTTAATGTCATTACCGTTTTTTCCCCAACCTGCTCCTTTCTATAAGATCTGCACTTTGCCAAATGCAGAATCACCAACACGAATAATTATTATAAATATAACCAAAATGGTTGGGAAGAAAATGTTATATCACTATGGTTTTGAGTATCACTACGGCATGAACCACAACTGGGTTATACTGAGAAATCTCTCACTCTTTATATAATGAATCTGTCATTTTTTTTTATTAACTGAGTGCTGCTGTACACAGACAGATCAATCTGTCTTCTCTTATTAGCACTGAGATTTTAAAAGTCTACACATTAAGTTAATTGATTTGATAATTTCTTTATCTTAGAGTTTGAAGTGCTTACACATTTAATCTTAACAATTCAGCTATATACGATTACCTAGAAACTGACGGTTTTCTTTCCGAGTCCTTTCCCAGTCACTTTCATCTTTTTTCAAGCTTTTTTTACCTTAATCTGTCTAGAATAAATTTTCATTGGAAAGCAATCCAAGAAAAGGGCCAAAGTCTCCACAAAACACAATTTCAACGATTTTTAACTGGAGATAATTAAGAGTATCTTTTAATTTTGCAAGTTATAGAAATATTTTTAATAGTTTTAGTGTGGTATAACTGACACACAATAAACTGCATATATTTAACATGTACAATTTGACAAGTTTTGACATGTATACATGGTGAAACCATCACCACAATCAAGATAATAAGTATATCCAGCACCTCAAAAGTTTTCTCATGACCCTTTTAATCTCTCTCTTTCACTTATTGCCATATTTTCCTTCTCCCACTCCCAGGCAATCACTGGTCTTTCTGTCACTAAATATGAGTTTGCATTTTCTAAAATTTTATATAAATAGAATACAAATTTATCTCAGTAGGAGAACACTATTTTATTTTGCTTGGCTTCTTTCACTCAGCATAATTATTTTGAGATTCATCCATGTTGTTGCATGTATCAATAGTTCATTCACTTTGATTACTAAATAGTATTCTATTATACAGATGTACTACAGTTTGTTTATCCATTCACCAATTGATGACATTTGAGTTGTTTCCAGTATTGTGTTATTACAAATAAACTGTGTACAAGATTTTGCATCGATGTAAGTTTTCACTTCTCCTAAGAGTGGAATGGCTGGATTATCAAATTGGTGTACATTTACCTTTTTCAGAGACTGTTAATCTGTTTTCAAAAGCAGTTGTGCCATTTTACACTTTCACCAGCTCTATAGCTACAGTAAGTGGAGGAGTTAAGGTCTTCAAACCCTAACTGATTCCAGATCCTATCTTCTGTAGGCTCCATTTTTTTCTAAATTAGACATCAGCTTTGGCCAGAATTTGGATGACAGGAGATGGAAATTTAAAGAGTGGCATGGGGGAATTTGGATTATAGGAGATAGGAATTTAGGGAGCAACATGGGGGAGTTTGTCTAATGACAAAAATAAAGGATGCTCACAGCCTGGGGAACTAAGTAATTCCTATCTCATTGGTACCAGGAGCTAACCTAGACGACAGAGACAAAGTAAAGATCAGTCAGAAAGAACAACTCAGAACAGAGGACCAAACTGAGCCACGAGGGTTGATCAGTGACAGCCCATGCTCTCCTGGACTCACCTTGCTGGCCCATTCATGCCTGTGGCCTCCCTCTCCAATGACCTCCCATCACCCCTCATAAGGACAAGATGCTGTTTACTTTCCATCCGAAATGACTGTGGTTCCGGGAGTTGTTAGGAGGCCAACGTGTTCCATGCTCTTATGTTAATAGTGTGGGGATAAAAACTAAACAAAGGAAGCAAGCATCTGACAATAAATGAGTCTACTGGAAGTGAAAAAAAAATCCAATTTACCAATTTTCCTTTTATGGATCATGCTTTGGTGTCTAAGAAATCTTTGCCTAACCCAAAGTCACAAAGATTGTCTTATATGTTTTCTACTAGAAGTTTTATTGTTTTAGGTTTTAAATTTAGACCTTGGATCCATTTTGATTCATGACACAAGACTGGAGTACTTTTAAATTTTGTTGGCTGTGCCATTATTTTTGTCTATTTGCTATTAATTTCTAATTTTACTGGATATTAACCAGAAAACACATAAAATATGGTCACATGTGTAAACATTATATGGATAATTCAAAGAACATATATTTTCTATTTGATTATAAAAATATACAATTATCAATTAGATCAAGTCTGTTAATTGGCTATTTAAATCCTTTATATATTTTTATTTATTTGATCTGTTATCTGCTCAAATAAGGAGAGCTAAATTTCCCTACTAATTGTGGATCGATCTGTTGACTTTACATTTCTCTTAGTTTTAGCTTTATATAGTTCAGGATTATGTAGTTAAATATTTAAAGGTTCATGATTACTTAGTTATCTTAGTATATCAATATGAAATCTTTTTCTTTAGTCTATTTAATGATCTTTGCTTGAATTCTATTTCATCTCATATTACTTTAAGTACTTTCTTTTTTATGGCCTTTTTTAAGGGTATCATTTCCTATATATATTTTTACCTTAACCTATCTTTTTTTGTAGAAGTGTCTTTTGTCACCATATATAGCTGAATATGTAATATTTTTATGCTATCCGTATTAGAAAAGGGAATTTAATCTACTTACATTTATTGTGGTTATTGATACAGATATACGTGTTTTCTATTTATCACAACTTTTTTGATTGTTTTATTTCTTTCTTTCTTGAACTTTGCTAAATGTATCAAATATTCTTTGCTTTTTGTCCTTACAGTACATTTCCTTTCTTAAAAAATCTTTATGCTTTAAAAAAAAAGTTATGGAAAAAAATTCATGCACTACAGATAAAGCAAAATTTGTATTTGATCCCGGTGAACTCTTACTCCGTTCCCTAAGATAATTTATTATATGAGCTGAATAGGTAAACTTTCAAAACTTTCTTAAAAATTCATTTATGAATATATCATCCTATTTTTATTATCATGTTTATTCTTAATTGCCTTTAAGACACATAAACTTCAATTTTTTTCTTCTTTAAATCATAATCTATACCCTAAATAAAAAAAGAACATAATATACTTTTATGCTTGTTTCTCTTTACCTGACCCTGCCATCTTCCATGTTAAAATCAGAAATAAAGCTATTTTATGTGTGCATGCATGTGTGTGTGTATGTGTGAAAGAGAGAGAAATCGTAATTAATAGTTTATTTTTGTTTATAATATTTCTAAGTATGGTTATTTTCTTATTAATTATATTTGGAATTGAGAGGGCTCATTACATCTAAATATTTTTTTTTCATATTTTATGCTTTTTCTCCTACTATTTCTTTGATAATTTTGTCCTTTCCAGTTTCTCTTTTCTCTAAGAGAATTACAGGGATGCTAGAACTTCTGTAACTATTCTCTATGTCTCTCAAATTTTTCCCCACATTTCTGAAGTATTCTTTTTGTATGTCATTCTGAAAAAGATTCCCTAGTTCAATCTTTCATTTCCCTAATTTATATGTGAGTTGTATTAATGACCATTTTCATTTTAAATTTTAAAGTCAAACTTTAAATTCTTAATTTCTGTGCTTGAGTCTTTTTCATGAATACATCTCTCTGAATGTCTTCTTCTGATCACTCTATTACCTCTAGGTCCTTGAATATTTTTTCTTCTCATTTTTCATTTGGCATCTTTCTTTCATGGTACTGATTTACTTCATATTGCGGTGTGTCATAATTATATGCTCATCTTTTGTTTGAGAATCTCTGTGTGCCAGCTCTTTTGTTTACCATTGTCTGTTTCCAGTGATTAATAGGGACAGACAAGTGGCTTGTCTCCTGTGTGGGTGGGCTTTCTAACCCACCTGGCAGTCAGCACATTACTGAGGCACTGCCCTACCTCTCTGGGTCTAGCACCCACACTCAAGGATTTAGTTTGTGGGTAAACACAGCTGCTATCCACTACTTAACACAAGGAGAAAAGAAAAATAAAGGCACAGCTCCAAATGTGGAGCTCCAATTAATAACTCTGATGAGCCCTTTGATTAATAATCCTGACGAATTCCTCTTTTATTTCGTGTTTCCATTGTCTGTACCTTTAGCTTTGTCTTGCTTTCTTTTCTTTGTTGAGGATTTAAATCTATTTTTGTTATAGATTTAATTTATTGTTTCTTTTCTTACCATTTTTTTCATAAAATAGAATTTTGGCTATGGAAGAAAAATATAAAGACATATATAACAAAAGACATTTAAAAAAACAACTTCCAATTTTCAATCATGTACGTTGCTTAAATTTAAGGGCTTCACACACTTGTACCAACAGTGATAATTAACTTTACATAAATTCTTCGCATTATTGCTGCTCACAATGATGCCATAAATACCAGGGAATTTCAAGATTAAAATAATCAAGCATCTTCAGTAGAATCTTTCAACAATACTTTGGACCGCAAGAAATTAAATGCAACAAATTTTTGATTCCTCAAAAGAACACTACTCAGATCTATTTTAATCAGCTTTGAACGTGTCAGAGAATCAATCTAGTCTGTTAAGTGATAAATAGCTATAAGCATATTACCTCTTCAACAGTTGTCGAGTTGCCATTCCATTTATGGGAATCTAGTTTTATGTTTTTCTGAGAACTTCCATAATCATTATGGCCAACATCACTCTCCCACCGAAGTATACAAAGAAACAGTCTCAGAGGATGGTGTGTGTGTGTGTGTGCGTGCGTGTGTGTGTGTGTTCACCCACACCTGGGCATGGCAGGGATTGCATCCTCAGGGCCTGGCATGGAGTTGGTATTCATTAAATATTCACTGAAGTGAATTAAATAACAATAACAAAACAACCTTTTGCTTGTGAAGTGTCTAGCATTACTCTTGCATCTTGGGTCATAATTTGGCAAATTTCCCTCCAGCTTGAAACTGCTGAGATATTTTATACTATAGTACAGTGAACCCTTAAGATTATGGTTTGTTTTTCAATGATTCATAAATCTCCAATCTTGTTTCATCTGTAAACTAAACTTAGTGTATCTCCATGACTTTTGTCTCATCTGTCCCTTTTCGTAGACTCTTTTCCTCTGTGAAGTCTCCTTTCTCCTTCCTATATGATCCTAACTGCATCTTATACTCAGTCTTGTTACAGGACTTACCACACCAGACTGTAATGCTTCTCAAGGAAAACATCAGAGTGATAGGAACTTTGTCAAGTTAGTATTAGTTATTTTTTATTTTATGTATATACCCTGCCTCACACCATACACACAAAGAGCTTTGAGACTTATCCAAATGTTTACTGTACAAAAAAAAAACAAAAAACAATAATTGAAGAACCCAGGATGAAAGAAAAATAGAGTGAACAATGCTACATAATCCTGTACAGAGGTTAGAGGTAGGATCTACGATTTGTAGGGGCCAAAGCAAGATAGATACTATGACTTTCAAGATAAAAATAAACTAGTTACGTTATACTTAAACAAGAGAATTGTTATCAGCATCTTCGACTGCTGGAAAAAAAAATAAGTAGCCTTGGAAAAGTTAAGTGCGCCCTGCCCAATATCCCATGGCTTGTTTTGTTAGAGGAAAATACTGGTCTCTTGACTTCCAGTGCTGTTGCTGCACTACCACACTGAAACTAAATACACAGTGAAAATTAGTTGCTATTATGGCAATCCCTGGGAGAAACAAATACTTATTCCCTTGTGAGGGATAGGAAGTTAAACTAAGAACCCAACACAAATGTTCTGTGAGGCAGTTTAGTAGAGCTGGAAGATACGAAATGACCTGATGGCCCCTGAAGAGGAAACAGTGGTGCAGCAGCAACCTTCAGAGGCACATGAGATCCTCATTGCCAGGGGGGTCAAAAGGCCAGAAAAATCATTTCTAGAACATTCTACATGTATATACAGTCTTAGAAAAAGTGGACCCTTAAGTGCTATACTAGACTATGACTGGGAAGATAAATTTTTTAAAATTTCCTAAGGCACTTCTCCAGAAGAAAACAAAAATTAAGGTCAGGTCTACCTCAGCCAGTAACAGACTTCTGGGCCCCTAGATTCATTTATTTGGCTCTGCTGACTGTTTGGCTCAGTTTTCCCTTAGCAAGTGTAAAAAACACTTAAACACCACCACCCTGGGATCCTATTCAACCAATTCAGATAGCTGTGGCCTTTTAACTCACATCCAAGTGACTTGGCTTTATACCAATATCATTTCCCCTAGTATAGGCTAAGCCTAAGTGAGAAAGTACACAGCTCAGGGAGCCAGGAGTTAACTGGCTGTTCTCATTCCAAAAAGGCCTGGTTCTTTTCCTTGATAAGGAAACAATATTATATCAAGAAGTTGCGGTCATTCAGTATTACATATCACACTAGATCCATGACTATAAAAAGAGAATTAGTGGAAATACCACCATCTATTCTTAAAGCATCTCTCCAAGGAGCTTTAGATAATTGAAAATGTTCTCTTCCAGCCCAATCCCTTGGGAAATAAATAGAGGTGATTTATTAAAACTTACATTTTACGTATAAGAAAATAACAACAAGAAAATCAATTGCAGAGAGTGGCAGAGGATCTTGAGGGTATCCTCTACTTGCTGAACCACACTTCTTCCTTAGAATTATATAATAAATACAGAATATGTACATTTACTTGTGTATAGCTGCCTGTGATTTACCTATAGTAAGGTCAAAAGCATTCTATGGACATGGTCTTCCTTGAGCCCTTCTTCTGTGCTGTCATTTTCCTTTGCCAGGGAAATGGTTTCTCACCATCCCTCCCATGGACACCTATGTCTGGAAATGTCTAAAACACTTTTCGAATAGCAAGTTGCTTTCTCCTATACCAGCAAGAAATTTTTGCAACTCCACCTGTCCCTCAAAGCAATGTGGCCACAATAACCTCTGCAAGTCTGTCTGCCTATGCTGTTTCTTTTTCTAATACCCAACTAATTTATTGATTTATATTGTCTTTACGTCTCCTCTGGCTTTGCAGTGTGGCATGAGTCTCAGAGCCAGTGATTACATTACATTCATAAGTATTTGGCTGGAGTTTTAAAAAATGAGAGATGGTAGTGGGGATCTGGAGGGGGATGATGCATAATATACATGGAACTGTGAAAATGCGTAAGATAAAAATTAAAGAAGTCTTCTTTCCTCTAAAGTAAGATTTAATAAAATGAGACTCTGACGAAAGAAAGCTTTATTTTGGTGAAAGACATCAAATGGCATGTGTACAAAAGACAGAAACTAAAAGAAATAGGCAGCAGTGCCCCCTGGGTTGCCTGTCAAGAAGTGTGTCCTGTACAGTTTCTGGAGAAATTAAGAAATGCAAATAACCTGGGCAGATTAACAGCACCCGAAGATAACTAGCAGGATACAAACAAACAGCACCTTTCACTATGAGGAGGCGTATTCCTCCAGGCAAACAAAGAAACAGGACAGAGTCAACATCTGTTTCATATAACAGCTTGGCTGCTGACAGAAGAAACCTTAAAAAAATGGCTTAGCTGACAATCCACAAAAATCATTCAATCACTATTGCATGGGCCGAAGCAAACGAGTAAATGAACACAACCTGCACTTTCTATATTACCCTAAAAAAGTTGTCTTTTCTTTATAGGAAGAAAAAAATTAAAATGAAAATGCAAACAAAAATCTTCATGAACTTTCCCCTTTTGATTGACAACAGGCAGCAATGAATACTGAATCATAAAAGACAGCCAGCTGCTTTTCAGCTGGTCTTTGCCTTTCTCAATGTCAATTGCGAAGACACCACTTTCAAAGAGAACATTGGGTAAGGATGGTGGCTGGGATGGGGCATGGGGAGACAATTCAGATGTAACACATTAGAATATTAAGAGGAAGAAAACAAGTCATTTGACACACCCAGTCCTGGTTACAGAATTCAGTTAGGGAGTATTATGATGTCTGGGTCCTTATCAATAAATAATAACACACCAAACATGTTAAGAACTAAAAATTTCCATCTCTGGATTCTATCAATTCACACATACAATTTCAAAATCAAGAGGAAAACATTCATGACTGCATAGAAACCTGTTTGTAAATTTAAGTACTGGACATTTCTAAAATGCAACATTATCAGAGCTGTGACATCACTGCAGTGTGGACAACTGCTTTCAACTCAGCTAAATGCCGTGACATCACTGCAGTGTGGACAACTGCTTTCAACTCAGCTAAATGCCAGATGCTTCACTTACTTTCATAATGCGGTTAAAGTACATAAGGCAAATGCAAAATGAAAGCAATTAAGAGGCAATGATAGAAGAGATTTTTCAGGTGAAATGTGAAAACAGAAGGAAAGGTGATGAGGTGGAGCAGGACAAGATCATTTGATATTAACGCACGCACAGTGCCAAAACTATGCTAGGTAGCTAAACAGAGACTCCAGTGAGGGCCTTTTCGAGTTGCTTCTCAGTTTAAACAGGTGTAATATCTTGTTTAAGTGGAAGAGAGGTATGACCACAAAGAGAAAAAAAAAATCAATACATGATTTGCATTATTTCTGACCTTGGAAAAAAGGCTTTATTGAAAGGTGTCCTTTATTGCACAGAATTGAGAGGCGGCAAAGTGAGAGTATGATCATTATAAAAGCAAATCTTCCATAATGTGAGCTATAGGCCAAGCAAATTCTCAGTGGTTGACCTGCATTTACTAATTTAGCCCTCACAAGGATTATATGACATAGGAACTATTATTATCTCACTTTACAGATAAGGGAACAGAGATACAAGAAGGTGGTAGACTTGCCTAGAATCATACAGAATTTCTGAGCTTTGAAACAAGTCACTAGAAGGAAGGAAAATTCTTTAAAGAGTAATCCATCAGTCCATTCAGCATCCTTGTTAGGTATCTTGTACAATATCCAGAAAAATAAAATAATCTAGAGCAAGACAAGCACAGTAACTAATTAAAACTAAAAGAGAAGGAATTGAGATTAGCTTCACCAAAAACCTCCTGGATAAAAGACTATATAGGAAAACAAAAAGTTCACGAAGTAATACTATAAAATGTCCTGCGTAGGAATCAGGACTAATATCCAGGCTTGCTAATACCTTGGATGGTATTAGAAAACCCCTTCAGGTGTGAAAGGGCCTAAATGGATATCTGTTCTAGGCCTATAAGAAGTAATAGTTGACTTTAAGAAGTCAAGTATGGAAGAGTTTCCTCTGGCACCTCTTACTTGGTTTATGCAGGAACAGTGCTTGTTTTGACACTATAACCACCACAACTTTCTAGAACTGAGCCTGGCATGTAATACATGCTCAGTAAATATTTGCTGAATGAATGAATTACAAAGAATAAACGAATAAAACAGTGAAATGTTTGTGGAAAGTTTTAGATAGTTTGGAAAGTAGAAGTAAGACTTTGATTCAGAAGGTAGTCTTGAAGAAATCAAAGGAGGGAAGCAGGATTACAGAACCAGAAGTCAGAACCATAACTGAGCAAGAGTTTGACTTGAAAGATCTCTAAATAAGAGAGTGTGAGAGAGAAAATGAATGATAAAAGCAACAGAAATAATTAGAGATTAAGTCCTATAAATGTCTTTGAGCAGAGAGCAAGGTATTCATGTTTTGTCAATATGGTATTTTAGGGATGGGCGCAGTGGCTTATGTCTGTAATCTCAGCACTTTGGGAGGCTGAGGGCAGATCATTTGAGGTCAGGAGTTCGAGACCAGCCTGGCCAACATGGCGAAACCTTGTCTCTACTAAACATACAAAAATTAGCGACGTGCGGTGGCTCATGCCTGTAAACCCAGCTACTCGGGAGGCTGAGGCAGGAGAATTACTTGAACCCATGAGGCAGAGGTTGCAGTGAGCCGAGATTGCACCACTGCATTCCATCCTGGGCAACGGAGCAAGACTCTGTCTCAAAAATAAATAAATAAAAAATAAAAAATGGTGTTTTACCAACACACTGTTAACCAAAAAAAAAAAAAAACCAAACCAACATGTGAAGACTTCAAATCATGCAAATAATAATGATACAAACAGCAGCAAATAACAGGTGGGAGCACTTCTCTTGTGCCAGGCCCTGGGTAAAGTGCTGTAGGTGTAGAGTGCACTGGTTAGGCACAAGAGCTCAGACTGATACCAACCTCCGGCTCCAAATGACCACAGTCAAATCATCATGTCTGGTGTTATCTTATCTGTGAGATAATAATAGCATCTACTCTCTAGGCATGAAGTTGCAAAGACTGAGACTGTGTAGGGGAGAGAAAAGGGAATAAGGGCAAAACAGAAGAAGAAAATTTAGAGCTCCAATTTCACAAAAAGATAGGCATAATCACTGCAGCCTGGAGGGTGTGACAGGTAGTTGAGAACAAGGCATTCTTAAAATAGCAAAATAGAAATGGCCCACCAAACCACTGGGCTAGACTATCACTGTGTCATAATTTACCTTGTACTTCTGCACTTAATTTTTTTCCCTTTCATTTCATTATTTTCAAAATTTTCACTAATTTCCTATTTCTCTTTTCATGAATGTCTCCATCACTGAATGAGGAGTTCCCTGAAGATGAGGGCTGTGCTTAGATCTTTCATTCTCTGCCCATAGGACCATGCTAGACCCATAATTAATTGTGGTAAAATGATCAAGTGAACAGTAAGAAAACACCACATGAAAAGAAATTGATGTGAATGAGAATTTTAAGAATTTTTCAGGAAAAAGATATAAAAACACTTTCACAAAACAGAAAATTGGTAAGAGGAAATAATAATTTTTATAAGTAATATATATTCAACACATATATATTCACACACAAACATATGTTTGTGTGTGCAAACATATAGTTTGTCATTAAGATCCCCAAAAGTGACTTTCACTGAGTGTAACTCCATTATTCATTGTTTCCTCACCCCATATCATTTCTTCTAAATAGATAATGAGCACAGGTTTATGCGCTTCCCTATTTTGAAGAAGTGAGAATTTTAACTTAAGACTGGGAAAGAGTGAAGAAGAGCCTTGGAACTATCTGAAATGGGTAGAGGAAGGACATTAGCAGGGAGAACAGGGGCCATGCTGTTCTCCTGAATTAACCCCAGGATAAGGAGAACTACCTGGGCATTCCTCACTAAGAATTCATCACTGTCCTGGCTCTTAATCTCTATATTTACCACCTATTTTCTTGAGGTCCTCCCCTGAATTCAGAATTTTTCTCTGATTGACAATGTGATTGAACTCTGATTAACCTGTCTTCTGAGCAACCCTCCACTGGTGAATAAAAGCTTCATATCTTCACACATTGATCATAAAACATATAACTCTCTCCTCCCAGAAATTCTCAGTCAAGCAACTCCCTCTCAGACAACTTGATTTCAGCCAGTCATAATTCCCCCTAAGTGCACATACACCTTATTTTGGGATGATCCCCTTCATATCTAGCATACACGTTAACTCCTAGGAAAGCTACACTTTATACAGGTTAGCCTAGCTTTTCATGTGTTCCTGGTTGAGACATAACCTAGTACCTAGCCTCAAAAAATATTTGAGGAAATGACTTAGTGAATGAGCTGTCAAGAAGTCAACTCCCTTAAGTGCTTGCCCCCGAGCATGTGACACAGGATACACAATTGGATTCTACTCAGAAAGTCCCCTCTTCCTTCAGACACTGTGTCAACTGGAAACAGAGCTATTAAAGTTGAGAAAGTAAAAGAATCTATGCATAGGCTAGAAATTTGCTCTTCAATACTAACACATGCCAAAAACTTATGTATCACTAGCCTGGAACGAATGTATCTGCTCTGATCCCTGAGGCTCTGCCTTTTACCTGCATCTCTTAACCTCATTACGAAATAGGTACCAACTAAAACATAACCACCAAATCCTATGGTATCCTCTCCATTGTAATTTCCATTTCAGCAACTGTCAGGGAACAGCTCTTTCGGCAAAATTAAACCGTGCTTGAGAACAGACCTATTCCCACCTTATGTACCTCTAGTCCCCTAACTTGATCTTTCATTGTACTGAATTTTGATGGCACAGAGCCAACCTTACGAATTCCTTGGTGTTCACTTTTTTTAAAACTGTCCACATACAGTTACTGTTTGTTTCATCCAAGTAAACATCATATGTAATAAATGTCTTATTAACCAACCAATAGTTTCTTATACCTGGAAGGTGTTCAATAAAAGCTTTGTGTCCAACCTAAAAATAAAATACTTAGTAACAGCCATATTTAAAACCCATATAACTCTCAAACCATGCATTTACAATGTGTTCTTTGATTTTTAAATATCCATAAGTAATATTATTGTCACCAAGGAATAATCAGCAGAAGCCACAAAGCAAAAAAGCATTTTTTTATAAACCATGCATCTGGAAATTTTAAATAGGAGAAAGATTATTTTGTTTCATTTGAATGTTCTGCCAGCTGCTTGTATTTCTTTTTTGAATTAAATTAAATTAAACTAATTTCTAGACGTTAATTTATCAATAGTTTCTGAGCAACCATTGTATTTAAGGTTTTAAGCATATGGCATGGTTAATATGCCATACATTTATTTTTCTTAAAAGTACAATTATAATTTAAAATACCCTAATAGAACACAGTCTTTTAAAAACTTTGCATAGAAAAATTATTATAAGAACATTCATGTTTTATAATTTTTGGAGTCAAAATGACAAAACCAAATGTCTTAAAGAAAAATCGGAATTTATTGATCATGGTTGTTTTATATATTAATGCTATAAAGCTAAAAGTGAATATGAAATTGACTGGCAGAAGCGAACCTGTCCTACACATAGCGAACTGAAAACAGACACCTGAAAAGATCAGCCAGTTTTTTATTAGATAAAAATAAGAAGGTACCAAACGCTATTAAAATGGCGTAAAGTTGGTGTTACAATCTCATCGAGCTAAAAATAGGTCACAGTTAGAATGACCTTAAGGGAAAATAAACAAAACAAAACAAAACAAGGTAAGGCCAATATCACAAAGTGATTAAAGAGATGGAAGATAACTCTCTCCTAAGTCATTAAACTCACCGATATCATACTGAACTCCAGAGCACTTAGTATTTTCATGCGCCATTAGAGAATTTAGTGGGTTCACTGAATTGACTGATTTCTTTGTTAATCTATTTACATGGGTTAAGACCCTGACTAACATAAAACACAACCAAAAAATGCCAGACAGAGAGTGTAATGAAAGACTGAGTGATGTATGGTTTGGGGTACAGCCTATCCGATAAATGTGCTTGGCCAGCAAAGAACCCATTGGCAAAGATTTATTATCGGAACAAATACATTCTAAAAAGATCTAATACAATAAAACCTGCAGTATAAACACAAACTACTCTAAAATACAAATCTTTTCCCCGAATAGTTGATCTTTCAATGATATTAAAATTCTCTTCATATGTTTTATTCAAGAATTTTTTGAACAAGTAAAACCAATGAGCTGTATAAATTGCCAATAATAGTGTAATTCTTTGATTCATTCAAAAAACCCCCAAAGTTTATGTTACTTAGAACTCTTCAACAATTTTTAAAACATACGAAGAGAAGGAAATATTTCTAGGAAATATATTATCAAGATAAAAATGAACCACCTACTAAAATAAGTTATCATTATGTTTGAATTACATATAATACATTATTACCAAATTCATAAAAGTTAAGGGCAGACATAGAAATGATTTGAAATGTTATACCTCCAAGTTCTTTTACATTCAAGATGGCATTCTGGAATGGCACTGCTTTAATACTAAAACCTAAAATTAGAAAACAAAAACATAAAAAAAGAATTAGCAACTTTTAAATTAAAACACTTAGGATGCTCAAATTGTCTCTTTTTAGGCTGGTTAAGATTTATTTACTTTTTGTAGCTGATATTTATACTAGAAACACATAATTTCCAAGGTAAACTGATAACTGAATATTATCTTCTGCCATTATCAAAACATAGTTGTTGTGGCTGGGCACAGTGGCTCACACCTGTAATCCCAACACTTTGGGAAGCCAAGGCGGGCAGATCACGAGGTCAAGAGATCAAGACCATCCTGGGCAACATGGTGAAACCCCGTTTCTACTAAAAATACAAAAATTAGCTGGGTGTGGTGGCACACGCCTGTAATCCCAGCTACTCGGGAGGCTGAGGCAGGAGAATCACTTGAACCTGGGAGGCAGAGGTTGCAGTAAGCTGAGATCGGGCCACTGCACTCCAGCCTGGTGACACGCCGAGACTCCATTTCAAAAACAAACAAACAAACAAGCAAAAAACATAGTTGTGTATTACGGCAATATATAACACTATCCCCTTTACTTCAAAATATTGCCTTATTCTTTAATTTAATATGTAATGTCACTCTGCAACTTTTATCAGATATAAGAAAGACATTTGAAAGTATAGAGAAATTTCAAAGAAAATATTAAATCTATGAGGACCTCTGCATCTAACTTTAATTCTTAAAGTTAATGTCTTATAATTCTTTCTCACATATAACTCAGCAACCCTAGAAATTAAGGTACTTAAATTATAACCATTTCATATTAGAATTACATAGTATTTATGTTAGTGTCTTCTTTAAAGGACATGGTTAATATGTCATGTATCTATTTTTCTTAAAAGTACAATCATAATTATCCACTTATGCATAGGCAATCATTTTATAATACATGTAATACAAGTTTTATATTATAAGAAAATATTCAGAGTATACAGTTCTATGATTAACTATATATTTATGACTTAACTATTACCATTCAAGACAATAAATTCAACTGTGACATATGCAAGTGTGTATATACCCATTCACACACACACACACACACACACGCACACACACACATGCAAATATACACACAGATTCTTTCTGAAAGGATCCACAAGAAACCAGAGCTAATGACTCTCAGGAAAACTGGGAATCTGGAAATTTTAAATAGGAGGAAGATTCTTTTGTTTCATTTGAATGTTTTGCCATGTACTTATATTTCTTTTTTGAATTAAAAGCCCTATGAATTTCTAGGAGTTAATGTATCAATAGTTTCTGAGCAACCATTCTACTTAAGGTTTTTAAGCATTATTTAATATGTATAATTTTAAGATTAAAAAAGTTTCTTTTTCAAGAATTTATCAACAAAGAAGACAAATTATGAGTCTTTGAGGTAAGTTATGAAAAAATATATAAAGTATTACATGGATAAAAACAATTCTTTCAAATGGGTTTGTTTTGCTTTATAAAGAAGGAAATCATTACACACCTTCTTAGTCTAGCCTATCTTTTGCACTTCTTTGCTGCATGTTATCCCAGTACTTTAATAAGCTGTACATTACCTTCCACCTAAAGCAGTACATAGTATATAATGTTTGAAGAACTGACTTTGGAGTCAGACAGAACTAGGTTGAAATTCTAGCTCTGTCCCTTATTAGCTCTGTGAATGTGGGCAACCTACTAGCCTTGCTCGACTTTCTCATCTGTAAAACAGGGATGATAATATCTACTTCATAGGGTTGTTATAAGGATAAGATAATGTATGTGTTATGTTTATCACAGTGCCTGGTACACCATAAGCATATAATATACGATTGCTGGCATTATGTTTCCATTGATGCTTTTTCGTTGATGATTCAATCATTAGGTATACATATTTTCTGCCTGCCTGAATATAATTACAAACTTGATTCTGGGTGCTCACTTATTAATCTAAGTATGTAGTTGGAGATGTAAAAGTTACCATTGAATGAAAAGTACTTTTGTTGGAGTGACGAAGATGTCAACAGCTGAAGTCTGCTGCACAGAAAGGATGGAAAATGTTCATTGGGCCCTCTAACAATCTTCTAAAACATACCCCTTCCTTTGTGGGCTTAATGCAGATTGACACAGTCAGCACAGCATTATGGTTAATGGTGCATGAAGTCACTGAATCCTAGTAAATGAGCAGGAGGAAAGAGGAGGCAGTCCCATGTGGCTGAAACACTGGCATGTACCTGAGCCTGCAGGAAAGCCTCTCCAGGTGTCTGGCCTCTGGGAAATTAAGGAAAGTCAGTGCCAATCATAATATTCCTGCTGGCACAGAAATTCACCTGCAGGAGACTTGGATGCCTGAATGTATCTACCTACCTCACACGGGTGTTATATGGATTAAAAAGCAATGATGGTGAAATCCTGAAAATGAAAAGCTCTCTGCAAATATTAAGCAGTCTATTAGTGGTTATGCTCAGGACAACTCAAGTGTAGATTTTCTAGAGAAGTAAGACAGGCACAGGCCTCAACTTTGAAAAGGAAATGGTTATGGAGCACATCACCAATGTTTAATCTGCTTTGATTCTTAAAAGCTGACAATACGCAGGCTCTCAAAGGGAAGTAATATCCTTCCAGAAATTGCTGCACCTATGTGCAAAATACAACTTTTGAAATTTATTAACCCAACAGGCAGATTATGTCACTGTTATTGTCTTTAAATTCTTGCAAAGTCTTCATAAGTTGACTACTAAAACGTCTTCAAAAGTTCACACTAAGCAAAGTATCCTAGCAATGTTATTTTATTATTTTATTTTTTTTGAGATGGAGTCTCGCTCTGTCACCCAGGCTGGGGTACAGTGGCGTGGTCTCGGCTCACTGCAACCTCCATCTCCCGGGTTCACGCCATTCTCCTGCCTCAGCCTCCTGAGTAGCCGGGACTACAGGCACCCACCACCACGCCCAGCTAATGTTTTGTATTTTTAGTAGAGATGGGGTTTCACCATGTTAGCCAGCATGGTCTCGATCTCCTGACCTCGTGATCTACCCGCCTCGGCCTCCCAAAGTGCTGGGATTACAGGCACGAGCCTCCGCACCCAGCCCCCTAACAATATTATTTATAGGCATATAAATGTCCCGACAAAATAGTCGTAAATGTTTTCTCCAAATAGAACTTGTGTGGTTAGATTTATACTGCAAAGGTATACACAGTCATCCATGTTGCTGTCTCCATATTATTTTTACGGTTTAGCTTCAGTAATTAATGTTCAAAAGACAAAGTCTAGATAGACTGATTAGTCCAGAAAATAAGAAAATGTACTATTTACAGAAGAGAAACAATGTTTTTTCTATTTTAGTCATTCTAAACATTTGAAAGGATTAAATGGAACTAAAAATCTAAAGTCATACTTTCAGTTCACCAGAAGGACAACCAAGAAGGGAAATTATTAGACTTTTTTTTCCCTTTACATCAGGTTGGATGAGGCCAAGGGGGAGAATTAATATAATATTTAGGAGGGATACCAAAGGTCAAACCATCAAAATACCTTTCTCAAAGGGTTGCTTTGAGGAATAAAAGCTACCAGACAGCATTTGCTCTAGAGAAAGAAAGTCTAGGTTCAAACTCTTCCTATTCCATTTATTAACTGTTTGACTTTGAGCAAGCTAACTTTGTTAGGGAAGCATTCTCTGGTGTCCTCGAACTAGACTGATTTTTCTGAGTCCATGTTTTTCCAGTATTCAGTACCCCTCCTAGGTGATTTTCACAATTGTAACTACATATCGGTTGATTTGTTTTATATTTGTTCTCTGGCTAGACTGCAAGGATCCATAATGAAGAAACAAGCTACACTGTATTCTGTAGGTCAGTGCTTGGCATACAATAGGATCTCAATATGCTAAGTATTAATATCTATTTCCTAATTTAGCTGCTATAACAATCCTAAAGTTGGTATCAGTACTACTGTCCCAAGAAGAAAGTGAAGTGCCAGGCACGGTGGCTCACGCCTGTAATCCCAGCACTTTGGGAGGCCGAGGCGGGTGGATCACGAGGTCAGGAGTTTGAGACCAGCCTGGCCAAGATGGTGAAACCCCGTCTCTACTAAAAATACAAAAATTAGCTGGGCGTGGTGGCAGATGCCTGTAATCCCAGCTACTTGGGAGGCTGAGGCAGGAGAATCGCTTGAACCCGGGAGGCAGAGGTTACAGTGAGCCGAGATCAGGCCACTGCACTTTAGCTTAGGTGACAGAGCAAGACTCTGTCTCAAAAAAAGTACTAAGTGCTATATTCGAAACTTAAAACCAGGTCTCATCACCAGAGCCCTACACTACACTGTAGTGTCTCCTCCATATACCAACAAACTGAGGGATTCACAGCATTTTGTCCAATTTTGAGCCTAAATACTGGTAAAGTCAACTGACCAAAATACACACGTGCCTAATAAATGCACTAATTTACTGTCCTCCCTGTTTATAAATAACCCAACACCTAATAAACCCACTAATTCATTGTCCTCCTGTTTATAAATAACCCAACACAAGAAACCCAAATAAGGGTTTTCAGGTCTATATGCCATTGCTTTCTTATTAATGAAATAAAAATAATAGCATGAGTTTAGAAGGTACATTTTGTAGAAATAATTAATAAAATCAGGAACTTAGGAGGGGAGGGAAAAAGTGTTCAACTGACTCATCCATGACAGTGTAACTACTCTCTTGCTTCTTCAAACAGGAAGTGTCCTCTGATGCCATCTTCAGGGTGTCAGTGTGCTAACGTGACAAGGGACTATCCTAGGAGTCCGAAGCACAGCTCTTAGACTCACCAGCCACATTTTTGTCTTGCCTTGGCCTTGAATTCCTCATGTGCAAAATGAGGACTAAATTAGCTCTTTGAGATGTCCTCTAAAATTAGCATTCCATTATTTATATTAAACAAGGAGAAGGAAATAAAAGTAACCACTGAGTCAATCATCAATGGCCTGTAGTATTTGGCTGAAGGCTTCACGGTTAAGTCTCCCCAGGCTCCATTCAAACAATTTGATGGCTGAAGCCTAAGTTACGCAGTCATTTTTTCCTGGCCTATCTAAGCTACATTAGTAAGACTGAAACCTCCCCTAAGATTTAACCCCACAAATTTTTAATAAATATATGACTTAGTAACTCTTTGGGGAAATAATTGTTTGCATAGCCTTTCAGTCTTTGTTTTGCAGTCCTTAAATCCAACAAAACCTGTGAGACAAGAAAGATGAATTTGAAGTTTTTCATGCACTGAAAGCATTCCTGGAATTGTAACAAAATTAGTTTTGGGAGGAAGGTTAGTCTATTTTTATTCATTGTGTGGAACACACAAGTATTTCACTTGGACCTACAGACTAAACCCTCCTCCCCTTCCCTCAAGTCTGAGTGCACGCACACAGATACTTGTGTGCTTCTGAAATTCCTGGGTCACTCTAAGAATTGCTGAAGGGAAAGACATTCTACAGATCTGGTGGCTTTGACCTGCACCAAGGGCATGATTTATGCCACAGCAGTTTTGTGATGTTTGGACAACAGACTAACGAAATTCTTCTAACTATGATTTCAACATCATAAAAGGAAATTTAATGTACTGGCATTTATAAAACACAATCCTTTAAAAGATATCAAAATCTGACTTTCTAACTTGTTTCTCTTGTTGGCTTAACACATTTGAAGCTAATACTGAAGTTATTTAAATGTCTTCTTCAAATTTTCATGAACATTTTCAATCTTTTTCAAATATGGTATATATCCCTAGAAGATGTTTTCAACCTTTTTCAATTCAAAGTGTTCAGTTTTCTCTAGGTTATTCTCCATGTACCATCAATATATTCTCCTAAGCCTTTAGATTCCATTCCTCTGCTTCAAAAAAAAAAGTGAACATTTATGTAATCTACAGTTTAACAACCCCTCTTATCAACAAATTCCTCATACATATACAGTAAAGGAATTCAGTCTGGATAGAGTTCACTTTTATTTCTAGACTAAGGTGCAAATTACTCAAATTTTCTCTCCTCACCAACAGGTCCTGCTCTCTGGAGGATTTCTTGGCTCTTTGAGTTTTGACAATTTAAGTATCTTTTAAAAATTATGTCAGAGGTGAAAAATTGCTGAAGTTAATAAACCAATAAAGTTTGAATTCTCTTTCTGAAGAAAAGGCAGACATTCTCGCCTTGCTGAAATTAAACGAACACATCCTTCTCATATGTTTTCATTTTAAGAAACCAACTCTGAAGGTAGATTCTCTTTTCGAATGTTCAAAACTCTTCAATAAATATTGCATTTTTAATTGGCTTTATATTTTCAAGACATTATAGAGAAATAATTTAAAAGAATAAAGGTTTTACCCATAATTCAATCACATCAATAAAGTACACTGTTATTCTTATAGTTTTTCTCTAGTTTTTTAATTCAAATGCATAGTTTTCCATGGTTTAAATTCAAAAAATAAATGTAAATCTAATTTTTAATTTTTAAATAGAAGACTGTATATATTCTTCTAATCTATAATCATTTTGATCAAGTTACCATAATGTAATTAACAAACTCCCTTGTTGTATGGCATTTAAACTACCTTAAAGTTTTAGTTGCAATACAAAATGTTGCAAGAAATTGCTTTATGCATATAGTTTCCCTTAAGTTACTTACTTAAAATAAATTGCCAGTGGCATAATTACTAGGTCTGTGAACATTTTCATAACTTTTGATTTATATGAACAACTGCTTTCTAAGAAAAATGCTTTCCAAAAAAAAGGGATATCATAACAGTCATAATGTAACAATCATAATGTCACCTGTAATACATGTGCATACCAATGCCACTACAATCTTACCAGCACTGACTCGTCTCATAAAGAAACAGATTTTGGTAAATTTAAGTATAAAACTAACGTTTACTTATCTATTCTCTAGTAAAGTTAAACTTCTGGTAAAGTTGAAACTTTTCCATTAATTTGTTTGCCATTTATTCTTTTTATGAATTATCTCTTTATAGACTTGGCACAGTTTATCTGTTAGATTCTAGATGTTATTTGTAAGTGTGGTTGAATTCTCTAAGAGGGACAGCCATATGCTTATCTGTAATATCTGATGCAAATACTTCCAACAGTATTTTTTTATATTTATCTTAATTTTAGATTTCCAATGGTTTTAAATTTTTATATAGTTAAGTTCCTTGATCCTTCCCTTGTGAATGATTCACTGGAGGCCTAGTCCAGCTATTCTGCCATCTTCCACACTGAAGTCTACATACACATGTGGATTTCTGACTTCCTCAATTCTTTTCCAAGTTACCTTTATTACTATTGGAGTTTGCTGTTTATTTCAGTACCCTCCTTCCACCCCCTTTGTTCTTCTTTACTTACACACACACATACACACACACACACACACACACACACAGAGAGAGATACACACCTGCTATGAACAACCAAAAGAATTCTGGACCTGGGCAGTAAGTTTGAAGATGTCAGCAATGCCTACCTCAAACTCCAGCACTGAACAGTTGTGGATCCCCGATAACTAAAGTCAGCCTGTGGGACCTCCTCTGCTGCCTATTCGCCAACCCTTCTCTACCATCAGTAACTTGTTTCTACAACATCTTGCCCTCCTTTCACTATAATGAACACACAGGTCCAAACACCAAGCATCTACCCCTTTTCTCCTACATCATTACTTCCTGCCTCCCATGGCCAACTCAGCCTCACCTTTATCATTACAGAGCCTTCTCAGTGAATCATATTGAACCTTATCTTTCTTAAGAAGTCTTCTCCATGCTCCAGCATTTCCCTGCACATTTTTTCTTCCTCCATACACTAGCAAACAGAGCTTTTCCTTCTCTTATCAGCGCCTCTCAGCACAAACTTTGCTTCCTTCTACGCTTTTAGAACACTTCATCATAGCCACTTGTTAATAACATCCTACCTGAGTTATGACGTTTACTTATATATGGACCTCTGCATTCCCACCTACCAATTTTCAGGGATTTTGTTCATCTATCTGAATGAACTCAATATTTGGCTAACAGTTGTCCACCACACCCTATCTGCTTCTATTCTTATGGGCAACATTCTTAAAACTAATAGCCAGAGCTATCCTCTAAGTTTCTGATAGTTTTTCAGATCTCTAAAACTATCAGCTCTAATTCATATCAACCATCTCCAGTTTATAGCAAAGAGTTGTCGATTCAATTAAATTTTCTACTTTAACAATCATGCCATCAGCAAGTACGTTTTTATTTATTCTTTCACAAAATGAAAGCATTTTATTTATTTTTCTTGCCTGATTTACTGGCTAGAATCTCTACCACAATGTTGAATAGATGTGGTGAGAACAGACATCCATGTCTTATTCCTGATCTGATCAGGAAACAATTCAGTCTTTCTCCATTAACTCTGACAACAGCTGTAGGGTTTTCACAGATGCCCTTTAACAGTTGAGGTAATTCCTTTCTAGTCCTACTTTGTTAATAGCTTTTGTCAAAAATTGATGCTGAGTTTTTTTTGTTTTTGTTTTTTGCATATCTTCACAGGATCATAGTTTCATCTTTTGGTTTATTGATATTGTGAATAAACTGATTGATTTTTGAATGTGCAACCAACTCTGCATTCCTAGAATAAATGTCACATGTTCATGACATATTATCCTATTAAAATATTATTGTTGAATTTAATTTGGTATATTTTTGCTTATAATTTTTGTATCTGTGTCCATGAGGGCTATTGGTATGAAGCTTTTTTTTTTTTTTTTTTTTTTTTTTTTTTTTTTTTTTGTAATGTCTCTGTGTGGTTTTGGTATCAGCTTCATGCTGGTCTTAGGAGTTGGGGCATTTTTCCCTCCTCTTCAATTTTCTGGAAGAGACTAAAGAATTGGCAGTATTTCTTCCTTAAAATGTTTGGTAGGATTCACTAGTGAAACCAACTAGACTTAAAAAAAGAAAGAAAAGGTATCAATTTCTTAAACAGATATAGGTCTATCCAGGTTTTCTATTTCTTCTTGAGTGAGATTTGATGGTTTGTCCTTCAAGGAAATTGTCCATTTTCTCTAAGTTGTCAGATTTACTGGCATAAGGTTGTTCATGATATTCCCTTATTAACCTCTTACTATTTATAGAATCTATATTGATGTCACCTTTCTTATTCCTGATATTGGTTATTTGTGTCTTTTTTATTTTTTCTGATCAGTTTGGCTAGAGTTTTACCAGTTTTACTGACTTTCTCAAAGAACTAGCTTTTGGTTTTACTAATTTTCTCTATGGCTCTTCTATTTCATTGATTTCTACTTTGATCTTTATTTTCTTCTGCTTATTTGGGTTTAATCCATTTTTCTTCCAGTTCCCTAAGGTGGAAGCTGAGGTCATTGATTTGAGGCCCTTCTTTTCTGAATAGACATTTAGTGGTATAAACTTTTCTTAAAGTCCCGTTTTATAGGCACCACAAATTCTAATATGTTGCATTGTCATTCAGTGCAAAATCCTTTATAATTTCTCTTTTGCTACCTTCTTTGATTCGTGGGTCATTTAGAAGTAAGTGAGTTTGTAAATACTTGAGATTTTTTTTTTCTTCTTGTTATTGATTTTTAATGCAATTCTATCACGGTCTAAGAACATATTGGATATAACTTGAAGCCACTTAAACTTATTTAGATTTGCTTTCATAAACCAGGTTATGGCCTAATTTGGCAAATATTCTATGTGTACTTGAAAAGAATGTCTTCTGTTGTTGGGTGGAGTATTTTATAAAATGTTAATCAGGTCAAGTTAGCTGTTAGTGTTGTTGAAGTCTGCTACGTACTGGCTGATTTTCTTCCCACATGATCTATAAAGTATTGAGAGAAACTGACGTCGCTGATTGTAATTGTGGGTTTGTACATTTCTTTTTGCAGTTCTGTCATTTTTTTGTTTCATATATTTTTAAGTTCTGTTAGGTACATAAATGTGTAGAATTATTACAGTCTCCTGAATAAATGATCCCTTCATCATTATGAACTTCTTTATCCCCAGCCTTATTCATTGCTCTGAAATCTACATTGTCTAATATTAACATAGCTACCCCAACTTTCTTTTGACTAGTGTTAGCATGATGTATCTTTTTCCACCTTTGTATATTTAATCTATTTGTGTCTTTATACTTAAAGTTTGATTCTTAAAGTCAGTATTTGGTTGGGTCTTGGTTTTTAAAAAAATCTATTATATCAACCTCTGTCTCTTAATTAAGGAGTCTAGATCATTTATATTTAATATTATTATTGATGTTTAGGTTTGACTGTATCACCTTTCTACTTGTTTCCTATTTGTTTCATCTATTCTTGTTCCCCTTTTCTTCTTTTTCTGCCTTCTTTTGGATTATTTTTGATAATTCTATTTTCATCTCATTTGTTGCTTTATGGGCTCTCATCCTTTGTTTTGTTATTTTATTGGTTACTTTAGGGTTTACAGTAAATCTTTAATCAGTCTACCTTCAAGTGTTATTATACGACTTCACATATAGTACAAGAATCTTCCAATAGTGTACTTCCCTTTTTCCCCATGACCTTTGTGCTATTGTTCTCAGGCATTTTACTTTTACATATGTTGTTAACCCCATAATATGTGCTTATTATTGTTGTTTAAAGACATACCTCTTAAAGATATTTAAATAATAAGAAGTAAATATTATATAATTATCCACATAATTTGCATTTCTGGCAGTCTCCATTTTATATAGATCCAGATTTCCATCTGGTATCATTTTTTTTCTGACTCAAGGACTTCTTTTAACATTTCTTATAATGCTTATCTGCTAGCAATAAATTCCTTCAGATTTTGTATGTCTGAAAAAGTCTAGTCTTTATTTTTACTTTCTTTTTAAAAGAGACTTTTGCTGGATATTAGTTGACAGTTTTTTCCCTTTCAGATGCTGCTCCAATGTCTTCTTACTTGCATTTTTCCAGTGAAAAAATGTGATGCCATCCTTATTTTTATTCTTACTCATGTAACATCTTTTATCTGCTTTTAAGGTATTTTCTTTGTACTACTTTGTTCTCAAGAGAAAAAAAAAACCAAAAGGATGTGTGTTTATATGCATATTTATATGTATGTATAGGTGCATGTATGGATATAAATATATACCTTTGTTTATATATATATATATAAATAGAGACAGAGAAATACTTTAAGAAATTGGCTCACACAATTACAGTTGCTATAAACCCAAAATCTACAGTTTGGGCTGGCAGGCTGGAGACCCAGGAAAGAATCAATACGCAGTTCAAGTCCAAAGGCCATTTACTGAAGAATTCCCTCTTGTTCCAGGGAGGCAAGTCTTTTATTCTATTCAGGCCTTCAACTGGCTGGATGAGGCCAAACCACATTATGGAGGACAATCTGTCAAAATCCGCAGATTTAAGTATTAAGTTCATCCCAAACTACCCTTATAGAAATATCCAGACTAATGTCTGACTACATATTTGGGCACTGGGACCCAGCCAGTTACACACAAAATTAAACATCATATTCTTTATCACCGGTTTTGAACAATTTTATTATGATGTGCCTTGGTATAGTTATATTCACGTTTCTTTCTCTCTCTCTCTTTTTTTCCCCCACAAGAGATGGGGTCTCTCTCTCTGTCACCCAGGTTGGAGTAAAGCAGTGTGATCACAGCTCATTGCAGCCTCAAACTCCTGGGATCAAGCAATCCTCCTACTTCTGCCTCACAAGTAGCTGGGACTACAGGCAAGCACCAACACATGCAGCTAATTTATTTATTTATTTATTTGTAGAGATGGGGGTCTTACTATGTTGCCCAAGCTGGTGTCAAATTCCTGGCCTCAAGTGATACTTCCGCCTCAGCTTCTCAAAGTATTGGGATTACAAGTGTGAGCCACTGTGCCCAGCCTTGCTCATGTTCCTTTTGTTTGGGGTTCAGTGAGCTTCTTGGATCTGTAGGTGTAGAGTTTTCTTCATGTTCAACAATGTTTCAGCCATTATTTCTTCAAATATTTTTCTGTCCCTTTCCACTCACCTTCATGGACTCAAATTACCCTAGCTTAGGTTTAAAGTTGTCCCATAGCTCGCTGGATGCTCTTTGCATTTTTTTCTCTCTCAGATTGTCTCTATGAACAGATACAATACAGTGATAATAACAGTTTTAATGTCCCCCTTTGCTACTTCTAATATTTACATCAGTTCTGGGTCAGTTCCAATTCGATGATTATTCTCATTATGAATCATGATTTCTGGCCTCTTCCCATCCCTGATAATCTTTGACTGACTGGCAGACATTGTGAATTTTACCTTGTTGAGTGATGAATATTTTTTCTTTAAATCCTATACAGCTTTGTGCTGAGATGCATTACATTACCAGACAACCATCTGAGGTTTTGGGACTTGCTAATATTATCTGTCATGTGAGTCCAGAGTGGTACTCCACTTACGGCTGACCTTGCCAAGTACTCTACCCAGTTCCTTGTGAGTTATAAGTTTTTCAGTCCATCTGGTGATTACAGGCATAGTTTTCAACCCTGTATGAACACCAACCACTGTTCCCTCTAGTCCTTTAAGATGGTTCTTGCCCTGGCCTTGGGAAGTTTCCTCACATGCATGCATTGAATATTTTGCTGGATACTCAAGGGAGACTCTGAAAATCTTTAGTGTTCTCTCTCTGTACAACTCTTTTCTCTGGTATTCTATTCTATGAACATTAGCCATCTTGGTCTCCCCTTGCTCTCGGCTTCATCTCCTCAATGCAGGGAGTTCACTGAGCTCCACCTCAGCTCCCTCTGGAACTGTGCCACAGCCTGGAAACTCTCAAGGCATTAAGCTGGGACAATCACAGAGCACATCTCATTTGTTTCTCATTTCTCAGGGATAACTGCGTTTCCTGGCTTGAAAATTGTTGCTTTGTATATTTCATGAGCTGGTTGCTGTTGTTGTTCTTCTTCTTTTAGATGGGAGAGTAAACTAGTTCCAGTTATTCCATCTTACCAGAACAAGAAGTCCTCACTCATCCTTGTGCTCACTGCCCTCTCTTGAGCATATTCAGTCTTGCCTTTTCCCCTGATGACCACCCTAAACCTCTGACTACTAGCATGCTCAAGAGACCTTTTCTTATAGAAACAAATTCTCTTAGCACTATTTTCTCTTTTTCTGTCCACCTTCTTGAAAGAACTGTCTATATTCCAAAGAGTTAAGGAGTGAAAACGATGGTCTACCCCTCAATTCCTTTGCTTGCTCTTCATCCCCTCAATTCTCAGGTTGGTTTCCACCTCAATACTCTACTGAAACTGTTTCTACCATTAGTTATTAATTACCACGTTGTCACCACATCCAATGGCCTTTCTCAGACTTTAGACTTACGTTTACCTTATTTGACTGGTTCTTTTGATTTCTTGCCCATATTTGACTTAAAGGATATTATATAGAACTGTCTGACCTATATTCCTTATCAAAAGCAGATGCTGTAATGTAAGCTCCAAAGAGCAGGGTTGTTTGTATATTTTGTTAACTGATATATCCTCAGTCCTTAAATCAGTGGCAGTCACATAACAGACATTCAATGAATGTGGAATGAATTAACAAAATATAATTGGTGCTTAGCACCTTTCTTCCCGCTTTCTACCCATTACCCCTGGACAAGCTCATCCAAATCTATGACTGAGTTGTCTCTCAAATCTCTCTAGTCTGCTTGGCTTTTAGCATTTGGATCACTGTTGGATGTCTTGTCAAACCTCAAAATCAGCATGCCCCAAACTAAACTCATTATTTTTATCTTAAAACTCTGTCACATTCTCCCTACTTTTTTTTTTTTTAACAATTCACCAAAACATAAAGCTATAAACTTGACTCATATTTGATTGTTTTATCTTCCTTTCCTCTTGAATACCCAGCATAACTGTCACTTTTACAGTAGCAGTAACATCCCCACAAGTATTGTCCCTGCTGGATCACCTCTACATCTAACAGGTCTCCCCCAACAGCTTCTCTAAGTCTCTAGCCTTAGATCCCAACATCCCCTAAATCTCTGCATGCTGTGCCTTAACCCAGTAAGACCACTAATCTTTCTCTGAATATACCTATGCTTTCTATCCCTAACTCTCCTCACCCCATTCCTCTCTGCTTAGACCTTACCCATCATATGAGACCCTACTCAAATGTAACCTTAACTATGAGCTTTCTTTGACCCTCCAGATTAGAAATGATCACTCTCCTCTTTTAACTTTCATATTTACACCATTAATATAACACATATCACATTCTGTCTTAGCACAGAGCCTGGAGTATATTAAATAAGCAATATATGTGAACTGTTTTTATCAATACACAACTTATCTTCCTAACCTGGGTGTAAACTTCTTGATGGCAGCTTCCTCCAAAGAGGCCTCCAAAAAGACATTATGCCAGGTTCAGAACAATGACAACTCAAAGAAGCTTGATATCCAAAAAATTAGCCAACCTAACAACTAATTCATCAGAAAATAGACTAGTGCACAATTCTGGTAAAACGTATTATTAAAAAATTTCATAAAAACAAACACAAAACATAACTTACAAGTAAGAAAATTATATACAGATAATCTTTTACACTATAATTCAAAACTGCTCCTCTAGCAATAGTGCTAGAAGATAACTCTGATAAGTGAAGAAAAGCATACTTTGTGTTACTCTTACACATATTTTAGAAGCTATTTTGATTGAAAAGACTTAAGCTAATAAAGTTTATATAACTTCATTGCACATTACTCAAAAGATATTCACAGTTTTATAAACAACCAATAAAGTACCTACTTCCACCAGAAATCCTAAACCTTGGATACCACTAAACTTCACTTGAACACCTGAACTGGCATCCTATCTCTAGCTATGTAACAATAGCCATGTCACCATACCTTTGATCTTCAGGTAATTTAGAAACAGAATATGGAAAAAGATTCCTACCTGTCATATAAGGGCTGTTATAAGGCTAACAGAAGACTATATAGATTCAATTTACTTTCATTTGCTTATTAACAGACATCTGTATCCATGCCTAAACCTTGTGACAGACTCTGGGTATACAATACCACATATGATGCTCTAGCTGCCCTTAAGAGATTCTAACCCAAGATGGGGAGATGGGCACATACATAAAGCAGTGCTACAGGCACTAACTGGGAGAAATACGGACAACGCCCAGTGGGGAGAGGAGGGAGTACTCAGTTCTGTCCAAGGAGAAAAGAAGGTAGTCAGAAACAGCTTCCTGCAAAGAGGCTACACATGAGCTCTGCTAATCTTCTCTGGGGTCTCTACTCATTACAATCCCCTTATCCTTTCCCTCATCCTAAAATCAAGCAATGTCTCTAACCCTTTAACAGCTCCACAGTTTCTTATCTCAATTCTAAAATCTGAAAAGCTCTCAAAACCTGCACTTTTTTAAAACTTACTTGCCGGCAAAAGCTGACGTGAACTGAAGTAAGGTTCTTGATCAACAATATCCTTTCTACTTTTTGTAGGAAATCCTAGTTAATAATTCCATCATCCAACCATCACGTAAGCCAGGAATTGAGACAGCCATGGCTTTCTCACTCTCACCCTCCAAACCCAACTACACTAGGCTTTGTCAATTCTAGCTCTCAAATATATATCCTACCTATTCCTTCCTCTTCTTCCCCCTGTAACTGCCTCAGCCAAGGCCTTCATCATCTCAGTTGCACCATCACAGTAATCTTCTGCCTCCGCCTCCAACTGCGCTACTCACAATTTAGCCTCCACATCATGGCCAGCTTGATTCTTCTCAAATGGACATCTGATCATGTAGTTTCCTTGCTTAAAATACTCTGATGTCTCTGCACTATCTACACGAAAAGCCCAAACTCCTGAGCACAGTATGAAAGGTCTGCTAAGATTCAGCCACCACTGAATACAATTTGTCTCCTGGCACTCTATTAAACATACACTGCAGCCACACACAAATGCAGTTTCTAGGAGTTGCCAATCTGTTTGACACTCCTTACCTTCACACTGCCCCTCTGCTCCTAAGTCCTCTTTCTTTTCCACCCCCTCACCTTATTTCTTGTACCAGACCTACTTATCAACCTCAAATCTAATGTAGCAAACCAAATCATGCATCCTTCCCTTCCCCAGGTCCAGGCAACACTGTCATGCCCCTTCCTTCCATGCCCCATCTATTTCTGGATATGAACTTAATGTTTATGCAGCCAGTATACTGAGACTCCTGGAATGCTGAAATCATCGCTTATCTCATGTCTAACACTGGACCTAGCACATAGTAGGTGCTCAAAATAAGCTGGCTGATGAACAATCTTTTCAACTTTCCAGAAAACATCTCACCCTTCTCCTTCCTTCTCAGCTCTCTCTGCACAGCAGCTCTGTTCTCTATCTCTTACAGCTGTTCTTCCATTATTTCCTCTTATACTCTTCTTTCCTTCTTCATTGTCAGAAGAGAAAGAGGACACATTTGGGAAGTGAAGAAAAACCCTAGCCAGGATTTCTCACTAATAACTTGACACTGAAAACATTTTGGGCCTGATAACTCTTTGCTGTGGGGGCTGCCCTGTACATTGAAGGATGTTTAGTAGCACCACTGGCCTCTATCCACCAGAAGCCAGTAATACCCCTCCCCACAAATGACTCCAAAATGTCCCACTCAGAGGCATAATCTCCCCTGATTGAGAACCACTGCCCTAGACTGACTTTGCTTGGCTCCATCAGGAAGCAATAGGGGAAGGCTGATGCATGATCTCTTGCACTGACTTTCCTCCAGGTGAAAAATGACAAGGAAAGAAGATTCAGACTACATCAGTTTACTATTCAGGGAGTGTGTGGCCAAGAAACATAGGCTGGAGTGACACTTCAAGGAAGGAAAGTACTCTATGGGCCCAAGATGAATCCATTTTGTCATATATCAGAGTTCCAGATTTCAGGATTCATTTGTATTAATATTTTCCCAAGCTTCATTTATTCAGTGCCACTGAAATGACCTGCTAGAGGGATATAGGATACAGCAATTTAATGCTATTAAATTCATTTCAAATCTTTTTTGAAAAAGAGATAGTGTTTAAAATTAAAATAAACTGATTAAAGCATTAAACTATAAGTAGAAGGGAGGGGATAAATTGCACAGGAAACTAGGACATCTTGGGATGAGAAAGAAGAAGGGACAGAACCCCAGCACAGTACCCACCTGTGGTCGACACGACGTTATCGGGGCTTTCACTGCAGAGTTTGGACAACAGACTGGTTTTGCCAGAACCTGTGAGGCCTATGCAAACCAGGTCATATTCTGGTCGTGCAGGTGGTGGTCCCTTGCAGCAAAGTGCTCTAAAACACTGCCAAAAGAAGGGGAAAAAAATGTTCCTTTAAATGACAGTATGGAAATAAACCATAGTCACATTTAAAATGACTGAGTAAGTATTAAGAGGTAATTGAATAAAGTATTACCTATAAGGAAGAAAACGGTAACTTTAGAACAGTGAAACCTGGAGACACCACTCTAGCCAAGTGATCAAAGTTAACATTCTTAGTTATGAAATGTTTTTCTACTTCATGCCTCCCTTCCTGCTATGGCAGGTGCACTGCAAAAAGCATGACATCATCCCACAGCTTGCCTGCCAAAACCACACAATCTGAATCTAAGCATGAGGAAACCAGATAAAGCCAATCTAAGGAGTATTCCATAAGGCAACTGGCCTGTTCTCCTCCAAAATATCAATGTCTTAAAAGTCAAAGAAAGACTGAGGAACTGTTCCATGTTAAAGAAGACTAAAAAGACATAATAATAAAATGCAATATATCTTGGACTGGATCCTAGATCAAAAGGGGAAAAAAAAAGCCATAAATGACATTATTGAGACAATAAGTGAACACTGAATATAGACTGCATATTAGATAAGAGTACTGTATAAGGTTAAATTTCCTGAATTTAATCAATGTACTGTGGTTATGTAAGAAAAATCATTGTTCTGAGAAAATATTCTAATTATTTATAATACCTCTAAGTATTTAGAGGTGAAGGGTCTTGATGTCCACAATTAACTGGCTCAGAAAAATCTAAATCTCCAGCTCCATCTTTATCTGGTGAGGAGAGTGACAAAGCCAACATGGCAAAATGTTAATGACTAGTGATGCTGAGTAAAGAGAATAGAGGAAAACTCCTTGTTCTGGTCTTACCACTGATATTATTTCAAAATACAAAAATTTTTAAAATCATTAAATAGAGTCTCTATACATACCACTGCCTTTCTGGCCTTTGCTAAATTCTTTTTCAGGTCAATCAACCAGGGTACTATGAACTGTAGTATAGTTTGCTCTGCAAGAGTTAAAGACAAGGGGATCTGGGCCAGGCACAGTGGCTCAGGCCTGTAATCCCAGCACTTTGGGACCAGTCTGGCCAATGTGGTGAAACCCAGTCTGTACTAAAAATACAAAAAGAAATTAGCCAGGCATGGTGGCAGGCACCTGTAATTCCAGCTACTCAGGGGACTGAGGCAGGAGAATCACTTGAATCTGGGTGGCAGAGGTTGCAGTGAGCCAAGGTCACACTATTGCACTCCAGCCTGGGCAAAAAGAGCGAGACTCCATCTCAGAAAAAAAAAAAAAAGAAAAGAAAAGAAAGAAAGAAAGAAAAACAAGAGGATTTGGGAGACAGGGTATCATTTGTGCAGCTTTTGATCTTTCTACTTATCCCATATCCATAGGGGCCAACTATGTGCCAGCTTATAGAGCCTGAAACATTTAGACCCTGAATGATTCATGAGAGAAAGAGGGAAAGGGGGAGACAGGGAGGAAAGAAGGCAGATCCACTCACTTTTGGGTCATCTGGAGATTACGAGAGAAGAGACCTATAAAAAAGCCTGTGTTGATTCATCTCACTCAGATAAAATCTGAGTACTAATTGGCTGTCATACTCTCGTAAATCAAACTTGATTATTTCTCTCCCTCATTTCTCACATCTAATCAACAAATCTAGTTCATATGACCTCTGAAGTAGCTCTAGGATCTGTCCACTTCTGTCCAGCCCAGGCCATCATCACCTGAACAACATCAATATCCTCCCACTAGTTCCAGTATATTTGCTCTTGTGCCCCCTATTCTCCACATTGCAGTGACTGGATTGCTTATAAAGAGAAAATCTGACCATACGTGCTTAAGCCACCCCAGTGACTTTGCCCAGCTCTCGAGCCCAAACCCTTACCATGGTCTACCCCACACTCCATGATCTGCTCCAGCCAAGCTCACCAGCCTCATTGCCCTCACTCCCCTACATCCTCCAGCCATGCCCTCTCTTACCTCAACTGAGGCATCTAATATGCTGTTCCTTCTTCCCCCAATTCTGGACTTAGCCAACACCTCATCATTTTTAGGTCTCAACTTAATCATCCCATCCTCAGGGCAGTCTGCTCCAATCCTAAGATTGTGTTAGCAATTCACGTCCAGCTCTACTGGGCTTTTATAAATTCATTACACAGACAATTGCAGTTTCTTATTCATCACCAGCCTGTGAGAACCATGTCTGTCCCCCTTCATCTCAGTACTCCCAGTGTCTAGCAGAGAACATGGCATAGAATCTACCCTCAGCAGATAATTGTTGAATGAAGAATGAACGACACTTAAATTTTACCTAAGCAAAGAAAAAAGAAAACATAGAGACTAACAGGATGCTTGATCTATGTTCTCTGAGCCCTCCACGCTTCAAGAAAATACTGTCAAAATAAGAAACCGCTGACTTTTTCACTTCGCTTCAATGCCATTAGTTAGCCTAGTTCCCAAAAGAGTGGTTTTGGTGTACAGGATCAACTTTCTTGGTAAATTAGAGCTTCTTTTTGTCCTAAATTCACTTTTCCTCTGTTCTCAAGAGGTTCTGCCTGCTTCTGGTAAACAATTCTATGACCCATATTCTTCATGGGTTTATTCATGCTAATTGTATTTCCTCTCAGTCTTTTCAAGCCTGAGGAGTCCTACTTATTTCAGTCTGTCTTCATCCTATGAGATGTTCTTCTCTGATCTTCCTTTAGTTCCAGCACACCCTCTCCCACAAGATTAATGACCATAACTACTAACAGCATTCTAAACGCCAACACATCACTTCATGGATTCATATGAAGGCTGGCTGATACTGTCTGACTTTAACAAGCTTTTTTATAAAGTCTGTCTCCCAGACTCAGAATGAGAGTTTTTCTCAGAGATAGGTTTATTTGTGTATGTGTCTGTTCCCTCAAAGATGGCCATGGCTAGCAGCTGTTCAGACTTAGAAGTGGTCTTCCACATTCAATTAGGACAGACAACAAAACTAGTCACACAGTTTCTTTTACTGGGCTGCGTTGGTCTTGTTTGGGGTTCAAGGAGGAGAGATCCCATTCCTGCCCTAGAGGCCTTCATTCTCACTCAGCTCCTTGCCAGAATTCCTCTGGACTATCTCCTGGAGGAGGGCTGGCCTGACTACCCTGGCCCAAACTATCATAAACCTTAAATATCAAATGAAACTGTATGTGAATGATTGCTAGAGCATCCGGTTTAAATTATTCATGTCGTTATCACTCATATTTTTGCCAAACACTCCAGAATTTCATCTTCATGTTCTTTTTAAAATCCAGAGTAGAAAAACTTTGTAGCCAACTCCATTAATATCTATTTTACCTGTTTATTCTAGGTCACCTAAGCCACTTCTGACATAAAAGATGATTTTGCAATGATAGCAGTGATATTCTACTCCACTGTCTTTTCTCTTCTTTCTTTCTTTCTTTTTTTTTTTTCAGACAGAGTTTCACTCTTGTTGCCCGGGCTGGAGTGCAATGGCACAATCTCGGCTCACAGCAACCTCCACCTCCCGGGTTCAAGTGATTCTCGTGCCTCGGCTTCCTGAGTAGCTGGGATTACAGGTATGCGCCACCACACCCAGCTAATTTTTGTATTTTTAGTAGAGACGGGGTTTCACCATGTTGGCCAGGCTGGTCTTGAACTCTCGACTTCAGGTGATCCACTCACCTCAGCCTCCCAAAGTGCTGGGATTACAGGTGTGAGCCACCATGCCCAGCCTTCTCTTCTCTTTCTTTTTCTCTCTTTTTTTTTTTTTTAAGACAGTCTGTCTCTGTCACTCAGGCTGGAGTGCAGTGGTGCAATCTCCACTCACTGCAACCTCCAAATCCCAGGCTCAAGCAATCCTCCCACCTCAGCCTCCCGAGTAGCTGGGATTACAAGTGTGCACCACCACACCCAGCTAATTTTTGTATCTTTGTAGAGATGGGGTTTCACCATGTTGCTCAGGCTGGTCTCCATCTCCTGAGCTCAGGTGATCCACTCACCCCGGCTGCCCAAAGTGCTGAGATTACACACGTGAGCCACTGAGCCTGGTCTCTCTTCCCTTTTTATATTCTCACCAGTGATATCATCTCCAGTCCCATGGTTTCAATCATATAACCGAATGTCATAAGGACATCCAACATGACATCTCCCCCTCCGTCTCCCCAAGCTCTTTCTCTAAGTCCAGGCTCTATAGTTCCAGCTGTTCTATAAGAACCCAAACCAAAACTGAATAAAACAAAAGCCTCCCCACAAAACCACAGGCTGTGGAAATAAGGTTCTTTGGAACTTAATGGCTAGATTGATAGTTATTACAAGGCAAAATCTTTGACATAAATCACAGACTCTTAGAAATCAACATGTATTTGAACTGACTGAATAAATCATCCTATGGGTAACAGGAATAGTGTCAGATTTTGAGTCAACAAGATAAAACTTTCAACAGTATGCTACTTCCAATGGGGAAGGAATGGTCATGTTTTCTGAGTCAGTTCCTAAAAACTGTAAAGAGTTTTCATTTGTTTTTTGTTTTAAAACTTAATGAAGCTTTGGATCCTATAGTCAATTTACTTAAAATTACTCATTTTGGCCTCTAGACTATACTGTACCAAAGTTCATTGTGTGTGTCTCCTACAGCAGCTCTTGCATTGTTAAGAGTAAGCCCCTTTCACTGTTGTACAATGCGAAACACAATGCTGTCGGCAGTCCTGACAGCAAGCGGCAAACTCAGGCCTCATTCCCAGGCCAAACACTAAGGCATTGTGTAACTCTGTTCAAGCCTCATAAACCTATCCATGCTTCAGTTTCCCCACGATTAACCAGTAACATTTTAACACTCTCTGCCGCTTCCTTTCTTCAGGAGGATGTTATGAGGCCTGGGTGCAATACATCATGCTACTAAGAAAGGCGCCATACAGGTAAATAACTGCTCATTGCGATTTTCATTTTTCCAAGGTATCTTAAGTGACAGTTAGCTTCCTTAGACAAGGGCCTGGCCACCCAATATACAGCCCAGACTGTAGTACTTCCAACAGCCCACAGCAGCCTCCACATGCTCCATTCTATCCCAGTTCAGCCCAAGACACTAAACACACACAACCTGTCCCCACTCCCCTGGTAGCAGCAAATAGAGAACAGAGCCAGTCTGAATATAAGTATACCCTCTTGGGGGGCCAACCAAGGTCATGGTCTCCACTGCCTAGACTGCTTCAGCTCACAGGCCTTTTCACACGGGACAAGTTATGACTTGGTCTTTTTTAAAAGAACCCAGTGTATCTACTATATTATGTCAGGACACAGGATGTTTCCCCATTCTGTGTACCCACAAACTTCTAGTGCTGTATTTGAGGAAATGGTGTGCCTAGGTCTTGAGAGAGGGCAAAGACCAGAATCACCAGTAATAACTGACTATATCGTAGACTTTGGACAAATCATGTAATCATATAATCAACAGCTGAAATAATGGATTAGCTTGAAAGCAGAAGCAAACCCCTTAGAAATATGTGCTTAAAAAGGAAGGTGACTACAAATATTGGAAAGAAAAGAAAGCAAAAGATAAAATTACTAGAGTAAAATAAGGACTTGCATTTCAGTCTGATGACCTAGCACCAAGGCAGCAAGATTATCTTAAAATGTTCCCATTTCTGTTTGGAACAGAAATAAGGTATTTATTTCCCCAACAGTGCCAGACATTTTGTAGGTCTAGCAGAGCACTGTACACAATCAGTACTTGATGAATAACCCCTCATGTCAACATTGCAAAGCACTAATCAAGCATTTAATTGTACATTTCATTTTCCTCTATATTTCTACCTTAATGACTCCGGCCACCCTCCAAATCACCACTATTCCTTCACATGGTCTGAGCACTTAACGTTTCTATGCCACCCTGTTCCTGTGCACACAGAATAAAAGTTCCTCCCCACTTTCCTACTTGGCAAACTCCTGCTCAAAGTTCTGTTTAAAGGGCACCTCCTCTGAGAAGTGTTCAATTCCCTCAGAGAGAAATAATCCTTTCTTCCACTTCTTGGTCCTGTACAGACTAGCACTACAGTTAATACTATGACACATGTATTCTTTTCTAAGATTCACTGGCTGATAGAAATATGCACACAGACACAAAGACATATCCATTCTTGGTCCTATTATAGGTTCAAAAAGCTTAATCTTACAGCTACCAAGGGGTGGCCAGGCACCAAAACAGAACAGCAAAGTTGTCCTACAAATATGTGTTACTAGACGAGAATCTAGCTCAAAATCCTCCCACTTTGGCACTGGCCCCTGCATTGCCAGTGTTTCCTACCATCCTGTTTCGCTAAATTCCCAGCCCTTTGGGACATGGCATTTGTTTCAATTGATGCTCTGTTTTTCATCATGAATACATGATTTTATTCTGAGCATGATTTCAATTTGATTGAAGCTCTGTATAGTTGCTGGAAACTTTTCTTCAGTCGGCTTTGGGACTTCTCCACAGCCAGACTACCCAAGCCCCACACTGTTCCCTTCTCATTTCAATACTGGTCTCGCCAGACAGAAACACAAGGTCTCCTATGACAGCTCACCAGGTCTTTTTCTATGTGGCCCAAGGGTGAGGCCAAGGACCACACTCGATAAATACTTTTTAGATTAACGAAACATCCATGAGTTAGTACCTAAAGGGAAGAGAAAAGTCACCCATAACTTTAAGTGGATATATTTCTTACATAGTTGGCTTCCAAACCAAAAAGAGGCAGCTATTCATTCTGACCCTTCTCCAACTCTCATAATGAAGAAAAAAAGAAGCTTCTAAAAAGAAGTCAATTTCTAGAAGTGTTTTCTAACACTAAGCGTTGCTCAATGAGTAAAACATTAAGAAGTGCTTAAATATGTAAAATGACTTGATTTAGAACAAAATATTTTCCAGGTCTGTAACAGTCAGTTATGGCTCTGTCTTTTGAAAATGTAAACCCAGTACAAAATACAACACATTACAAAATGTGTTACGGGATTTGTCAGAGCTGCTTGAGCTCTGTAGGAGACATTGGGAGGGGCGGGTGTCCTAGTAAATTAAAAATAAAACTGTATTGAACAGCAGATATAAGTGACTTATGGGTATTAATTCATCTATTCCCTAGAAAAGTACCATATGATTTCAATTTAAAGAGGAGGAAACTGAGGCTCAAAGAAGTTAAGTAACTTGCCTACGTGGAACAGGATTCAAACCCTGGCAGTCTGGCTCCTGAGCTGTTTTCCAAACTTCTGCAATGATAAGCCTCTAATTTCTGAGGGCGTGTCATTCAAAGGAAACTTTAGATCCATTCTGTGTTGATAGAGGGCAACAAAGAGATAAGAAAATGTACCCGAGAGCTATTAAGTGGCAGAGCTGGGGTTCGAGCCAGGGTTATTCCACTCCAGAGCCCTAGTTCATGCCCTCAAGTCAGGGATCAGAGCATCAGAAGTGGGGTGTTCTGTTCTTTTGAGGAGGTGAAAGAGTGCTTTAAGTAAGTTTGCCTTTGTAACTGAAGAGAAAAACACCGGGCAAAGGAAGGCGAAGATACAAGTCTTTGTATTGCTTCTTTACTTGTACCAGCAGGTTTATGGCCAAAGTATCTCTCATTCCAGGCAAAAGGGACCTGCAGCTCTCTTGGAGTTAGAGAAGTTGGGTGAGAAATAGCATCCTTAAGATTCTTGCCCTGCTGAATTAGAGAGCAGGGGAGGAGGAGGAGAGGAGATTGACTGGGATGGAAGAAAAGGGGATACCAAAGTGCTGCTGGCTTCTCTCTTTCACACTGTTTGCTTCTTTCATTTAACCCTTTTTTGTCCTCTGGAAAGGATAAAACTTATGTATTAAGAGAAGCCAGCCAGGTGCAGTGACTCACACCTGTAATCCCTGCACTTTGGGAGGCCGAGGTAGGGGGATCATTTGAGGTCAGGAGTTCGAGACCAGCCTGGCCAACGTGGTGAGACCCCGTCTCTACTAAAAATACAAAAATTAGCCAGGTGTAGTGGTGTGTGCCCGTAGTCCCAGCTACTCAGGAGGCCGAGGCAGGAGAATCGCTTAAACCTGGGGGACTGAGGTTGCAGTGAGCTGAGATCGCGCCACTGCTCTCCAGCCTGGGTGACACAGCGAGACTGTCTCGAGAAAAAAAAAAAAAAAAAAAGAGAAGCCCATGTGAGCTGCAGAGATTTCCAACCCTAAGCACAGCAGTAAGGAAAAAAATCTCTTTTGAAACAGCCTCAAATTATATGTATATATAAATTATACCTTAAAATATATGTGTATGTAAATTATATCTCAATAAAGTAAAATAAATAAGCAAATACTAAATAAAATATGTTGGAGGAGAGTATAGGAGGAAATATATGAATAAACTGGGTTGTGCAGAAAGGCATGTGAAGGAGAAGGTCTATAATGAGCATGCGATCTCTTAGCTAATCCTATCTTTCTAGTTGTAAGAAGAGAAACAAAAATCAAATATGCTTCGATGTCTTAGGGTGACTAGTGGTTCTTGCAAACAAGTTCAAAATGGCATCTATAGCAAGAAAAATAACAAACAGGGCAAAGGAGTGCTGTGAAGAGGCCCCTGGCTGCCAGACACAGCCCAGCTGAAGACTTCTCCACGTTCCAAGAGCAACCTATGTTTTGAGGTGGAAATCCTGTCATCCTTTAAGACCCTAGTGGGAAAAAAACAACAAATTGTTTTTATAGAAGGTGGGTCAAACCTTTCAGCCATGTGGGCTGCTGGGAGCACACAGATGAAGGCTTTGGACTGGAATTGTCCCAGGGCTGAGGCTTCTGGCCAATACATCACACTGCCTCAGGACACTAAATCTGTCTTTGCCTTACCCTTTGTATTTCTCAATCCACATTCCTTTTTGGGGTGAAATACTCCATTATTTCTGCTTTGTTCTGGGCTGTCTCCTGTCTCTGTCCCTATTAACTCGTGGCAACAAAAGAAACAAACAGAAGCAGGGGATTTCATGCTTAGCAGCTATAGACATTGGCCTCACGGCTTTGCAGAGGGGCAGACATCTGAGACTTTGAATGGAAGAGAGTGCTGCTGCGCTGAACCAGACCCGGGGCCCACGTGGCTCCCAGTCTGCATCAGTCATCCCCGATCAGTGGCTTTCAAGAGTCTCGGTATGTGGAATTCAAGATGAACCAAAAGTGAGATTTTAAAAGTTAGGGCATGTATCTGATGATTAGATTTAAAGAAATGAATTCAAGATTCTCATATAATTCCCAGCTATGCATAATTTCACATCTTCTCACATTGGAAATAGATCAGAGGAATAGGATTTTTTTCTTTTACTAGGAAAGAAAACTAAGTAAAAAAATAAATGTTTCTTTTAAAAAAATCTAATTCTTACATTGTAATGGCTTGAAGGGAAAAAATCAATTTTTATAAAAACAGAATTATGCAATAAAACCAGCAATAAAATACCCAGGCATAAATGTCTGTAACGAGACCTAACCTTTATATGCCATATTCATAAACATCTCCAAATCAGGGCCTCATCTAGGTCAGTTTCAGACCATGTACTATTTTTTTCCTAAAGAGCAAAGTAATACAATTTAAAGGAAAGTGAATGAGAAACTAATGCATTTTACAGCAAATCTCTTTTTTTGCTGATTACCTGAACAGAACATTTCTAAACAGGAAGTAGGCCATAAAAATACACAAACACTTTTAACATTCCTTACCAAGGGCATTTTCTATATTTTAAAGACTTAAGAAGGGTCAGGACATGAAAACATTTAAAAGGAGCTAGGTGGTCGGGCACAGTCGCTCATGCTGGTAATCCCAGCACTTTAGGAGGTCAACGGAGGAGGATCACTTGAGGCTAGGAGTTTGAAACCATCCTGATGAACATAGCGAGACCCCATCTCTTCAAAAGAAAAATTTATTTCTCCACATCCTCTCCAGCACCTGTTGTTTCCTGACTTTTTAATGATTGCCATTCTAACTGGTGTGAGATGATATCTCATAGTGGTTTTGATTTGCATTTCTCTGATGGCCAGTGATGATGAGCATTTTTTCATGTATTTTTTGGCTGCATAAATGTCTTCTTTTGAGAAGTGTCTGTTCATGTCCTTCGCCCACTTTTTGATGGGGTTGTTTGTTTTTTCTTGTAAATTTGTTTGAGTTCATTGTAGATTCTGGATATTAGCCCTTTGTCAGATGAGTAGGTTGCGAAAATTTTCTCCCATGTTGTAGGTTGCCTGTTCACTCTGATGGTAGTTTCTTTTGCTGTGCAGAAGCTCTTTAGTTTAATTAGATCCCATTTGTCAATTTTGGCTTTTGTTGCCATTGCTTTTGGTGTTTTGGACATGAAGTCCTTGCCCACGCCTATGTCCTGAATGGTAATGCCTAGGTTTTCTTCTAGGGTTTTTATGGTTTTAGGTCTAACGTTTAAATCTTTAATCCATCTTGAATTGATTTTTGTATAAGGTGTAAGGAAGGGATCCAGTTTCAGCTTTCTACATATGGCTAGCCAGTTTTCCCAGCACCATTTATTAAATAGGGAATCCTTTCCCCATTGCCTGTTTTTCTCAGGTTTGTCAAAGATCAGATAGTTGTAGGTATGCGGCGTTATTTCTGAGGGCTTTGTTCTGTTCCATTGATCTATATCTCTGTTTTGGTACCAGTACCATGCTGTTTTGGTTACTGTAGCCTTGTAGTATAGTTTGAAGTCAGGTAGTGTGATGCCTCCAGCTTTGTTCTTTTGGCTTAGGATTGACTTGGCGATGCGGGCTCTTTTTTGGTTCCATATGAACTTTAAAGTAGTTTTTTCCAATTCTGTGAAGAAAGTCTTTGGTAGCTTGATGGGGATGGCATTGAATCTATAAATTACCTTGGGCAGTATGGCTATTTTCATGATATTGATTCTTCCTACCCATGAGCATGGAATGTTCTTCCATTTGTTTGTATCTTCTTTTATTTCCTTGAGCAGTGGTTTGTAGTTCTCCTTGAAGAGGTCCTTCACGTCCCTTGTAAGGTGGATTCCTAGGTATTTTATTCTCTTTGAAGCAATTGTGAATGGGAGTTCACTCATGATTTGGCTCTCTGTTTGTCTGTTATTGGTGTATAAGAATGCTTGTGATTTTTGTACATTGATTTTGTATCCTGAGACTTTGGTGAAGTTGCTTATCAGCTTAAGGAGATTTTGGGCTGAGACGATGGGGTTTTCTAGATAAACAATCCTGTCGTCTGCAAACAGGGACAATTTGACTTCCTCTTTTCCTAATTGAATACCCGTTATTTCCTTCTCCTGCCTTATTGCCCCAGCCAGAACTTCCAACACTATGTTGAATAGGAGCGGTGAGAGAGGGTATCCCTGTCTTGTGCCAGTTTTCAAAGGGAATGCTTCCAGTTTTTGCCCATTCAGTATGATATTGGCTGTGGGTTTGTCATAGATAGCTCTTATTATTTTGAAATACGTCCCATCAATACCTAATTTATTGAGAGTCTTTAGCATGAAGGGTTGTTGAATTTTGTCAAAGGCTTTTTCTGCATCTATTGAGATAATCATGTGGTTTTTGTCTTTGGCTCTGTTTATATGCTGGATTACATTTATTGATTTGCGTATATTGAACCAGCCTTGCATCCCAGGGATGAAGCCCACTTGATCATGGTGGATAAGCTTTTTGATGTGCTGCTGGATTCGGTTTGCCAGTATTTTATTGAGGATTTTTGCATCAATGTTCATCAAGGATATTGGTCTAAAATTCTCGTTTTTGTGGAGAAATAGGAACACTCTTACACTGTTGGTGGGACTGTAAACTAGTTCAACCATTGTGGAAGTCAGTGTGGCGATACCTCAGGGATCTAGAACTAGAAATACCATTTGACCCAGCCATCCCATTACTGGGTATATACCCAAATGACTATAAATCATGCTGCTATAAAAACACATGCACACGTATGTTTATTGCGGCATTATTCACAATAGCAAAGACTTGGAACCAACCCAAATGTCCAACAATGATAGACTGGATTAAGAAAATATGGCACATATACACCATGGAATACTATGCAGCCATAAAAAATGATGAGTTCATGTCCTTTGTAGGGACATGGATGAAATTGGAAACCATCATTCTCAGTAAACTATCGCAAGAACAAAAAACCAAACACCGCATATTCTCACTCATAGGTGGGAATTAACAATGAGATCACATGGACACAGGAAGGGGAATATCACACTCTGGGGACTGTGGTGGGGTGGGGGGAGGGGGGAGGGATAGCATTGGGAGATATACCTAATGCTAAATGACGAATTAATGGGTGCAGCACACCAGCATGGCACATGTATACATATGTAACTAACCTGCACAATGTGCACATGTACCCTAAAACTTAAAGTATAATAAAAAAAAAATCAAAAAAAAAAAAAAAAAAGAAAAATTTAAAAATTAGCCAGGTGTGATGGTGTGCGCCTGTAGTCCCAGGTCCTGGGGAGGGTGAGGCAGGAGGATTGCTTGAGCCCAGGAGTTCAAGGCTGCAGTGAGCTATGACTGTGCCACTGCACTCCAGCCTAGGCAACAGTAACACTGTCTTTAAAAAAAAAAAAAAAAAAAAAAAAAAAAAAAGAGAGAGAGAGAGACTAGGTTCCACAAGTAGACCTTCAAATGGATTTAAATATCACCACAAAAATCCCTAGGAGGAAAGATCTCAATAAAGTAGATTCTTTCCATTCACTGTGCTTTTGGAACTGAAGCTAGAAAGGCTTATAACAAAAAAAAAAAAAAAAAAAGGAAAACAAACCAAAATTGTTTTTCTTGTAGTCCCTAAAAGTGGAAATCCTATTCTATTCTTCACTTAACAATCTTTTAGGCTCCATAAAGATGGAGCTCAGTCCCATATATTCTACTAGTCACCAATTCCTATGAATCTGTCCAACTTTGCCTCTACTATTTCCCTGTTCCTCCTGGATCCCAGTGCCTTTCTTTGTTCAGGACATCACCACAGTCCTTTGGATAACCACACTATCTTTTCTCCTAACTGGTGTCATTAGTTCAGGTCTTATCCTACTCCAATTCAGTCTCCAGAATACCATGTTTTTCCCGTGATTTAAAATCTTTCTATAGCTACCCACAGCTGTCAGGATAAAGTACAGACTCCTTATCTGGGCAGACAAGGAGCTTTATGATCTGACCTTTGCCTTCATTTCTGGCATCCAATAGTTGTTATGGGGACCACAGGAAATAACGTCTATAACAGCTAAAACATGGTTTGACACACAAAACTTAATTGATAATAATATTAATTATTATTTTTCCCACCAAATACATGGCCCTCAAGGCAATCCTATGCACCTCCATGCAGTTTCTGATCCATTCTCTTTCCGGCTCCATGTCAGTAAAGGGGCTGACCCTCTGCCTACACATCCTTCCTCACTATTTTCCTCTGGCTGGCTCTTAGTTACCCTTCAAAATTCAGCTCAATGATCATTTCTTTCAAGACAACTTCTGTGACCCTCACTCTGATTTAGATGACCTTCTCCAAACTCCCTGAGTATCTTTTCTATTTCACTGTCATAACACTCATCATTCTGTCAAGTACAGTTGATTTGCCATCCATCTTCCCCCACTGGACTTAGAGCACTTGAATGCAGGCACTACTTTTAATTCAACTTTGGAACATGAGTGTCTGACCAAGCCACATGGCCAGATGTGCTCCCCAGTGATGTGCGTGGCTATGATTAAAAGCATGGTTAGACAAGCCTGAAATCAAACCCTATGGCAATCAGGACAAGTTACTTCACTGATAGCTAATCTAGAAAATAGGGATCATCTCACAGGATTGCTGGGAGTAGCAAATAAGGTACTATATACAAAATGCTCAGCACAGTACTCAATAATCAATAGGTGTTATTATCATCATGAGTGCTAATATTAGATTTTTCAGTTACAATAGTGTTTTCCCAAAGAAAACTTATTTTTATGACCACACATCAGGATTCTTCTCATAGTAGATAATTAAAGATAATTCAGGGTTTAGGCTTATTTTAACACCAATTTGGTCAAAGATCTGATATGATATGCCAAATCCCAATGGTGGCTAATGACACAGAGGCAGTCCATTTGGTTTGCAATAATAACAACAATTAAAAGCTCGTAGTATGACATATAGTGGGACAATCGTTGGATTATTTTCTTCCCCTAAAGGTGAAGAAAACCCCTAAAAACACACTTTCAAGAATTACTGGTCTATTCTAACAGTTAAATCGACTCTTTTTGAATATAAATTTCTATGTAGACCTAGACAAAAGCATAACAGAGCAGAAGTGTCCGTAATCCCTGTACATCCTCAAATCACACTGCTTTAACTGCTGACAAAGACAAATGTTTACTATGGTCTAGCGCGGAGAAGCCAATACGGTGAGCAAAATGCTATCTCGCCTCACACATCAACACACGTGCCAGACAGATTCTGACTGCAAAGTCTGTTATTGGTGATGAGAGAGGCAGAGAGGGCACAGCTGGATATTTCAGATCCACAGCTGAGCTGGCAGCAGTGGGAGTTCAAGCCATCTTCTCACTTTAAAAGCTGGAATGAATCTGTGAGAGTTATTTAAAGGTGTGCTTTATTAAAGAGGCACTTTCTGACTACTGTCAAACTTCACGAGCAAAAGCTGAACACACAGATAAAGGCAGATCTATGTGGGGTCACCTATCAGATGTCAGCTGATCTCTTTCAGCACCCACAAATCACTTATTGAAAATTAAATACCAAAAAAAATTTTCCTTCAAGATTAAATGTAGCATGTGGACTTAATTTATATTACTAATCCTTTTAGTATTTGCTTTATATTATTCCCTGAAATTAGTACAGGCACAAATGCCTTAAATTATGTTTCTTGAATTTATAGCCCAAATTACATAGATTATACAAGTACCATATACAGATTCATGAAGATATTAGAGAGGCTCCATGGGCCTTATACATTTAACTAGAGCTTTACTAGAATAAAGTCTCAGTAGCATCGACTTTTTTTTTTTTTTTTTGTCAAACAAAGCACTCACTCTATCAAAGGAGTTCTTAAACTACCAGGAAAATAAGATTCTTGAACATCCCAAGTGTTTCTTAAAAAGGGATGTCCTCATTTTCCTTTTGTACAAAACAGGGTTCAGATTGCAAATAACAGAAAAGCAATTCATTGGAAGGATACTGATAATTCACAGAATTGATGAGAAGGCTAAAGAACAGCAAGAACTAAGGCAGCCCAAGGTAACACTATTATAAGTTTAGGAGTTGCCACTTATGCTAACTGCTTGCCACCCTGCACCAAACTCCACTGCAGCCACGAGAATGACATCAGAAGGCTCCAACCCCGGGCATTGTGCCACTGAGCTGGAGAATCTAACCAGCCAAACCTTGCTGGCTCTCATGCTGGGGCCCTGGCTACCAGGTTGTTGAGGAAAAAATTGCTGCCCCCTACCATCAGCAATGGAAGGAGGGAACCCTGTCTCCAAGTTCTTGTGGGATTTTCTCCTAAGCAGGGCAGCCAAAACCAGTATCAACTATACATTTGGTCCACTGGCCCAACAGACAGCAGAACTTATCTAGTACTACAATTGAAGGACATAAAACAGAACATATTTATTCATCTTCCAATTCCACAGACTGATTCTGACTGAATGTGCCAGAGTCTTGGGAATGGCTAAGAGTCAGTCTGAACCAAGGCAGGTGACAGGATGAGGGCTGGTAGAAACCCTGGAGTGAATTTTCCTGAGCAAACATGTTTTGCCCTCTTAGTGTCCCACTTGTTATTTAATACTCAGCTCTCCTATTCTACATGTATTCCCTTCTCCCTTTCTATTTTCCTACTGATACATTATTACATGTAAGAAGATGAGGCTGGCTGTGAATGTAGAGGAAGCAAATGCCTGGCAGTTCTTATGTTCATACTTGCATATTTTTGCTTTCCTTTCACCTTCAATGTCTTATGGGGAGAAAATGGGACAGGACATACTTGAAGCCATGTGTAGCACCTAGCTTTTGTTAAACACAAAAACTCCATGGGACAGTCTGGGCTATTGTTTGTCACTAGCAGTGTAGATAGACAGAAACTCCTTAAGGATGTGTGACTAGCCATTCTTTTCTTTCTTTCTTTTTTAAATAAAAACATTCTGGTTTTTGACATGTTTGTCTAAGTAAGGTACAATCCCTCAAGTCTCCCTTTTCCAATTTGCATATCACACCATAATTGTGAAGCAACTGTTACAACAAGAATAAAAAAAACTACTCATCTGGAACATGCAACAAAAAATGGAGCAATCATATTTATGGTTAGCAATAAATAAATAAAGGTCCTTGGCTAACAAACTCAGCTTTCCCAAAAGGAAAAAAACCTGAAGGCTCACAGTAAACTATCATGTTAAGAAAAAGCAGTGGGGGAATGGGAGTGGGAGGGAAAGGATTAGGTAAAGGCATGTATTTTATAGAAAAGGACATTAGGCCTCATTTGCTTGGTGAATCTGTGGAAATAATTTATGATATTCTATACAAGGAATTATGACTCCATCCTGAACAGACTGCTTATCTCCCCATGGCTCTTCACAAGCAAGAAAGGGCATGCTCATGACTCTTTGACTTTAGTGTTAACATTGATTTTATAATTACAATAATATTGGATACCAAGGTCCTCAAGGGAATTAGACATGGACAGTATTTGCCAGAGATAAAATATTCATCACCAACAGAGTATATAAAATGTATCTGAGAGGATCAGGGCTCACTTGGGACCCACACAAGAGGAATAAGACATCACCAGAAAAATGCAAGAATTCTCTGATATGTAAAAATCTGAAACAAAGAATGTCAGTCTTAACAAATTCTGCACATATTAAAATAAGACCTCATTGTCACATAATCTGGGGGCATTCCAGTAGGGCAGAGAATAAAAAATTGACCTGAAATTTTCTTAGAGGGCTTCCAAAGCAAATACATAACAAGGCCCACAGCTCTCTTTTTAATCCTATTAATTTTAAATTTCTTACAAATCACAAACTTCTCTTTGCCTAAGGTTTACGTCTCAAGCTAACCATTTTTTTTGTGCAATCTTTAGGGTTTTCTACATACAGGTTCATGTCACTGGCAAAGTCAATGTGCAAAAATCAGTTGCATGTCTGTACACTAATAATTAACAACCTGAAAAGGAAATTATGAAAATAATTCCATTTATAATAGCACGTAAAAGAATAAGACACTTAAGAACTAACTTAACCAAGGAGGTGAAAAGCTTGTACAATAAAAGCCACAAAACATTGCTGAAAGAAATTAAAGAAGATACAAATAAATGGAAACACATCCCATGTTCATGGACAAAAGACAATAATGTTAATCTGTCAACACTACCCAAATGGATTCAATGCAATCCTATCAAAATCTAAATAATTTTTTTATGGAAATAAAAAAGCCCATCCTAAAATTCATATAGAATCACAAATGACAAAACAATCTTGAAAACAAAGAACAAAGCTGGAGCTCCAGACTTACACATACAGATTTCAAAACAAACGTCCGGTAATCAAAAGAACATGTTATTAGCATAAACACAGACATATAGACCAATGAAATAGAATAGAGATCCCCAAAATAAACCTTTGCATATGTGGTCAAATGATTTTGGGCAAGGGTGAAAAGATCATTCAGTGGGAAAGAACAGTCTTTTCAACAGATGGTGCTAGGAAAACTGGATATGCACACACAAAAGAATAAAGTTGTACCCTTACCTAATGCCATATACAAAAGTTAACTCCAAATGAATAAAAGCTTTAAATGTAAGACCTAAAAGTATAAAAAACATAGAAACATAGAAAGTTTTTTCTTAGAAAAAAACACAGGGCAAATGCTTCATGACATTGAATTTGGCAATAATTTGTTGGACATGATACCACAGACACAGATGAAAAAAGAAACAATAGGCAAATTGAACTTTATCAAAACTAAAACATTTGGTACAACAAAAGAAAATGTCAATAGTGTAAAAAGTTAGTCCATAGAATGGGAAAAAATATTTTTAAATCATATCTCTAATAAGAGATCAATGTCTGGAATATGTAGACAACTCCTAAAACTGAACAATAAAAAAACTGTTCAAAAATGGACAAAGAATTTGAAAAGACATTCCTCCAAAGAAGATATACAAAAGGCTAATTAAGTACATGAAAAGATGCTCAATATCACTAATCATCAGGAAAATACAAATCAAAACTACAGTGAGGGCTAGGTGTGGTGGCTCACGCCTGTAATTCCAGCACTTTGGGAGTCAAGGCAGGTGGATCACTTGAGGTCAGGAGTTCGAGACCAGCCTGGCCAACACGGTGAAACCCCGTTTCTACTAAAGATACAAAAAAATTAGCCAGGTGTGGTGGTATACACCTGTAATCTCAGCTACTCAGGAGGCTGAGGCAGAAGAATTGCTTGAACCCAGGAGGTGGAGGTTGCAGTGAGCCAAGATCACCCCACTGCACTCCAGCCTAGGTGATAGAATGAGACGTTGTCTCAAAAAAAAAAAAAAAATTACAGTGAGATATCATTAGGATGGCCACTGTCTTAGACTGTTCCTGTTGCTCCAACAAAATACGTAATTTACAAAGAACAGAAGTTCATTTTCTCACAGTTCTGGAGGCTGGAAAGTCCAGGATCAAAGCACTGGCATTTTGTGTCTGGTGAGGGCCTTCTGCTACATCTTCACATGGCAGAAGACAGAAGGATGAAAAGGGCCTAGCTAGTTTCCTGGAAGCATTGGATAAAGGTATTAATCCCATTCATAAGGCCATAGCCCCCAGACTTAATAACCTCCTGAAGGCCTCACCTTTTAATACCATCACATTGGGTCTTAGGTTCCATCATATGAATTTTGGGGAGGACATGCACATTCAAACCATAACAGCTACTATCAGAATAATGGAAAATAACAAGTGTTGGCAAGGATATGGAGAAATTAGAACCCTTGTACACTGTTGGGAAGAATGTAAAATGATATAGCCACTGTGAAAAACAATATGGCAGTACCTCAAAAAATTAAAAATAGAATTATCATCTGATCCAATAATGCCATGTCTGGATATATACTCAAAAGAACTGAAAGCAGGATCTGGAAGAGTTGTTTGTACACTCATGTTCATAGCAACATCACTCATAACAGCTAAAGCATAGAAGTACCCCATATGTCCATCAACAAATGAATGGATAAGCAAAATGTGATATATACATATAATCGATTACTATTTAGCTATAAAAAGGAAGGAAGTTGTGACATATGTTACAGCATGTTTCAACCCTGAGGACATAAGACTAAGTTAAATAAGCCAGCCAGCCGTAAAAAAGACAAACACAGTTTGACTCTACTTATATAAGATAGAATTAGTCAAAGTCATAAAGACCAAATGTAGAATGGTAGTTACCAGGAAATAAGGAGGGGGATACAGGCAGTTATTGTTCAATGGGTATAGAATTTCAGTGTTACAAGATGAATAAGAGTTATGAAGATGTATGCTGGTGATGGTGGGGATATAACATTATAAATGCATTTAATACCACTGAGCTGCATACTTAAAAATAGTTAAGATGGTGAATTTTATATGTATTTTACAAAAATAAAAAAAAATTTTGAAAAAAAATCCCACAATTTATAACTCATCCCAAACCTATTCCTCCTGAAACTTTCCTCCTTAGTTAACAACAGCTCCATTTTTTCAGTTGCTCAGGCCAAAAACTCTAGAATAATCCTTGGCACCCCTTTTTCTCTCAAACCACACATCCAATCAATCAGAAAATTCTGTCAGCAATAGCTTCAATATATATACAGACTCCAACTACTTCTCACCACCTCTACCCTTACCACCCCAATCTCTTGCTTTGATTATTCCAAAAGCCTCACACTGGCTCCCTGCTTTCACTCAAACCTCCGTATAGTCTATTTACAGCACAGTAGCCAGAGTGATCCTGTTAACATATGTCAGATCAAGTCTCTTTTCCACTCAAAATACTCCAAAGGCTCCCATCTCACTCAGGCTAAAAATTAAAGCCCTTATAGCAGACTAAAAGGTCCTATAAAATCTGCCTCCTTCCTCCTTCCTCCCCCACTCCTAATTATTTCTATGACAACATCTACTACTATTTCTTCACTCAGTCAGTTACTCCAAGCAACCTGGCCTTCTTGCAGTTCCTGGCCCACGCTTGGTAACATCCAACTTCAGGACCTTTGCACTTGCCATTCCCTCTGCTTAGAAATCTCTTGCCCTAGATATACATATGGTTCATAGTCACTCCTTTATGTTGTTTGGGTCTTTGCTCACATATCACCTTTCAGTAAGACCTGCCCTGATTACTCTTAAAAACTGCACATGTACCCTAAAACTTAAAGTATAAGTAAAAAAAAAAAAGCCAAAAAAATTGCAACCTTTCCCACCACAACATGTTCTAACTACCTTACATGTTTTCCCACAGAACTTACTGTCTTCTTACTTACTCAGTAATTTACTATTTATTTGTTTATTGCCAGTCTCCCCTCACTAGAACATAAGTCCCATGACGGCAAGATTTTTTACAATTGTTTTATTGAATTATTTCCTAACCTTTTATCATTGGACAGAGGTTGATGGAATTCTATATTCTAGCCGCATTTTTCTTGAATGGAAGGAACATGCATCCTTTTAAATCACATCCTATTAAATTTGGCAAATCTTATACTTTTATGTGACTCCTCCTGTGTTTTGTCTTCCTCTAGAATTATAACACTAAGGTCATGCTAATGACAAAGAGTTGGGGTGGGGGGCGGGTCTAGACAGAGTTTTAAAGTTTTCTAATCTTTACAAGAAGACACAAGAGGAGAAACCAGTCAGTCTGTTGAGAGAAAAAACAGAAAACGTAAGTGTCATGAAAGTAAGAAAACTTAAGTGTTTCAAGAGGGAGGAGGTAAGCAACTAAGATGAATGCTTCTGAGTAGTTAGATCAGAACACACAGATAACCATTGTATCTGGAAATATGGAGGATATTGGTGATCTTCACAAGCACCATCTTACTGGGGTGGTGAAGACAGAAATCAAGAGTATGTATGTAGGTCCAGTGACACTTTTCATTTGACATGTTTCACGTAGGACATTCCTTCCATTCCCATGGCTTCTACTATTTTGATGGCTTCTGAATCCCATATCTGCTTCAACGTCCTGCTCTGGAGAGCCAAACTAGAGTTTTTAAACTTCCTGTTAAACATCTCTATCTAGATCTCCCTTAAGTACTCTCAAACTAATAAAAATCCAATTTCAGTATCAATCCTACCACCCACAAAAGAAACTTGTTCCTTCTTTCTATATTTCCTATTTCAGTAAATTGCAGCATCATCCAATCCATCATCCAAAGCTTATCCTCAATCCTGTGTCTCTCACAATGTCCAAAATTGATACAAGTCTCTTACTTGTATTGATTTCACCTCTTAAATATTTCTGTAATACTCTAATCCAGGGGTCCTCAACCCCCAGGCAGTGAACCGGTACTGGTCCATGGCCTGTTCGGAACCAGGCCTCACAGCAGGAGGTAAGCAGCAGGTGAGCAAGGGAGCATTGTGGCTTGAGCTCTGCTTCCTATCAGATCAGCTACAGCATTAGATTCTCATAGAAGCGGGAACCCTACTGTGAACTGCACATGTGAAGGATCTAGGTTGCTTATGAGAATCTAATGCCTGATGATGTGAGGTGGAACAGCATCACCCTGAATCCATCCCCTCCACCCCAGTCGATAGAAAAACTGTCTTCCACAAAACTGGTCCCTGGCATCAAAAAGCTTGGGGACCTGTGCTCTAATCTATTCCTATTGTTTTACAATAAAGCCTTCATTTTTTTTTTTTTTTCCAGAACTGTAACTACTTCGACTTATGTACTCTGCCTAGCACATCATAGGTGCTCAATAAATATTTGTTGATTTCCTGAAATAGCTCACATGGCTCTGTTATAAATTGCTCAGATCTAGGTTTATAAAATTAATGCTTTCCCTTAAAAAGCTTGGTTGAATTTTTTTAAAAAACTGAATAATTGGGGGCTAGGATGATATTAAATAATTGGGGGCATGGATGATATTAAATACAGTTATTTAATAACTGTAAATAAAAACATACAAGTTCTGTTGGATGTGGGTGTCCCCTGGGAGACTATGGTAGTGAACACTAAAATCCTAATCGCCATGCATTGGAATTATTCCGACTATTACTTTCTTTAGTTCCTTCTTATCCACCCAGTCTTCTTTGAAAACATGTTTCCCCTTCATAATTTAGCTCTATATTGTCTAAAAGCTATAACTTCAATCAAAGAACTTAAGCATTTTTAAAGCCAACAAAATACATGACATCAATTATTATCAGAGGCATGGACCCACTGCGATGTTCATTTTGAACAAGACGAGATAAGTCATTCCTGGAAGAACATAGGCAAGGATAAAAGATGATTCAAGCCTAATATGCAAGGCTCCTCACCTCTCCATCATTTTTATGAGACCCACAACATAGTCTTAACCCCAATAACCTCCATACGGCCTCACCAAGAAAGGATAGAAAAGACCTCAGAAGTATTTTGGCCCTAAAACATTTTTGAATCAAGCTAGAGAAAGTTATGAAACTCAGTTGTCACACTTGACTTGCATCCAGAAACACAATTCAAATGAAGCATGTAGTCTAAATGGCTGATAGTTTTCAGCTGGCTGTACTTTCCAGCCACCTAATATGAAAAATCTAATCTCACCCTAATAAAAATCTTAGACCTGGCAAAAAAAGAAACATATAGCTTTGTGGTAACGTGAGGAGAGGAGGGAGGTAACAGAAATGGTAGAATGACCTCACAGGGTTTTGACTTTTAAACACTAATATTTATAGATTAAAAACTGTCTGAAAGGTTAAGCTTGGAAAGAATCTACTTCAGATACCTGATACAGCACAGGCACAAAATGAACCATGTTTGATCTAACTTGTACCAAGGGAGAATTTTACCTTTAGCTTTACCAACTTCCCAAGAGGACTTCTAGTCATGCTCCTTCAAATCCCAAAGGCCTGCGTAGTGAGGTATGCCACAAAGAGTAGGGTGTCTCAGTCCTCCTCTACTAGTAGATGGAAGTCACAAGGAGATATCTCGAGACATTCAGGATGTTTATTTACTCAGAAAGTAAATCTACATTCCTTTTGTCCAACAGGCAATATCATTCTTATTTCTCAAGGCCCAAGGTCCATAACTACTTCTCCCCACTTAAGGCTTACACTACATTCTGTACTCTCAAAATACTTAGTTAATGTTGCTAATGTACTATGTACTTCACTATGTACAAGCCAAATTAAGCCACCTGTGGTCAATATATACCTGGGCAGCAAGGCTCAAGATAGATCCTATATTCAGACATCATCAATGAAAATACAGAAAAAAATCAACCCAGACTTTACTGTATTTATCCTTTATTCATTAAGAAACATGCAAAAAGCTCAGGAGAATTTTAAAAGGTTACAAAACATGGTGATGGTTTAAATAGCTACTACAACAACTGAAGGCCCCACAGTCATTTCACAAACTAGAGAAGGAAATAATTTGCTCCTTCCACTAATCTGACAGTTGGCCCAACCTCTGATTTCAGGAGACCTTTTTTCTTTTATCTCTAGTCCACTTATAAGCACATATGAGGACACACACTTAATTTTTCTCTATTTTTTCTCATGTCTAAAGTAATACCTGTAATGAATAAGTTGATCAATCAGAAATGTGTAAAGGAAAAAAGAAATGTCCCTTCATATTCAACCCTCCTAGAGATGATCAGTGCTCAATCCTTCAACTTTTCTATGCATATACTAATATATATATACATCTTTCTCTTTTCTTTTAGTACAAAAATGGAATCATAGTATGCATACAGTTATACAACTAGCTCATTATTTTCCTGACAACTATGTATTAGTCCCATTTTAGGATGAGAAAACAGACCCAAAGAATAGGTGATTTGGCAAAGGTGACTCAGCTAATAAGTGATGGAGTGGGAATCAAGCCCAGAAATCTGGCTGCAGAGTTTCAGTGCTCCCCTTCCAAATAGCAGAAAAGCTGTAGCCCATCTTCTCCTGTGTGCTACCAAGCAAACCTGTGAATATGCTAGGACATATTCATCAAAGCAGAAAAGGATTCTACCTGACTCTTTTTAATGTCAGCATAGAATTCTATTGTATGGCTACCCCAAAATTTATCAGTCTCCATTTGGTGGCTAAATACATGGTTAATTTTAAACTATATAGAATTTAGATTTTTAGAGCTAGAAAATACCTTAAAGAGTATGTTTTATGACATCAAAAGTTCTCAACATAGATGAACTTACTAAAGCCCCAAATCTTGAAGCACATTCATCAAAAAGATCACAGGATTGCTTGGTAGCAGACAGGAGAAGGTAGGCTGCAGCTTTTTCCACTATTTAGAAGTTGAACACTCAAATTTGAGAGCCAGATTTCTGAGTTTGATTCCCACTCCAACACTTACTCAGCCACATTTGCCAAATCACCTAAAAAACTGGGCCACCTTTGCCAAATGACCTAAGTTACATATATGGTCCTGTTTTCTCATCCCAATAATGGGACTAATATACAGTTGTGGTCAGGACTAAATTAGTTATAATGTAAAATACTTAGAGTATTGACTTACAAATAAAGCAGTAAGTGGTAATAACAATAATTATTATTTATGCCATACTAGTTCAAGCTTACCTTAAAAAATTATTAAAATTTCTGTTCTCGGTGTGGGTAGAACAGAAAACACAAACTTTTGGTTGTTATTTGAGATTTTGGCATTTACACATTCAGTGCTCTTTCTTCATTATTCTTTAATTATTAAAATATAAAACTGTGATTAAACAGCTGCAGTGGGATATATTGAATTATAAAGTATTTGAGTATATTAAACTGAAATAGAATTCTAAATAGAAATGTGAACATACAGTTATGCCAGAATTGTTTGTTACCTATAGAAGCCTCCTTCAAATGAGAAATGGAAGAAAACAAGAAAATAAAAATCATCAGTGCCACTGCATTTTCATTCATATGAGTTTCACAATAAAGGATGAAAACTTTAAACTCTGAAGAATATACTAGTCAATATATATTGATTCTTCAATAGTAAAAACACCTGGGATATTTTTGGGAAACAGATAAGTTCATTTCAGTTCTTCACAACACATAGATTTGTACTTCCTTTCATATTGGTGGTATTTGTTTTCAGTTTGTTTTTTTTTTATTTTTTTACTTGAACAGACTAGACTGAAGTGTAGTAGCAGAGTCCAAATTGTTTGAACATCTTTCAGCAGCAAGAACACAATGTTATCTGGCAATTCATTGTAAAAAAGCAGCATGAACTTGTCTGGGTGCTCTCCAGGTAATGAGAAATATCTCATGAATGCCAGGGAAAGAACTTTAAATGACTGCTCTTTTAACACACCTTTCAGGCAAATGTCTTAAGGCCACTGTCACAGAAAAGCACCTGATTGGGAGGGGGATGCCCCTACTTCATGATCACACTAGCTTGGAAGATAATTAAAACTAATCCTTTTACCTGCCTACATTTCTTACAAGCACTCTGTTCAGCACAGTACATAAAAAAGATCTCCATGTTTTGCACCAAGATTCAATCAGTACTTCCACATTTTGGGGGGAAATGCAAGTCCAAACAACAGCTCATTCACTTATTTAAAACATTCAGCTATTTTAAAAGGCTTAGAAAACAGAGCATAAGGAGCTGAAATTGTGGCAATAATCAATAGCTTACCAACCAAAAAGAGTCCAGGACCAGATGGATTCACAGCTGAATTCTACCAGAGGTACAAGGAGGAGCTGGTACCATTCCTTCTGAAACTATTCCAATCAATAGAAAAAGAGGGAATCCTCCCTAACTCATTTTATGAGGCCAGCATCATCCTGATACCAAAGCTGGGCAGAGACACAACAAAAAAAGAGAATTTATACCAATATCCTTGATGAACATTGATGCAAAAATCCTCAATAAAATACTGGCAAACCGAATCCAGCAGCATATCAAAAAGCTTATCCACCATGATCAAGTGGGCTTCATCCCTGGGATGCAAGGCTGGTTCAATATACGCAAATCAATAAATGTAATCCAGCATATAAACAGAACCAAAGACAAAAACCACATGATTATCTCAATAGATGCAGAAAAGGCCTTTGACAAAATTCAACAACCCTTCATGTTAAAAACTCTCAATAAATTAGGTATTGATGGGACTTATCTCAAAATAATATCAGCTATCTATGACAAACCCACAGCCAATATCATACTGAATGGGCAAAAACTGGAAGCATTCCCTTTGAAAACTGGCACAAGACAGGGATGCCCTCTCTCACCGCTCCTATTCAACATAGTGTTGGAAGTTCTGGCCGGGGCAATCAGGCAGGAGAAGGAAATAAAGGGTATTCAATTAGGAAAAGAGGAAGTCAAATTGTCCCTGTTTGCAGACGACACAATTGGATATCTAGAAAACCCCATTGTCTCAGCCCAAAATCTCCTTAAGCTGATAAGCAACTTCACCAAAGTCTCAGGATACAAAATCAATGTACAAAAATCACAAGCATTCTTATACACCAATAACAGACAAACAGAGAGCCAAATCATCAGTGAACTCCCATTCACAATTGCTTCAAAGAGAATAAAATACCTAGGAATCCACCTTACAAGGGACGTGAAGGACCTCTTCAAGGAGAACTACAAACCACTGCTCAATGAAATAAAAGAGGATACAAACAAATGGAAGAACATTCCATGCTCATGGGTAGGAAGAATCAATATCATGAAAATAGCCATACTGCCCAAGGTAATTTATAGATTCAATGCCATCCCCATCAAGCTACCAAAGACTTTCTTCACAGAATTGGAAAAAACTACTTTAAAGTTCATATGGAACCAAAAAAGAGCCCGCATCGCCAAGTCAATCCTAAGCCAAAAGAACAAAGCTGGAGGCATCACGCTATCTGACTTCAAACTATACTACAAGGCTACAGTAACCAAAACAGCATGGTATTGGTACCAAAACAGAGATATAGATCAATGGAACAGAACAGAGCCCTCAGAAATAATGCCACATATCTACAACTATCTGATCTTTGACAAACCTGAGAAAAACAAGCAATGGGGAAAGGATTCCCTATTTAATAAATGGTGCTGGGAAAACTGGCTAGCCATATGTAGAAAGCTGAAACTGGATCCCTTCCTTACATCTTATACAAAAATCAATTCCAGATGGATTAAAGACTTAAACTTTAGACCTAAAACCATAAAAACCCTAGAAGAAAACCTAGGCAATACTATTCAGGACATAGGCATGGGCAAGGACTTCATGTCTAGAACACCAAAAGCAATGGCAACAAAAGCCAGAATTGACAAATGGGATATAATTAAACTAAAGAGCTTCTGCACAGCAAAAGAAACTACCATCAGAGTGAACAGGCAACCCACAAAATGGGAGAAAATTTTCGCAACCTACTCATCTGACAAAGGGCTAATATCCAGAATCTACAATGAACTCTAACAAATTTACAAGAAAAAAACAACCCTATCAAAAAGTGGGTGAAGGACATGAACAGACACTTCTCAAAAGAAGATATTTATGCAGCCAAAAAACACATGAAAAAATGCTCACCATCACTGGCCATCAGAGAAATGCAAATCAAAACCACAATGAGATATCATCTCACACCAGTTAGAATGGCAGTCATTAAAAAGTCAGGAAACAACAGGTGCTGGAGAGGATGTGGAGAAACAGGAACACTCTTACACTGTTGGTGGGACTGTAAACTAGTTCAACCATTGTGGAAGTCAGTGTGGCGATTCCTCAGGGATCTAGAACTAGAAATACCATTTGACCCAGCCATCCCATTACTGGGTATATACCCAAAGGACTATAAATCATGCTGCTATAAAGACACATGCACACATATGTTTATGGCAGCACTATTCACAATAGCAAAGACTTGGAACCAACCCAAATGTCCAACAATGATAGACTGGATTAAGAAAATGTGGCACATATACACCATGGAATACTATGCAGCCATAAAAAATGATGAGTTCATGTCCTTTGTAGGAACGTGGATGAAATTGGAAATCATCACTCTCAGTAAACTATTCCAAGAACAAAAAACCAAACACCGCATGTTCTCACTCATAGGTGGGAATTGAACAATGAGAACACATGGACACAGGAAGGGGAACATCACACTCTGGGGACTGTTGTGGGGTGGGGGGAGGGGGCAGGGATAGCACCAGGAGATATACATAATGCTAGATGACGAGTTAGTGGGTGCAGCGCACCAGCATGGCACATGTATACATATGTAAGTAACCTGCACGTTGTGCACATGTACCCTAAAACTTAAAGTATAATAATAATTAAAAAAAGAGAAAAAAAAGAAAAAAATAAATAAAAAAAATTTAAAAATAAATAAATAAATAAAAAGAAAATAGAGCATAATTGTGTATCAAAATGACAAGTCCTCATCGGAGGCACTGCATCCAAATTTGCTTACCTCAAACTTTGAGAAGCAGCCAAGATATGAAAACTCTAGAGAAGGAAAAACTTATGCCATGACTGGCAATAAGAAACAGGCTATAGAAACAACAAGTGTTTACAAACCAATTGAGGGTACTTAAGTTACACCAGGAAGGATAATAAAAAAAAACCATCTCAAAAATTAGTTGATATAATCATAAACCAACACCCTAAAAGGGTTACCTGTACTAGGGTTAGGCAGAGGTCAGTGTTGCTCTGTCCTCACATTCATGGTATGACTGAGAGAAAATACAGGGAATATCTTAACTTAGGTGCCACAGAAAATACATTTCACCCTGGCAATAAGCACTTCAGCTGTTGATGGCAAACTTTTTATTCATCTTTCCATACTCTATCACAGATAGGCGAAAACAACAACTCAATAAACTGAACCATAATTATACTTCTTCTGCAGTGCTTCTTCTCACACTTTATTGAAACATCACTTGTTATAGTAACAAAAAGCCTACCTTCTCAACTAATCGGATTTACTTTCACCACTTTTTTGCAGCTCAGTTGGATGATCACGATACATACAACACCTACGCCCTTTGTCTCCAATTAAATCCCTCAAATTCAGTGGGTTAGGAAAAAAAAAAAGAGTTGAGTGATTCTCATTTATCTCAATAGCTTTCCTTGGTTTTACCCTCAGTTCAAATCTATGGCTTACCAGAGAGAAGACCAGAGCGCAATATCTCCGTGGCCTTAGTCCTGACTCTATAATGAATCACTTTTAGTTTCTTTTCCCAGGTGCACCTCTTTCCATCTTTCTCAATTCCTTCACCCTATACTTCACCAACTACCCCACACGCTCCTCACCCTACACCTTACCAACTACCCCATACCCACCACATCACCATGAAAGGAATAAGCTTTTGTGTTTTCAGAGTCTGAGATATGAATAAGATTCTTTCCTTGGTCAAACTTCAGTTAGGCTTCCGAACCTTCTCCTAAACCCATCTGTGCACTTCTTTGTGAAATCCCATTTTAGCAAAGAGCCTGGCTAAGTCAGTTCAGCAAGAACCCCCATATCTAATTTGATCATCCTTCTCCTCCACCATCCCCCAGGTGATGTCTGATCACCCCAGCCAGTCTTCCGCAAGAATCCTGTTAGGTTGGTTTAGCCAGAGTCCCCCTTACCCCTTATGCTTCTTCTTAGTAATTTTCCATCTACTGATCCCCACCCTGCTCTTTGGCTATGAATTCCTACCTCCCCATGCTGTACTTGAAATTGAACTCAATCTTTCCTCTTGCACTGCAAGAACCCAATGCAGTGGTCCCTATACCTATGGTGATGGTCCTGAATAGTCTTCCTGGCCTTTACTGAGCATCATTGAATAATTTTTCTTTAACATGTAACCCTAAGTCACAATGGACCATCTCCTTGACCTCCTAACTTTAGTAACTAGGGCCTCTTAGAAAACCTCAAGTCAGAAATTTAAAATTATATAGGGATAAAAATCAAGAGAGCAAGCTATGTAACTGGCAGGAAATTCAAAGCAAGAAGGAATTCCCTCACAGCACAAAAACATGGGTACCAACTAGAGTATATGGCACAAATAAATTCGAAATTTGACATTTTAAAAGTCATATGAATGAGCTCTCTCTTTAGCTCAATAATGACTCCTGTCCCTTTAAGAAGTTTATTATTTAACTTATTTCTTAGGCAAGTATAATTAAGAAACAACCACTCATATTGTAGAATAATCAAGGCAGAAAAATTATATGTATTTGTGTGATACAGTATTATGGTAGGCAGAATAATGGCTCCTCCAAAAGATATCCATATCCTAACCCCTGGAACCTGTGACTGTTACGTTACATGGCCAGGGGGCATCAAGGTTACTAATCAGCCGACCTTACAAATATTATTCTGAATTAATCCAGGTAGGCTCAATGTAATCACAATTGTCCTTAAGCAGAAAGGAGGAAGTCAGAAGAGTCAGAATCAGGGAGATGGCATTGTAAGAAAGACTGACTAATCACTGCTGGCTTTGAAAATGAAAAGGGGCCAATAGCCAAGGAATTCAGGCGACCCCTAGAAGCTGGAAAAGGCAAGAAAAGGGAATCTCCTCTAAAGGAATGCAGCCTGGCTGACATCTTAGTTTCATCCTGGTGAGACCCATTTTGAACTTCTGACCACCAGAACTGCAAAGTAATAAAATGGTGTTGTTTTAAGCTACTTAGTTTGTGGTAATATACTAGCAATAGAAAACTAATACAAGTGGGATGCCAAAAAATGAATAATAAAGACCTAGCTCTTTTCAGTTATATAAAAGGTCATTTCATATGCAATTATCCTTAAAGTATTTGGAGGGGAGGGTGTTGTACTTTTGTTTTCTTTGTACCTATTTACAAGGTTTCCTAAAGTCAAATTATTATCTGAAATATCACCTTTCATGAATAAAATCAATAGAAAAAAGTCTTCATAGATTTCTGATGTGCCAGAATATATCCAATACATAAGCAATATATACCAGAAGTCCTAGGGAAGCACCATTTTTCCATTATAAGGATAGAAAAAGTTAATGTAATTATTCCCCATTCTATGCCATGATTTCAGGGGGTTCCCTATTTTCCATGTACTTATATAAAGCTCCCAAATTATCTTTAAAATAATCCTAGCTTGTTTTCTCCTCACAACTTGGCCTCATTTACTCTCCTGAATCAACAGTAAGTCCCATCCCACTCCACCCTTACTATACTCAGCTCCCCACTCCCCCCTCACTGTTAAATACACATTTCTTGGTGTAAACCTCAGAGGACACAAATCGGCTTTAATACCAACAGAAAATATAATTATCCCTAATCAGATACAAAGAGTTTTAATATATTTCAAAACCAAACTGAATAACATTTAACTTCTCTTGGTCACTTACCATTAACATTAACTATATAGCATATCGCCAAGAATATCGACTTTTTTAAAAACAAAATACTTCGCAGCATCACAACTCCCCTTTCTCATCTATTGGAATAGATTCTGGATAATCAACTATTTTATATTTAACACTATTTGATGTCTTTTTATAAGCACAAATTAAACAAAAATAATAATCTCTTGTTTTTCTTTCCTTATATAAAGTCTTTGAAAGTATGAGAAAATATCCAATGACTAAAGTCAATTTTATAAAATTATATTTTGGGAGATCTCCATGTCACATACACAAGCTTCTACCTCCCCTCAGTAACACTGGTTTTAAGATTCTTGAAGATAATTTTAATCATGACAACATTTTTATGTATGTGTAGAACCATCAGCTAGTACTATTCCATACAAGGAATCACTCACTGTTGGTCAATAATGTTTTCAGTAATCCAAAGTGAACTGAGGAAAACCAAGAACAAAAAGGGTTGGTTGGTTGGTTTCCCATAAAACTACCTTTTTTCAATTTAAAAGGACTTATTTATTCAAAGATTATAATGTTCCTACAGGCAGGGGCAGGAGGGTATTAAGGTCATGAAATGAACTCAGTAATAGTCCCTGAGGGTTGTTTTTCTAATGTCCTTATTGGCAAACTAAGTCCCACCTTTGCCCACCCCGCCAAGGTTTTTTTGTTTGTTTTTAATATTATGGTTCTATAAAATCCAAAAATCTGGAAGCTGCTACCTAAACAACTTTGAAAATTTGAGTGGTAAAGGACATAGTGTTAAGTTATATACAATTTTCTTTTCGAGAGAGGAAATCAATGTCTGTGTTTGTAAAATGTTAACCAAACCACAAAATATCTTTTTGTGATAATTATATTAATAACAGTGAGGGTGAAGACAAGACTGAACTTTTCCATCCATGAAGACACATGATGAAAAACAAATCACATATAACTATTATCTACGCCAGACTCCATTCTATTTGCTGTAATTCCCACAGGAGACATGCAGGAATTCTGCACTGCCCATGTTTTCAGAAATTAGGACTTTGACTTTTCCTTCCCTCTGCACGTTTCTGCTGAGAAGCCAGTCTTAAACTGTCATAAATAAGGTAAGACTTTTGGCAGATGCACACTGCTTCGAATTGCTCATCTGTACCTATATTGCCTAAATATGAATCTCCATTATCCCCTTGGCAATTACATTAACTCCAGACTGTGGCCTTCTTAAAATCCAGACAAATTACCCAATGCCCATACTTCTTTCTAGAAACTAAACATAATGTACACACTCTAAAGTTTCCAGTCAAGTCTTGCACTTTTTTTCTCAACCTCTTTACATTTCAGTGCAGATGAATAAGATTTTAAAACGTAAAGGAGTTGATGCTTAAAAGCACACCGTAGGTATTGTGGATCAAAGGCCATAATTAAAGGATCAGTTCTGAACATTGTGCTGATTTTGGAGCAAACAAAGCTCATTTAGTAGTTATCGCTCAGAATCCAATCCAGGTATTTGTGTAGCTTGTGCACTGTTTTTCATGGAAGTACCTGGAGGAATGTATAGTCATTTACGAAGAATCATCTTTGCTATCAATTCCCTTGCCTTTTTTTTTTTTTTCCTTGAGATGGAGTCTGACTCTTTTTGTCCAGGCTGAAGTGCAGTGGCACAATCTTGGCTCACTGCAACCTCCACCTCCTGGGTTCAAGCGATTCTCCTGCCTCAGCCTCCCAAGTAGCTGGGATTTACGGGTGTGAGCCACCACGCCTGGCCTCCCTTGAACTTTTCCAACTCCTTGGTTGCACACTCCTCAAAAATCCCAACAACTGCAATGGCATGAAGAGCGCTCACTTTGGATGAAGTACTTTCCAAGCACTTTGGGAGGATTATTGTTTTTAATCCTCATAACTCCCCTGGGAGGTATACACTTTACATCAGGCCCCCATGACGGTAAAGGCATCTGCTCAGAGATCGCTTGCCCAAGATGACACTGCTAACAAGATCTGGGATTTGAACACGAGTCTAATCTGCTTTCAAAACAATATAAACCACTGCATTGCACTGCCTGTTAGGGAAAACCCATCAGGGAATAAAAAGGTATTCCAGCTAGTTTGTTCCAAACAGAACAAAAGTTTAGGGACCACCCTTGGCAAAATAACAACGTCCCAGAATCATTGCCTCTCCTTACTGGCTGGCCCATCTGACACTTACCGAAGAGCAGTTCTTTGCCTTTAGAGTATAACCTTACAGAAGCTGAGGGCTTTGTTAGTTAAACTATTATGCTAGAATCCCAACCAGAAACTGAAACCTGATATCGTGTTCATGATTAATCATTCAACAAATCTTATTTGAGCACCACCATAATTAACTGTTAAGTAACTTAAATTCTGCTGTGGAGGACTAAATATGTGAAAGCCATGTTCCTGTCCTCTAGGAACTCCTGGTCAAAGGCACAGTAAGAACAAAGACTGCTCCAGAAACAGTAACTAAAGTTACCTGATGACCGACCAACTCTCTAACTTCCTTGTCCTTTTCCTCAAATTCATAATTTTCTGGTGAATGGAGAAGAAAGACATGAACACTGTTTAATACTTAAAAAGTATCTAGTGGAACAGACTAAATTGTCCTCCTTCCCCCTTATTCTTCTTCTGGTTTGGCCCTTTCTCCTCCACCCCCAGAATCTGTATTTTTTCTTTGGCTAATCTAGATTAATGATACCAGATTAAGAGAACTGGACAGGAAAAACAAAACAAACCAAACAGTGGCAGTAATAAATAGATTATATTGATCTGGCCCAAAGTCTATGTCTGTTTAATGCTAGTAGTTACATAGTTTATGTAGAGTTGCAAGGGGGTAAAAAACTAATCCCAGCACCTCAAATACCATAATTAGGACTTCTCGAAGCTTGAAAAGGGTGCCAGTAGGATCAACCTTCTGAGTTTGTACTCTTCATTCATTCAACCCATATTGACTGAGTGCCCACCAGTGCCAAGAGGTAGATATTTATAGTGAACAAGGAAGATATGCCCACAGCCCTCATTGAAGTTATAGTCTAGAAGGAAAGTCAATAGTAAACAGAGTCAGAAATGCATGTTTAAATACTGTCAATGAGAAGCACTATGAAGGGAAAGAACAGGGTGCCTCTTAAAAGTTTACCAGATTGTATACCGTTATACTTCAAAAAGCTGAGAGGGAAAGAAATCTAAGAGGTAAGTGATCTTATTTAGATGAAGAGTTAGGAAAACCCTCTGTGGGGGATAAGAAAACAAAAAATATCTTAGCTGAAATAATTAGGAGTTAGCCAGACAAAAAAAATGAGGAGAACAACGTTTCATAAAGAAGGAACTATATTTGTGTAAGCCCAGAGGGGAAAAAGAACTTGATTTGTCATAGAAATTGAAAAAGCTAGCATGGTCAAGAAGTAGCCGTCAGGGAAAGAGGAGAATAGAAACACAAGAAAATGTAAGGGCAGCCAACCTTATCAACACACCTAAACCAGAAGTCTTCAAATGACTTCTAATAATGTCTCTGATACAAAATCATAATGAATATACAAAGCCCAGATGTAAAAAAGTAAGCAATTAAAATACAATGCATTTTCAAAATTCTCAAGTGACCAAGATTTGTAACTGGAAAGGCTCGTCTAGTCCAATGAACCCTACATCTTTCAAATGAGAAGGGGAACCCCACGCCCATGCGTGAGATGCTGTCATCCTCTCTGAATCTCCTTTCTCAAAGCACCCACGTTCCTCTAGCAGAGAGGAGTCTTGCTTTTCCTGAAGGGTTCTTCTACACCACATGATGACAATATCCTATACAAAAGGGACACAGAAGCCACTGGACAGTAGGTGCACAAGATGTGGCACGATACTAACTCCCATGGCCCCTTTCAATATACAAATGTATGTGGGTATCTGTCTGCACAGGGAGACTAAGAGAATTTTAAAAAGAGGCCAAACTGCACTTAAAACTCCTCCAGAAGAGATATTTTACTTCACCCCCAATGTTACCTCTTCTTAAAAACATGACAGTTACAAGCATCTAAACACAGACAGAGCATGCTTCTATTTAGTCTTATTCCTGCTCTACAGAATTGTTCACACTGCACCTACACTTTCTGACCAAACCGCCTATTGAGAAGACAATCTGCAGTTACACAAATGAGAAAAGACCTCTTTAAAGTGGCAGGTTGAATACAGTCATTTAGTTCCACTTTCTCCTAAAACTGCACTAAAATGATTTTAAAAGACATTTTTTTAAAAAAGATAAACACACTTGGACATAAAAAATAACTACATTTTGGAAACTAGAAAGCAGAAGAACAAGTGGTAACTGGTCCAGCAGACAAGAAGCTGACTCTAAACAGGCAGTGAAAGAAAGGTGGGCCACAAGACAGTTTGTTCCCTGGGATTCCCAAGAAGCTCAGGAATGGCTGGAATCCAAGATCCCTTATAAATGGGCATGAAGGAGGGACTAAAAACAAGAGGATTGGTTCAGATCTCTTTAAAGAAGGACTTAAGAGTTCTAGATCCTCTCTCCGATTTCACAAGCTGGGCAACTGGCTCTGCCACCCTGGTAGAAGGCTACACCTTTTATTTTCTGTACTGAAGATCACTAGGCACATATTAAAGCAGGAGTATTGTACAGAAAAGGAGAATTAAGTAAAACTTTAGCATAGTGAATATTGAGAGCCCAAGGCCCCTTTTCCCCCTTGCTTCCCCCACCACTGAGGCCCAGGCTTACATTCTCCAGGTGGGAGCCTGAAAGATTCTTCTTTGGAATATCTAACTACCCCAAGAGAGAAAACCTAAAGATATGTTATTGGGAGCTCTCTGATAAAACAGCCAAATACCCACGGGAGAAACACACAGTAGATAAATCTCACTCTTGCACACAGAACTCTGAATTAGCTTCAAATGCCCCACTTTTAAATATAAATAGACAAGAACTGCCAGGCGTCTAAGAAGTCATTAATATGAAAGACAGAAACCTAACACAGGAAAAAATTTTTTAAACTTGGGGTATGCAGAACTATACAATGAGATGAAAATCTAATACATATATACATGCACATGCGCACACACACACGCACACACACACATATTCACACACCAAAGCACACCATGAAATTTCAGAAGACTGGAATTGCCAAACAGGATTAAAAACAAAATCATCACCACCACCAGAAAAAGTACTTCAGATACAAAATGTTCAGGATCAAAACAATGATGCTGCTCTGGATAGCAACAGCTAGAAGCTTAGAAATAAATGGCATCATGACTTCAAAACTATGATGGACAATTATTTCCAAGCTAGAGTTCTATACCAACTAAACCATCAGTCATGAGTCCAATAAGCAAAATCTCAAAAAAACCGACTTCCCATGAACTTTGGAGTAAGCTAAAGAACACAAAGACCTGGAAGCCAGCAAGCATCTTACAGAAGAAAGGGTCCCCTCAACATGATAATTCAGGGGGCCCCCCAGTGACGACAGCCATGCAGCAGGGCTGGTCAACAACCAGTCCAGATTGGCGTAGATCAGAAGCTCTGAGAGAATGTCACCAAGAAGATGAACTAGATACAATTTTATAGCACACCTATTTGAAATTATGAAGAGGAGATTTATACAACTCAAGAGAGACAGAATATTGACTGAATGATGAGGACGTAGCAAACTAAGTAAATGACAAAATAGGACAATGACTAACTCAAGAGAAAGTAGAGTTTAATAAAGAAGAAATCATAATATGACAGCAATGAATGGCATTTATAAAGGCATAATAATGTAAACACATGGATTTACCCAAAATGAGAACATTAACTATATGGGCAGAATGAAGGAGTAGGGGGAGGTAAAGATGTGTGTTGGGGTGAATGGAGAGAGAAAAGAGCGAAATCCTCAATTTCCAAAGCAGAAGCCAATAGACAATGCCTAAACCTGAAAAATCAAGAAGTAGCTATATAAGTACATTAACTAGAATGATGGTGGTAAATATAAAAAGAGAAAGAGAGAGAGAGAGAGAGAGAGGCTAAATACAGTAGTTGAAATGGAGAAAGCTAGAGAAAGAGAAGTTAGAGAGGGCATTTGAAGGGAGGGAAGGAAGAAGAAGTTCACCATTGACCACTGGTTTTCACATAATAAGTTCTATAAGATTATTTGATCTTTTAGAAAATGTTCATATACAACCCTGATAAAAATAAAAACTAAATAATAAAAAGCCAAGAAATATGGACTAGAATTGAATATCCATTTCTGTCTCCCTTATACTATTAGAAAATGTATACCTGTATTTTACAGCACAAGTAGTACCATTCTTTTTAAAGGACTATTTTGAGGTCGTCTTTAGCTTAAAGCACATATAATGAAAAAAAAAATCATTCACCTCAGGTCATTTCTTTTACCTAGACATTGGCCAGACATGCTGTATAAAGAGACTAATTTTTGAACAGTTACTTGCAAAGTCAACATTCTTCCAGAGTGTTTGAAACTGACAGCCTTTCTTATTTTTTATCTTTTATTTATTCATAGCCTATCTTCTCCCTCAAAGAAGTAAGAAAGCTATCTTTTTCTTACATGGCAACTTTCTCTTCAAAATATAAAGATACACAGTGACTTAGAGGATTATAGAATGCTAATAAAACAGAAGAGCTAAGGAGTTCTTTGAAAAAGGAAGAAAAGGTGAATAAATGGTAGAAATAACATTAATTTCTTCTTTGTGTCCTAATATTTGGCTTGAATACAATGCCAACTTTTTTTTCCTTAATGTCTTCCATGAAAGCTGAAAAGGCAAAGAGGCATAACAAGTAAAATTAACAAAAATATGCTTTTTCTTTGTTATTAAGTATTCTTCTAAAAAGCAAGACATTTTTAAACGTACCCACTTCAAAATATATTGTAAGATTCTGTGACACAGGCATCATTACCATAAAATCCTCCCAATCAAATTATAATTTTCTTTTTCATGAACTATATTTCTTAAGCAAGGCAAGAACATTTTATTAAAAATAATGCCTATTATCTATTTTATTTTACTATAATCCACTCACTTTCCAGCCAATTTGCTCCGAATATTCTCTTGGAAACTTGTACTTCAAGACAATGGCTTCACTCATTACGTTATTTCAACAAAATGATAAATGTATTGTGAAATATATTATATTTGATTATCAAGCTAAAGCATTGCAAATGGCCATCACAGAACCCAAATTCACCCATAACATTCTATCCCCCAGAATAGTCCTCTGACAACAAATGATAACTGTACATGACAAATCCTTTGAGGCATCTGGGCCTTAAAAATTAAAGGGCCATTCTGACTAAAGTATGTTGATTTTCCAAAGGAAGTTTTGTTGCAGTTGTTGCTGCTGTTGCTATTATTTGAATTGACTAATCCTCAAGTAGGTTCTAGCCACCCTGAAGAATATTTACAAATACAAATATATTAGAATTGAAAGAGACCTTATATGCCACATAGTTCAATCTCTTTTCCTTGAGATGCAAAACTGTGGCACAGAGAAGTTAATTCAGTTGACAAACAACTCATGGTTAATTCAGTCTCATAGAACCCAATCTAGTGCTTTTTCTGCAATAACACATTACAGAGTCTGCAAAACCAGCACAATTACTACCTGACACTGTCAGCAAACAAAATGAAAATACACATATTTTAATAAGTAGTTTTTGCTTATTTTTGCAGTCACACATAAGATGTTATATCTTTACACAAAACGAAACTAGGATTATTTTTATTGTTCAAAAGACAGACTGTCCAATTATAGCTATTACTGAACTAGAAATGTATTTTCAGTTTATCTTCCCAAATCAAGTTAGTGGTTTGTTTGGTATGCACAAAGTATTCCAAAATGTCACAGAGTGGGGGCTATTGCAGGGTTTTCTCCTGCTTCCACCAGACCACAAAGGGCAACAAGTTTGGAGGGGACAGGAAGGTTGGGAGCAGAATACAAGGAGCTGTAGAGCTGTTCTATCGGTTCAGGTTTTAAGATCCATGAATAGACCCTACTCACCGAGTGAAAGCCCTGACAATTTTATCTGAGCATTAGAAAATAATTCCTTGGGCAGTTAAAAGATTGGAATATCAAAGAGCTGACATTAGTTTTAGGCAGCGCTTAAATGAAACACTTTTTTTTTTTTTTTTTTTTGAGACAGAGTTTCACTTTTGTCACCCAGGCTGGAGTGCAGTGGTGCAATCTCAGCTCACGGCAACCTCTGCCTCCCAGGTTCAAGCGATTCTCCTGCCTCAGCCTCGCGAGTAGCTGGGAATACAGGTGCCCGCCACCATACCTGGCTAATTTTTTGTATTTTTAGTAGAGACAGGGTTTTGCCATGTTGGGCAGGCTGGTCTTGAACTCCTGACCTCAGGTGATCCGACCGCCTCAGTCTCCCAAAGTGCTGGGATTACAGGCACGAGCCACCGTGACCGGCCAAATGAAATACTTTTATACTCTTATCTTACTTTTAAAAAGAATATGATAATCAGAGAGTTCAGGAAGGAAATAAAGAGGAGTAGATAAAGTCCAAAATGAGGAATATGCTTATCTGGAGCACACCTACTTAACCAGAAAAGAGTAATTTGAGTAGGAAGAAATGCCAAGTCACTAATTTGTTTAAGGATCTTGGTTATTGGTTGATTCCATTAGGAATGTGTCTGGCTACAAGTAACAGAAAATTCATGTTAGGTGCTTTAAACGGCATCACCAAACCTAAAGGGCCAGAGAGTAAATATTTAAGACCTGCAGGCCATATAGTCTCCGTCACAATTACTCAACTCTGTCATAGCATGAAGGCAGCCACAGTCAATACGTGGCTGTGTTTCAGTAACACTTTACTTACAAAAATAGGCAATCAGCCAATGGGTCATAATTTGCCAACCAATGGTTTAACCAAAATGTCAATCCCTGGTTTAAACAAATGAGACTTAATTAAAAAGAAGCTGGCCTTTTTTGTAAGGTAGTAAGAAGGGCACATCAGCTCCAGATGTCACATTTCTGTTTAAGAAGAGGAAAAGGGAAAAGGAAGGTAGAAAAGGGAAAAGGCCACATCTGTCCCTTTTCACAGGAAAGCAAAAACTTTCCCCACAGAACCTCAAGCAGACCCCCTCCCCCATAAGATCACTAGTCAGAACCGAGCAACACAGCCACATCTAGTTGTAAGAGAAGCTGAGAAAACAGGGAACACAGGAGTCTAAGTGGCTTAGACCAATCATGGTTCATTCATTGCCTGGGGCTAGACACATTGCTGCCTCAGACCAGGGTATTTTAGCAAGAAGGATAAATGGCTATTGGGTGTACAATGAACAGTGTTTGTCCTGTTGGACTATTTTTTCTGTTTTCTCTATTGGCATAATCTGCTCAAAGAAAATATGCTTTCTTAGCTGTGAACTAATTAGTCAAATGGAGATTGAGAAAGATTAAGCATGTTTGGTGGTAGGGGTGGGGAACAAATAAGAGTGAATCTACTGTTAGCTACCTAAAAGTAGTGATTTAATGGGGGGGAGATGCAGAGTGAGAAATCTGAATAGCAGTCCTGCCAGCCCAGTTTTATGACCTTAGCCAAAACACTTAACCTACCCATGCCTCTGTTTCTCCAACTGGAAAAATAAAGTTGTTAAATTAGATGTCTCTAAGGTCCCTTGACACACTAACATCCTGTATCTCCTTTAAATATGTTGTCTGATCAAGCAAACATAGCATAATGTATCCAGTTAAAATTTCCTCCTAAAAATAGTAATGCCCAAATCACAAATGTGGAGGATTCCCAGGCAGAATAAAGTTTTAAACCAAAGAAGAAAAAGGATTTTATTGAAATAACTTTTCACACATTGCTAAAACACTGGCATTCCATTCAACCCTTCCAATTTCTAAGAAAACACACGTGTAAGAAGGGTAGTTAACTTTTTTAAAACACTATAAATGTGTCTTGTAAAAATTATACTGTTTCTTACAACAAACTTAAAATAGTTCTCAAGTCCAAAATGGTAACTGTTCTAGCTAGACGACTAACTGAGGATGCTCGAGTCACCCCCTCCACTGCCACAACCCCAAATAAGCATTGCAAAAGATAAGGTGGCAGGAAGTAGATTTACTTTTGAGATGCTCTCTCAAATAACCGCCCTTTTAACAATGCACTGGAAATTAATCAAAACACAGTCAGGACCATTGAGGTTCCTTAAGAAACAGACTTTTCAAAAGGAATCCAAATGAATAACTCTTTTAGCAGTTTGAGGAAAACAGGAATAAAGAAGGAAGACAAGAAGAGAGGCAGGAAGGGAGAGGGAGAGAACGTTCTGGAGGAAAATTTTGTTTAGCAAAAATGTTCCCATATTTTTTTGAGAAGTCTTCCAGTTTTATATCCATATAGCAGAGATAATAAAAATCTTCAATAAATGGGTCATAATTTATCCAAAAAAATACCACAAACTAAGTGAAAGCTCTAACACTCCAAGAAATTAGTGCAGAAAATTATTTTAACTTAGTACCATTAACCCAATATTCAAAGATTTGAAGATGGACAAAACTGAAAAAATCCATCAGTTTATTGTTTGGAAAAAATGTAATCTTTTGAGATTTAATTTAGTTGAGCAACAATTGTTTTTGCTACAACTTATCAGATATACTTACGACTAAATTTGAACACATATATGAGAGAGAAGTCTTTTAAAACAGGCCAAAATAGCAGTCCCAAACAGAGTAATCAAATGATTACTGTATGGCAAGAGCAAAAAAGAAAGGAAGGAAAGGAGGAAGAGATGGAAGGGGGGAAAAAAGGAGAGAAGGAAGGAAGGGGGCTTGATAGAAGGACCACTACCCAGAGATGCAGGGGCTGCTGCAGGTTAATAAGAAGCCTTCAGCTCCAGCACATTTAATAGAGAATACTTTATTCACTAACTGATATAACTTTGCTACAGCCACTGGAGTAGATAAGAGATATCTTTCCAGTAAAAATTCTGCAAAGATTCTGCCCTGTACTAGAACAGGCAGCAGTTCTCAATCCTGACATACCAAAGGGGTTAGCAGGAGTTTCCCCAAATGCCCATTCTCAGACAGATGAAAGAACTTCCTTTGAAAAATGCTGGAGCTTTTCACCTCCGCAAAGCTTTTTTCCCTACATATTGTCCTCTGTGGCCATCTCAGCATTTTCATCAGCTCCCAGCCTCTTCACCATTTGTCATTTGCACCAACATACAATAGGAAAACACATTTTCCGACATGCCTCAGCGTGTCCAGGATGAGATGCACCCTCACTACTAAGCCGCATTACACGAAAATGTGTGAAATGCATTGCTTGACCCACTTACACAAAAAGACGCACACCATGTTTAACACGAAACGTCCTGAACACTTCCTGTGGCCATTTCCATTCTTCTGACTTCATTTCAATGATTGAGAACTTAAGAAGGTTTGGGTCATATTTATTTATTTATTTTAAACCCTCATGTCTCTCACTTTCCTTGCAGGAACCTGTGACTCTTGCATAGCATAGTAGCTGTGACCCCACATTGGAAGGAGGTATGATCAAAGGCAGCCTGGCCAGACTTGGGAAAACATTTCCACTGAGAATGGACATACTGCCTGTCAAAAGGTTATTCCCACCGCGTTGGGGCAGCAGATCACGTTACTCCAGAGTAACAACATGAAAGGGCAAAATCTGGCCATAGTCACCCACATACGTGTTTTTCTTTCCAACAAGGGCAAATGGGAGACACCAGCCAGAGCAGAACATCCTTCTTATCACTTGAGGGGGCTTGGGGGTGGGGAGGAGGCCTTTCCCTAATCAATACTGCTCCTAAGCCGCAGCCACTGTTTAATGCCTTTTATATTTTTCTTTTCATTCAGAAACAGCTCACATTCAACAAGACTTTTCTGTCTTAAAGTTTTTTTTTTTTAAATCCAAGCAATCACAAGCTATATTCTGTGGAAGACAAAATAACTTTGGAGGCGTAAATCTTAATGTCAATGACAGGAAGGCTTTGGTGAACCATTACCATAAATCTGACAAACGCTAATTTGATGGGTGGCTGTATCTGTCTGCTGCACGGCCAGTCTAGACAGTCTATTGAGAAATCCTAAAACACAACTGTTTGTTCCCTGTAACACCATCTGGATATGGCAATAAGCGCCGACCCAGCGCCATTCACACATGGATCAAAGCACATGCTAATGCTATCATGAAGTCATACACATAAAAAATTCAATCTGAGAACTCGAAGCAATTTTCCTAAGTCTTCAGCGAAGAAACCCCAGACTTAGTGCGACTCAAGCTAAGTGCGCGAAGGGGGGAGGGGGGGAAAAAGGAACTGAATATTTAATGAGCTTGGGCTTCCAGAGGAATGTTAGGCCACCCATTGTATTGGAAAAGGCTCATGTCACACTTCAGTCATGGTACCCGTCAGGGTGCCCCTTTACAAAAATTGATCTGAAGACCTTTGTAATTACCTGTTTCAGTCAGGGGTGGGGGGCTGGGGGAGTGGATTCATGACAAGAAATAAAAGAATGGATCCAAGGTGTAAATCTAACATTACATTATATTGGTCTGAGCTGGCACAAATTTTCAATATTGCATACAATATTAAAAACCTTTCTCATTAAACTGCACTGTGGCATTAGATCAAAGAATCAAGGGCCTCCTATTGAACTCCTTTAAATATTACAAACATAAGAGCAAGTCTGGCTGTGCATAAAATAGAAACAAAGCCAATTTTTTTTGTCCACCCTCATCCTATAGCTGGCTGGAGAGAAACATTGCTTGAGAAATCTATTGTAAGTCAAACACGAAGAAACTTTACTTCTCGCAAATATTTAACAGGCATAAATGAATACTAGTCTCTAGAATTTCACTTTGACAGAAATTTTTCAGTAAATATGTTACTCCTTCAAAACTTTAAGCTACTCTTTCAAAAAGTATCACTCAACAGCATCACTTCAATTGCAAATCATAGAGGCAGTGGTTTCATCCTCACCACCCTGTGATCCAAACTTCTCAAGGAAACAAAGTTCTTACTACACGGGGGTGTTATTCCACTGTGTACTTCTAAAGTAACTTTGACTCATGTGCTTCTTGGCTGGCTTATATTGTCTATCAGTATCTGATGGAAGAACATAACTAACAAATATCTTATAAATTTGTTATTACTATACTTATCTCTGTTTGCTGGGAGACACTGCATATGTTATATCCCAAATTTCCACATACTCAGCATAAGCTATGCGCAAATTCCCACCAGCACATTTTATTTTATAGCAGTTATAATAGTTGTCTCTATATTATGGGTATATGTATATGTATGTGTACACACACACACACACACACCTAATTAAATCCCCAAAATGTACTAATCATTCCATGGAGGGTGAGTAAAAAAATATAACAGAAAAATCTGTTGGGAATTACATGCTGTAACTAAGTGCTTCAGCTAGCACAGGTTGTGGCTTATGCTGCAAATTTCTAGTTTATACAGTAGTTAAGAGAATGTATATACCTTAGACCCGTACAAGTTAAGCATAAAATGATAACTGAAACAGAACCCATCTACTTAGACTACCCAGATGTTTTATCTCTTTCTATTCTACCTGCTAATGCCTTTAAAGACAATAGAGAACAAAAAACATTAACATTACATTTTAGTTTTTTAAATAGTTTAAGGTAAAAACAAAAGCCAGATTAAGTCTCTAATCAATCATTTTACAATTCTAGATAGAAATTAGGTAAAGAAATAGGAAAACGAGATAAACAGTTAAGCCACAGTTTTCTTAAAATTCAGTTCGATTTAAAAGGAAGATTTATCCTCCCAAAGTATTTTGTAAAACAAAATATATTTATCTTTTCCAATGGAATTTTAGTAAGACAATGCTTTTCTTTTTTTTTTTTTTTAAAAAGGGAGAAAACACTACCAATTTCACCTCCCATCCTATATGAAATCTTCCCTAAAAATATCTTAAAATAAGAGAAGTTCAGGAAATATACCAATTGCAAATTTACTGTGAAAGATTCCATTTTAAATGATGATCACAGATCGTTAGTTATATTTAGCCTAGAGAGTTAATTATTATAATCTGAATCACAAAGACAAACAGAAGAGCAGCCTATTTTTCTGTAATGCATGTTCCTAAGGGACCTGCAAAAAACTAATATAAGAAGGTAAACCACCCTTCCCTAAGGATAGCGTTATTCCCTGACTTTCCAAATAAAAACTGTAGAGATATTAGCTTTCTTCATCTACAAGTTAGTTGTATATGCCAAGATATCTTAGCAGAGTTCAAAAGTATTCCATTTGCAAGGCATACATGTAGACCTGTAGGGGTAAAAAGAAATAAACATGTTCATAGAAATGTACATCTCAGATGATTCACCGTAACGATCAGATGTTACCCTCGGTAGAATTAGAGGAAAAAACACTGATGCAAAGTTTAAGTGAGAAATTATAATCATTATTGTTAACCATTTTATATATTTATATAGCCATTTTACAAATATAATTAAAAATCGGTATGTCATTCTCTATGTTGGACTAAATTACGACTAAGAATTTGTTGTCTACCAGTAATGGCTTTCTTTCAGGCTGTGGCTATAATTCTGTTAAGTTTAAAAGGGGGAAAAAAAATCACCCAAACATTGCTTAATGTAACTAATCAAGCATTTTCAAAATTAAGACTGGGAATGAAATGTTAGGCAGTATTTGCAGGGATTAAAAAATGTTGTAGTAGAACAGTACTGCCATCTACCGACAACTTTTACCAGTGCCTAGGGAGTGTTTCCAAGAGCAACCTCCCATTTATTTGTGTCTGACCCAAGGAAGACTTCAGAGAGACACTGTTCAAGTAACCAGAAAGAAGTAACATTCAGATTGGCCACGGTTTTACCTCTGACTTTTAAAGACTTAATATTTTCTCTCTTTCTATTCAAAAAGAGCATGGTTTTTTTAAAAAATTTTGAGTTGTTAAAATATAGTGACCCACACAATGAATACTTCCTAGTAACTAACATCCAGCCGAGAAGACGGCTATGCCTATTGCTACAGAATGCTCATGCTCCTACAGACAAATCTCCTTCAATGCAGTAATACACTGTATCCCGTATCCCCGATGCAGAATTAGATTCACTATATCCTCTAATGACAAAAGCAGATCACAAAATTTCATAAGCAAGATTGGATGTATTTATGTGTATGTCAATCATAAAGCATCCATATTACCACCCAGGAATCACTTTATTTGGGGTCACTGTGGGTCCAAGTCTGGCACTGGATTCCCGCGGTAGCATAAAAACCCCTTAGGGTTTAGTTGGTGGGGAAGTCGTGGGGCACACTGACATCCCAGATTTGACAGAACTCAGTAAAATTCTATACATACCAAAGACGGCAATGGCATCACCAGCAGGAAGAGCCATTGCACACCTTCTATAATGCTCAAGATACCAAGTAGATGCTTTACACAAGTTCTATCAGTTTTGTAACTTAAAAGTAGATGTTGAGTGGGGAAATATGCAATATAAAGACTCTTTAACCTATGTGATGGAGCAGCTGAAGAGCACAGCTAGTCTTCTAATTTTGTACATGGATGCTGCATCCCATTAATAATGTAAAATATATATATAATTTTGGTCTATGGATTTTAACGTTTTACGGAAAAACTGCTACTGCTGTTTTTTTTTTTTTTAAGACAGTAATCTGAAAACAGGTTACAGACAGAAAACATGTAAATGACAGATTTTAAAAAGGATTTAGTCGGCACTAACATAGCCCTTTTAGGCCACATAATTGAAGAACTCCAAGGAACCACAAAATAAACTGAAAACCCCAGACATAAAGAGATCCACTTATTAATTAAAAGCAGCTCTCTTTCGCTATTAAAATAAGGTTGGCCATGCATACTTTATTGCTGTCACAGTCTCACATGAGGCAGTATTCAAAACACATAAAAGTAAAGTTGAATAGTTCTCTATGTAGGGAATGGAGTTAAGTCATGTCTGCTTGCACAAAACTGTTTTGCAAAGCAGCCATATATAGAAGATCAGGGTGGAAGAAAAAAAAGACTAAAATGCATCAAATCTCAAATTCAATGCCTTTCTTTGGTAGGGACAGTGAGGTGTGCTATGGACAACATGAGTTGAATCAAGAAAGGCCTAAAACTTTCCTTGTTTTAAAACTAGAACTAGAAATCAAGACAATCACTGCAAAGAAAGAGACAGGGAACTAATTAAATAAATTACATACTAATTAAATACAAGTTATTTGGGAACTTTTTTTGTAAGTCTAGGTTTTGTTTTTAAACACAAAAAGTCTGTATCATACTGGTTTATCTGTGAGAAGAGGCACTGGTCACAAAAAAGAGAGACGGAGAAAGAAAGGGGGAAAAAGAAAAGAAACAGAATGACAACAGTAACTACCAATATTTCAAAATGTGGTTTTTAAGAATTTCCAAAAATCACACTTCCAAAAATCACAGAAATGTTGTGGCTAAAAAGTTCATTCCTGATACTAACTGTTCTTTAAAAGCCATGGGCAACCATATGGCAAAATCTAGAACTAAAATGAAAAGGACAAAATGTGTCCTTCCATATTTAATATTCATTTCTTGAAATGGATAATCTAGTGGTATCTTGAAGGAATAAACATATTTCTTTGCAATGACTTGCTGAATGTCAGAGCATAACAAGATTATTTACAGTCTTTAAGAAAAGTATGGAAACAAGAAATTCCTATAACAGATTATTTAAAAAAAACACTACCACCTTATTTTATGGGTTACTAATAATCATGTAACTCTTTCAACTGTAGGGTAACTGCCATACAATTACAATGCCTAGTTATTTATGTCTCACAGATTATATAGTACTAAAGAAAGTTACCTGTTACCATATGTAGACACTTGTGGTTGGCAGATGTGGAAAATACTTTACCATAAAGATCAAAATTGGCTTAAAAATTGACCTAGCATATGAACGTGATTTATTTATCTCCACTCCCCTCCCCCACCTCTGTTTTGTTTGCTTTTCCTGTGGATGAAAGAAGGAAAAATAGAAACTTCTAAAGAGATATACAGCTTTCCAGAGTCAATGGTTTAATCTAAGTGGAGTCAGCTACTGAACTTTATTCAGCTGGTTTCTCCCCAGAGCACGTCTTCACCGAAGTTTCTGTTTGACCTGTTTCATTTCCTTGGAAAATTCTGGCATTAAATGCAGCTATTACTGGTCTTAAGTTAGAAACATTCTTCTTGCTTGATTTTTTAAATATGATAATCACCTTAATTTTTTAATATAATAAGCACCTTCACACTCATCCTATGTTTCATGGTACTAAGAGACCTTCGGACGCCGCATGCTAGTTCCACTTTCCTACAAGTTTGTTTACTAGTGAAATTAAACAGTCAATCCCATTTATCTCTGAAATCAGCAGTGTCCCCTAGCAAGAGATAAGAGACAATGTGTGTTGTATAATTTACTGGGAACTAATTCATGGTGACCAATAAATTGTGCAGTCCTCCTAAAGCACCCCCTTTGCCGTGGTGAGATCCGCAGTGCCGACTCTCGTCCTGGCACTAAGATAGATAAGTCCTAAGAGTGAAATCAGTAGACATGTGTCTTTTTTTTTTCCCTTTAATTCTGAATAAAATTCCAGAATTTAGGGAGTGAAAAACACTTCCCCAACCCCCGCCAAAAAAATCTGACATTTTCTTTCTGCCGAAAGTCTAATTTCTCTTTCCCCAAATTGCTTCACCATATGGAAGGAAAGAATCTCCACCTTTTATCTTCAATCTGTATCACAGTTTGGGCATATACGAGAATTTTGTGTTCACTTTTAATTTTCTTGCTAGTTAAGAACAACTAACAACTTTCTTGTATGTTAGGACTCAAAATACGTACCTCAAGAGTTGTGGTACATTTCACACAGGTCAGAAGACAAGCATTATGGAAATGAAATGATTTTATGATGACTTTGCTTTAATAGGGGTTTTACACAGGGGCTTTCCTGGGAAGATGTCCAGGCAAATTGTGTCCAAAGCCCAGAATGAAGGGAAAATTCACCTTGATGTAACATAGTTGAAGAGGGATTTGCTGATTTGTCATTTTAAATGAAACACAAACTCCAATTCCAGCCCAGTTATGAGAGCATTCCTTTGTCCTCTTACTTAAGGGATTTTTCTTTTTCCTTTCTTTCCTTTATTTCTTTCAAATCCTACAATTTGAGAAACCACTCAAGAAGATGGGGTGTGTATACACACACACACACTTCATACATACATCTGTACATGTACACACACATCCATTTTCAAACAAGCGCTAATAAGAGTCCAGTTGGCTCTGAGATAATATATCCAAAACGAATCCCACTCTTCTTAAGCATAAACTTCACACAAATAACTAGATATAAACAAGCCACATTTAATAAGGATAAATAAAATCTCTGTCAAGCTTACAACAGGACCAAAAAAAAGTCATGGGGGCCAGAGAAGTAATTTTTAGGTTATTTGGCAAGAAACATGCACACACACACACACACACACACACACACACACACACACACACACAAAACCCTCATGCACATGTGTGCATGCACAGTGTGTGCGCACACATACACAGTTTTTCGTTTGGAACATTTTTGAACAATGAAAAGGCAAGAGAAATTTAAGCGTCTTGGGAAATACTCTTCCTGTGCCAAATAAGCATAAACAAAATAAATTCTAAAAGCAAATTTTAAATACTAGAGGATGGAAAGTAAAAATGAGCCAAGCTGGAGTGGAAATATCAATCCTGAAAGAATCAGAAAGCAAGTTTCTCTTGAACCCCAATGAATCTTGCATTTCTAAGAAGCACAATTCAGTTACTTGAGCTGTCCTTTGAACAAAAATTTAAACTTAAAGAATATATTTAAGAATATAATTAAGTCAGCTACCTGGGATTTTATTCAAAAAGTGATACTGATTATTTTCCCCAAAACATCTAGGAATAGTGTGGCAATAAAGTGGCACTGTGTTTCAAAAGGAGCCCCCCAAAACCTTCAAAGCTAAGATTCTATTTAGTCAATGATTTGGCTAGGACTCACCACATAAAAAACACAACACAACAAAAAACAAACAAGCAAACACACTTGAGCAGCCTGTTTGGATATTGTAGTACTTGTTCCACAGAAGTCATCAGAGTGTTCTAGGAGCTTCTCGTCTAGGTTAACACTGACACTGCTGGTCAGCAATAAATCAAAGCTATGCTCGTCATACAAGCACGTAAAATCATCACCTTAAATGGTATGAAAGTATTTGTGCTGTTAGAAGGTAGGGAATGGGGTGAGGGGAGGAGCAAGGATAAGGATTCCTTCTTTCCCATTCCACTCTCGGGTTCTCTTGATCTTCCCAGGGTGGAGGAGCAGTAGGAAACTGTTCACCCACCCAGTTACTGTGGGAAAAAACTGGAGGGCTCTAGTGAAAAATGGGAAAACTCTTCCCCACACCTTTATCTCAAGCCTTGGCTTAAGGTATAATACTTTTTATTTTTTATTTTTTTTGAGACGGAGTCTCACTCTGTCGCCCAAGAGTGCAGTGGCACAATCTCGGCTGACTGCAACCTCCGCCTCCCGGGTTCTAGTGATTCTTCTGCCTCAGCCTCCCGAGCAGCCAGGACTACAGGCACGCGTCACTATGCCTGGATTTTTTTTTTTTTTTTTTTTTTAAGAGACAGGGTTTCACCATATTGGCCAGGCTAGTCTAGAACTCCTGACCTCATGATCCGCCAGCCTCGGCAAGGAGACAAGTTACTTGATAGTCAAACTGGGCCTTAAAATTATCACGCATCATGTTATTAAAAGGCAGTGACCATGGAAGGGTAAATGTCCTCCCTCCTCCTTTCATGAGAACACTAAACCATCCTCCCACCATGTAAAAAAAAAACTACTTATATTTTTTATTAAAATTTACATCATGTAAAAAAATTATGTCCAAAACGGCTTGGTTAAAAAAGACCACCTAGGATATGTTTGTGTTCAGATTTGTTAAAATGCAGAGATTTAAAGAACTAAAATTCTTTATTAAAGAATATTTTCAATAATTTAATGGTAGCTTTCTTGTGGCGTTTTAGAGTTCGCACACAGTAGGCTGTGGTTTAGGAGCTAAAGTTGAATGCGATCCCAGAGTTTCTTTAAATAGGTCATTTTAGAGATAGAAAAGGGTCTACAGGTTGATTGACAATTGACAAACTATTTGGCCCACTAGGCATAAACTTCTATTAGATAGATTATTGGGGCTTTCACAGATAACCTTGGTAACAGCATTATCTAAATATGAAAATAACAATAAAATAACAATCAATTTTATGATTCTCAAATCAGAGCTTTAAGAAAATAGATCCAAATAGCATATGACTAAGAACTTACTATGTATCAATCAAATGGCATAAAAATACTTGCAACATGGTCATCTTGAAAAATTTACAATCTACCTCCACGGTCTGTCTGAACAACAAACTTAACACAAGGCAGAATGGACTGAATACTGAGAATAAATGGCAATTATGAGAGCGCCGGGGTTGGGAAGAGCTTCCTTGACTTGAGTACTGGAGGCATGTCAGGAGCAGGTTATAAGAATGCTGTGGCACTTGAGCAGCACCTTGAATGTTGGCTGCATTCAGAGCAAAAAGTACGCATCAGTACAAGCAGGAGAATAAAAATTCAGGGCATCATCCACAAACAGACATGCCAGAGCTTACATCATATTAGGATGTTGTGTGCTTGTGGCCATACAACGCAGGGACACAATGAAAGTTAGGTTTTAGAAAGTTAAGACTCAGCAGAGTGGAGTGAGGAGGAGCGAAGGCAATCACAAGGAGGCCGGGGTAACCGTCCAAGCCAGAGGATATGTGGGCTGAACTCCAAAGGCGGCAGTGGGAACGCATTGTGGTGACCCTGCACGCAACTGAAAGGAGATACCATCTGACTGCATGGCAATGTGAAGAAGGGGGATGAGACAAGGATGACAAGGCAGATGGCATCACAACTGAGATAAGGCACAGGAAATGAGGAAATGGAACTGATGGAGGGAAGAAGGAGAAGGATTTAATCTTGAAGAATCCAAGTATACGAGGCCAGCAGGACAGACACGTGCAATAGGCGGAATTAGAGATTAATCAGTTGACTGATTAATTGATTTCACATCCACTATCCAACAGACTTTCAATGACTCAACTATGGGAGTCCAGAAAATTATACGGAAAAATATAAATAACTATAAATCAGCATCTGGGCTCAACATTCAGATACTGGATTGTGAAACTCAAGAGGGATCTAGGGACTGAAACTGAAAACCTGGACATCATCAGTGTAAAAATGATAGTTGTCACCACCCCTTGAGAGTGGGAGTGGTGGGAAGGGAAGGGAGAGAATATTCATTTTTTTACTTTATAACAAACTTTTATTGTTTGAATTTTTATCAACAGCACATACTACTTTTTGTGGTCTTTTAAAAGCCAATGTTTTAAAAAAAATAAAGCAAAAAGACTGAAGCCATAGGAACAGGCAGTATCACAAATTGACTTCTCAAATATGTGCAGTTAATGTACACAAGCACTCAGGTGGGAACTGAGAAACACAAAGGTGATTTCAACCCAAGTCCTGTGTGAATCTAATGGGAAAATAAAGGCACTGGAGTCAAACAGGATTCAAACTCCTCTCCCACTAATAGTTACATAGGTGAATTCTTAAATTCCCTCAAGTTCAACTATTTTTCTCTAAAAATGAGGCAAACAATACCTCATAGGGTTGCTGTAAAGATGAGACAAGTTAACGTAATTAAAGCCCCTAAAGGGTAGCATTTGGCACACAGTAGGTACTCAATTAAGATTCCCTGATTTTTCATCCTTCTGCCAAGATGGGGAAACTCAAAATTTCAGTCAGGTTTAAAAAGAGACTGAAAAGAAGTGATCAGAGGGACCGCAGCAGAAAAAAAGATGGCACCATGTCATGGGGACTAGCGGAGAGAAGCAAAGCGCCTTTATCCATCCACTCAACATAAATGTACTAAGCATTAACACCTGCTGGAGTGGATAACTATGTCAAAGGTGGTGGAGATGGTGAGAAGTAGATTATTTGACAACTAGGAAAGAGGTCCTTGCCGACTTGCAAGAAGAGTCCCAGCAGAACAGCAGGAGAAGATACTACTTGGCCAGAGGGCTAAGGAATGACTGGGTGGTGAAGAGTGACAGTAGGAAGAAGTGACAGTTCTTTGAGAAATTTGTAACTAAGGGAATGAGAGGCTCTTGTGAAGCGAAGGTTTCAGGAAAGTTAAGTAGCTCATAGGATAAAAGGAGGAAAGTCTGTGGAAAGGGAGAAAGTGATGGCAGGGAGGAGGTGGCAGAGTTCATTCACAGTGTAAGGCCCTGAAGCTGACAAGAGGGTGCCCAAAGTGAGGAGGCTGACCTTGGGAAGGAGTAAGGACACACCATCGCATCGGGAAGCAAGTGTGAGAAGTAGGCTGGAAATACAGACAAAGGTTCAGGTGTAAAGGAGAGCTGAAGAAATTCAATTGGATTACCATCTACCTTCTCATTGAAAAAGGAAGCAAGATTACTAGCAAAATAAGGAAAGCTGATGGAAATGGGACCCCAGGGTGAAGAAGGATCGAAAACTAAAAAGACTTTCCCAGGAGCAGTGAGGTTCCAGCAGAGGGAGGTGGCACACATCAATACTAAGCATTTAGCCCAATGTGATTGGGCTAATGTGATTTCCTCCAGTGATTTTCAGTGGCCTGGGATATAGACACGGGGGGAGTGGGAAGGCAGTCATAATAGTGGGCAAAGCAGAAGTTAAAAGGGCAAGGGATTCTAAGGATGCCAGTGAGCCAACAGCTGACACGGTGGACTGGGGAGGTCAAGGCCTGAAGGTTGAGCAGGGAAGGAAGGATGAGACTGAGTGACAAGAAAAGCGGCAGGTGGAAAATGGCCGTTAATTGGATTTAAGATGAGGAACAAGCACGTTTAGAGGAAATGAAGGAATGAGTAAGTGAAAGAACAGAAGGCTGTGACTGGAAGACAGCTCCAAGCTTGAATCCTTAGAAATGAGGCAATTCCAGGCCATGGAAAGGGTTGAAGCTGGCTGATTAAAGGGAATGCAGAAATTCCTGGAATCGAGAGGCCAGGCCTCCAGCCATTCATGACACTGGAAGCCGTGGTTAGCTATGATAATATCAGAAGACCAAGCTAGGCAAAGAGGAAGAGATCCAAAGGAGAAGAAAATGGAGGAAACAGAAAAAATATAACTTTCTGAATAGACTAATTTCAAAGACTGTTAAAAATAATCTTTCTTTAGAAATAATGCCTTGCTTTTAGTCTAAGTTATTAAAAAAAATGAGTAAAACCTTTAAAATCCACAGCAGAAAAAGCCATTTCACCATTTATATGTCTTCAACTGAAGCAAAAATCAAGGACCTGACTCTTTGTTCTTCAACTCAACACATCTGATACGGTGTGGCTATGTCTCCAGCCAAATCTCATCTTGAATAATTGTAGCTCCCATAATTCCCAAGTGTTGTGGGAGGGGCCCAGTGGGAGATAACTGAATCATGGGGGTGGTTCTCCCATTCTGTTCTCATGGTAGTGAATAAGTCTCATGAGATCTGATGGTCTTATAAGGGATTTCCCCTTTCACTTGTCTCTCAATTCTCTCTTGCCTGCCGCTATGTAAGACATCCCTTGCTTTTCCCCCATGATTGTGTGGCCTCCCTAGCCATGTGGAACTGTGAGTCAATTAAAACTTTTTCCTTTATAAATCACCCAGCCTCAGGTATATCTTTATTAGTAGCATGAGAACAGACTAATACACTATTTCAAACAAGATGGCAAAGTAACTGGTAACAACTGAAGGAAATAACGCTGCTTCTGTAAGCACTGAGGCCAAGTTGTCTGAGCTCACCTTCTCCCTTCACACACTGGGGAAGGAGGAGGCCTGATGACAGGATCCCTACACAGCTTGCTCAAGCACAGGTGAGCCACAGCACATCCTCCTGCAGCAAGCAAGGTGGCATGACTAACACAAGACCTAACCTCATTGCCTTTACACAGCTCTTTCATATCCATTACCTCTCTTAATCCTCACAGGCTCTCTGGGAGGCAGGTATTACTATGAGCGGCTTTTTATCAGTGAAAAAATAGAGACTTGTGGGCCAGAAGACTTGCTCAAACGCTGAGTCTGGCAGAAACCAAGGCCCTCCCACTCCAGAATTTAGCCCTTTCCACTAAATCCCACCAACTGAATGACTGCAAGGGCCAGATGCACAGGAGACAGCGCAGTTCAGAAAGGCCTGAATACTTCTGGGTCATTCTCAAAGTCACACAGGGCAGCTAAAACATAAAGCAAGATAAGCAGCATCAGCAGGTATTCCTTAGGGATACTTCACTTACAACTGAAAGAAAAGATAACTTTTCCACATTTGAGCACATTGAACAATTGTCAGTGTGCTCACAATTCATGAGAAGACAAGAAAACCCAGAGTCTACAGAAATCAAAAGTGACAGAATCATCATTTCAGAGCTGTAGGTACAAAACAGTAAGTGGTCTCTGGGTGTGCAGAAGGAGTTAACATTTTCTACAGAGTAACACCTTTTCTGAGAAGAGACTGGACTGGCAGAAGCAGGAGATAAGAGGATGGGTTGGAAAAAACCACAACATCTTCTCAAACCAAGAGAAAGACAAGATAGAAGTAGAGAAGGAAACTTGGGACTTGTATGTCTGTAACGCCAGAGGACCCTGGGCACCTTACATGAAAATTATCAGAAATGCAAATTATCAGATGGCTAATTTCTAAGGTCACCTGGTGCCAAACACATTACAATTTCAGTCTCTGCCTCACACATCTCACATCCCTAAAAATAGAGGCAAAGGGGACAAAAATTATCTTCAGAAAGCCTGGTGTCCACTAAGCCTGGCAATATATTCTATGACAAGCCACATTTTATCACAGAATACTACAATCTGAAAAGGTTCCCTGAGATACATACTGCTAATCTAAAGAAGTGTTGAACCAAAATTGTAACTAAATCACCAAATTCTGCATAAACCCAGGGGGTAGAATAGGTTCAATATTCAGGACTAGCTCAAACAGGTGAATTTACTCAGATAACTGATGAAATCTCATCTTCTAAAGTCCTTATTACCACGAGGACTGACCCCCCCACCCCCACCCACCCAGACAACAAAAGAGAAAGTCAATTAATAATTATGATATAAGGTTATTCTCACCTCCCCCATTACTGTTTCTTGGAGTTTTTATGAGGTTTTGCAATAAAAATTTATAGCTATCTGAAATAGTTCTAACCTCTTCCACAAGTAGTTTGCTTATTTGTTCATCCTTTTCCTCTAGCCCATGTAAATAAAACACAACCTTCACTTTCATGGTAAGAAAAATATTCCCTTTAATGAATTTCAGGAATCAGGAAGAAAACTGCGCTAGTCTCATGGATCTCATGTTAAGGATTCTAAGAATTCTTTACTTAAGAGATCTGTTTTCCTTATTCCTCAATCTCCTTTAAAGAAGCTGAGCATTTTTAAAAGGATATCATAGTATTACTTTAAAAGCACCAAACATAGCATCCCTGAAAATAACATGTTTCCTGTCGGGAGAAGCATGTTAAGGTGTCTGTGAGAGATTTCTGGGGTTTATTCTAATCCATGTTTCTGGGGGGCATCTGGGACACTCTAGGAACACAAGGGCCCCTCTTTCCACTTTGGTTGTCACTAGTCACACAGATTTTCTTACTACTCACTGCTTGACTGAGTCGTCTCAATTCATTAAACATTCTCTGAGCTATTGGCAAGACTTCAACCATGGTGACATTTCCTTTACACTAGATCATCCAACTATAGCCTTCCTAGAAAACAATGCTTGGACAGTAGCAAAAGCCTGTTGGGTCAGCTAACGACATCAAGTTATAATAAGATCTCAAAGTTTGTCTTTCTTTTTAATTTTTGTTTTCTTCTCTAGCAGTTACAACATGCACCTTGAGATGGTAATAGTCAAAGTATTGACTGAATGTGCCTGCCCCCTGGTGGCTGGTGGGGTGAAGGACACACTGTAGAAATCCTTCGGGTACCTGCATCAGAATCAGACACGAGAGATATGAAAGCAAGCACACAAATCAGAATTTGCTGTAGTGGAGTATTACGAAGATCTGGTATAAAATGAAATAAAATAGAGTTTAAAAAAGGAAAACATTACTAACAAACAGTTTTAGAGACAAGTCACCAAGATCTTAGCTTGAGATACACTAACCCAGGCTCCTCCTGCCAAATTATGAGCAATTATTGTGCTAAGTATCTATGTGCACCTGTTGTTGTCCTAGCTTCTTCCAATTAAATTATAATCTTAAGATTATTGTTATTCGGAAGAAGGAGTCTAGGTTAGCATATCTCAAGCTAAGAGCTTGGAAACTGAAACACATTTTAATTGTGGTCATTGCTCCACACCATAGGGGCTCCCTCTGGGACATGGTCTCAACTGGCTCTGGCCGATTCTGATCCCCACCGGCAATCTCACTTCCCGTTCTCCCCTTTGAGGCCAAATTGTCCATGGTGACTTTAAACCTGGATTCATAGATGCCTTCAGGACAGGGAAAAATCTAAGCCTGTGAGGCAGCAATACGGGGAGTAAAGGAGACTGAGGAGAGACCTGTGGTGACTAGGAACATGGCTTCCTACAGGCATTCAAACTCCATTGTTTAAAATTAACTCTACATTGCCCAAAAAACATTTTTAGAGCAGTGCTCTGCTCACCCCTGTAATCCCAGCACTTCGGGAGGCTGAGGCAGGTGGATCACAAGGTCAGGAGTTCAAGACCAGCCTGGCCAATATGAAATCCCGTCTCTACCAAAAATACAAAAATTAGCTGGGCATGGTGGCAGGTGCCTGTAGTCCCAGCTACTTGGGAGGCTGAGGCAGGAGAATCGCTTGAACCGGCAGGCGGAGGTTGCAGTGAGCCCAGATCGCGCCACTGCACTCCAGCCTGGAGACAGAGTGAGATTCCATCTCAGAAAAAAAAAAAAAAAAGAAAAGAAAAGAAAAAGAAAAAGAAAGAATGAAAAGAAAAGAAAAGGTGAACCAAAAAAGCACAAAGAAGGAAGAAGAGAATGTCCTGAATGGCCTTTCCCAACCACCAAAGACATGCACCCAGATGCCTCAATACGGTCTCCTCAAATGCCATGGGACTACGTCAAAAATATATATATATCTTTCCAATGAACCAGCTCCTGCTCTTGATTTTCCTATTTCTCTCAAAGAAATGATCACTTTCCCAGCCAGCTGGACTTGGAAAAGGTGTCATCTGGACCCTCTCCTCCTCTGTGAGGTATGAGCAAGTCTTCCCTGTAATCCTGTCCTCTCCCTCTGTGCGCCCTCATCCAGGTTCTCACTCCCTAGGGCCTTTTTCTTGTTCCTATGCATCCAGCATTTTCCCTTAGAGATCCCAGTATAATAAATTACTCAAATATGTGCAGTCCTTTGTAGTTACAATGTGCTTTTGCCATATTTTCTATTTTAGTTTTATTTTTGAGTATATAACAGCTTGGTAGGTAAGCAAAAAAAATACTATTTCTATTTTACAGGAGATGAAAGAAATATTGAGAGGAATTAAGTGATTTGGCCATTGCCACTACAGAATCTCACTAATAGCATTTTTACCTAGATCAGTAGCCCATTTCTCTCTCCTGCTCTCTGTTCCTCTTTCTCTCTCTCCCTCTTTCCCCTGCTCTTTCTGGTCTCCAGCACTGTATAAGCCAGTTGCTTGGGGAATGTTTCCACGTGGATATCCCACAAACACATTAAACTCATCATGATGAAAACCAAATGCACCCTTGGCTCCTCTCAACTTGCTGCTCTGCTGTTCTCTAGTTCAGTGAACAAGGATCACCCACCTAGAAACCTGGAAGTCCTGACTCCTCATTCTCCTTCACTGACCCATCCAGTCACCAATTTTCAAGTCTACAAAACTATTAAACTGTTTCTCGAAACCAAGTTTCTCTCAATCCCCACTGCCCACTTCTGCCACCCTCATCCAGCCTATAACATCCACTTCTCTGTCTCTCTCATAACACTCTTATCTGCACAGCCCCAGTCAATCCATCCCTCACACTTCACCTTGAATAATCTTTCACTCTGCTTCTTACAACATTTTGATGTCTCACCAAAACCCTCAAAATAAAAACCAAGCTCCTTAACAAGGCTGGCAGAGCTCATCAGCTTCTCTGGGTGGTAACTCCTTATCTTAGCTTAGGCTACCATGACAAAATACCAAGACCCTGGGTGGCTTAAACAACAGAAATGTATTTTCTCACAGTTCTGCAGGTCGGAAAGTCCAAGATCAAAGTTTGAGAGGGTTCAGTTTCTGATGAGGGCTCTATTTCTGGCTAGCAAACCATTACTTTGTCCTCACATGGCCTTTCCTTGGTGCATGAGTGTGGAGAGTGAGGGAGCTTTCTGGTGTTTTTAAAATAAGGACACTAGTAGTATCAGATTAGGGCCCCACTTTTAAGACCTCATTTAACCCTAATTCCCTCCATATAGACCCTATCTCCAAACGTAGTCACTGGGGGACAGAGCCTCAACATATGAACTTGGGGAGACACAATTCAGTCCATACTCCCTCTCCAATCTCAAGTGAAGGCCTGACCACTTAGCAGTCTACGCTGCGGCCACACTGACTGCTCATGTGCTGTCTCTAAATCCAAATCCTTGTGGAGCCCTCTCCAGAACCCTCTCCTTTTCCTTAGGCTCCCTATACCTTTTGCTTAACTAACCCCTCACTCTTTAAGTCTCAGCCTCCATAGTCTTAGTTCTTCCAAAAAGTCCTGCAATCTGACCTGCAAGCCCTTTCCCCTCTGGGATTAGAGGCCCTCACCAAATGTTCCCATGATCCTGACCACATTTGCCTGTATCCTTTACTAGATTCTTGGCTCTTTGACAGCAGGTACTGAGGCTGTCTGTTCACGGCTGCAACCCTAACATAACCCAAGAGCACTATTAATACATAGTGCTCTTTCAATAAATATCATTGTCAAATGCCATTCTCAAAAAGGTAGGCAGAAAAACAGGAAGGGAAGGAGAGACCAGAGTAAGCAATGGCTCCTTACTATCTATGGAAAAAAGTTTCCAGTTGTTCTGACATTCGAAGCTCCCTTCCACTGGGCCTCAAGACCCTAAGTTCATATTTGAAAGGCTGCACAGGAGAAAGCAGAGCCTTATGCTGCATTTGGGGGTAAAAATAGAACCAACAGGTAGAAATATGGGAGAAACAGGGCAGAGTGGGAAGGGCAGGGGTGCTTAATTAAAGACGCATGCCCACCTACCAGGAAAGCCACAAAATTGCTTCTCAGAACTTGTGTTCAGGGACCTCTCCGGTCTGCTCTGCCTTCAAGACACATTCTTTTCTCCTCTGATTTCCTCTATTCCCACAAGAGCCATCAATTGGAGTCTACCCTCAGCCCCTTGTTCGGCTGACACTCATGTTCACCCCTGCCCTCATACACCATCCTTGTTTGCAATGGCTTCACAACACCCAGTTCTATGCTTCTCCTAGTCCAGCCGTTTTCAATGTGTGCATGGACTCCTGAGGGTCCCCAAGACCCTTTCAGAGGATCTGCAGGATCAAAACTAATGTCATCATACTAAGACATTATTTACCTCTTGCATTGTGTTTGCATTAACATTGATGGAGAGAGTGAGTGAGTGAAACTGCTGGCCCTTTAGCACAAATCATGCTGGTGGCACCAAACTCTACCAGCTGCCATTGTGTTTTACATAAAAATGGCCTTGATGAAGCAGTAAACTATCAATTTTATTAAATCTTGACACGTTACTATTCTGTGTGATGAAATACATACAAAACATTTCTGCTCTATGTAAAAGTCTAAGGGTTGTCTCAAGGAAAAGTACTCGTGAACCTAACTAACTTCTCTTTTCATGGAACACCATTTTTACTTGAAAAAATGACTTACAGGCAAACTATAATTATTCGAACTTGGGTATTTCACAGATATTTTCTTAAAAATAAATGAAGTGGGCATGTCAATTCAAGGAAAACAACTGTTAGTATTTGTTGCCAGTGATAAAATTCAAGCTTTCAAATGAAAATTAAATTCTTAGAAAACTTGTATCTGCCATCATGAACTTGACATATTTACAAGACTGATATTGTGTTAACATTTGGAAGATTTACATAACTAGATGAACCAATATTTTCCAAGACCAATGTGTAATATTACAAAGTCATGCCTGAGCAAAAGAGTCTTTCAAGGTCCAAGAGAGACTACTGGCTTTTAACATAACTAACTAGAATAAGTTCACTGATATGGTTTCAGGTTCCACATGGCAACTAGCCCCTAAGGAACTACCATTTGATTGTTTAGATATAGAATCACAGAAGACTACTCACAATTATCAGAAAAGGCTATTAAAATATTCTTTTCCAACTTCATAGCTGCGTGGGGTTGAATTTTCTTCACATACTTTAACCAAAACACACAACAGATTAAATGCAGAGGCAAATATGAGACTCTAGCTGCCCTCTATTAACCCAGACATTAAAAAGATCTGCAAAGAGGTAAAACAATGCCATTTTCTCACTAATTTTTGTTTTGGAAAATATAGTTCTTTTTCATTTAAATGTTATTCATATTAACATGTAATGGGTTTATTTTTATTTATTTTTTGAGACAGTCTCGCTCTGTTGCCAGGCTGGTACAACGGCAAGATCTCAGCTCACTGCAACCTCTGCTTCCCTGATTCAAGCAATTGTCCTGCCTCAGCTTCCCAAGTAGCTGGGATTATAGGCGCGTGCCACCAAGCCCGGCTAATTTTTTTATTTTTGTAGAGATGGGGTTTCTCCATGTTGGCCAGGTCTCGAACTCCTGGCATCAGGTGATCCGCCCGTTTCAGCCTCCCAAAGTGCTGGGATTACAGGCTTGAGCCACCAGGCCTGGCCCGTTACTATTGTTATTTTTAAATGCATTAGTAAAAAAAAAAAAAATTTTAATTGCTAGAACATTAAATATCAATACCCACATTAATAAAAGCTATTTGGGAGCCTTAATAATTATCAATGGTGTAAAGGGGTCCTGAGACCAAAAAGTTTGACTTCACCAGGTGTTTGAACACTACAGATCCCATCTTGCCCATGAAGCTTCCCTAGACATCCCCACCCCACCGTGCTCCCTTCTGCATCCTACAATAGCATCCACTGGTAAGGCCACTATTTTAATAATGATATGGTTGCTTTATACTAATGAATTATGTTTTTGTACAACAGTCTCCTAGTGTCCATGTTTAAGAATTTAAGGGACTTTGCTTTCCAAAGCTGTTAACCCAACTAGCTCTGTGAAAGTGAAACAAAATTATGGACTTAAATTTCTGTCTGTGTCAAAAAAGAGTAAAATGCACCCTCTAGTGGACTTGTAAGCTCACAGAACACAAAATAAATTTATTGGATTGTCAGAAGAATTACAACTCCGTCCCAGAAAATTCAGATTATAAAATAATAATATATGAGCATAGGGAAATTAATTTTAATTTTTTGATAATATGTTTTTAAAAGAGCTAAGAAAATGTGAAACCAAATCTAGTTTGAATGTAGTTCATAACTAAATGCAAAAGTAAACCTGAGGTCACACACAAAAAACTTCTTTCTTAAATTCCTATGAATTGATTATACATCGGCTATCCAAAATAATCTGTTCAAATTATGTCTTATTAACTACTTATAACTTTAAATACATAGAAGCATTAACATGGATAAAGTTGGGATTATTATTAGTTCAATTTCCAAATATTAAAACTACACTCAACTTACAACCTGGGCATTCCAATGGCCTTCACAAAATCTGAAAAAGGACCTTTGAAGGATAAGAACCAATGCTTGGGGTATACTTTTAACTCTGTATGTTAATGTTAAAAGGATTTAATTCTATGCATCTTTCTCTAGGATGACATAAGAAAAACAGTGTAAAAATACACTCAACCTTATCAGATAAAATAATGTAATGACATGGAAAGAAGTCTGAAATATATGGTTAAACTAAAAAATGTAGTCACAGAATAACGGGTGGCATGATCTAATTTATGTTTTAAAAAATGTACGCACGTGTACCCATGTTTATGAGCACATATGCACGTTAATTCTATAGTTAAACCTTTTTTTTTTTTTTGAGACAAGGTCTCGCTCTGTCACCCAAGCTGTAGTACAGTGGCTCGCTCATGCCTCACTGCAGCCTTGCTCCTGGGCTCAGCCTCCCAAGTAGCTGGGAATATAGGCATGTGCCACCACACCCAGCTAATTTTTATAATTTTTGTAGAGACAGGGCTTCAACATGTTGCCCAGGCTGGTCTCGAACTCCTGGGTTCAAATGATCTGCCTGTCTTGGCTTCCCAAAGTGCTGGGATTACAGGTGTGAGCCACCACCCCGGGCTATAGTAAAGTATTAACATTTGTTATTTCTGGCAAGGAATATGCATTAGTAGCAAAAATAATGGAAGGGCATTTGACTATACTTCTATACTGTTAAGATGCTGTGAGCATTTTTAATTCAAAATAATCAAATATGGAATTTTTAAGGAAATTACAGTTATAATTAATTCAAAGAACTGTATGAAATGGGAATTGTTATTTCATCAACTAGGACATTAAAAGGTTTGAGTAACAATAAGAAATTTGATATAGCTATTTGGTTTTTAAATCATTAGACTGGAAAAGAAAATTTTTTAAATGGCTTTATCACCAGAACACAATGTCTGATTCCTCTGATGATAATGCAAGCTGAAGTGGTATATAAAATCCTCTCTGCCACTTTTAAACTCTGGCAGAGATAGCTACTCCTTCCAACTGATAGTGTCTGATCGGATAACTATGTTCCTTTTTAAACTCTCAAATTCTATAATTTCTGAAGTGCTGAGATACTGTCATAGTTATGGAAGCATTTTCTAGCTTTGAGTTTTTATAGATCTAGCCTCAGCCATACAGCCTGGTGGGTACAGGTACTTTAAGTGAATAACTGGCTTTATTAATCTCAACTGGAAGTGGCCGAGTTGAACTGAAACTAAACACAGACACACACACACACACACACACACACACACACACACACAAATCAGTAGTATTACCAAACTACAACCACTAAGGAGCATACTCATCCAATTTTAATTTGAGCATCAGACGCAAAAAGACAGAAACAATATGTATGCTTCGTCTGTCATTCTAATCTGAACACACAATGTCTTCAAGTCAACAACTTAGGTAGATGGAGCAGACTGGCCAAAAATAAATTTCTATTGGCAACACTTCTGTGAAATTCTACTGGTCCTTTATAATGTGCCAGTGTTTCACTCTCTAATCATATATTGCCCAGTGCATACATTCATTTAAACAAAATCCTTCTTTTCTTCAAGTAATTAAAACTCTTTAATCTTTTATCTATTTTAAGCCTACTTCCATTAATATTTGTATTTAGACATTTGTCTAAAGTGAAAAGTGTCCCACCAGAGCATGCTGAACCTTGGTATCTTCCTTGTGAATAAAATTTAGCTGGACACATAGCCACTCAACTACAGAATGCAGTTTCCAGACTCCTTTGCAGCCAGGTATGGCCGTACGACATCATTGGAACATGAGTGAAAATGATGTGTACAAAGGAATTGTTTGTTCTCCTTTTCCACTCTTTTCACTTCTGATATGGTTTGGCTGTGTCCCCACCCAAATCTCATCTTGAATTGTAGCTCCCATAATCCCCACGTGTTGTGGGAGGGACCTGGTGGGAGGTAATTGAATCATGGGAGTGGGTTTTCCCCCAGCTGTTCTCGTGATAGTGAATAAGTGTCAAGAGATTTGGTGGGTTTATAAAGGGGAGTTCCCCTGCAAATGCTCTCTTGCCTGCCACCATGCAAGGCATGCCTTTGCTACCCCTTCCCATTCTGCCATGATTGTAAGTTTCCTGAGGCCTCACCTGCCATGTGGAACTGTGAGTCCACTAAACCTCTTTTTCTTTATAAATTACCCAGTCTCTAGTATGTCTTTATTAGCAGCATGAGAATGGACTAATACAACTTCCCTATTGGTAGAGAAGTACCCTGAAGTATTAGAACATTATACAATTATCTTAATAGAAACAGCATGCTGACAATGCATGATCAGACAGGTAGATCAATATAGACACCAAAAAGGGGGAATACATCTAAGTACATACAGGGAATAACAAAAAGCAGTAGCATTTTATGTAAATTAGTATTGTCTATTTAAAAGGAAAGAAGACTATTAATAAAGTCAGTAAAAACGCATCAAGAATAACACAATCTGAAACCTGGCACAGAGAATGCAAACTGTGTTTTTAAGACTGTTACCACCTGAGGGCACTACTTCAGCTGACTAGAAGAAATGCGGGTGATCCTTTGTAGAATTTGTCTTGAATTTGCCAAACCTTCAAAAATAATTTTTTAGCCAAAAATGATCACTGTCGTATCTACGGTTAATGTAGCATGTCAAAAAGCGGGAAACAGATGGATGACTCACCAAATGGGGCTGGGCAACCAACTAACCATATGAGGGGGAAAAGCAAAGTTGCATCCCTACTTCACTACTTACTCTAAAATAATTCCACTGGGATTTGAATTTTAAATAGAAAAAACAAATCCACAAGAGTACCAGAGGACGTTTACTATAATAATAATTTTTAAATCTTTATATTTTTAGGGGCAGGGAAGAGCATTCAAAGGATGAAGGAAAGCATCTGACCATTCTTTCCATATCACTAACTCCCCAACATCCTTCCTGGCATTATGGTTACCCCACCCCTGAGTTTAACAAAGTTAAAAAACAAAATGGGAATGGAAAACGAGGGAGCAACCCAGTCACTTAATTTTTCATGCCAAAGTCACTCAATTTTTTATAAGCCCAGATTCAGGGGTTGACCCTTTGTGCCCTGGAAACACTGCACGTGACCCCAGCACTGCTAGCTCCAGCTTCTGAGCCTGAAATACTCTTTAGCCTAAACCTGGCCCTAATACACACAACAATCACAAAAAACAATAAGAATAATAAAGAACCCAGCAACCGTTGGAACCCTGAGGAAGCCGACGGTGAGTGAAACCTTCCCGACTTCTAAAACCAGCTCCAAGTCAAGTCTGTGAATTTGAGTCTCGCAGGATGCCCCTTTCTTCCTGTATCACTCCGCCAGAGAATATTTTTTAGGAACATAGAGCACTAGAATGAGTGGCTATCTCTAAAGCCATCTTAAGTTTATATTCTTCAGCAGCTGACTCAATAACCTGACTTTGACATTAAGCCGACTTCACAGACCAACTGTCACTTCAAAGAACAAGAAAAACCTTGAGTAAAAGTTAAATGAAAAGTGTTTTCCAAATCACTCGCAAAGGAAACAGATCAGGTTGTTGTAATAAAGAATGTAATCAACTCATTTCATGAGCTAAAAAGGTATCCTCAGAAACAGGAACGCTTGACTCAGGGTAGACTGACTCTGTCAAAGGTTTGGGGCCTGATGTTGACGACTGGCAAAGACCGAGATGAAATGAACTCATTTTGACATTCAAGTTAGAGTTTTCTAATCTAATCCATAGCAATCATCCTGAGGTAAAATACCAAGGTGCCACTTTTATAGTCATTGATGGGGAACTAAGCCATTAATGACTCTTCTAAGTAATACAGCAGTTAGTGAGTGACAGAATCAAGACTCAGATGAGGTCCTCTGACTCTACAATCAAAGGTGTTTGACTCCATCCCTCTAGCACCCTCCATGGTGGAAACGACATTTAGGTCAATTTATAACATCCGAAAAAGACAGACTAGCTGTACAACTATTAATAGATAGGAAATTGACTTATCTTTGGGCAATGGCAAGGGAAAAGGCTTTTATGAATGCCATTTTTTTTTTTTTTGGAAAAGTAACTAACCCTATTATCCTAGGCATTGGATTTTAAAAATGCCATCTGAAATATACAGTTCAGGTATCTCTTCTGAAGTAAAATATTGGTATGTATCAGTTGGAAAAGACTCTTTTCCACCCCCCAATTGTTAGTGTAGCTAAGATGATACACTTAAGACTTACACGAGTAAAGAATCACCTCAAAGAAATGCTCAGTAAGTCTTTGGTTTCTCTGGATTGGCATAAGGGAGTCTGTGTCCCTGTAGAAGAGGCTGCCAGGGGTTCCCCAATATATATTCTCCTCTCTTTTGTAGTGAGAGAACTGAGTACATAGGCTTATGTGTTTTCCAGCCTCACTTGTAGTTAAGTGTGACCATATGTCTATGTTCTGAAATATGAGGACAAAAAGAAGTTAAATTCTAGAATGTTTCCTTAAAAAATGGGGGCATATTTTTTGCTCTTCTTCCTTTCTACTGTCTGAAACGTGGGAGTGATGGCTTTAGCTCAAATAACCATTTTGGACAATGATGTTTAAGCCACCATTGCAGATGGTGAAGCAACGAGATGGGAGGCTGGGTCCTGGAAGGTTAGGAATCCCCATACTAGCCCTAGACTATTTACCTGCAAGTCTGTTTCCCTGGGACAGAAATAACTTTCTAACTTGTTTGAACTGTTGTTCACTGGAGAGTAGAACTTAATTCTAACACATCATCGGCCGGGCGCGGTGGCTCAGGCCTGTAATCCCAGCACTTTGGGAGGCCGAGGCAGGCGGATCACGAGGTCAGGAGATCGAGACCATCCTGGCTAACACGGTGAAACCCCATCTCTACTAAAAATACAAAAAATTAGCCGGGTGTGGTGGCGGGCACCTGTAGTCCCAGCTACTCGGGAGGCTGAGGCAGGAGAATGGCATGAACCCGGGAGGCGGAGCTTGCAGTGAGCCGAGATCGCGCCACTGCACTCTAGCCTGGGCGACAGAGCGAGACTCCATCTCAAAAATAAAAAAAAAAAAAACACATCGCCAATAATTTTTTTTTTTTTGCTTTGTAATATTCAAGTCATCAGTTGGCTCAAAAGGTGTCATTAAATCATCAAAATTTTAATTTACTTCAAATTAAAAAATATTTTCCACAAGCACATGTCTGAGTATACATGCAGGTAGAGTGGGGACACTTGCAGAATTAAAAAGGATCAAAAGTCCCACTGTAAGGTACATCAAGTATCGTTGATCCACGCTTGCACAGAAACCTACTTATGTCCTTTTCACAACACCTAAAAGATTGTGTTGCCTAACATACTGTATTGCAAGTGTTCGTTTAGGAGTTTACCAACACCATTCCCACTCCCTGCCATCTAGACTAGGAAGTTTCTGGTTCACCATCAAATCCTCAATGCCTAGCATTGTGCCAGGCACTCAAAAAACTGGGTGAACATGTGAAAGACTGGCCTTCGCAATAAGGACCCTTCTCATGATTTGAAATCCTCTCAAAATACAAGTTGAGGATCCCTAATCCGAAATCCACAAAGCTCCGAAATCCACAAAGCTCCGAAATCTGAAATGCTCCAAAATCCAAAATTTTGTGAGCGTCAACATGACACTCAAAGAAAGTGTTCATTGAAGGTTTTGGGATTTCAGATTTTTGAATTGGGGATGCTCAAACGGTTAAAGTATCTGCAAAAATCCAAAAGCCAAAACACTTCTGATCCCACGCATTTCAGATAAAAAGTACTCAATTGGTACTAGTTAGATATGGTACTAAATGAGTTCTGAAATTACTCACATCCCATCAGTAATCTGACAATAAATAAACAGTCATTTTAACAAAGTCTCCAAACTTCTGAATTATTAATGATGCTTAATACTATATAATGATACTTAATCAAAGTCCCAATTCTTAACTATTTTACTAAAAATAAGCCTGCCTATGTTTATACCGTTCTGTCCATAAAGAAAGAAAGAAAAAATAAGCCAGCAGAACAACCAGTACCAGAATTATATTTAGATTACCCTGGTAACCTAGATTACCTAAAAAAACCTAACATCTAAAAAATCCCTAATCCAGATTACCAGAGTAATCTAAATATAATTCACCCAATGGTTGTGGTAGTAAAAATATCACCCTGTATGTCATTATTATTCAGAATCATAAGGAAATAAACCACTCTACATAAGAATATTCTTTCTAAAATGTAATATACTCAGCCTTTTTGTCTTTTATTTCTTTACCTATAGAGATAATTATAGTTACTCATAGGTTCTTTTTTCCAAGACCACATGATTTTTAATGTGCTTCTCAAATAATACTCTCTCAATGAAAGGTAAAATAATAGTGTTTATTATATAATTTGCTACCTTCTTAAGTAGAATACATTCAACATAATTCAACTTTTTGTTATGACTCATGAGAGTAGGTCATCTTAAAAATAACTAATTATATAATTCCGTGTTGAATCCGATTCCTTATATAATAGGCATGTGTAGACAAGATATGTAGCAAGCACCTAAGGTTTAAAAAACATGAGCACATCTTGAAATGGACAAAAAGTCATATTAAATGTTCTCCTTTTTCAAGATTTCAGGATGTTGCAGAAAGAATGCCATAACTTCTGGGGGCTCTGTCATCCACTGAGTTTGAGGACCAACTAGAGCAATAATTTTGAATCTGTATTTCTTTTAAGGCTAATCTTAATATCTAAGTCATAAAGGACTTGACAGAAGTATAAAGGAATAGCCTCACGTATAGCCTGAGACACATACAAAGGCAGAAATCGGGCTGAATGACCTAGTCAAACACTGCACACAGCCTGGGTAAACACCCAATTCACGGTGTCCTTACCTGCCTCGATTAGCAAGATGGCCCAGCAATGCCTCCTGAGGGACCTATGTGCCCCTCTTCTTCTCCTGCATCACTTTTAACCTGTACACGTACACACACGCACACACACACACACACAATTAAGTTATAAGTTACATGTTAAATCCAGATGGTTTGAAGGGCTAAATGGTAAAGTAATAATGATAACAGCAATAATAACAAATATTTAGGGAATATATAGGGAAGTATTTTTACAATCCTGCATAGGGAAAGGCCTTCTATACTTTTCTTCTTCAACAGTGCCTTGATTGGTCCTAGGGGACCACTTACTCCCACTCAGTCCACGTGATTTGGGCCGGGATGAGCAACCTCAAACTCCGAAGATAAGCATGGATGTAGGCCTGGCCAATCATAGTCTCATACACCCTCCTGGTCACAGGGTCTGTTCATGAATAGGACACATAACCTAAGCCAAGACAATCAGAGGAAATGAGACTCTAGAATAAGACTTCTGTTGAAACTACTGGGAACAAATATTTTCTTGGAAGGGTTGCTGAGAGGCCAGAATGCAAACGCAGAGCTCCCGGCAGCCATCTTGCCACCAGGAAGGGAAGCCTCTTCTGAAGATGGAGACAGCATAGAATGAGGCGGACCTGAAAACGGGGTTAGGTAAGCAAGTCAACTGAATGATGTCGCTCGTGCCTCTGAATACAGAACTGCCTAAAGTTGCACTTACCCCTTTTTTTCCTAGGTCAGTTTACAGTTTGGGGCTGCAAACAAAAATTATAACGAACACACCTCCTTAGAGCATTCCAAATGAAATTAAAATTGCAAAATGCACAAAGGAAAAAAAATCTCTTTGCTCATACCTTTTCAATATAGAGAATATAAATCAAGATCTGAATACCAATCCCTAGATGTAGACAATCTTACCAACATAAAAATGTGATTGCCTGTCCCAGTATGAAAAACATCCTCCTGTAAACATTGCTACAACAATTTTTGAATCATTTAATTATTTGAAGATTACATCTCCAAGTATCAACAATAATAGAATATTATTACCTGCTTAGGAATAGACAGATTCAAAAAGATTTTAAAAGGAGGTGGCAGGCCATTAAAAACAACATGACAAATCATTTCTATAAAACTATTATTAGTGTCATGAAACTGTCCTGGTAGTATCTTTTGAGAAAATATGCACCAAAGAATTCCTGAAAATATGCTGCTAAACCTTGATTACAGCCTTCTGTAAATAGATGTAATCTAGGAAAACTCAAAAGCCTGTTATTTGTATAAATATAACATATTCAAGCTGACAAGCTGAAATTATCCGCCCTTTGTATTCTCCTCATAAGCACAGACTGTGTTATAAACAAATCCTTGCTAGTCTAGGCACCAGTTGAAATCCCCCCCTCCAAAATGGAGGCTATTGATAAAAGGCTTTTAATAAGTCGTAGTACAGATAGAAACACATGTATGTGGTGACTGATAGTAAAGTATTAAGTTTTCTTATAATACTAAAAATTCAAATGCTTAGAGTCCAGACAAGACAAAAGCAGGGACCAAGGAAATGGTTATTGATGACCATGTAATGAACCTGAAGGAACGAGTCCCAACCAAAGGGGGCAGCAGTCACTCATGAATACATCTTCCCAATTCTGATTTTTCAAAAGAAGCTAGAAAACAAATTTTGTGTGTAATCTCTTGATATCAAAAACATGTGGCCCATTGGCCTCTAAAGTATTTTGCTTGACACACAATTTCTTAACATTTGTCACAGACATTTAAGATCTAGAGATTTCACACAAAATTTTGCAGTGACTGTTGCCACCTTGTCCAAGATGTAAGGGTGAGAGATTCGGACCAATCTCTAAAGAAGCTCAAAGTTAGGACTGAGCAAGTATGGGCTGGAATTTGAGCAACGATCAAAGAGCAAGTATCCCAGCAGTTATGCACAAATCTCTAATTCTTAGATTTTAGACAAGTCATCTTCCCTCTCTGGGCCTGTTTCCATAAAATGACAAAACTAGATTAAGTAATAATATGAACGTTTCCTTCAGCAATACAATTTTATCATTCTATAAGAAGTCCCTAAAATAGCATCCCTATAAGTGAAAATTCTAGATTTCACCCATAACTAATAATGTACAAAATAGTTTACAAAAGAGAAACACCCACTACCTGTACTATTCATATTAGTAAATGAGTGTGTAAAAATAACTGACAAACTAATGTAATTCACAGACCTGTGTATTAAGTAGCTTCATGAATTTTATGAAGTTTTTCATGTCAAATACCATTAGAGAAACCACGCTCAACCTCAAAAGTCTCACAATCACACAGAAAGGGTCTTTATCTGTAGGAAGTATGGAACAGAACTACTGAACAAAATGAATGTATTTTAATACCACTCCCTAAAACACGGGAAGGAATTCTCTCCTGTATACACCCAAAAGTTTTTCTAAAACGGGAAAAAAAGGTGAAATCACAAAATCAAACACAATAAAGGTCAAGCTAAAGAATCATCTAGACTGGCAGCAATACCATAACTTCCTGTTATAAATATAAAGTAATGGGCTTTCAAATCAGAAATGCAATTTGATAGAAAGGCCATTCTACCAGGCTCTGGAAATTGAGTCCAAGGTGGACACTATCTGCCTCTCTCCAGCACTGTCCCTCCCCATCATTATCACCATTAATGATTTCCCTAATTCCACACATTACGTAAACAAAGAAAAAGGTAGCCATAAAAAAAAAAAACATCAGAAGGTTAATCATCAGCATTTATTAAAAATTAATAGCACTACTGGTGTTTTCAGCATTTTTAAATTTGAAAATTTTAAAATTAAAAGTATAATTTTAATATTAATATCAATATTAATTTTCAATGTGTGCTATTTCTAAAATGAAGAAAATACTCTAATAATGATCCCAAGTAAATTTTCTTTATGTAACCAGAATCAATTCAGCGGGAGAGGAATATTCTTCTGTCTGGGTATAATTATGTTTGGGGCTGCCTGCATTAACTTCAATCTTCCCTCCTGACATCTTTATAAATTTAACTTCATGATAATGTTCTATTCCTTTATCCTACTTCTTTAAAATAATCTCTCAAAGAAATCTTTAAGAATGTTTTATAATAATCACAAGAAATTAGTAATTATGGATTTGTAATTAGTAACCACTGAATCTTAGCAGGAATTACGAAAAAGAAAATCTATGGAATAGTATGTGTCAAACAAATAGTCACACCTTGCTTGCCTTATTCAACTGGGCAGAAATCAGACTTCAGTGAAAACTTTTAAAAACTTCTTTCAGGTTAAATGAGCAGACACTTTTTGAATTAACAGAATTCTAATTTTTAAAATCTCTTAAAAGAGACAATCTGATGTATTAACAAAAGAACAAAACAGAAGCTTGGTGATCTGGACTCAGGTACCAGCTGGTGCTACTGCTGACTGGCTATGATGTAACTTCAGGCAAGTTCAAAAATGCTCCCTGGGTCCTAAGCACTCTTGCTCTGTGAAATCAGGATGGGGACTTCTTTTTTTTTTGAGATGGAGTTTTGCTCTGCTGTCCAGGCTAGAGTGCACTGGCGCGATCTTGGCTCACTGCAACCTCCGCCTCTTGAGTTCACGTGATTCTCCTGCCTCAGCCTCCCAAGTAGCTGGGATTACAGACATCTGCCACCATGCCCAGCTAATTTTTGTATTTATAGTAGAGCCGAGGGTTCACCATGTTGGCCAAGCTGGTCTTGAACTCCTGACCTCAAGTGATCCACCCACCTCGGCCTTCCAAAGTGCTGAGATTACGGGCACGAGCCACTGTGCCTGGCCTAGGATGTGGACTTCTGAAGTCCATCATAATTCTATGGTAAGCCCCTTTCTGATAATATTGTATCCAATTCACAGGGTAATTAAAATAGTTCAAAGAGTTATCAACACTGCACCCTTTTGTCAGTTCTTCATTGTATATCCACCCAGGGGAAGTGTCATTGATAGATTTCTGAGCCTTAATCCCTTAAATCATAACAATATCCCAGAAATATTAGGTGTGTCCTAGAAAGTCTATAAAGATCTTCACTCACTTTTTTTTTTTTTGAAACAAAACTGCCTTCCCTTCTTCCTCCTGTTCTTTTTCTCTGTCAAATTAAAATATTTCCCTTAAGGTAAACTTCACAAATAAGGGTCTACAAACTCCTCTATGCGCCCTTATTCTGGGTTTTCTTTTCACTAACATGAAGCTATTCTCATCTACACGATCCCTCCGACAACTTGCCCACTCCCTACATTTCAGAAGACACTCTCAAAGCTCTTGCTCTGTAGCCCCGACCTATCCCCCAAGCTTCAGACTCTCACAGAAACTATGTGTTGTACAAAGCCACATGGACATCCCATGGATGCCTCAAACTCAACATGTCCAAAACTAACCTCCCCCAAACATGTTCCTCCTCCCAAATTCTCTATCCCACTTCACAGCACCTCATGCCCACCACCATCCCAGGCACCCAGCCAGAGACGGGGAATCTACCTCACCACTCCTTCATCTCCCTGACTCAACACACATGATACACAGACAAGGCTTTTATCTCTTACATGTGTTTTGAAACTGCCCCCTTCTCTCTATTCCTGCGACCATCACCAAGTTCAAGTAACTTTTCTTTTATTCACATGTTTTCATCAAGCTTAGGTTCTCACCACCTCCTGCTTAAGAGGCAAAACCTCTTTTTATATACAAAGCATGCATACACACACACACACACACACACACACACACACACACACACACACACACAGAGTACATAAAACATATACACAGTATCTCTGTGGTATTAAAATGTCATAAGGGAGAGGGTGATTAAGAAAAAAATGTCTAAAAAGCCCAGGATGGTCGGGGAAGCATAATGATGAAAAGGTTGAGAAATGCTACAGTTATTGGATTTATAGCTCCTTATCAGCAAAGACTGTATAAATGTACATGATAAAATCTCTAAGATAAATAATTCAAATTAAAATAATTTGCATTTTTGTTTTCTCCAAAAATTTCTTTTGTATCTTGGATATTATTGAATGTAATTTGCCCTCTGCCAAAGGGATGATGCCACTGGATAGTCATGAAGATGAATAATTTCCTATTAAAAGTAACCTAGAAATTAAGGAGTTAAAGTTTTGTTTTTTTTTTTTAAGGAAATTGTTTTTTAAAACACATTATAAAATATGTGTGAGAAAGTAGCTAGGACTGAATTAAGATTGAATAGTTATTTATGTCTGTTTCCTGTTTAGCCTTTTGACAATGTTCAGCCCCATATTTTATAGTCGGCTTTGGATAAGGCTTCCCAGAATAACCTTGATGTGGGGTCGGCTGGTAGGGAGGACCCCAGAACTACATCCTGCAATTCACACCCTATGAACGCATACTCTGCTAAACTCAACAACTTCAAAACAAAAAACAAATGTCACTGTCCCATTTCCTCTGCAAAGCCCTGTTTTCAAACTCCAAAACACAAAGAATGGGAGGAAAGGAAGAGAAAAAAAAAAAAAAAACCCGAACACGTTTAGAAACAAAGGCACATTGTGAGATAACATTAAGAGTCCTTTCATATTTTTTAAATTCAGCTAAAAATTCCCCTTCAAAATCTGAAAAATGGAACAGGTGAGTCTATGAGAGAAACAAATATCACATTAGCAACGTATTTTTGATGTGTATAGAACATCCTTACTCAATATAACATACTAATTTATGGACAAATGCTTGTCAGGTTGGGCAGTTATAAAAATGAAAACCTCAAATCACAGAAAAAAATAAATAAAATAAAATGAAATAATAAAAACCTAACAACAGCAGAGGAACTTCCATGAATGGGGAGAGCTGGTGAATGTGAAGGAGAAAAAGATGATGGAGCTTTTTTACAGCACGAAGACAAAAATTCCTAGCTTTGGAAGTGGGTCTCTGAAACATGAGGGCATATTTGATTAAAAAAAAATTAAGAACAATAAAGGGAAGAAAGCTGATGGTAAAGACCAGATTCTTAATACACCATCAAAAATGGAGGGCTTCTAGTAACCTGCTATGAACTAAATTGTATCTCCCCCCAAATGTATATGTTGAAGCTCCAACCCCCAGAGTGATGGTTTCTGAAGATGGAGCATTTGGGAAATAACTGGGTTTTGAGAGGTCATGAGGGTTGTCTCACTCAGAATCAAAGTCAAACCAACAAAACTATCTCTTACCATGACCAACAAGACCATCTCTCTTCACCATCCTATCCCACCCCACCTCCAACCTTACCTATCTCCATCTTCTCTTTCTCGGACTCACTCTCCTGCAACCATAGTTGGCCTCCTGGCTGTTCACTTACTAACCAAGGTTGCTCTGATTCAGGGCCTTTGCAATACTGTCTCCTCTGCCTAGAAAGGACTTCCCTCCACTGTCTGCATGGCTTACTCCTATAGCTTCTTCCCTTACAGGGAAATAAATTTCTCTGACTCCCATCCCATACACTCTTTTTTCTCACTGCCTTATTAATCACCAGAGCCCTTACCACCATCTGACATTCTTTCATTTACTTATTTGCTAATTGTAGGTCTTCTCTACTCGAATGTAAGTTCCATGAAGGCAAGAATTTTGTCTGGCTCATCAGAGCAATGTCTTACACATACTAGGTGTTCTTTAATATTTGCTGAATGAGTTGGTCTTGCTCATCTCTGAACTGTTAGTGCCTGGTGCTAGCTGTGTATATGTTGAACTAATGAGTATTCAAAGGAAGCAAGTCATGGGAATAGATGAATTCACTCCCCAAGACAGAAAAAGAGAAAAAGGCCAAGCATGGAACACTGAGAGACTGGTAATACTTAAAAAACCAGACTGACGGCTGGGTGTGGTGGCTCACGCCTGTAATCCCAGCACTTTGGGAAGCTGAGGTGGGAGAATCAGTTGAGCCCAGGAGTTTGAGGTCAACCTGGGCACTGCAGTGAGACCCTGTCTCTAAAAAAAATAATAAAAAATAAAAAAAAGAATCAGTGATGGAAAAGAAGCCAGTGGAGGAAACAGAAGAAGAGCAACCCAAAAATTAGAAGAAAAATTAGGATAGCGTATTATGGAAGCCAAAGGAAAAATGATCAGTAGTATCATAACTTGGCAGACAGGATGCGGGCTGAAAAGAAGTGGATGCATATAAAATTAGTTGAGCTGAGGTAGTAGAGTCCAACTAATGACCCAGTTGCAGTTGGCTAAAAAAAGTGGAGGTAGAACTTTCTATGTACATCTCTTTTAGAAAGTCCATCAGTAAAGAGAAGGAAGAGTCAAATGTGCAATGGCAGGGAAATAGAGCAGAGAAGGTATTTTTCAGAATAGAAGATACTTGAGTCAACGAAGAAGGAAAGACAGAAGAAGATATAAGAGGAAGTGAAGATAACAGAGAAAAAAGTTCAGAAGGGAACGGGAAGAGTAGAGGTAACCAATTAACCTTGGGAATAAGGAAGGAGAGAGATAGGTAACAATATACAGAAACACTTGAAGGAGAGTAAAAGTGCAAGAATTCCCATCTCTAGTTTCTAAGTGAAGGAGTTCATGAGGTCATATCTGAGAGTAAGAAAGGAGAAGTGTGGTTGTGGTTAAGAGCAAAAAAAAAAAAAAAAAAAACTTTAACAGCTGTAGGAGAAAAGAAGGAAATCAATCCCTAGTTGTCTGAGGAATACACAGAATTCCTAAGGCACGACAGAGGAGCCAGGAGAGCTTGTAAGTAATTAATCAGTATCAAAGCCAGCCAACAGGGCTATAGCAGTTTCTGTCACACAGCAATTGGCAGCCTGCCAGGAGAAAAACCGAGTTAGAGTGGCTGTGCCTGGGACTGCATCTCAAGGGTCCTGTGGAGAATATATTCAATGACTGGTCATAGGGTGTGTCAGACCATTTTTGCATTGCTATAAAGAAATATCTGAGTTTGGGTAATTTATAAGAAAAGAGGTTTAATTGGCTCACAGTTCTGCAGGCTGTACAGGAAGCATGGCACTGGCATCTGTTTCTGGTGAGGTCTCAGGAAGCTTACAATCATGGCAGAAGGCTAGCAGGGAGCAGGCCTGTCACATGGCAGGAGTGGGAGCAAGAGGTGGGGGTCGAGGGAGGCACCACACACCTTTAAACAACCAGATTTCCTGAGAGCTCACTATCATGAGGACAGCACCAAGAGGACAGCATCAAATCAACCATAAGAAATCCACCCCCACAATCCAACCACCCCTACCAGGCCCCACCTTCAACACGAGGAACCACACTTCAACATGAGACTTGGGGGGACAAACACCCAAACCATATCACAGGGCTTCTGGCTAAGCAGGGAAATAAAAGCAGCAGGTTTGGGTGAGGCTGACAGAATTGGAGAACAGGAAAGAGATCAGATTTTCAAAATCAGCATGATGATGAGAAGCAAGTTTAGTTAAAGTTGGAGAAGAAAATACCTGATTGTGCAGTCTCTGAAGTGGGAAGAACAAGGTTCAGTAAGTTCTGAGGAGTAGAAATGAAGGTCGCTAAGAGACGAAGGTCTGTGATTTTGGTGGTCTTGATGAGAGACATGATGGTGGAGAGAGGGAGAAGTACAGGGACATGGGTAGTAGGGACGGGACCAAAAAAAACACCAAGAGCTGGTGACAAAGGGCCATTGAAGATGGAGCAGAGTCCACAGGTCCTGGGGGCAGCCTGGAGGGAGAACCATGTTGGCTGTGAAACTAACTGGAAATCCCACATCTTCTGATCCCAGAACAACCCAGCTCTGGAGAGATCTAGACTTACAAGTAGGCACAGTGAAGGTCACTAGGGTCACCATTTTAGTCTACCTGAAACACAATTCACTCTCTGAAAGAAGTTATAAAAAGCAAGGTCCACCTCCTAACAGTGACAGGCTAACTTTATTTAACTAAATATAGTTTTACTATATTTAGTAATCTAACTTCAAATGCTTTCAATCAGATGCTATATTAAATTGAATCAGCCTATCTTCCTAATTATTAAGCATGGCTTGGAAAAGCTGAAGGAAACACAACACTGCTAATTTGCACAGAGGCTTAGAAAGTGATTCACTTGAAAGCCCCTCCCCTAATTCAGGTAAGAAGGAAGAAGATAAGTAAACAATGATGTAAAGCTTTAATTACTGGCTCACACTTTTTATGATAAAACACACACTGCAAAATTCTAAGGTGGCCAAACAACTCTTAAGCATGCTTTGAACTTTAGTGCAAAGAAAGAGATACGTCTGTAGGCTTTTGACAAACATCTAGGTATTTTCATTTAATTTTCCCACTCTTGTTTGTTGAGTATGTTTTTCCACAAGCAGAATTAAATTAAGGAAAGCCAGGCTTTTTAAAAAGTAATTGAATATTAGCATTAGTCAACAGCAACAGTTTGTAATATGGTATTTCCACTGCAGCACCTAGGGATGGCAGAAAACGGAGGCTGCTGATAAACTGTACTGGCATCTTATCTGTACCCTTACTAGATTTCTAAAGTTTATTTAAATGGTTATTCTGTATCTGTGTCTCATAAAGGGATGTCATCAGAACTGCCACCTAAGGAGCTATTCCTAAAGACCTCAGACCTACTGATTCAGAATCTCCAAGAATAAGGATCCAACAAGTAGATTTTAACTTCTTCAGTGTCCACCACACTGTCCTGTTTAAGAACACCTGTAGTGTAATAAGGTAAGCATGAAGTGTCCCCAATTAAGAACACAATCAGCTTTAGAGCAGTGGTTCTCAGCCTTGTCTGCACAATAGAATCACCCTGGAGGACATTAAAAAATCCCAATGCTAGGCCACACCACAAACCAATTAGTACATCAGAATCCCTGGGGTAAGACCTAGATATTGGCCTTTTGCTGCCCATGGGATTCCCATAGTCAATCAAAGTTGACAACCAGTGAAGCAGAGGACCACGTCAAACAACTGTTTAATGAATAAATGAAAAAGACTAATTTAAAATTCTCTGAATTTTTCCTTATTGAACACAAGAAATGATATTCCATGCTATCAGCAACATGCAGACTAGGATCAAAGGGCTATGGACCTTATAGTAACTGGAGAGATTGTCTGTGAGTCATCAGGCAGACAACAGAAACCAAACTAAGCAGGTGGCAATGTGTTAGGAAACTCCTGAATGCATTTAACATTTAGTAAAAGGATCTCGACATCACTCCAGGCAAAAGGAATGTTGATCTAGTAGTTAAGGTAAATTTTCTTTATGGAAGAGACTGCCTCATTAAGTCACCTTGTGCAATCCAGTTCATTTCTTCAAACCTTTCTGTTGCAAAATAGCATCAAGAAAGTTCTGAAGTCCAGGTTTTAGATACTTATTTTGCTCTTTTTAAAAGGAAAACACTTGCTACTTAGAAGTTCATCTATGCTTTTGCTCCCTGGACTTTCTGAAGTTTCAGCAAACAAGTCTTTAATAAAGATACCATGCATTTAACAAAGGACAAGATTTCTCTCACCAGTTTAACCACCGACAGGGTTCATGTCACAGGATGAGGGTCAATCAGGATTGGTCAAAGTGATGTCTAAAAGGAAGAAGCTGAGGCAAAATTAACATGGAGTTCATTTGGGCCAAGGCTGAAGACTGCAGCCAGGGACACTTCCAAGTTGCCTTAGGGGGTGCTCCAGAGAACTCAAGAGAGAACAAGTTTGTTTTGTTTTGTATTTTTGGAGACAAGGTCTCACTCTATCACCCAGGCTGGAGTGCAGTGGCCCAATCTCGGCTCACTGCAACCTCTGCCTCCGGGCTCAAGCAATCCTTTCACCTCAGCCTTCCGAGCAGCTGGGACCATAGAGGCGCGCACCACCATGCCTGGAATGTTTTTTATTTTTTGTAGAGACAGGGTTTTGCCATGTTGCCCAGGCTGGTCACAAACTCCTGAGCTCAGGTGATCCACCCGCCTTAGCCTCCCAAAGTGCTGTGATTACAGGCATAAGCCATCATGCCTGGCCCAGAGGTCAAGTTTTTTTTTTTAAAAAAGCAAGAATCAGGAGAGGGGACAATTACAATCATTGTTCACCAGGAATTCTCATTGTCTTACAAAAATAACATTGATTATTGGCTATACATTGTTGAACTATAGGTATACGGCATTTTATGGCTTCTCGGCAGCAGTCAGCATAGCACTCAAATAGCAAGTGGCTTCAAGAGGTAATTATTTAGCTCAAGGGGAGTGATATGACTCCTGTTTCATTCCAATGCCTCTCTTGGGCCTGAAAATTTAAAGGGGCTCACGTTCTTCAAATAATGGATTATGAAGCTGGGTCATACCACTTCCACAGGGCACCAAGAGCAGCCCAAGTAATCAACATGTAACCCCATGTAATCAACACCAGCCCAGGGAGCTGGGAGTAGAGGTTAGGAAGATTGAAGAACTGATAAAAACAAAGTACCACCAAATGAAAATCTGTACTCACTCAATTCAAACACAAGTGGGTTCCCTGCCAAGCCTCAAGAGAAAACTGGAAATAGGTTAATTTTAAAGTTACAGTTAGTTATGTAATTGACTTAAGGAATCAGATTTTTTTTTTTTCTTTGAGACAGGGTCTCACTCTGTCACCCAGGCTGGAGTGCAATGGCGTGATCACAGATCCCTGCAGCATCGACCTCGGAGCTCAGGTGATCCTCCCACCTCAGCCTCCCAAGTAGTTGGGACTACAGGTGCACACCACCACGTCCAGCTAATTTTCCCATTTTTTGAAGAGACAGGATTCGTCATCTTGCCCAGGCTGGTCTCAAACTCCTGTGCTCAAGCAACCCTCCCACCCTGGCCTCCCAAAGTGCTGGGATAACAGGCATTAGCCACCATGCCCAGCCCAGATGATACATTATAAGTACCTACATAAGGTTAAGAAACCAGTGAGATTATTTTCCTAAACTAAAAGAACTTCCACAAATTTTGGCAATCTTTGAAGATCACTAACAAGTTTCTTAAGACATGGGAGCATTGCAAGATAGGAGCTTGGGGGTGATGAAATAGAGCCAGAAAAACTGGACTCTATTCTGCATAAATTTTCTTTCAAAATTAAGACAATCTTTTGCAGATTAAAATAAGGATCTTCAAACTCTGTTTCCGTGGATCACTGATTCTCTGTGCCCTGAACAGAGTCATTCTACTACCCAAAATCAGATAATGAAGATCCTTTGTCAACTAACACGGAGGAATAGTTAAGAAGATTGTTGTCAATTTCATGATGCACTCACATTTTGTAACCTTGGGTACTTGCTATATAGCTTGTCTACACAAGCCTCTATTATATAAGGAGTCTGACTTATTACAAAATTATACATTAGCTATTCGAAGCTTATTTTTTAACATTTTGAGGTGTCACAGGAAGAATGCTAAAACTTCTAGGGGCTCTGTCACCACTAAATGAATTTGAGGACCAACCAGAGCAACAGTCTGTAGTCTGTATTTTCTTTTATGACTAATCTTAATACATAAATCATAAAGAAGTTGACAGGAGTAAATGCATAGTTTCTTTTAGTAGAAGAGCTCTAAATCACAAAGACCCTCATGATGGTTTTATGAAAAGGGTCCTTTCAATTCCCTAGCACCTAGCCTGGTGCCTGGCATGTAGTAGGCCCTTCATAAAGTGGTTTGACCTGAAGATGGAGACATAAGCACTGTTGTGTGTCCTTACACGAGTTACGTGGCTGGCACAGCCTTGCTTTCCTCATCCAGAAAAAATCAACAGGGGAGAGGGGCAGGGGATAAATGTTATCACAAAATTGTTTACCTAAAGTTTAATAGGAACTTATCATTTGCAAATCATATTAGTGAAGGTTGCTTTTTGCATTAGAGCAACTGTGCTCTCCTTTCTGCTTTGGACACTAGCAACTCTAAATTGGTTTCCAGTCTTTCACAGCTCCGTGCTGTGCTTTCAAATCCTCACTCCAGTCCCGTTGTGATCTGAATGTTTTTCTATCACGCCTGTTTAGAGACAAGGTCTGGAAACATGGCACAGAGTATAGCTAACCACCTTGGCCAATTATAGGCATGACCCTGTAACCTTGTTTTTTCACTGCTCCAATCCTTCAATTCCAGGAACTTATGTTCCCAGGAAAAGCTAGTTACTGAAATGGACACACGTATAATTAGTTTAGAGAATGTTCCAAACTCTACTCCACGTCATTTTTTTTTTATCCTTGCATTTACTGTTTGTTTTAATGGCTGGAAAGGGAAGTTTAAAAGGAAAGTGCCAGAAACAAAGGAGAATGTTTAAAACATACAAATCACCCTATAAACATAAAAAATAAAAAACAAAGGAGAATGCTTAAAACATACAAATCACCCTATAAACATAAAAAATTTTAATTCACTGGTAGTAAAAGATGCAAATTAATAATTACTATTAACTTAATAAATCCACAAGATACTTTATCTTAGGTAGTAAAGATTTTGTTTCGTCTCCCTTTAAATTATAACATCTAGAGTTGAGATAAGGAGGTGAAGAAAAGGATAGTTTCTCTCATACTAAGCTGGTGGAAGTATAAATAACAGGTTGAGCACACCTAATGGGAAAATCCAAAATCTGAAACGCTCCAAAATCCAAAACTTTTTGAGCGCTAACATGATACCACATATGGAGAATTCCAAAGTTGAACTCATGTGATGGGCTGCAGCATAAAACAGTCAAAACTTTGTTTCATGAATGAAATATTTAAAAATATTGTATAAAATTACTTTCAAACGCTCAAAACTACACAAATACCTGGAAATTAAACAATCTCCTCCTGAATGATTTTTGGGGTTAACAAATCAAGATGGAAATTTTAAAATTCTTCAAGATGAATGATAATAATGACACAAGTTTTCAAAACCTCTGGGATACAGCAAGAGGAAAGTGCTAAGAGGAAAGTTTATAGCACTAAATGCCAACATCAACAAGTCTGAAAGTTCACAAAATGACAACCTAACATCACACCTCAAGGAACTAGAGACAAAAGAAAACACCAAACCCAAAGCTAGCAGAAGGAAAAAAAAAAATAACAAAGATCAGAACAGAACTAAATGAAACTGAAACACAAAACAAAAGATTAATAAAACAAATTGGTTCTCTTAAAAGACAAAACTGATAGACCATTAGCTACACTAACCAAGAAAAAGAAGAGAGAAGGTTCAAATTAGTTCAATTGGAAATGAAAACGGAGACATTACCACTGACACCACAGAAATACAAAAGATCATTTGAGACTGCTATGAACACCCCATGCATACACACTAGAAAATTTAGAAGTAATGGATAGATTCCTGGAAACCTACAACCCTCCTAGCTTGAATCAGGAAGAAATAGAAATCCTGAACAGAAGAATACACACAGCAAGATCGAATCAGTTTAAAAAAAAAAAAAAAAAAAAGCCAACAAAAAAAAATCACAGGGCCAGGCAGATTCACAGCCGAATTCTACCAGACATTCAAGAAAAAATTGGTACCAACCCTACTGAAACTATGCCAAAAGACTGAGAAAGACGGAATCCTCTCTAACTCAGTCTATGAAGCCAGTATTACCCTGATAGCAAAAGCATGAAAGAATGTAAAAAAAAAAAAAAAGAAAAAGAAAGAAAGAAAACTACAGATCAATTTCCCTGATGAACACAGATGCAAAAAAGACTCAACAAAACACTAGCAAACCAAATCCAACAGCATATCAAACAGACAATTCACCATGATCAAGGTGGGGTTCATCCCAGGGATGCAGGGATGGTTTAACATATTCAAGTCAATAAATGTAATTCATCACATAAACAGAGCTGTAAAAAAACATGATCATCTCAATAGACACAGAAAAAGCATTCACTAAAATCCAGCATTGCTTTGTGATAAAAACCCTCAACAAACTATGCATAGATGGAACATACCTCAAAATAATAAAATCCATCCATATATGACAAACCCACAGCCAACATCATACTGAATGGGGAAAAGTTGAAAGAATTCCCCCTAAGAACTGGAACAAGACAAGGATGCTCACTTTCACCACTTCTGCTAAACGTAGTACTGGAAGTCCTAGCCAGGGCAATCAGGCAAATGAAAGAAATAAAGGGAACCCAAGTTGGAAAAGACGATGTCAAACTCTCTCTGCCAATGATAAATGAATTCAGTAAAGTCTCAATTTACCAAATCAGTTTACACAAATCAGTAGCACTGCTATACACAAAAAACGACCAAGCTGAGAATCAAATCAAGACCTCAACCCATTTTACAATAACTACAAAAAATAAAATACCTAGAAATACACTTAACCAAAGAGATGAAAGATCTCTACTAGGAGATATATATATCTCTGTCCCAAAATCCAGGCTCAGCAGAAGGATCAAAGCCAACACTTCACCAAAGAGGAACACACCCCTAGGAAAGCCAACATTTGACTTTTGACCTGAGCTGCTAAGATAAACTGGGCCAAATTTCTATTTATTAGGAATTCCTATTTGGAAGCCCAGTCGTGCTTGTAGGCTCTGGATCTGAGGTGCTATGAATCAGGATCAGAGCCAGTGACCATGTGGAATGTGGAGCCAATTTCAACATAAATAAGCAGATAAGTTGTATGATGCATTTTTATTATAATCATATATTACTTTCAAAATTAAAAACAAATGCAAAAACTTTTGGTAAGAAATAACCCAAGTATCTGATTGCATGTCAGAGAAGAGGATACTGGTTTCCTGTTGGTGAATACCACCTGCATCTATTCCAAGCCCACACAAAGAAAGTGCTGGAGGCAAAACAGGGATAGGTACTTGTTTTCAGACCACAATTGTTGGTTTCTGCTTTCCTGTTGGTTTTTTTCAGAGCTGTCTATAAACACAGGAGTATTGACTTATTACTGCCATAACAAAAACACCTTGTATTTGCAAAACATACTTAAGTGGAGGTACGGGAACTGTTCTGTAGACACTGGCTAAGTCAGACACACAGTCATAGAATCACACGGGCTGCTGAGCTCAAAGCACTTTATAAATCAACCCATCCAGGCCAGGAGCAGTGGCTCACGACTGTAATCCCAGCACTGAGGGAGGCCGAGAGGCAGGAGGATCGCTTGAGTCCAGGAGTTTGAGACGAGCCTGGGCAACATAGTTAAGACTTTGTTTCTACAAAAAAAAAAAAAAAATTTATGAGTGAGGCGTGGTGGTGTATGCCTGAAGTCCAAGCTACTCCAGAAGCCTGAGGTAGGGGGATCACTTCAACTTGGGAGGCTGAGCTGTGACTGTGCCACTGCACTCCAGCCTGGGCAACAGAGTGAGAACCTGTCTCAAAAAGAAATCAACCCATCCTCCCGTTACAGATGGATACTCATGGAGGGACATCAAGTTTTCACATTATTCACGAGCTATGTCTGTCTAGCCCCATTTTTTTAGGGGATCTGAGGCAAGAGATTCATAGAGAAAAATCAAGGTGCTGGGAAAAGAGCAATTACTAATCCTTAAAGAACTACACTCTAAGAGAGTCCACCTTCTCTTGAAAGGAAGTCCTAGATCACAAGCTGATCCTAATTCAACTATAATTCCCATACTGTCCCTAGAATAGCTCCAGAATGTACAAATTCCCCAGGGCACTTAATTCTACCTGGGGCCAAAAAAGTCCCCAATGCAGCTCAACATCCTCTGGAGTAATGGAAAGCCACCAGATCAGAAGGGGAATGGAAGGAGAGGGGCATGAAATGAAAAACAGATTCTCCCTAAGATTCAGTGATCAAGCCAAAGCTGCCAAGAAACATGAAGATCACAGGCCCAAAGCACCCACCCTGAGCCCCTCCAGGCTAAGCTGAGGTGGGGAAACGGGGGCAGTGTCATGGAATGGGGAGAACATGATGCCAGAGGTGGTTGCCTCAGGCTCTGTAAGGAAAACACACATTTTGAAACATGAACAACCATATAGACAAATTCAAAGAAAGGGGCAAGACTGTATTCAGTCTAGACAGCTACTTCAACCCTTGTTGTCCAGTGGAGACACTTTCAATCCAGCCAAGCTATCCTCTTGGCTCTCAATTTAGGACAGAGAGGCCTACGTTGAATGATTAGAGCCTAATAGGGTGCACCTATGATCATTCATCTTGGACCCAGTATTCATCAGGCCTCTAAACAAAGAACAGAACAGCCTGGGGTCAACCATGGGCACTCACCCATTTGAATAGGCAGGACTCACTCACCCCACATACACACACATACTCATATATGCACACACACACATACTGATATATGCACACACATATAAACTTAACCTTGGGGTTGGCTGCTGTCAAACAGTTCTGTCATCCATTCCTGATGACTCACACCAGAGAAATAGATATATAAGTAAACTGGAAAACTACAAATCACCCCTAAATCATTTCTTTCCAGGAATGAGGATGTGATTTTTCAGCAACTCAACATTTCTATTAGCTTATTTATCCCACACATCTTCTCCTTCCCAATACTGAAACTAGTTGAAATTCCCTGAAGTGACGGCAAGTGAAAGAAACAGGTTAGAGATGAGTGGAAAAAAGAAACAGTCCAGGATTTTAACAGATTTTCATGGTTGGGAGGTCATCAACATTCAGACACCCAAAAATCAACAATATCTATAGACCCCTACACTGCAGGGGAGGTAAATGACTACAATAACTCTTCTGTATCTCAGAGAACATACAGGCATAAAGAATGGCCAAGTAATGTGCTATCTGACAAATAGGACAATCAGCAGTATACAACATTATCACATGGTCTTACAACATCACAGCAAAATTATAACATTGCTTTACAATGAGCAAAAATCCTTTTCGTTCCTGGCCAGCAACTTGATTGTAATACAGATACCCAATATTTTAAGAATCATGGAAGAGGATGCCTACCCAAAACACTTAGAATTTCCACTACTTTTAGTGGTACAACTGATTCTGTGAATACAGACAAACAGGAATGCAGGAAATGCTAGAATTCATTCGTCAACCTGAAATAATTTCCCCCAAATAAACCCTGAATGTGTTAGAATTCAAGAGTGATGCAAACCATTGTCTAAGCCCATAGTCTCAGAGGAAAGCACATTTATTAAAGCACGTTAATGTTCCCTTGGCCATCCTAGCGTGAGGTATACAGCATGCGCATCTTTAATGGTGCCACTCTGGAATGCACATCCTGCACTCTGCACTCTTCTTTCTTTCCTTGTCCTACTCCTACTCAGAGCCACTCTGAGCTTAAATGCAAACCAGCTTCTCTGTACTAGCAGAAAAGGAAGAACCAGGGTAGATGGGATGAAAGTGTGATTCCTTCAACCATTATCATAACAATTACATAGGTACTAAGTCACCACTCTATTTGACATTACAGATTCATTAAAATGAATTCCATAATTCCAAATCGTTTTCTTTTGATATGTCTATGCTGTTCAGAGTCTGGTCTGTCACTTTTGGTACCTCAGGAACTAATTCAAGAGTTGAACAAGTCCTAGAAGCTCCATTCATATTAACCCAACTCAAAGACCACAATGCTCCAAGTAGAAATAAATCCCAAGAGACCACAGGGTTCTAGTTAGGCTGATTTACCACTTAACAAAGAAATAAAAGTCCTACTGGTTTCAACCCTGATTTGAAAAAATTCTTTATATAATGCATATTTTTCCTATCTCAAGAGGGCAGAGTGCTCTAAACAGGATGAAACTCTCTGACAATGACTCAAGGGGCATTCTTCTGAACACAGAATCACAGACATCTTCCACGCTACAGTCCAGCCCTCTTGTTTTACAGAAGCAGATTAGGACAAGTGACAAATGTGTCCAAAGTCATATCAGCACTTACATTCCTATACTCGATCATTAATTGACACCACCAATCCCCCAAGTATCCCAATCTCAGAACTTGGAATATAGCCTGGATAATGAGTAAACTCCATGCTTCTCTGAATAGGCTTCAACAGTATGAGCCAAAGAAAAAAATAAATTAGTTCCCCCCGCTTCTGATCTAAACCCCTAGAAGACAGGCCAGTAGGTAGCAGGTCTTGCCCTCATTTGTGAGGAATGAGGGGCTGCAAGTGGGGAAGTGTGAGAATGTCAGAAGGTAACTTCACCATGAGTTTCCTTGTAGACCCAGTAAGAGACACATGGTACAACTGGTCATTAGCAAGACAGCATTGCCTGCCACATCCATCCTATGGGAAGATACCAGGACTATGATATTCTATAGGCAATAACACTTTCTTCCTTGCCAGCTGCACCCATTAACAGACCACAGTTTGTTTTTAAGTGATCTAGTACTTACATTTCACAATCCAGTTGAACCATGGGAATTCACTGGGTAGGATTTTTGATAAGGTATCTCACCCGGCTCAAATATATTAAGCTAACTCAGAAAGGTCTCCTAAAATAATCGGTAGATTCCTGAAGGGTCAGGATGCTGTCCTGATTCTAGGGCCAACCACTTTACTTAACATATAGTAGATATTCAATAGTTATTTGTCAAACTGAACTGGACATATGTTGGGTATGTTAATATTGGGACTAAATATGCAAAAAAAAAAAGAGAGAACTTCAGAAGTCTGGGTTTTATTATTACAATTTGTAATGATGTAGCATATGTACTGAAAATATCCCCAGAGAATATCTAGTCAAGTCCTTTATATTCATACAGCAGAAAATTGAGGCTCAGGACAGATAAGTGAATGCTTCCATACTTACCTGTTATATGGGGTACTGAACCAGATCTTACACACACACACACACACCCCATGACCACACCGTTTTTTCGGGAGGGTGGGGGTCACTTGCTCTTATCATCTAGGAATGAACAAGCGAAAATTCCAATGACAGGCTGGTAACCTTGGTTCTCATCAAATTGAAGTTTCACATTAATGTGTTCCAGAGGATAATGTGCTAAGTTAAATTAATCATCCAATTATTTAGTTAATAGACTAAGTTTATCTGGGATAATGTATGTTTTCAATATAAGACCTTTTCTAAAAATCATTAAATCAATGGAAAAATATGAACATTTGAAATAAATACTCACATGTAAGTTAAGGGCCATTTCTCGGAAGGATCTGGTATCTCAACCTCTCTCATTTAAGAAGTCTATTTTCCTAACCTTTCTGTATATAAAACATCACCCTCCCACACACAATCCTAGATTAAAATATATATTCCTGTCTCTCAACAACATTTTCATCCCCAAGATCCAAGCCACCATGTAAACCTCTGGTTTCAATGATGCTTTATAGCCAAGACTGGACTCTTAAGAAGCAGAATTGGGAGCAGAATAGTGAGAATTTCATTCAAACTCAATGTTTTTCAGAAGAGAAGGCCCAGATTATAAAATATTTTACCCCAGGTCATTCAATTAAACAGCAGGGCCTGAATCAGAACGTGCCTTTGTGATCCACAAAACTGTCTGCCTTTATGGAAGTGATTTTGAGACTCTCAAAGAACCTATTACTGAAAAACTGCCTCTTCCCTAAAAAATGGATCAAACTCCAGTTACCTATTTTCATTCCTGTTAATAACTATATTTCTACTTCATATTTTATGTCTAGAGGTTGCTAGTTTTGTTATTTCTTCTTCTTGTAGCTAATAATTATTGTCTCCTATCTCTATTAAGTAAAATAATGGCAAAGTATACTGATCCTTTTGCCAAGCAGAGCTGAGAGCCCCTTCTTGTACTCCTCATATGATCTCATTAAAATAAATAATTTTCATGTTCCAAACTTTTAAAAGTTTTATTTAATTTCTAAATTCACTTATTTTTTCCCCACAAAAAATTTCCATTTGTCTTTCTTTCGTATTAAAGGTTTAGACAGGAAACCAGATAATGAAATTCAGTGGAATGAACAGGCACTTTAATTCTGTTTGCCGGGCACTGGCAACAAAAAGTATTTGGGAACATAATAGGCACAAAGGGAGTCACTGGGCAGTAAAACTTCTGGCTTATCTTCTCATCCAGGTTGAATTCATTTGGATGGGGTGGGAAAGTAGGATAACAATATGGCAAATTTTCCACTTTGTTGCCACCATTGGTGGGAAAATGTTAAGGCAGAGACTGCAAGCCCTGTGGCATGGTACAATATTTTAGAGTTTTTTTCTTTATGGCACAATATTTTAGTTTTTTTTTTAAAGTATAATCACAGGCTGAAGTGAATTATGCATTTATAAAAACTAGAAATGCAAAAAAGGAATTCTAATATCATTAGTGGTTTTGTAATAACACAACTGTAATTAATAATTTGCATCTTGAACCTGTGCAGATAAAGCTGAAGTCAAATGGCAGTTCGAATCTCCCAGTTAACCACTGTCACTGTTAACAAATAAAAAAAGATTAGATAAAAGTAAGACACAATGAAGCAACTTTTGTTTAAAGATTTTTCTACCCCTACAGTGCAGAGAGAAAAACAAAAGGGAATCACATAATTTAAAAAGATAAGGGTGAAGGGGAAAGGGAGCATTTTAATCACAGAGTGTAAAATAATAAGGAAGATGCATGTATGTATGCTTCCCAGCCCATTATTGTCTATAACCCTATGGTTCCACGAAGAAAGGAAACAGGAAACTGGAGCAAGCCATCTAATGAACCAATGAGGCCAAAAGGGTAAAACAGCAACCCTCTCCATTTGGATGACTTCCAAAATTGCATCCATCCATCTGAGAAATGATCATTGAATGCTTACTTTGAGTGAGGCAATATTCTGAGCAACAGGGATAGAGCAGTGAACCAAGCAGAGAGCAACCCCATCCATACAACCCCCATTTCTAATACTGCTTTTAGGCTGCAAAAATGTATTTCCAACATGGCACCTCCAACTCACACATCTAGTTGCAAGATCATCTTCTTTGCTCCCCAAATTACTCCTTCTATGTGTCCCCTGTCTCAGTTAAAAGCATTACCATCCACTCATTTCTTCTGACCACCAAATTGTTGTCATGTTAAACTCCAACCTCTCCATTTTTACCTCTACCAACTCCTTCAGTATATCACAGAATACCTGATTGCTGAATATCTACAAAGTTTCTTGACTCTGTCTCCACCTTTTCATTCCCTGTACCATTAGGGACCTAATCATCTTTTGCCTAGATTACTGCACAAGCCTCCTGAGGATTTTAGGTCTTCCCTCTGAAAGCTGCTCAATACATCCTCCATTTCACTTGATGAAAATCATATCCTTTCTCCTCCCTAAAAAACCCCCATATGAATCCTTGACTCCTCTCTTCATTCTTCCGCACATCCACTCCATGAGAAAATTCTATTGATTCAGTCTCCAAAATACATCCATATTCTGACCACTTGTCACCTCTCCCCTTATCACACTGTTCAAACCAAATTCATCTCTACAATGACTATAATACTTCACTGGCCTCCCAGCTTTAACATTGCCCTAGGTTAGCCTATTCTCAAAACAGCAGCGAGAGTGATCCTTTAAAAATGCAAGTTAGTCAATATTGTTCCCTACTCAAAACCCTATGAGGTACCCCCACAGTCACTAAGAGTAAAAGCCAAAGTCCTTAAAAAGGCCTGAAAGCCCTAGATGATCTGGCCTCTTATTTCCTAACCTCATCTCCTCTATTCTCTCAGTCACTCACCCTACTCTTTCTGCTTCAGCCATTGGCTCCTAAAAATTCCTCAAACACAGAATTGCTCCTGTCTTAGGACCTTTGCATAGGCTGTTCCTTCTGCCAGGAACATTCTTCCCTACATATCCACATGGCTAACTCCCTCACTCCTTCAAGACTTTTCTCAAATCTCACCTCCTCCATGAAGCCTACCTTGACCACCTATTTCATAATGCAACTTCCTCCTATATACTCACAACCCCTTTATCATGTGCTATTTTTTCCCCAAAGCAATTATCATCTAACATACAATATGTAGTTTACTTACCATCTTTATTGTTTACTGTGTCTCTCCCCATTAGAATGTAAACTCTACAAGGGGAGAGATTTTGTCTTTGTTCAGGGTTTTATGCCAACTGCCTCAAGTACCATGCCATAGTTAAATGTTCAACACTGACTGAATGAATGGACTGATCACCCTGGTTGCAGGATCTTTGCCCCAAGGTCATCTTTTTCAAGCACAGCTCATGACATCAACTCCCTGCTGTAATTTTTTTAAATAAAAGTATAAATCAGACTTCCCCTAAAAAAACCCAACTCTTTTTGCTGATCCCTTTCAACATTTTTGCTTTAATATCACTTTTAATGTTCTTAGTACAATTGTTATATTTTACAAAATACTCTTTCTGGAATGTAGTGGTTGTTTGGCCTTCTGTATGACATTTTAACTCACCTAGTTTCCTTTAGAAAGTTACTGACTTTAAAAGAAAATCTTTTTGAGCACGAGTGCTGCCACTTTAAAGACTACTTACAGGACATTTTAGGGGACATAAAAACAATCCTAAATAATCACAAATATTAAAGTAAGAGCATGGTACACTTGCAAAAATTCTGCCAGAGATAAGGTTCAGCCGATGGTAACATCCATGAGCTGTATTCAGGCACTTTGCAATTGAATGTATCATAGTGATTCTTTTTAAATTGAAGAGGGACTCCGAATTATTTCAGATTTTGCACTTTTATGGTACTTTCTATCATGCCCTTTCAAATTTATATAAAAAATGTTAACTATTGTAGCTAAGTTTGCCAAGAAAATTTCAGTGAAACAAAAGGTTTTTAGACTCAGATTTTCTGTTTATGTTTACAAGCACATCTATTCCATATATTTAGAAATACTTGTATTTAGACAGACATACTTAAAGAAAGCCCCTTAACACATTTTATAAAACACTACAAACTGACTTTGTGTATGAGTTTTAGAATGATGGCTGACACTTACGAAGCAGTTACTATATATCAGGTTCCATATTAAGCCTCGTTTAACCTCCACCACAACCCTGTGAGGTTGGAACTATTACTATTCGTATTTACAGATGAGAAGGCAGGGGTTCAGAGATGTTAAGTGACTTGCCCAAAGTCACAGAACTACTAAATATCCAGTTTTTTATTTCAGATCCCTGTTCTAAACGGCTCCATGTCAGGCTTACTGCTTTGCCTCACACTTAAAATGTATGAAAGAGAAACGACTAACTTCATTAACTGCCAGTTGCAGCAACATCTTTTGAGCCTAAGCACCTTCACTAGTCCCAGAGTCATAGCAGCCATATTTGAACAACAGAATCCCACCTCAACTGACTAGAACAGAGTTAGGAAAATCCACCTCCTCGGGAATTCAGAGTTGGAAATGAGAGCAGACCTCTCCCCGTGGCTGTACATAATAGATGACCTTGGGACCAGCTTCTGCCTGCTTTGTAGGCAAAGTAGCAGAAAATGTCAGTTTGTTGAGAAAGAAGCAGATGTGTAGAGAAAAATCACAAAGTAGAGACAAAAATCCCAGAGTCACTAAGACCTCCTGGGTTTGGTTCCAAGTCTTCCTGAGTATGGGTATGTCCCTGCTTTTGGATTTCATGAGAAATCCCAGAAACCGGAAAAATCTATTATCTCTCTGTATTTAGTGGTTTAAGTGGGTTCCTGTTACTTCAACTAAAAGTTTGGTTATTCAATACTCAGATCTGGGTTTATACATGGGGCTGAAAACCAAATAATCTTCACTGAGCAAAAAGAAAACAGAACATAGAAGGATTTGAAATGCTGGCATTTAGAAATATAGTCAATTAATCTAAAGAACAAAGTATCTTTAAAATAAAATTGTGATAGTCTCAAGACATCAGGAAAATGGTTTTATCTTGGAGAGTTAGAAGATGAAATGAACTTACAGGAAAACCATGTGAGATACTAAAACACAATGAGCAGCAGCAATAGAAGATGACCCAAAAAAAGCAAGCTTCTTGCCATCACATTACTAACAATAAAATGCACACACACGTGAGAAGCAAAAAATAATTGGCTCTATTTTCAGGCAGACAAAAAGTAATTTCCATATATTCCCTGTATCTGTGTTCAAAGATTTTAGGCAGCAGAATCATCTGGATATTTATTAAATGGTGGATTCCTGGGTCTCAACACAGAGCTACAGAATCACTCCCTGGGGATGGAGCTGTGTTTTTGTTTTTGTTTGTTTGTTCGTTTTGAATTGGGGTCTCACTCTGTCACCCAGGCTGGAGGGCAGTGGCGGGATCTCAGCTCACTGCAACCTCTGCCTCTCAGATTCAAGCGATTCTCCTGCCTCAGCCTCCTGAGTAGCTGAGACTACAGGCATGTGCCACCACACCCAGCTAATTTTTTGTATTTTTAGTAGAGACGGGGTTTCACATTGTTAGCCAGGACGGTCTCGATCTCCCGACCTTGTGATCTGCCCACCTCAACCTCCCAAAGTGCTGGGATTACAGGCATGAGCCACCGCGCCTGGCCAGAGCTCTGTTTTAAAGCAATGATCCTCGAAATTGTTTGTTTCAGCATCCTCTGCATTAATATTCTGAAGCTATATACTTATACTCACTTATCCATTTTTAAGTTGACATCTAGTTTGATAAGTTGCATAAGGACATAATTTCCAACTTGTTATAAATATCCAGATTTATAAATAAAACTGTTAATCATTCCCTTACATTGATAAAAATCTCTCTAGGTATCACAGAGATTTGAAAAACATTACTTTTTTTAAAAAAAAAAGAACAAGCCTGGTGGTGACAAAATCTCTCAGCATTAGCTTGTCTGTAAAGAATTTTATTTCTCCTTCACTTATGAAGCTTAGTTTGGCTGGATATGAAATTCTGGGTTGAAAATTCTTTTCTTTAAGAATGTTGAATATTGGCCCCCACTCTCTTCTCGCTTGTAGAGTTTCTGCCGAGAGATCCGCTGTTAGTCTGATGGGCTTCCCTTTGTGGGTAACCCGACCTTTCTCTCTGGCTGCCCTTAACATTTTTTCCTTCATTTCAACTTTGGTGAATCTGACAATTATGTGTCTTGGAGTTGCTCTTCTCGAGGAGTATCTTTGTGGCGTTCTCTGTATTTCCTGAATCTGAATGTTGGCCTGCCTTGCTAGATTGGGGAAGTTCTCCTGGATAATATCCTGCAGAGTGTTTTCCAATTTGGTTCCATTCTCCCCGTCACTTTCAGGTACACCAATCAGACGTAGATTTGGTCTTTTCACATAGTCCCATATTTCTCGGAGGCTTTGTTCGTTTCTTTTTATTCTTTTTTCTCTAAACTTCCTTCTCGCTTCATTTCATTCATTTCATCTTCCATCACTGATACCCTTTCTTCCAGTTGATCGCATCGGCTCCTGAGGCTTCTGCATTCTTCACGTAGTTCTCGAGCCTTGGCTTTCAGCTCCATCAGCTCCTTTAAGCACTTCTCTGTATTGGTTATTCTAATTATACATTCGTCTAAATTTTTTTCAAAGTTTTCAACTTCTTTGCCTTTGGTTTGAATTTCCACCTGTAGCTCGGAGTAGTTTGATCGTCTGAAGCCTTCTTCTCTCAACTTGTCAAAGTCATTCTCCGTCCAGCTTTGTTCCATTGCTGGTGAGGAATTGCGTTCCTTTGGAGGAGGAGAGGCGCTCTGCTTTTTAGAGTTTCCAGTTTTTCTGCTCTGTTTTTTCCCCATCTTTGTGGTTTCATCTACTTTTGGTCTTTGATGATGGTGATGTACAGATGGGTTTCATTGTGGAAGTCAGTGTGGTGATTCCTCAGGGATCTAGAACTAGAAATACCATTTGACCCAGCCATCCCATTACTGGGTATATACCCAAAGGACTATAAATCATGCTGCTATAAAGACACATGCACACATATGTTTATGGCAGCACTATTCACAATAGCAAAGACTTGGAACCAACCCAAATGTCCAACGATGATATATTGGATTAAGAAAATGTGGCACATATATACCATGGAATACTACGCAGCCATAAAAAATGATGAGTTCATGTCCTTTCTAGGGACATGGATGAAATTGGAAATCATCATTCTCAGTAAACTATCGCAAGAACAAAAAACCAAACACCGCATATTCTCACTCATAGGTGGGAATTGAACAATGAGAACACATGGACACAGGAAGGGGAACATCACACTCTGGGAACTGTTGTGGGGTAGGGGTGGGGGGTAGGGATAGCTTTAGGAGATATACCTAATGCTAAATGACGAGTTAATGGGTGCAGCACACCAGCATGGCACATGTATACATATGTAAATAACCTGCACATTGTGCACATGTACCCTAAAACTTAAAGTATAATAAGAATAAAATAAAATAAAATAAAATAAAAGAACAAGCTCCTTTTCAGTCATATATCCTCTTTTAATTTTTTCTTGAATTCATACATCTTTTCCATATCCCCAGCAGAACTTCAATAACATATTTTTATGCTTGTAAATCTTTTACTGATCACTCTATCATGCTCCCCACAAATAAACTGTGTACATAATTGCAGTCTCACATTTTACATTTCCTGTGGCCGTAAGTTTTCAATATTTTTAAATTTTCTCTTATGGACTAAGTTCCTAAAATTATTATTGGTCCACAATTGATCAAAATTAATATATAATAAATGTTGACAAATCCATAATGTATAAAAAGTAAAACTTTTCAGTAATACATCTCTTAATGAGATGGATAGGTTATATTTTTATTTACACAACATAGAGGATTTTTTAATTTTTTTATTTTTAATTTTTTTTGAGACGGTGTCTCGCACTGTCGCCTGGGCTGGAGTGCGGTGGCGCGATCTCGGCCCACTGCAACCTCCACCTCCCAGGTTCAAGCGATTCGCCTGCCTCAGCCTCCTGATTAGCTGGGATTACAGATGCCTGCCACCACACCCAGCTAATTTTTTGTATTTTTAATAGAGACAGGGTGTCACTATGTTGGCCAGGCTGGTCTCCAACGCCTGACCTCCTGATCCACCTGCCTCGGTCTCCCAAAGTGCTGAGATTACAGGCGTGAGCCACCACGCCCGGCCTGAGGATTATTATTTATCACTAGGATGAGATACAGTTCAGCATCAGTTCTATTCCTATTTTTCACATTTTTTAATGTAGATATAAAATATACGAAACCTGCTCTCATAAATAAAATAGGAATAGAAGTTTAGCGACTGTAAAATCATTCAATTCTTTGGACTTCTTCTTAATTATGTAACAAAAAATTGCACATGAATTATCAATATTTTTAAAGATCAGCTGACAATTTGAGTATATTTTGTTTTATTGAAAGCAAAGAACTGAAAATGGTTTGTTATCTGGTAATATTAGAGTCATTCACTTTCTCAACACTAACATCATATTTTGAGTTTTTCCTTTGGCTTGTGCCCTGGAGGTTTTTATTTCCAAGGCCAATGCACCAAGATTTAGGATGAGAGAGTAGCGCCTTTCTCTCCTAACTGAAAATAGAGTAGTCGTGAAAGGGGAAGCGATAAAGGAGAATCCACACAAATGAACAATGATTTTCTTAGACTCCTATCACTGCTACCTACCATAACTTAGAATGCCCACGTATCCCCAGGGGCATGTGTATCCTGGTTTCGACACACTAATTGGAGCTCTGTTCATTCATGCATTCATTCCACAAACATGTATTAAGCACTTGCAACATGCCAGACACTTATCTAGGCACTGGAGATACAGCAATGAACAAAACAAGAAATCCCCTGCCCTCATGGCCCTTCTAAAGGAAGCACACAATCTGTTAGGTCTGTGTTGGGTGCTACGGCCACCTGCCTGAGCCTCCTGTGGCCTGCTCTTCTCTCTACTCTAAAGAACTGTATTCCCACTGTAATAATTTGAAATGCCAACTAGACTGGATTAAGGAATATCTAGAAACCTGTAAGGCATTGTTTTGGAATGTGTCTGGGATGATGTTTCCAGAGGAGATTGGCATGTGAGTCTGAGCGGACTAGGTGGGGAAGATCCACCCTCAATGTGGGCAGGCACCATCCAGTCTGGTGGATGGTGGTGAAGACAGTAAAGAAACAGGAAAAAGGTGAATGTGTCATTCTATCTCCAGGATCTGGAATACACTCATCCCCTGCCTTGGACAACAGAACTCCAGGGTCCCAGGCCTTTGGACTCCAAGGTTTACATCAGTGGCTCCCCGGGTTGCCTGGCCTTCAGCCTTGGACTGAAAGTTACAACATTGGCTTTCCTGGTTCTGAGGCCTTGGGGACTTGAACTGAGCCACACTACCAGCATCCCATGGTCTCCAGCTTGCAGATGGCCTGTTGTGGAACTTCTCAGACTCTATAATCACATAAGCTAATTCCCCTAATAAATCCCCTCTTATAGATCTAAACAGTTGTACAGTTGTCCCTCAGTATCCAAGGGGAATTGGTTCCAGGACCTCCTTCAGGTATCAAAATCCACAGATTCTCAAATCTAGATATAAAATGGTATCGTATTTGCATATAACCTATGCACATCCTCCTACATACTTTAAATCATCTCTAGATAACTTAGAGTATCTGATACAATACAAATGCTATGTAAATAGTTACATTGTTTGGGAAATACTGTTTAGGGAATGACAAGGAAAAATATCTATACATGTTGGGTACGAATGCAAATTTGTTTTCAAATATTTTCAATGGTGGTTAGTTGAATTCATGGATATGGAATCTACTGACCATATATATATCCTTTTTATTCTCTCTGGAGAACTCTAATATGCTAACTTAGTCAACAGAGAGCCAGGAAGTACTTACTACGTGCCAGAACATTAGCTAAACCCAAAAGAATAGAGAGGATGCAGACTGGTCCTCCACAGTATACAATAAGCATAAAACCTCTCATTCAGATTCACCTTATATAATACATTAAGTCACTGTTTAAATAAGTTTATGTTCTACAAAGCAAAGACCAAATCATCACCAGGGTCAAGCAGATTCTCCTCTGCCTATGTAATATTAATCTATTGGCTGTGCTTAACATTTATTTATTTATTTATTTATTTATTTATTTATTTATTTAAATTGGTTTTTTTAAGACACAGGGCCTTTCTCTGTTGCTCCGGCTGGAATGCAGTGGTGTAATCATAACTTGGTGCAGCCTCAAACTCCTGGGCTCAAGAGATCCTTCTGTCTCAGCTTCCTGAATAGCTAGGCCTATAGGTGTGTGCCACCACTCCTGGCTTTTTTTTTTTTTTTTTTTTTTTTTTTGAAGACTAGGTTTTGTTATGTTCCCCAGGCTGGTCTCAAACTCCTGGCCTTAAAGCGATCCTCCTGCCTTGGCTTCCCAAAGTTCTGAGATTACAAGCAGGAGCCAGCATGTCCAACCTTACAGTTTGAAACATAATTTTGTTCCCAAACTACGGATATGAGTAAACCACATCCTTGGCAGTGACTGCGTTCTAGGATAATTTTTAATCATTGACAAAACAAATTATTCTTCCTATCAAGAAAAAAGTACTAGTTCTGAGGATAAAACACTACATGTTTGTCAAGAAAACAAAGTCGACCATCCATGAAAAGAAAGTGCACAAAAATGTACAATTCCTAGGGTGGAAATTTCCATCAATCAGATATACTCTTGGTGAAAATCAAGGGTCACCATGTCACTTAAGTTGCAAAATTCAAAGTATTTTAAGTTCCTAAGTTAAATAACCCCAAATGTTTCTTATCAAGAAAAAAAGCCTCTCCACCTAAACACATAGCTACAATTTATAATTACCAAAAGAAACCTCACAATGGCCCTTTGTAAAGGATGATCCTCATGTAGCTAAACAATTTCCCACTCCCTCTTCTGTGGTGCCTTTTAAAATTATCATTATAACATCTACAGTCAGAAGGTAAAAATTGTTTTTTCCTATATGAAGTTAATATAGAATACATAATTAGAACTTATTTTCCACTTGTGGTAATTAATATGCTTGCAATTATAGCCACTATTCCATACCATTAATCCCTAAAAGTAAAGGCAGCTAGCAGAGTAAGGAGACCTCTGAGACACAGAAGAAAGCTGGCTGGACCACATGAAAGTGGAACTCTTAAATCTGCCTTCAAAAGTGCAACAGTCTAGCCACAAGAACTACCTAGTATAGAATTAACATTCTAATCCAAATGAGAGGAAAATTCTAAGGTTCCATCTTGATCAAAATATTATGATTATAAAAACATTCCAAAGTTCAGCAAACCGTACTAAACTTACATAGTCCCATATCTACCTCTAAATATGCTATAAAGATACAATAAAAAATAGATTGTGTAGTGAAAAATAAGAGATATAGTAGGCTCTAAATAGGGTACAGTCCATGAATTTGGGGTAAAGCCAGAAATTACCAGCCTCTGAAATTTAGGTTAATTATGAACTTAAAAAAGCAACACCAATGATGGGATAAACTGGCACCCTGTGCTCCTGCTGAGATGCACTGAGAAGGATACAGTGTCACCTATGGAATATTCCTGTCCAAAATGTTTAATCTTAACCTAATCACGAAGAAACAATTAGACAAATCTAAACTGAAAGAAATTCTGCAAAATAACTGGCCTGGCCTCTTCAAAAATGTCAAGGACTAAAAGACAAAAAAAAGTTGAGAAATTATTCCAGATTAAATTCAATAAATTCATATTGAATACCTACTGTCTGGATAACGGCAGTGTGTGGTGGCTAAGAATGTATCAAATTCTGCCTCAAAATCCTATCTCTACCAGATGGAAAAGACATCTAACCATGCCATGTCCTGGTCTCCTCTCAGTAAAATGAGGATAGTAATATTACAGTACCTTCTTCAAAAGATTATACCGAGTTCAATGAGTTCATCTATAAAAGCCTTAGCACAGACACTGCTCAACACTTAATAAGTGCTCGGTAAATGTCAGTGGTGATCATGACCATGATGATGGTGAAGAGCCACCAGATGCTGGGGGAGGGGAACAGAGAGACTAACATCGTCACGTCCTCACTGTGCTTACAGTGAGATGTGAGTTACAGAAAAATGACCAGGCAATTCTAAGATAGTGCAATAGATGCACTTTGGCTGATGAAAGGCTCTAGAGTTCAAAGGAGGCCGTTAGGTCTTTCTAAGCAAGGAATGCTGGCATTGGAATCCAGGTAATGACAGAGAGGTGAGGCAACTAGGGTAGAAGAGATCAAACTTGAGGACTGCTAGGATCGTGAGGCAGGGGAGTGCTGTAGATTGAGTCTAGTTCCTGGCTTGGCAGCTGAACGGGCTGTGGTGCCAGTCACTGAGAAAAAGGAGCCCAGGGCATGAGCAGGTTTAGGGGCAGCAAGAGAGTCGGCTGACGCTGGGTCAGACTCAACCAGAAGGGCCACCCAAGGGGACTTGTGCTGGACTCACAAAGGCATGTGGCAGAGAAGTCCTGATCTTGAGAGAAAAGGATACATTCTGCATTCCCCAGAATAAAACACCTAAAGCAAACAGATTTTATCTTGTTCTTGCCTGGACTCTAATTTCAAAACATGATAAAGAAAAATACAGCAGTCCTATCAATCTTATGTATTTCACAGTGTAACTATTTTACTGTAAAAATAGAAATTAGGAGGGACATTTGTGGCTCTCAATAGGTTCATTAAACCTAAAATTGTAAATTCCCCTGCCAGAAAGGTGGTATGCTAGCCAGATGTTCTCACTCTAATTGAGAACATTATTTTGCTTACTAAAGGTAAGAAAGAAAACATTTAGGTCAGGCTCGGCGGCTCATGCCTGTAATCCCAGCACTTTGGGAGACTGAGGCGGGTGGATCATGAGGTCAGGAGTTCAAGACCAGCCTGACCAACATGGTGAAACCCCGACTCTGCTAAAAATACAAAAATACAGGCATGGTGGCACACACCTGTAATCCCAGCTACTCAGGAGGCTGAGGCAAGAGAACTGCTTGAACCCGGGAGGCAGGGGTTGCAGTGAGCCCAGATTGCGCCACTACACTCCAGTCTGGATGACAGAGCAAGATTCTGTCTCAAAAAAAACCTTTATAAACTCTCATTTCCTAGGTTATAAAACACATAACCCCTCACTTCTACCCACAGAAATAAAACTGCCAGGAACAACTCTGTGTGCTTATGTGCCTATGGGCAAAAATACATAAACTATATTGATATCATAAAGAAAACACTAGATTCAATCTTGGCCCATAGAGTCTCAATTATCAATCCAATCAGAAGCTGAAGCTGGATTTGCCACACAACACAAAACCAGTCTTGCTGCCACACTATGTGCTCATTCAGTGTGTGCCTGACAATGGCTACGGGCAACACTGATTCTCTGCCTACACACTGTCTTTGAGGTACACTGCACCGTCTGTTGGCTTAATCTCAGATCAAACTGCCTTAGCTCATGTACTTGTGAAAAAGATGACTGATTGTCCCCAATATCCATTCTATATGCCCCCTTAGGAGTAGAACCCCTAGAGTCTTGGAGGCTTACTAGAGTTCACCTTTCCAAGCTTCTTTGGTAGTCAGGTATCATCACGTACCTTAAGTTCTGGCAACTGGGATGTGAGGGCAAGTGATGTCTGTGATTTCCAGATCATGCCCCCAGAAGGAAACTACTTGGCCTCCACTTTCCCTTTCCCACAGAATAAACAAACATACGGGAGTGGTGAACCTCCTGCAGCCTGCACATGAGCAGAAGCACTGAGGCAATGGAAGAACAACAAGCTAGAAAGAGCCTGAGCGCCTGACTCATGAAGCAAAGAGCTAGATTCCAAAGTGACTACTGGCTTAAATTTAAAATTTTATATTATTATTATTTTATTTATTTTTTTTTTTGAGACACAGTCTCACTCTGTCACCCAGACTGGAGTGCAGGGGTGCAATCTCGGCTTACTGCAAGCTCTGCCTCCCCGGTTCACGCTATTCTCCTGCCTCAGCCTCCCGAGTAGCTGGGACTACAGGCACCCGCCACCACGCCTGGCTAATTTTTTTTTTTTTTTTGTATTTTTGTAGAGATGGGGTTTCACCATGTTAGCCAGGATGGTCTCGATCTCCTGACCTCGTGATCCGCCCACCTCGGCCTCCCAAAGAGAGACAGATTCTTGCTATGTTGCCCAGGCTGGACTTGAACTCCTGGGCTCAGCCTCCTGAGTAGCTGAGACTACTGGCACACACCATCATGCCTGGCCAGCTTGGATTTTTATATGAGAAACTTATTCTGCTTAAGCTACTATTATTTTGGTCTTTATAAAAACAGCCAAGCCAACACCTTAATTCATTTCCACTCAAATCATTAAAATGTGTGATTATGCAGAATTTATGTAATTAAGGTGTGTCTCACTTTGTTTTAGAGTTTTGCATTCCTTTATAATGACTGCAGACATCTCAGCATCCCACACAGTTGACAATAAATGCTTATGTTGGAATCTCCAAGGGGCATAATAAACAGGTACAGTTAATACCACTCTTCTCCAAATGGTCATATATTAAATCTGCTCTTTAATTTGTTGCTAGAACCAGTATTTGCAGAGTGCAAGACTTCCGATCTATCTGACAAATTTTTAACCTTGGTTTTATATATGATGACAACATTCTACACCCAGCATTAGGACTAGGCTACACTGGTTTTCTTTTTTCTCTAGAAGAGGACAGATTGTACTAAGGCCTAAGATCGTACTAAGGTGCTTATGGTAGGCAGAATAATGTCTCCCATAGAGTCAATTACCATCACAACCCAACACGTTCATTTCCTAATCCCAGGAAACTGTGAATATGTTATCTTACATGGCAAAAGGAACTTTGCAGATATGATTAAGGATCATGAGATGGGGAGATTCTTCTGGATTATTCATGTAGGCCCAACTTCATCACAAGCGTCCTTATAAAGAGGGAGACATGAGTGTCAGAGTCATAGAGGAGATGTGATAATGGAAGCAAAAGCTAGAAGTATGCCATTGCCAGAAGGGGCCATGAGCTGAGGAATACAGATAGCTGCTAGAAGCACAAAGGGGCAAAAAATGGATTCCTACCCAGAACGTCCAGAAAGAACACAGCTCTGCCAACACCTTGATTTTAGGCCAGTGAAACCCACTTCAGGCTTCTGACCTCCAGAATTACAAGAGAATCTATGTTGTTTTAAGCCACAAAGTTTGTGATAATTTGTTACAGCATCCATAGGAAATACAGTGTCCTTACATGTAGCACTGTATATTGTAATAACCCAATTGAATTAGGGTAGGATTTGTCCAGACCTAAAGAGCTAAATGAAAATAAGCAATTTTAATAATATATAATCTTATTAATAATATTGTTACTAATATTATCAGTAGTAATACCAATAGTAACATACAATTGTTTTGCCTTTTTACTGTAATCACAAAGGTAGCTCTCCCTGCCTCCCTCCCCCCGCAAAAAAGAAAAAGAAGTCACAGAAATTGAATATAAGTAGGTACAAGCAAATCTTGTAACTAGATAAAAGGATGATTTCTACCCACTAGCAAATGACTCTTCATCTCAAGATGAAATTGAATGCCATTTTTACTGCTATTGTTTTGAAGGATGAATGCTTTCTCTGCTAGTAAAACGCGTTCAATAATTTCTGCAGGCCGGGCATGGTGGCTCATGCCTGTAATCCCAGCACTTTGGGAGGCCGAGGCGGGCGGATCACGAGGTCAGGAGATTGAGACCATCCTAGCTAACATGGTGAAACCACGTCTCTACTAAAAATACAAAAAAATTAGCCGGGCGTGGTGGCGGGCGCCTGTAGTCCCAGCTACTCGGGAGGCTGAGGCAGGAGAATGGCGTGAACCCGGGAGGCAGAGCTTGCAGTGAGCCGAGATCGTGCCACTGCACTCCAGGCTGGGTGACAGAGTGAGACTTCGTCTCAAAAAAAAAAAGAGAAAAGAATAATTTCTGCAAAGGCCAAAGAAGAATTTAAAGAGTTTTTAAAGCTCTTCTTGATAACCAAAATCTGTAACCATGCAGGACATTCCCCTGGTATTATTTAGTTCAAATCTCCATCACTTGTTTCAGTTTTACGCAGCTGTTGGGTACAGAAAACCAAACAGTCACCCCTGTGGCTTCCGTATGCTTCAAACAGTACCATTCCTGGAGAAGGGCAAGATTCACTGGCCCTAGCTTCATTCATCTGGGCCGTTCAATGTTGGCCAAAAGGGTCCACAACCCACAGGAAGGTCACTAGAAGCTAAAATTATCACTGCTCCCTTAACCTGCTTCTTGTCAGCACCAGCTAATTGCCCACCATTGTGCTTCTGGCTCCATGATGGTGTTATTATAGTTCCCAACGCAGGGAAGTCTCAGCACAACACCTTTGGAAAATGCTTACCCTGACATTCCTAAGAGCATTCCAAAGCAATGCCCTTGTGTGCCTCTCTGGCCTGGAGCTCAACCATGCCTGATGGTAGAAGGTTCACTTCAAGATCACATTCTTAAGCATGGCCTGTTTTCACTGCCAGGATTTCATAAAATCATAGAACCACAATTGTACTATAAACTCTTGGCCTAAATTTACGTCCCCTCCTTCCTCCTGAACAGAACCAAATGAATGTTGCTTAAGATCCAAAACAGATCCATATAACAGGACTCCTTTTGTTTCAGAAACTAAATTACTTCTTTGTGATACATCCCTACATTACATTAGAATAACACTATCTCCTGTGCTGTACTCATAGGAAGTGGAGTTATCTCCTTGGACCAGATGCTTGGTTTTAAAGATTGTTTTGTTTGTTTGTTTGTTTTTTATCTGCTTCCCTCTGTCTCAATTTGTTCTGGGCTTTGGAAGCCTTCATATCTCCACCACTGATAATGTCTAAGTTTTTCTACCTATACCTTAAGTTTCCTGCCACATCTTCCTGAGTTAAGGCCCTTTAAATAAGCATCACTGCTTTTCAGGGTCTGGAGAAAGGTCTGTCTACTCCAAACCTCAGTGGGAAAGGTGGACGGCATGCACTGGATACCCTTTGTTGTCTCTGAGTAATGATCTTTATTAAACCTTTTAATGGAGGCATACATTTACCTGTATATCACACACTTAACCTAGGAAGCTTTCTGTCCTATATATGTTCCAATTTGGTCTTGCTCACTTCAGATATGGATTCCTAATATGTAAAATATAAGGCTTTTTGCTCCTTAACTTCTAAGTATTTTAACTCACTGCTATTTGGCAGTAACATTAAAAGCACCAAAAAAAACAACTCAGCTCAACAATCTAACACTATTTCTCATCCCAAAAGCTAACCCATAATCTTTTTAGGTTTCCTCTTCTACTTTTTGTTTTACTCATAACTCAGCATTTCTTTGCAACAGGAGCTAATAAGAGTTTGTTTTTGTTTTTTTTTTTCTGGTTTATGTTATCTGCAATTTACAAGAATTTTTTTTTTCTCCTCCCTGTGTTAATCTGCCAAAACAAAATACCTTAGACTGGGTGGCTTAAACAACAGAAATTTATTTTCTCACAGGTCTAGAGCCTGGAAGTCCCAGATCAGGGTGCCGGCATGGTCAGTTTCTGTTGAGGGATCTCTTCCTGGCTTAAAGATGTCCACCTTCTTATGTCCTCACATGGCAGACAGAGAGAGAGAGAAAGCAAGCCCTTCGGTGTCTCTTCTTATAAGAGTGCTAATCCCATCAGGAGGGCCCCACCCTCATGACCTCATCTAAACCTAATTATCTCCCAAAGGCCCCATCCCCAAACATCATCACATTCGGAGTCAGGGCTTCAACACATGAGTTTTGTGTGGGACACAATTAAGATCATCACACTCTCTCCTTTTAGGGCCGATTTTTATCTGCCTTGGAATGAATCCATGACCAGCCTTTCTTCATTAAATAAGCAGGGACAGAGACTGAACACCTGTTAGGTCTCAGGCCCAGGCTCAGTGCTAGGTATTCAAAGAGGAATACATACAATTTCTGATATCAGCAGTTCCAATATTCCCAAGTTCTAGATGGAAATACCTTATTGTGCTGGCTTACTGCAGCAGCCATGGAAATATGCCAGTCAGAGCTCCCTTTCTGGAGAAGCACAACTAACTGCCGGCCTCTTGCTGCCACAGCTTCAGGTCTACCATGGCATTCGTGCAGAAATTGTGTTTCTACTGGGCTGCGAGCCAGCGCCCAAGTGTGCAGAGGTACTGGAATCACTGCTGTTGTTGCCCAGTGCGAAACTCCAGCAACAGGCAACTTTGCTTAGGGAAGCCCCATCCATCCAGCCAAGACTTCTCAGGAATACATGGCATTGTAAAATTCTTCCCCATCCCTCCTTCCTTCCCACTCTTCCTTCACAGATGTCAGACCTACAGCATGGTCTGAAGGCTCTCTCTACCTTTTGTGGTTTCCTCCCTCTTTCCACTTCATAGACATTCCCCAACTTGCATTCAAATCCCAGCTTGGCAACTGCTTCTCAGAGGATCTGGGAAAACAGACTCAGGAATTAACTTCACTTAAAATAACTAAAAAACATGTTTAGCTTTCAAGTAACCTGTTCATCTAACCGGGGACAAATACTCATCTGAGACAGCTAAAGCAAAAGGTGATAGAAGAAATAAAGAAAATCTGCTTTTTCTTACATTCAAATAAAGGCAAAACAGAAAATTATTCTCACTATAACTTAATATAATTGGGCATACAGCTATGGAGCATTTGCCAAGTACCAGACGTTGTGCAAGGTATTGTAAAGGCTATAAAGACAAACACAAGATAGACTCCCTGCCCTCAAGGAACTTACAAGCTGCACTCCTATCTTTTATTCAGAATTTTTACATCATTCATTTTAAACAAATTCCTTAAGCATTTTGTACACACATACATATGTTCTTCTGTACGAAGCAGATGAGTAAACAAGATTACTTCATGTAAATATTTTTAAGTCCTTACTTAGAAAATAATTTGGTCTTTAAAAGTAAGTATCACTATATTTCCATCTAGAGTCTCCAAATCCCCACCCTAGGCCTCTAAAGGGAAAATGTCAAGACATTTTATCACTTAATCTGATTAGAAAAGTCCTTCATGCTCATCTACATAGATACATCTCCAAAATCCCAAGTTAAGAAATGAGCTCAAGGCATTTGGGTCAACTGACACAGGCTGGTGGAAAAAAAAAAAAAACCTCAAACATCTTAAAATATTCATTTTTGTTGTTGTTGTATTGTGAAATATTTACATACAAAAAGTATATAAAGTAAATATGTAGTTTAAAGAATAACATAAAAAAACACTGTGCGCTCACCATTCAAGTTAAAACCCAGAATATTACTATAACTTTTTTTTGTTTTTGAGACCGAGTTTCGCTCTTGTCACCCAAGCTGGAGTGCAGTGGTACGATCTCGGCTCACTGCAACCTCCACTTCCTGGGTTCAAGCGATTCTCCTGCCTCAGCCTCCCAAGTAGCTGGGATTACAGGCGCCCGCCACCACGCCCAGCTAATTCTTGTATTTTTGGTAGAGACAGGGTTTCACCACATTGGCCAGGCTGGTCTCAAACTCCTGACCTCAGGTGATCTGCCTTAAGTGCTGGGATTACAGGCGTGAGCCACCAGGCCTGGCCTACTATAACTTTTAAAGCACTTTTTCTTCCCTCCACTGCTTTAGAACAGTTTCTCAACCTCACGCTATTGACATTTTGGGCAGATAATTCTTAACCAGAACATTTTGGATGCTTAGCAATACCCCTGGCCTCAACCCATAAGATGACAGTAGCATATCACCACCATCACCACCAGTTGTGACAACCGGAAACGTCTCCAAACACTTCCATATATCCCCTGGAGGGCAAAGTCACCCCTTGTTGAGAACTACTGCCCTAGAGGTAATCACAATATGAATTTTTGCTTTTATTTATAGTATATCAACATATGTAACCCTAAAACAATGTATTGCTTAGTTCTACTGTATTTGAACTCCATAGAAATGAAATTGTACTCCATGTATTTTCCCGTGACTTGTTTCTTACATTCAACATTGTTTGTGAGATACATCCACGGTGTATTATTACAAGCTGTAATTCACACAATCATTTTTTCATATATTTTTGCTGCTGTATTGTAATCCGTTAAATTAAAACTCCATAATTGTTTAATCCAATCTATTATTGATGGACATTCGTATTGCATCTAACATTTTGCTTTTATGAATATTTCTACTAGGAACCTTTCCTACACAGGTCTTCTGGTAATTACACAACAATTTCTCTGAGCTATATACCTAGGAGTAGAATTACTCAGTCACAAGATATGCTCATGTTCAGCTTTATTGCTTTCTAAAGTGGTTGTATATATTTATACCCCCATCAGCAGTAGAGGATAATTGCCATCACTCCACATGATTTCCAACACTAGGGTCTTCACTTATTTTTCACAACATGTGGTACCACAAAAATATACATTGCTTACCGTGTAAATCCCAATTCTACAAACAGCAAATGAGATCTGGATGCATTCAGACATTCTCTATAAGATTAAAATAAGAATAAGAGAATAAGAAATGTTTGTACCAAAGAACTGTCTTCATTCCCCTTGCTCTTGTTTCCCTCTTTAAAGAAAATCTGCTGTATTCCAACATCTGTTTTATGAGGAAGTGGCTGAATTTCTTCCGTCTGTTTTCTAGGCTAGCTCAAAGACAGGGATAATAAAGTCTGGGGCATGTGGCTTTATCTTGGGACTGTAAGGCAGATACTTTGTCCTCTAATACAAGAGCATCATTTAAGGAGTGTAACTTATTGTAATGGTTTAATTTTACTTCTTTCAAATCTTGCTCTAATATCCCATTTTAATAATAAATATTTGGCTGCTATAAGTAGCTTTTTAAGCATTCTTTTTCAGTTCAATTCTTATTAGATCATAAAAGTCTATAATCCTTATAATGGATAGAAAAAAATCTCTATAAAAGGGAAATGCTCATAGTTAAATGCTGAAAGTTATGAATGGGCTAAATTTTGACAGAAGACTGAGATCCTTGGTCTCAGAATATCAATGGCAGTACTCAACTTAGAATTCACAACTTCTAACTCCCAAATCAAATTCAGATTCCTAAAACACATGCCCACTCACAAAACCATGCATACCAAACATGACTACTGGTTTCTTTTCCTTTCTTTAGCTGGAGAAATATTTTTAGCACATTAAATTAGCATGTAGTCAAAATAACCCTAACTTTATACAGTCGAACACTGTTATTATGGTTTATTGTTGACAAGTTAAAGCTTCTCCCTAAAGTTTATAATGTCATAAATCTCAGCAATCACGGTTTTATCCATTGTGGCAAGGAGGCAAAGACATAGGATCCCTGGCTTTCTGTGGTAGCCAAAAGGCTTCCAGAGATGCAGTCCTTGAGGAAGACCAAGAAGTCGCATCAGACCCATTCTGCCAAAGGCTCTTGCCCCTTTAGACAATATCCACAAGAAACTGAATTCTGTATGATTGAAGGAATTTGGTAAATAAAAGATTGGAAAGCCAAAGGCTATATGCGTGGACATTAAAAATAAAAATTACAGCAATGGAAAATCAAACTCTTAGGACACTCTGTTGAGTGAAGTACTTAAACTCAATCTAAACTTTCAAATATCAACGGTGCTATTGTTCAAAACAAATGGCTGATAATTTCATACTGGGGATCATGATCACATCTATTATTAAGTTATTACTATCATGACTGTAACATTATTGGGTTTATTTTGAATGAAATACACTACTGAAAACAAACCAGGGGCCATGCCCTGGCATCCTCAGAGCCCAAGACTAAGAACGCTCATTGCCTTGTCCAAGATCATTCTTCCCATCTACCTTTGGAAATTACCCCAAGTTGTACCTTTGTAACATAATAGTGAATGACTGAACAACTCTCTGAGTAAGCTGGAAAAGTTATCTTCCCCAACTGAAAGATAACTCTTATTTTATGCCACCTGGAATAAAAGATTTACCAGCCTTTCTTGGGGTTAAGTGTTGTCCTGTGACTAAGTTCTCCAAAATGAGATGTAACTGAAAGGTGCTTAAAGGGAACTGACTCTGAGAAGAGCCCTTTTTTGCTCTTCTGCCTTTCCTACTTCTTTTCCAGGCTGTAACGGAGACTTAATGTAGCTCCAGTGACAATCTTGGGTTGTGACGGCACAATGAGAACAGTGGACACATGAAGTAGACCATACAGATAAGAGAACCCAAAGATGCAAATGACAGCAGAGTTGCCATTCCCTCCTCTTCCAGACTTTGTACATGAAATAGAAATCAACCTGTAACTTTTTGTTTTCTGAGACAGGGTCTCACTTGGTTGCCCAGGCTGGAGTACAGTGGTGCAATCTGGAATTACTGTATCCTCAATATCCTGGGCTCAAGTGATCCTCCCACCTGAGCCTCCCAAGTAGCTGGGATTACAGGAGCATGCCACCATGCCCAGCAAATATTTTAATTTCTTTGTAGAGACAGGGTTTTGCCATGTTTCCCAGGCTGGTCTCGAACTCCTGAGCTCAAGTAATCCACCTCCCTCGGCCTCCCAAAATGCTGGGATTATAGGCATGAGCCATCACACCCAGCCCTCTAACTTGTTTAAAAATTGTTGTGTGTCTCTCACAGCCTAACCTAATCCTAACCAGTACAGAGCAACGTTTGTTTTTAAAAAGTAGGTATTCCCAGTGCCATATGAAAGGGCTCTAGCACCTATCATGAGAGAATTAACTCTTTTTATGAGCTTTATCTTTTAAGGAGGGAGAAATATTTACTCTTTAGTTACTAAAAACCTACTTTCCACTCCTTTTCATATTCTCAAAATGTACAAGTATTGTTGTTGGGATTGCTAAAATTATTACCCTGAAAACCCTCAATTTATTTTGTGTAACTTTTTTTCTGACTAACCATATTACCTCATTCTCTCTAATCTCTAATCCTTACAAATACTGCCTTATCCTTGAACATCCGACCTCAGGCCAGGTGGCATGTCTATTGCCCCAGCTTGTAAATTCATTCTAACAATAATATTCTCAACAATGGCCTCTTCCCTCTAATTACTAGGAGTCGGATACATATATTTAAAAACATAACCAAACTTCCTTTGATCACAGTATATGAACTGGTAATAAATTTTAAATAATTATATTATTTCCCTATATAGATGCTATATTTGCAAGAAACTATTTTAACTGTAAACCCATGAGACATAAGGCATAACTTGGAATGAAGGATAAGTAGTTAACTATTTCCAATAAAAGAATGAGTTTCTATCTCAGATAAACTCTGACCCGGTAGCCTCTACAGTAATATTCATAAATCTACATCTAGACTTCCCTGAGGAAGAACTAAAGAATATTATTTCAAAGATGAATCTCATCTTCTTTGCTGCCTCATCTAATAAAACAGCAAAAAAGATGTCAAAAACAAGACAGATTGGTTACAATCTGTTTAAGAGAGGTCTATAGAAAAAGAATGCCTAAGACAGAAAAAGAATACTAAATTTGAAATTAATGTGATTACTTACAGTTTATTGTTGTTTTCCCTAAGAAATTTCAAAGGTAAGCATGAAAATAAAGGAGAAAACAAAACTTCAACAAGATGGCAGAAAATAAACGTTATTTACTATACAGTCCAAAAAATGGTATCAAGGTATAATTTGAGTTCCATCAGAGGGCTAATAAACACAATATTCTTTTAGAGAGCTATTTTTTATACTTAACATAATTGACAGTTCTAATTTTGATGTCCTGTGCAATCCCTCATCCTGATACAAAGCAAGATGACAGTTATATTATCTTCTCCTCTATAATTCTGCTTGATGAAAATTAAAAAGTTAAAACAGCCAAGCCAGTTCTTCAGAGTCCTGCAAGCAGTATGTTAAAACTGGTAAAACAAGAAAGGGCATACGGGAGCAGTAAAACCCCTTCGAATGAGGCCCTAGCTTGGGTCCTCTATTTCCAAATAAGGTTAACAAAGATCCAGCATTTCCTCTCAATAGCAGACAAATGGGCTGAAGGCAAAGATGCAATAAATGGAGGATACAGAGAGTGACGACCCGTTCCAAGGTACATGGGAACGCTAAAGTGCCGCGTGGGTCGAATCCTTTCTGAGTAAAGGTCGCGTCTGTCAATTATGCTTTAGTCACTCCTCCAGAGTGGAAATAAACACTTGGGAATGCCACCTACTTCAGAACTGGCATCTCCTTCTGTTAGTATTGTCACTGAAAACATTAACAGTGCATTATTTCACAACTCCCTTAGTACACTTGAAAGTAATTTTCCCCAAATGGGAAAAAAGTAAGTTTTTTTTTTAACTAATTACAAAATAAAATTAGGATTTGTTTACAAAATGTAGAGCATTTTGCTCCTCAGCATATATTTTATAGCTTCTTCAAATTAGGAGAAAGGATGATGATAATCTACCCAAAGAGAAACATTTGCAATCTAAAGCAAAGCTAATAAAATTGGCCTCTCAACATTTTCTAAAAATGTTTTCAGTGGTAACAGTGCCAACAGCACGCCAAGAGCATCTATACTTCCAAGCAATCTACCAATGTCCATGGATGGAATATGTAAGAGTTCAATCAGTATTCAAAAAGGAATCAACCCTCTCCCTATTAAAAAATAACAATCATCATGATTAGCACATGATCTCTGTGAAATTCAATCACAAAGATTTGAAAAGCCATCTAGCAGAAATAACCTGAGATTTGAAAAGTCATCTAGCAAAAATAACCAAATGAAAGCATAAATCATCATATCAGAAGTTACAGATTTCATCCAGCAAAATGTTAGCCCATCTTCTATAAAACATCACTAAAAATCACACGTAATATCCAGGCAGATTTTGGCTGAAATGGTGAAGGTAAGAATAGTTCTCGTTCTGAAAATTCTGATTAAAAAGTATGGAGGGAGAGAAATCCCCTTCTAACTTAGAGTAAAATAATGAGTACCACTTATCTTGGAGGATTTATTCCTTCACTTTTGACCAGGCACTGGGAATTTTAAAACTCAGTTCAAAGAAAGAAAACGAAAAAAACATTTGCAGGGCTTTTTTTTTTTTTTTTTAATGAGACAGGGTCTTACTGTGTCACTCAGGTTGGAGTGCAGTGGCGCAGTCTTGGCTCACTGCTGCCTGGACCTCCTGTCCAGGATTGCCTCAAGCAATCCTCCCACCTCAGCCTCCCAAATAGCTAGGACTACAGGCGCACGCCACCATACCCAGCTAATTTTGTTTATTTTTTTGTAGAGATGAGTTCTCACTATGTTGGCCAGGTTGGTCTCAAACTCCTGGGCTCCAGTGATCCTCCCACCTCGGCCTGCCAAAGTGCTGGGATTGCAGGAATGAGCCACTGTACCTGGCCCAGAGCATCCTTAATGTGGCAAGCACTTCTAGGTAAGTGTTAAGTATAGAAACATAAAGAAGACCAAACCCTAGCATCAGTGATCTTCCAGTTCAGGAGAAAGCGGTAATTAAACATACCTGTGCCAGACAAGTGCAATGTAAATGTGTTCAGCACAATCAGGGGTATGCACAATGGGCTTTAGGGAAACAGAGTAGAGGCATCAAAGTCATTCTTATAGGCATGTCAGGAAAGACTTGGAAGCATCTCCTGAATTTTGAGTCTCAAAAGATTGAGAGGTATCCAAGTTCAAAGGAGCACAGAAGAAAACGGCATTCCAGATAAAAGTGAAAGCAAGAAACATCCCATAATGCGCAAGCATCTGAGGGCTGCTAATGCATGCCCTAGACACCTTCCTAGTCTTTGCAAATAATTGCTTCTCAGTCCGATATCAATTATTGATAACTATTAACTGACAATCTACATACTAATTAAAATGCATTCATATGAATATACAAAACATCCTCATTTTAAGACTTATCTCTAACTCCCTGCCAAAGGAATTTCCATTTGTCAGGGACTTAGCATGGTCACATCATAGAGTCTGTTTTGCCTCCCCACCCTTTTAGATGCAAAGGCCCACAAGCAAGATGCCACAGCTGATTGAACTAGCAGGCAGTTTAGCCTTAGTAGCTGACCAACAACCATGGTGTGGCCTAGCAGGAAGGGCCAGGCTAACCTAATCATATTCTTTTTCTCCCAAATTTGAGTTGAAAAATACTGAAAAGATGAAGCAGTTCATAGTGCAAAATAAAACTGAGGGAATACAAAAAGCAAAGCTATTAAATAACTTCATAACCATGAAGAATCACAGCAATCTAAATTTACAAAGCTACTAGTATGAATAACAAGAAACTATACAAAAAAGAAAAGCTACACAAAGCAGAGGAGAATAACAACCCTGCTAATAACCCCAGGAGAAGTAGACCCAGAGAGAAATCAGTATGTGAAGAATGGCTGAGTGCAGTTGCAGACAAGTCTGTTTCTTAGTTAAAAAACTATATTCCTCAGTTTCTTGCAGCTAGGAATGGCAGCATGATCAAATTCTAGTAAATGAGATATAATTAGTAAGTCTTACAAGTCTTCCAGGAGGGAAGCACACTCTTCTTCTGCCCTTTCACCATCCAGCTATCTGGAATGCAGAAGTGATGGCAGGAGCTCTGGCACTAATTTTGGACCATAAGCTTAAAGTCTACATATAGTGGGCAGAAGCTTCTTGGGGCCCTAATGACTTCTGGACTTACTTGCCTGAGCAAAAAATGAAACTGTCAAAGCCACTATATTCCAACCAATTCCAGTCCTAATTGATACAGTGGTTGAGAGAATGTGACAGAACCACAATTTGAACTCAAGTCTTTTGGACGTGGGGGCCAAACTCAATCATTATGAGCAAGTGCAAATGAAGTCAAACAAACTGAGTAAAGCAGGTTTACAGTTTACATGTATTTTATAATTCAACAAATCATAAAAGTCTGACTACCAAAGGCCAATAAAAAAGAAAAACACGCAGATGCAGTGTCACTCACCTACTACAAATAACACTTTGGACAAGCCTCTTTGACTCTGTAGCCTACCTGGACATATAAGGTTTTTCCCTCAATACAAGTACCTACAATAAGGCATATGGGCAATAAAAACTGAATATAGGCACCAGCTTCTCATGCATGGCAGAAACCTATCAAATTCAGATTTGTAAGGAGTAGATGAGACTTGCAAGAGCACACGGGATTCTGGAAAGCCTACAGCATATTTTGCAAGGAAGTAAGAGGCCTGTCTCATTAACTTCAAGCAAAAGAATTTTCCATACGTCATTAACAACTAGAAGAACTCAGCCCAGGCATTGTAACTCCCTAAACCACTGATGCCCCAGGGTGGCAAGTGTAGCATAGATCGGCAATTCCTTTGAAAGGCTCAAGGATTTTAGATGCCCAAGCTGAAGCACCAATGAACTTTGTATTAATTCTCTTCATTAATTAAACAATTTCATATTTGCATTGACCACACATTTTGTGCCCAGCCATGTCCCATGCTGGGGACGGAACAGTGAGAGCAAAGTCCCTGCTCTTATGGAGCCTACACTCCAGTGGTAGTGGCACACAAAACAACAAATAAAATCAACTTAGATGGTGACAAGTCCTATGAAGAAAAAAAAAAAAAAGAGAGAATGTGCAGGAGAGGGTGGATTTCCGGTACTGCTATTTTTAAGAGCAGACGTGGTCATTCTAACAATATTATAGACAATAAAAGAGATGCCAAAAAAGCTTTCAACAGCTTTGCTTCCCAAACCCCTTGCATAGGCAAACACAGTATTTCTACCGTAAAAAGTCACAGCATTAGACACTCAATTCAATAATCCACAAATATTTATTGAGAAGCAGTTCTGGGAGACATTAAGAGCAAATCTAACAGCTTTCAGTGTTAAGACTTTCTGGAATCAAATCCCAGCCATACAACTTACTATTTGTAGGAGCTTGGGCAAGTTGCTTAACCTCTGTGCATCTTAATTTGTCATTTGTAAAATGAGGATCATAGTAGTACCTATTTCATTGGGTACTAAGAGGATTCAATGAGTTATAAAAGGAAATACAGTAAGCTTCAGATTTGTATTTTGTTTTATATATTTTGTAATTGACATATAATGTATATTTTAATTGAATATCTGCTATGTTCCAGGCACACAACTTCCTCTAAGCATTTGCATAATGGGGCCCCACACACCAGGAAGCCCCAGGGGCTGCAGTCTGCCATCAGCTTCTACAGATGCCTTGCATTCAGGCCTTGTCTGTACTCTTGGTGTCTCCGCCTGCTGTCACCTGCATTACCAGGACTAACTCCTGTGACTTCTTACTGCAAATACTGTAACCCAGAATGGTAACTCTGAGATTCCCCAAAGGAGTAAACATTCCAAATCCAAGTTTCTCTCTTACCACTCTGTCTCAACAGAGCCAGCAACTGATGCAAAACAATAAACAACATCCATTTTTTAGCCAGGCCTCACAATATTGTCCAGATTGGCAATGCGACATGTTTAAACTGAAGAAGTTTTAGTCTACATTATATAAGATTATATCAACTATCACTCAACCTTTTTTTTTTTTTTTTTGAGGTAGAGTCTCACTCTGTCATGAGGCTGGAGGGCAGTGGCACGATCTCGGCTCGCTGCAACCTCTGCCCACCTCCTGGGTTCAAGCGATTCTCCTGCCTCAGCCTCCTGAGTAGCTTGGGATTACAGGTGAGTGCCACCACGTCCAGCTAATTTTCCTATTTTTAGTAGAGACGGGGTTTCACCATGTTGGCCAGGATGGTCTCGATCTCCTGATCTCATGATCCGCCCTCCTTGGCCTCTCAAAGTGCTGGGATTACAGGCATGAGCCACCGTGTCCAGCATCACTCAATATTTTAATATTCAATAATATTTAATATTTTTAATGCTATTATAATGATAGGCATCTACTTTGCCATGCATTGTCCATTAGGCACTTGGAAGCAAAATTAATTAGAATCATAAGGAAAATTATATTTATTCAATTATCCAGAGTATGAATTCATCTTCCATTCCCTACGTCCCATTCGTTTTTAATATAATTAAATGAACACAACTTTTCAGCACTGTCCTTCTACTAAAACCTTAGAAATCATTGTTTAGGGGTTCTTTCCTTGAATTTATCTTTTTAAGCCACTTCTTTGGGCATGATACCTACACTGTCAAATCTATATTTAAAGTCCTCAAAATATTCAAATGGCCAACCCCTTTTACTGAATCAGTACTTCTATATTAACTTACAAAAATTATTGTACTGCCAGGAAAAGGCTGACTACAGGAGAACGTGGTCTAACAACCACTTAAAGGTTCAAAAAAATTTCTATTTGCCTATTAATTAGACAATCTCAACTTTTCTTCTTGTTTTTCTAACTGTGGAGGGAAAAGAAAGGTAAGCTTTGAGGTTAGACAAACCTGGGTTTGAACCATTCAATAAGTTACTTTAGAAAACTCATCCACCCTGAACTTCAATAAGTGGTCCTCAGATGAGAAAAGAGAACAGATAATCCTTGGTTTCCATGGGGGATTGGCTCCAGGACCCTCTGCAGATACTAAAATCTGTGGATGCTCAAGTTCCTATATGAAATGCTGTAATATTTGCATGTAACCTACACATATCCACCTGTATACTTTACATCATCTCTAGATTACTTATACCTAATACAATGACAATGTTGTGTAATTATTAGACTGTATTTTTTATTTTGTATTATTTTTTATATTTTTTGTTCAAATATTTACAATTTGCAGTTCATTGAATCTGCAGATCTAGAACCCGCAGATACAGAAGGCTAACTATAATAATACTAAAGCTACTAACTCTACTGAATTAAATAAGCAAGCATCAGGTGCTTAGCAAAGGGAAGATATTTTCTCACACCTAGTGAATCCAAAGCCAAGCCGCCCACATCTACTACTGGAATGTGGATGAGTCTCCTGAACAGGCCCCACTAGTTCCCATCTGATCCCTGTATAATCCATCTTCCATTCAACAGCCAGAGCAAGTTTTCAACATGTAAATCTGGTGCTATCACCTCCTGCTTAAAACTATTTAATAGTTTAAGAGTAATCTTAACAGAAACCCAACTCCCAGCCACAACTGCCAGACCCTACGGAATCTTAACTGGGCTCCCCTGGGGCTTGGGTTCACAGCCAATTTCTTTGAGCCACTCTTCAGCATCTGATACCCCAACCTCTGAGATTCCTATGAGCAGCTATACCACTGTCTCATACTTGCTGAAGACAAATAGCCCCAATCTATATGCTCAGGGAACTACTTGGGGTTTTCTGTAAGTCCCAGGGATCCCTGTGCCCAACTCAGGTGGTAGTATCTACCTACTTTTGTCCCCAGGGACTCACCCTATTTCCCTTTTCTTTTTCAAGGGATACCACTTTTTCCTAAGTCTTGTAGATTTTCTCCTTACCCCATCCCTAAAGCCTGGCTGCCAAGTGGCAGGAGCCCTCCCCTCCCTCCCTTGCTGTTGATGTTCTTGCTTCTCCAAAGATGTGCACACTGGCCCTTCTTTATGAATGGGTTTTAGTGCTAAGGACTAAAGGGAACAGATATGTGGAGGTTGATATAAAAATCTAACAACTAAAGGCAGTATAGTCATTGCCTATGTTTCTGACATGTCGTGTGGATAAGCAAGCCACTGAAACTCCTGCCCTCCACCTGTTATCAGCAAGCGGATCTCTCCAAAGTCCTCCCTTCACTCTCAAACCAGAAGGCAGAATCACAACCCATGAACCAGGTGAGCTATAGACCCTCGTAAGCCCACTCCTTTCAGATGAACAGTTTGCATTTCTGAGGGCAGAGTTCCTATTCAAGCGTTTCATTAAGATAGTGAATAATGTCTAGTAACTATACCTATAGAAATTGAGTAGAACCACGCACAATTCAATTTAAAAGGATGGCCTTATCTTACAAGTCACAAGAGAAGGAAAAAAAGGCATTTACTAAGGTTCTACTATGCGCTAGGTATTTTTATACTGTCGTCTCACTCAGCGCTCACAATTAGAGCAACGTGGGTATTTCCAGGCCTGTTTCTCATATTAAAAAAACAAAAGGATACTAGCCCGAGGCTAGCAAGTGGCAGAAGGTAGACTACTGCCCAGGTCTAATTCTAAGCCAGTCCTTTTCCAACTCTGCAACCTCACACGGTGTTGCAAAGAGACAGTTGGATATTCAAGAAATACTTTTAAGTAGAAATTGAATTTTAATTAGAGACTGAAATGAGAAACAACATGTTCAAATGTACTGTATATAAAATTTTAACACACACCACCCACACATAACTCATGCTGCCAGAGTAACTTGGGGTGGGGGGAAAGATCAAGTTTCATGATAAAACCTATGTTCTGCCTTCTCACTGAAGATCAGCTCAACATTGCACAGTGAGCTACTTTCCAATCTGTAACATTTGCAACTATGATTCTGTTGGAATCCTGTTTTTCCTCAATGCTACACCAAAAAGAGAACAAAATGCAGAACCAAATAAACTATTTGATAAGCCTTCAGTTCTCAACCATGTCTAAAGGCAGTTTTTGTGTTCATCAGAACAGCTTCATTGTCCTCACTGATTAATATATAATAATAATAAACGTGTAAGTAAATATCATAAATATAGGCTTGTAAAAAGTCAAATATAGTAAAATATCACTTGTTTAATAGTTCTGCATAAAATTAGTTGGAAAAAACTCCACTGCCTAAATGAAAAGAAACATGTTAGTTCCTCCCCTATACCACAATGTTTTCTTAAATAACTCATAGTAAAGTGAAGAGAGATTGGCTGATACATTAGGATCAACCTAGAAGCAAGGAAAAAGTTGAAAGGAACTTTGCATCTATTCCAACCTCTCACTCAGTGCATGAACCCCTTTCTGTGATGTCCCTAACAGGCAGGGACCCAGCTTCTGTTCTGTCATTTCCTACTCAAGGAAGATGAACAAATCTTAAGAGAATTCTTCTTTACCTGAACCAATACCTGGCCTTCCTATGATCATGACCTGCTCAGATTCATAGAAGACTTTATGCCCTTCAAACAACTAAAGCCACTCATCATATCATCCTTTTTTTTTTTATTGTTTTGAGACGAAGTCTCACTCTGTCGCCAGGCTGGAATGCAGTGGCACGATCTCAGCTCACTGCAACCTCCGCCTCCTGGGTTCAAGCAATTCTGCCTCAGCCTCCCAAGCAGCTGGGACTACAGGCACGTGCCACCCACACCCAGCTAATTTTTGTATTTTAGTTTCACCATGTTGGCCAGGCTGGTCTTGAACTCCTGACCTCATGTGATCCGCCTGCCTCGGCCTCCCAAACTGTCTTGCTCTTCTTTAAAGGTTCTCCCCAAGTCCAAAAGCCAAAACTCCAATGCCAACGAAAAGTATCATGCAATACTGCCTCTCTTCTTTGAGGAGGTAGGTAAATCCTATTCTACTAACCCAGCGGCTGGCAAATTCCAATCTGTGGGAAAATCCAGTCCACTGCCTGGTTTTGCCAATAAAGTTCTGTTGAAACACAACCACAGCCATCTGCCTATCTATTATCTACAGCTGCTTTCAAACTACTAAGGTGGAGTTCAGTAGTTGAAAGAAAGACATATGTATATTACGTTCAGTGTTACAGGCTACCGTCTCAGTAGTTACAAGGGTCATCCCTGTATTATTTAGGATGCCCAAATGCCTGCCAAACATTAAGCTCACAATAAGTATTTGCTGAGTAAGGAAGGTCAGAAAAGGAAAGAGGGAGATTAGAAAGAAGGGAAGGTAGGGCTTTTCTTCTCCCAAAACTAACCTGAAATCCAGCCTTATAGAATACTTTAAAACCTGACAGATCCTTGTCTTGCTGCAAGATCTTTTAACACAGGGCTACACAGCAGAATTAAAATTGAGGACCTAAAGCGACTATGTTTTATTTCAGGCACATAAACACTGATTAAAATATCATTTAATAAAACAAAAGTCCTTGTTAATTTTGAATGCACAGGAAAATACTACTCATAGTGTTAGAAGCATATGTATTTGTTACTGTTGCTACTGCTTATTGTCTTAATATCACTCACTGCAGTTATATAAAGCAATTGGGATAAATAATCTTTCCCTCAGATGAACTCTTAAGCACTCTGGATTTGGGGAAATAGAAAAGAACTGCTTTAAGACAGATGAGGAAAAGACTGAATCATCAATGAGCTTACTATAACTCTTGATTCTTCATCTCCTTCATGGTTTAATAATCACTCACTTTTACGATGGTTTATTCAAGACAACCTTTGTAGAAAGTATTAAAATATGCATCACATCTTGCACAGCTTTTCAACTTTTTAAGCAACTTGTTTCATTATACTTGTGTTCTCTTACAAAGAATCTGATGTGAAGAATTTTAGAATTAGCAATGCAAGATCTTTCTCAACATGGAATCGAAATTTTTACTGAGTCCATTTTATGAAACTATTTCACGTGAATATTAAGTACACATAATTATTTATGATAAAACAGGAAGAACTCAGAAGACATGAAATGGAAAATAGTCACCTATGGGTATTAACAAAGATCCCCAGTATAGTTAGGTATTCTCCCCAAATAATGACATAATGAAACTAAAACATCACTAGCACAGGAATCTCAGGATGCACAAAAATTGCAGCCTACATCCACAGAAATAATAAATAGGGGCTGCACTCCAGGCTCAAAAAGTGATGCTACCCACAGCCCAAGGCCAGGTCAGTAGGGACCCTGAAAGAGTCAGGAAATGCAAAGGAAACCTAGGAGCAATCGCGTGATCACATCTAAATGACCCAACCTTTAAAACACACATAGAAATCCCAAAAAATTATAGGAAAAAGTATGTTACACTGAAAAAAACATTACTGGTGAACAATATAAAATATACATTTCTATACAAAATGAAACAAAGAGAGAAATCCAATAATCCAAAGAGGTTTTCTACTTTAGCCCAGTGACTTGAAAAGAGAACCAGCCTCATTCAGGAAACATTCGAAATGACCAAGAACGGCAACATTACCCAATAAATCGTCCCAATGCTCCTTCCTCTACCATACCCTGCCTCTCAGGAAACATTCATACAGGAAGAAGGGATAAAAGAGCTGGCCAATAAATCACATGCTCTGCTTCTCAAAAGCAGAAACTTGACTTTCAAATTGTTTGACTCCAATGAAATAGGAACTGAAGGCTCCAAACAATCACAGAATTCCAGAGTAGCACCTCAGAAAACTCATCTACTGAGTCGGCTCGTGTGGCCGAACTTAGGTAACAGCTGTAAGCATAACTGGCCTGAGGAGAGATGTGGGCCACCCTCTTCCCTGCCAGGACCTTTCACCCTGTGAATCAGAAATAGCTGCCACTTAAAACACCAGCAAGCAGTTGAAGTGTCTTTAACCCAGTTACCCTACACTATGCGTATTAGGCAGAGGCAGGGAGATTTTTGGAAGGCTGGTAGGGGGAAAATGAATCGAAATGGAGCAAAATCTTTTTGGTGACAACAGTACCATAAGTCCTTGTTTTATATACACTTTTGTAGTACTTACAGAATTAGGCTCTCTTTTAAATGCTTTATACACACATTAACTCAATTCTGCGAGGTAGGTATTTAATACTATCATTACACCCACTTTGCATACAAGGAAACAGGCACGGAGGCTGCAGAGCAGGTAAGTCACAGAGCTAGAATGCAAATGCAGGCAGTCTGGCTCTGCCCCTGACCATTATTATGTGCAGCATCTCAGTCCAATCAAATATTTACTCAGCACCTGTCAGGTGTACTTGTGCCAGGTTCTGGGCATATTAAGAGGCCTGCAACCCAGCCCTGCACTGTGCCACAATGTGCTCTGTCCTATAACACAGACAGGAACAAAGGCCCGAGGCTGGGTTATGGCTAGCACATTAGGCACCTCTGTGCCAGTTCACAATGGGGATCTGGGCAAGCCAAGCAGGGGCTGGATTTCAGCCCCACTTGCCCCCTTGGCCAGGCACTTCTGTGCAGTGTCTAACAGGCCTCACTGTCTGAGGCAGCCCTGCAGTGGCCCTGGAAGGACCCTCAATTCTGTTTTGGTAGTGAAAGGTTGGGAGAAGAGAAGCCCTCTTTCCTAACGAGTTCTGCAGAGTTAATGCACCACCACCACTGTGGCAGAGGGTTGTATGGAAAGGCTGGAGAGGGCAGGTACTAGTGTGAGATGGGCTTATTGGAAAGGAGGCACAGAGCAGTGTACAGTAAGGATGACCTTAATATGAAAGATGCTATTTCATCTAGCATTTCCCTGGTTTAGGTAGTTGGGAGAAGATTAGGCCCAGGTTTATTGTGCTACAGAGGGTCCTCATTCAGATTACTAAACTCACAGCTCAATTACTGGATTCGTAAGACTCTCGGCCTATTTTTTTCTACTAAGAGGGGTTGCACTACCAGGGGAGTTCTAGTTCCTGATGAATGGGCAGACTGGACCCCCCTCAAGGGACTCAGTTGCTGTCTGGATCTATCACTAGGCTGGATTTCTTTGGAGGGGTCCCTGGGATTGAGTCCTGCCAGCTTCAGGTTCCTGGGGCAGAGAATTGGTAGTTTGAAGTGCTGAGTCCAGAAGCTAATGAAGATGGCCCAGGCCAAGGCCTTTCCAACAGGACTGAAATCTGGTTGCAGGCAGTTGTTGGAGCCTGGAGTTTGTTTTGTTGTGGGCAGCCTGCTTAGGGCTGTTTTGTTAGGGCAGTTTGTGAGGTTAGCCCTCTTATGTTATGTCTGGAACAATTGTATAGTAATCTGGATGCATTGTCAGTAAAGCTAAAATGGGCTCTGTGATCATGACTTCTATCTAATTAAAATTATAAGGAGCATAGTATTGTGGAAATAATTTTTAGTTTTCCCTCCCCTTGGAGAGTCTACCTCTGACCTCTGCAGTCTTCAATTCACACCCCTATTGTCTGACCACATTGAACTTTCTTTCCCTCCAGTTTTCTGACTTGTTACTCCATACAACATTTATGGTTCAGCCTCATCAAGACCACCAGGCCCTTCCATCTTCTACTTTCTTTTTTTTTGAGACGGAGTCTCGCTCTGTCGCCCAGGCTGGAGTGCAGTGGCACAATCTCAGCTCACTGCAAGCTCCACCTCCCAGGTTCACGCCATCCTCCTGCCTCAGCCTCCCCAGCAGCTGGGACTACAGGTGCACGCTGCCACGCCCGGCTAATTTTTGTATTTTTAGTAGAGACGGGGTTTCACCGTGTTAGCCAGGATGGTCTCGATCTCCTGACCTCGTGATCCGCCCGCCTCGGCCTCCCAAAGTGCTGGGATTACAGGCGTGAGAAAGTAGAAGAAAGTAGAAATCTTCTACTTTCTATGTGCCCTTCCTTCCTTTCCTATAACTCAGATCTCAGTCTATAATTTCAAATATTTTCTTACCAGTGTACTAAGTTCCCGCACCCCATTGTCTACCTATGGATTCACCTTAGATTAGGAAAAACCCTAACCCTTACCAATCTAACGGCCCACCTTCTTAAAACTACATCTAGATGGCTACAAAGGCTACACAAGGAAAGAAAAAAGAAATCACACAACCATCTAAATGTGTGCCAAGACGGTCTGCAACTTCAGCACGACACAACTACCAACCCTCTGTGTCTCTGGTCATCCTCGGCCCTCCGTCCTCACTGCAGCTTCTTCTATCCTCCTCAGTTAAAACCGCTACCTGACCACATTTCAGTCACACTTGGCAAAATGACCTCACGTTCTACTGCACCAGCACTGCGCCATCTCTAGTCCCATTTAAGGAAAGCCACCCCCCAACCTTCCTGCCCCTCCAGTTCCAGCCCTTTCTCTTCTCTTTCCTGGTGAATGTCTCATAAAACATTCATTGGAGCAGCATCATTTCCTCATTCCCCACTCCTCCACTAATCGGCACCGCAACAAGGCCCATGACAGCCCTCTGGCCAAGGTCACCACTGACACGAATTCAGTGGTCATTTTCCAGTCATTATCTTCCATGATCTCTGGTCAACATTTAACAAAATTGGCCACTTTTTCCTGGAAAGTCTCTATCCTCACCTGCTTGACATCACACTCTCCAGGTTTCCTTCCAACCTCTCAGTTCTCTTTCTCCCAGACTCCTCTTTCTGGTTGCTGTTGGTTTTTTGGTTTTTTTTTCCTTTGCATTTTTTGTTTTGAGATGAGGTCTTGTTCTGTCACCCAGGCTGGAGTGCAGTGGCACAATCACGGCTCATTGCAGACTCAACATCCCAGGCTCAGGTGATCCTCCTGCCTCAGCCTCCCAGGTAATTGGGGCCACCGGTGCATGCCACCATGCTTGGCTATCTTATTTTTTTGTAGAGACAGGGGTCTCACTATGTTGCCCAGTCTAGTCTCAAACACCTGGCCCCAAGTGATCCTCCCGCCTTGGCCTCCAAAAGTGCTGAGATTACAGGCACAAGCCACCATGACTGGCTGCCAAGTTCCTCTTTGGTTCCTTTACTTTTGGTGATCCCATAAAAGCTGCATGTATACTACACGCCAGCAGTGGCTGAGGCCGTAGGCATCCTCAAGTATTTTCCTTTCCCACACAACTGAACCCTCATGCATGGCTATGGCTTCAGCTACCATCTAAGTGGTTGCAAATGTGAGCTCAAACATTAGCCAGACCTAGGTTCAAATTCTGGCTCCACCATGTCTTAGGCACAACATTTAATTTCTCTAAGCTTCAGTTTTCTAATCTCTAAAACGATAATAGTAAATGTATAGCATATAAAAAATACTGAGCACTGTGCCTCCTGCAAAATATTAATAATATAGTATAGTATACAGTATGTAACAATAAATGTTAGCTATTAGCTTTTTTTTTTTTTTTTTTTTTTTTGAGATGGAGTCTCGCTCTGTCGCCAGGCTGGAATGCAGTGGCGCAATCTCGGCTCACTGCAATCTCCACCTCCTGGGTTCAAGTGATTCTCCTGCCTCAGCTTCCCAAGTAGCTGGGACTATAGGTGTGCACCACTACGCCTGGCTAATTTTTTGTATTTTAGTAGAGATGGGGTTTCATCATGTTGGCCAGATGGTCTGGATCTCCTGATCTCGGGATACATACACCTCGGCCTCTCAAAGTGCTGGGATTATAGGCGTGAGCCACCGCACCTGGCCCTAGGTATTAGTTTTAACTACATCTCCAAACCTCACCTCTGAGTTTCCATTTACCTATGTGAAATCTCAAGTTGAATTACTGCACAAGCAGTTCAAACTCAGTCACTCTAAAGTCAAACTTCTCCCTTTCCCACCAAACCTGCTATTTCTTCAGGGTTACAGATCATAGTGCATGACCCCATTACCCACCTCAATACCTACAGTGGTTTTAAAACATGCCCAAAAATTCTTCAACCTTCCTCCCACCAAGAGATATCTCCCTTCTGCCCTTGAACCTAGCAATGCCTTTTTTACTGCCTTGATGAAAAGAACACAGTAAAAGTGACACTGAATCACTGTTGAGGATTGGGTAGAAAAGACCAGGCAGTTTCTGCCAGTTTCTCTTGGTACGTTTGCTCTGTAAGCCTTCGGCCTCAATATGAGAAGTCCAGCTATCTTGAGGCCATCACATAGAAAGACCACATGAAGAGAGATGCCCCAGGGGGCCACCCTTGTCCAGCACCCAGCTGTTGCAATGTACCCAGCTCAGATGCCAGGCATGTGTATGAAGCCTTGAGGTGACCCCACCCTCCATCTGATTACAACTTCATGAGGGATCCTGAACAATAACTGCCTAGTTGAACCCAGTCAAACCCCGATTCACGAGTAAAATACATTGTTATTGTGTTAAACTATTGTTTTAAGGTGGTTCATTACTCAGATAACCAAAACAATGCTCAAACCAAAAACCTAAGAATTATCCCTGAGATCTATTCTGTTGTCATCTTCCACATCCAATTACAAAATTCTGGCAATTCTTAAATGTTGTTAAATCCATCTACATTTATGCATCCCTCCTGCCCCTTCCTGGTTGTGAACACCATCATCTCATTTCTGGATCAGGACATCTTCCTAACTAGTCTTGCTCCAGTCTTCCCTCCCTTTCCAATCCTTCTCTGCACTGCAGACAGATCTGACCATGTCATTGCAGGCAAACTTTCAGAGTTTCCATGACCCTAGCTGGGCTCTGCAGCTTCATTTCTAGCACTGCTCCAAACCCTGCTCCAAAAACACAGAACCCCTGAAGTCCCTTGAAGTCATGGGGTTACTCACCCCCAAATTTCCGCACAGCTATTCCTTTTGCCTGGCCCTGGCCCTGCCTGTCACTGGGCCAACTTTACTCAGCTTTAATGTTGCAGATGTTAAAAGACTCCTCTGGGAAGTTCTCTTTGGCCCTGAAATCTAGGTTAGGTTGCCTTTCATGTGCTACTCTAGCCGTCTTTATTTCCCTCCAGATAGACTATGCTACTCCAAAATGTAATTGTTTATTTTTCATCGTACAGGAGCATAAGTACCTTGAGGGCAGACTAATGTCTTATTCACTCAACATTTTTTTTTAGGGAAAAAAGCAAATTTAGAAAGATAGAGCATTATGTTACAATTTTGGTAAAATTCTTAAAGCACACACAATGATACTATATATGGTTTACACCCACATGCATATATGATAAAAAGCCAAAAACATGCATGAGACTGTTACTCACTAACCTCGGGATAGTGGTCACCACTGAGAAGGGTGGAGGAGGAAGCGTGCAGGGAACAGGAGTCTTTAGTTTCATTTAAAGATCACCAGAATTTTGAAGTCAAAATGGCAAAATGTTCAATCAGGAAGGCAGGTACACAGAAGTCTGTTATATTATTTTCTGTACTTTTCTGAATGCTTAAAATAATTCATAATTAGAAATAAAACTCTGAAAGAATTATATTTCTGTTTAGCTCCTGACTCCATGTCTATACTGATTAGGAACGGGTATAGACCTCCAATGCCTCAATCAGTGGTCCTGGAGTGCCTCCAGATTGTCATTCCCTTCCCCAAGAGAAAGAGAGAGAGAGGCCAGAGCAGCAGCTCTCCTGTTGAAAAAAGAACCCAAGGGAATCCCTCTTGGAGAGACATGGACATAATTAGTGGGATAAGTCCTCAACTCTGAAAGCAGCAGTCCAGAGGTTAAAACAGTTCCCAGCAAATCTAGGTACAGAGGAACTTGATAAATGAGATTGGCTTGCAAATGCAACTTTTCAGATGGTGAGCTACTATCAAAATCATGTAGGAGTGCTTGGCTCTATGAGCCAAAGGGCAGAACACCTACCTTTATGCACACTGAAGGAGAGAGTGGGTAATCAATGAAAGCAAAATCAGTGAGCAGACTCCCGCCTCAAACACAAACCCACACAACTTTCCCAGTGGGAGCTGCACTGTCACTGAGTTCCCAGAGGGCCTCTCACAGGCAACCAGGTGACAGAAACAATCAAGTGACCCCTCAATTTCCAGAATTGTTATCTATGGTTCACACAGTCTCTCTCACTCATCCTCTCAACAATTATTAATTATAATAGTTAAGCAGCACCGAAGAATGCTCATGGCCATGGGCTTAGAATCAGACAAGCTCATACACTGATCCTGACCCTGACCCTCCACTGGTTATGCAATTCTGGGCAACACTCAACCTTTCAGAGTCTCAAGTTTCCTCTTTTCTAAGTTGCTATGTCTTTGTGGTTAACAGCACTGTTGGGAGGATTAAATTAGGTGATCCAAGGAAAACACTCAGCACTGTAAATGGTACACAGTCCTGTATTTACCAGACACTAGACTAGATTCCAGTGATAAAATGGTGATTAAGACGGTCAGGGAACCAGCAATGATGCAGGTTACAGACTCAGATGCCAGCCATGTATTTAGCGCTAGAAATCTGAACTGGCCTTATAAATTGTGCGGCCCAGTGCAAAATGAAAACGCAAAGCACCTGTTCTAAAATTAAGATTTTTTTTTTTTTTTTTTTTTTTTTTTTTCCAGGATGGGGACCAAAGAGCAGTAAACCAGGCATGGGGCTCTTCTGAACCCAGCGGTTGCATGGCTGGGAAGCCAGCCCTGCTAAAAGTAGATGTGACTTGGTACTTTACAGACACTCGGAAAATGAGGGTCAACCAGAACTGGGCTTCTTAGACTCATCCAAACACCTGGGACATTGGGACATTTGGGGAGATGACAGGGGAGAGCCACAACATAACACAGGGGGCTGCAGGATCCAAAACAAAAGCCCCTCAATAATTTAATTTGTGGGAAGTATCAGAGGAAATTCCCACTTCTTGTCACCTACAATAGTTATGAGACCTTCCCTAACAAGCTTTCCTTCTCTTTAGTCTACCTTAGAAATAAATCCTTTTATAAAGTTAATACCATCAGGAGATTTTGCCCAGCTGAAGTCCATAAGCAACAGGCTGCTTATGGCCTAGTATCTATTGGGAACAGCTGACTTCCCAGGCAGTGCGTGGCAAAAGAACATAGCACAGTCTCAGTACCTCTTCAAAAGAAATGGGGCTGGGCACAGTGGCTCACGCCTGTGATCCTAGCACTTTGGGAAGCTGAGGTAGGTGGATCATTTGAGGTCAGGAGATTGAGACCAGCCTGGGCAACATGGTGAAACCCCGTCTCTACCAAAAAATACAAAAACTAACCATACGCCTGTAGTCCCAGCTACTCAGGAGGCTTAGGTGGGATAATTGCTTGAACCCGGGAGGCAGAGGTTGCAGTGAGCTGAGATCAAGCCACTGCACTCCAGCTTGGATGACAGAGTGAGACCCTGTCAAGCAAGCAACCAAGAAAAGCAAGAAACAAACAAACAAACTGGGACTTGGGGCAGGTAGGAATGTGCCCCTGAAAGTGACACTAGGGGACTGAGTAAGGAGATCGCACCACTGCACTCCAGCCTGGATGACAGAGTGAGACCCTGTCAAAAAAAAAAAAAAAAGAAGAAGAAGAGGAGAGGAAAAAAAGAAGAAAGAGGAGGAGAGGAAAAAAAGAAGAAAAAGGAGAGGGGAGGGGAGGGGAAAGGAGGGGAAGGGAGGGAAGAAAAACGAAACAAAACAAAACTGGGGCTTGGGGCAGGTAGGAATGTGCCCCCAAAAGTGACACTAGGGGGCTGAGTAAGGAGGTTGCCTGAAAATCTATATGTGGTCACCTGGTGGAACACTAGATGCTGAAGATCACCTCAGTGGCTATGACCAGGGTATGGAGACTGTAAGGCAGGAGTTCCCAGCACACAACATAGTTCTCTTCCTAGCCAGCCTTCTCTGTAACAATCACCTGCCAGAGTCCTTGGGGACAAGGGCGCATCAGCCTGCCTGCTCATGGCCACTGCTTTCTTTAACATAGTAGTGGTCAAGGACCACTTTTCTGTACCTGTTTACTTAAGAAGCAATATACTAAAAATTTTGAGTGCATCCCAACTGCCTTAACACCAAGCTGCCTGAGCCTCTGCCTAGCACAAGGGAACTACTTGTAGGTGGAAGGCAATGAAGAGGGAGGGCCCTGGGGCCACAAGCGCAGTTCAACTACTTGCTAGCTGTGTGAACTTGAGGAAATTACACAACCTCCCTGAGCCTCAGTTTAATGCTATTACACATGCAAAGCACTTAGAACACTGGCACAGAGTAAGTGTTCAATAAATGTTAACTGATTTTGCCCTCCTGATTATAACTCATATACTTATCTCCTCTCACCCCCGACCTGAGCACTGCCCACATGCCAACAAGCATGTGGCTTTGGCATCTTTCAGAATGCAAGCCCCTGGAGGGCATGAATCAAGGTCCCTATGTGTCCTCTCCTAGGGCTCATACTGTTAGACTGGAGCCACAGAAGTTTGGGAACCAGACTTAACACCTTTGTAGAAAAGTTCCTACCTAATGGTACGGATTTGCTCAAAACATTTTTGCTATATGAACTCCATATATGGTAGATCTGTTTATTGTGCTCAGATAATTTTTATCTTATAAATTATTAAGAAAGGAATATTTAATATGACTGCCTAATCCACTCGACATTTAGACTAAAAAGTGACCTACATTATCACTTTAAAGTTAGTCACAATAAATACAACTTACAATGTTCATAGATATTCAGGGTTAAAAACAACGAAACAATGTACTTTTTTTTTTATCAATAAAGAAGTTCAGTTCACAGATAACTGAACATAATATGAAATCACAAATGTACCTTCACTCCTCTTTTCAAGTAGGATCCTTTACAATTTCATAGTGCCTGTGGGCTCTACCCTTTGTAGCACATCATGGGTTTCTATTGTTGGTTAGTTAGCTGGTTTTTATCCTGCAAATGGTGACAGATTTGTGATGATCAACCCAATTCTCTCACCACATCTTCCCCACTGAGACATACATTTTTATGATGGCAGATACAGCCTATAACCAAGAAACTAAATAGGTCAAGTCCACCAGTCTATACAAAGAAATCTTATTAAACTAACCTATCAAATCTAATCTTATTAAATCCCAAACACTGGCAGGGCACGGTGGCTCACTCCTGTAATCCCAGCACTTTGGGAGGTCGAGGCAGGTGGATCACCTGAGGTCAGGAGTTTGAGACCAGCCTGGCCAACATGGTGAAACCCCGTCTCTACTAAACATACAAAAATTAGCTGGGCATGGTGGTGGGCACCTGTAATCCCAGCTACTTAGGAGGCTGAGACAGGAGAATCACCCCATTGCACTCCAGCCTGCATGACAAGAGCAAAACTCTGTCACAAAAAAAAAATAAATAAATAAAAAATCCCCAACACGGTACAGTAGTTTCCCCTCATCCATGGGGGATATATTCCAAGTCCCAGTGGATACCTAAAACCACAGATAGTACTGAGCTATCATAGAACTAACTAACATAGCACAGAGCACACTATATTTTTTCCTATACACACACACCTATGATAAAGTTTAATGTGTAAATTAGGCATAGTAAGTGATTAATAATAACTAATAATAAAAGTGAACAATGATAACAATATACAGTAATAAAAGTTATATGAATGTGGTCTCTCTCTCTCTTAAAATATCTTATTGTACTTTACTCACTTATTTTGAGACCTCGGTGGACCATGGTTAACTGAAACCTTGAAAAGTAAAACCGTGGATGGGAGGGTGGAGGCTACTATAAACAAATGCAATGAATATTAATTGACAATTAGCATCCAAGACTAATCAACCATTTTTACTTGTCACATTTTCAAGTCTAAGTTTATATTTTAGTTCACAATAAAACACACAAAATGAGAGAAATGTACTAGAAAGCAAAGAAGCACATCAGAAGCTACCCCCTCCCCTATGTGCCTTACTTAACCTGTCCTGCCACAGGTTCCTCTAGAGCCACACGACTGCCAGTCCTGCAGTCAAGGAGGATATTACAGCTGAGGGTTCATCCCGCATGACTTTCAGGGCCATGCAGAAAGTAAGGGCTCCATAAATATTTGTTGAATAGATAAATTATTCAAATGGGTTTTATTTTCGTAGCTTTTAAAAGATTCTTAAAAGAGTCTTGTGACTTCCTGCTTGTTGATTACAACTCCCAGTATTTCCATAAATTGAGACTAGTTTAAAAGGTATTTCAATACCACTAAGCAGTAACAGTCATTCTACAGGAGGTATAAAAGTAACATCAGCAACATAATCACAATACGTTAACTTTTTTTTTTTTTTTTTGTCTTGAGACGGAGTCTCACTCTGTCGCCCAGGCTGGAGTGCAGTTGTGCGATCTCACTGCAACCTCTGCCTCCTGGGTTCAAGCGATTCTCCTGCCTCAGCCTCCCAAGTAGCTGAGATTACAGGCATGCGCCACGACACCCAGCTAATTTTTCTATTTTAAGTGGAGATGGGGTTTCTCCATGTCAGCCAGGCTGGTCTCAAACTCCTGACCTCAAGTGATCCGCCTGTCTTGCCCTCCCAAAGTCCTGGGATTACGGGCGTGAGCCACCTCGCCCAGCCACACAATACGTTAACATTTTATATTTGAAAAGCAACGTACTGTTTACAAATGGCTTTCCCTCCACTATCTCATTTAATCATCATAGGTATTACACAGAGTACAACCAATTCTACCACTGTTGTTTTGATGGCGCAGAGGGAAAAAAGGTTAATTCCAGATCAATCATCACATGAGTCAAGACAGAAAATTTTGAACTGAAAGGAATCTAGAAGTTGATCTTGTCCAACCTCCCAGGAAAACTCGAGAAATGTGTTTTTCTCTTTCATTTTAACCTGACTATTTTCTCCTACCTTATCCAAAAAGCTCTGCACATTGTGTTACTAGTTCTACCTATGAGAAGAAAGAGTAAGATGCTGGTACTGCCTGTTGGGACAGCAGCTAAATGTTTACCCAGAGACTTGGCAGATGTAAACATGGCCTTTAAACCCCATCATGGAAAGGGGAAAAGTTGTGTGCCCTTCTAGGAAGATTCACTCATCAACTGGAAAACAGAGATTTTTATGTTTAAATTGCCACCCTGGCTAAAAGGATTATATCTTGATCATCTTCAAGTTAAGAGTAAAGGATACATTCTGCATTCCCCTGAACAAAACACCTAATCCAAACAGATTTTATCTTGTCTCAGTTTAAAAACTGGTGAAAAAAAGCAGAATTTTCCTTTCCATTTCATATTCATCTGATTCAACAAATAAAATATCGGGCCCTAACTATTAATACATGCCAGAAACCAAGTCAGGCACCGCACCAGGTGATACATCTAATTGATTAGGATTAGCAAATTTCTATTCTTTCTCTCGACTGAAATCAATAAAACCCTGTCTTAAATATTAAAGTACTATCCCTGTCCCTCACCTTGACTGTCACTTCTGAGAACATTTGTTTTAAGAAATCAACAGCGACCCGAAGATCAGTAGAGCTTCTTCATCTGTTTTAATATCTCAATCTTATTAAAAGGATTAATCCTGTTAAGACAAAATAGCACCTCCACCTTTCTCTCCCTTCTTCCTTTCCACTCTCCTCCAAATAAAAAGGTTAAGTGACGACATCCAGCCCAAAGAACAATGAACAATAGATACATACACACACACAGCTCTCTCTTCCAGTTTCCAACAGGAACAACACAAGAAAGTCAAATACTGATTAAAAAGAAATGACACACACCATCATTCTTGTCAGTGCATGGAAAGGGAACTTACTCTAATCCATTCAGCAAAATCTGGAGTCAAACTTGGAATGAAAGGAGCATTTTTTTTCCCTGCAAGGTAAGTAAAAGAACTCAGGAATTTTTTAAAAATAAAATAAGATACCAGATGCAAATAAATTGATTTCTATTCCTCAGAAATAGGGCTTTTAATAAACGCCACACAGAGTATGCATAAGCAAGCAAGTCAATCCGAAAGACAGGAAGAGAAAAATAATGTGTGGCACATCATTTTCTCTGAAAGTCGACAAGCAAAAGGTGAACACAAAAAGGCTACCTCGGGAGGGCTAGTTTTTTGTTTTGAGATGGTTTTTCTGTTTGTTTCCATCCAGTTTAATGCTAAAGAATTTTCTGAAATCTTTTCACAGGGGACACTTGGCACACTCACAAAAACTAAACTGTTTCCTTTAAGATTTCTTTTCTCACCTCCAAAGAGTAGCCACTGGCTTTTATGGGGTTGGTCACTGCACTTGTGAATTTTAGATGGATAAAGTGGCAAAATAATGATTTTTTTTAAATATAAAAGTAAAACTAAGATGTATGGCAAGTAAAGCTTTTTAAAAAGCCAAGTCAAATTTGAGGCCTGCTGATTTTGACACAAAGCTGTTAGTAAATTGGCAAAGAAATTAATCTGCTTTTAGGGTAAACTTGAGCCCAGGTAAAACAAAAAGGCCAAGTCAAATTTGTGACCTGTTGATTTTGACACAAAGCTGTTAGTAAATTGGCAAATAAATTAATCTGCTTTTAAGGTAACCTTGGGCCCACAAACATTCATCCACTCACCTTTAGACTATGCCTATCTAGAGGTTAGCCTGAGTAATTAACCAGAGTTATCAATTTTGTTTTCACTAAGCATTTTGATAGGTTTGGCACCTCAAAGACAGCTTTGTGATGCAATTTATAAATTTAAAACACATCCGGTAAATAAAGAAAATAATAAAATGTCAGAACCACCTGATTTTCTTTTTTAAGAACTATTTAAGTATTCAAAATTAGCTTTTAGTAGTACAGGCAATGTCACCCTTTCCTACTTGGTAATTATCCCAACAAACTTTCGCTTTAATTTAGGCAGACTGCAAGACAAAAACCATGTATTGTATTTTATAAGATAAATTACAAATTAAATCAGTTATTTAACTTAGAAAATAATCTTCTGGCAGCTCTCTTAACTTACAGGGCACCTTGTATTGTGAAGAATGTTCATAATCAGATAATCCCCGTAACCAGCTACAGTACTGGGTGAATAATATCCCTTTATCACAAAGATAAAGGAAGTTACTGCCATCAACAAATGAACAACAAAACAGAACTTGAATTCAGAATTTTAGATCCAGCTCCATTCACAAGGCTATGCATTAACTGCAGTCACCATCCTTTCCCACAAGACCATCAAGCTCTGAAGCATTAGGAGAAACATTTTCTTTATGTACACTAAAATAAGCCCAAATACACAGATAACAGCACAAAGCCGGTCCGGCGTTTCTTGGCCATCAAAGCATGCACAGACTTTCTCAGTACAGCCTTAAGTGTAATTCCTAGAAGGCACTGGCAAATCTCTGCCAGGCCAATCTGCAGTCGAAAACCGAGTGCATGTGTCCAACAAGATGACAGGAGGGTCAATGTTTCTAACCGTCTACTTCAACTCTGCATGGCAATAGCGGTTCTGCCCAACATGGTAAACACAATAATCGTATAGGATCGAACACAAGTCTCTGTAAATGAGGATCCCCTTAAACGCAAACAAGCAACTCTGGGGAAATATAATTTCTGGAACAAAACATGGTGCTCGCATAATTCCACAAAGACACATAGAAGTCCATTTTTAAAATGATGTTCGGTCCCAGCACTGTGCTGACACTTTTCCCACCTAAACTTCTCAGCACAAGCCTGGCCTAAACAGCCGGGTTCCAATCCGTGCACAGTGGAACCGCGGCACGCACCCAAGACCGGAATGGTGGGGCTATACCTGTCCCTACTCAGTCCTGTTCGTGCCAGCCTGCGAGGTAGTTTAGACCCGTCTGCTTTATGGTAATGTGCTTTTAAAACCCCGCCACGACCGAGGTCATAGCTTTAGAGATTTAATAACAATCAAATGACCAGGGCTGCTGGGCACTTAGTGAGCCATTCTGGTTATGGCTCTTTAATAGCACCTGGAGTTCTGCTCCAGGGAGAGAGGAAAACTCCTGCTCCCCCGGAAAGAAAGTCCTCTGCGGAGAGCGCAGAGGGAAGCCAGGAAGCCGATCGCGGGCAGGGGACGCGCCGCCGCGGCCGCCCCATCTCTCAAGCAGCCCCAGCGCGACCCTCGCCCTGCAGCCGTGCTGGCCCAGGCCGCACCTTTACCTGTCAGCTCCACCACCCACCCGCCCTGGAGGCTGCCCCTCCGAGTCCAGGGAAAGGCTTACCAGCCGGCTGCGGGAGAAAGAACCCCAGAGGCATCCTATCCCAAAGAAAGAAAGCAAAAAGGCTGCTCCTCAAGGCAGGGGGCCATCGGGCACGCCGAGATCCGAGAGGCGACATGCCACCCCTGCCCTGCACCTACCAGATAATCCATGTACAGAAACGCCTCAGTTATTCGGAGATCAGACATCCGGCAGCCTAAAGCATCCGGAACGGCTCCGAACCCGGAAAAAAAAAGCAGCGTCTCTGGCTGCGAGCGAGCAGCTCCTGAAAAAGCCAGCAACAGCGAAAATAGCCGAAAGCAGCCGACTAGCCGGAGATTACACAAGGGGCGCGGCGATTGGCCAGGCGGGCGGGCAGAAGGAAAGAAGCGTGCTCATTGGCTGCGGCGCCTATAAAAGGCAGGCCCCAGCTGGTGGCAGGAGAGAAACGCGGGAGTGGTGGGGGATGTGGGTTCCTGTGTGCTGAGCGGAGGAGCCGGGGTGGGGGCGGTGCAAGCGGAAGAAAGAGCCAAGAGAGCGGAAAATCGGCTGGTGCTGTCGCCGCCCGAGTTTTGTGTTTCCACAGCTTTCCAGTTGGGTACAACGGAGCCGAACTCCGTGTTCCCGGGCTGGAGAGCCTTGGTGTCCCCGCCAACCCCCAGTAGGAAGCGAGCGCTGTAACATGGGAGGCGTGGTCGCCACTGATCTTGTCTCCCCCCAGAGCCTTCCTAAAGGCTCTGCCGCCACGAGACTGCACCACCGGGAAAGAAGTGTGTGAAAGTGTACTCCGTAAACAGGCAATCCTGTACGCGACTTAGGGGCAGAAAGACCCTCCGCACTTTTATCATTTGAAAGTAAGGTGGACGATTCCAGCCTGGTGTCCCTGAGGGTACACACAGGCCCCCCGCGCAGCCAGAGGTGACTCAGGAACCCCCCTTCCAACCCCTGCGTAGAACGCCGAACAGTCTTCGGAGAATTCGCTTTCCTCCACGTGAAAAGGAAAAGAAAAACATTTGAGGAGTCGCAGTAGTCACTTGTACTCCCCAAACACACGGGAAGAAGTTGATCAGTTTGCATGCTTGGAGTCAAATTACGCTCAGCACAAATCCAACGCCCCTGAATTAAATGAGCAGTAGAAGCTCTCTGCAAAAAACACAACAGTATTTGTGACCCGGTATTATTTCAGGAGGTAAAAACATCTATAAGCAGATGCATTTGGGACGTATGCATTTCCTGGTAATGTCAATATCGCATTAAGCTAGTGGGTTTGGGCAGGGAAAGCCTGAATCGGACAAGAAGCTGGCTTTTTTTTTTTTTAGGCTATAAATAACCAGACCATGCCAGACACATGTTCTTAGGCTATGTTCTTAGGCTCAGGTGATTGGAGTGCCCCCCCCCCCATCCCCACCCTCAGGGCTTAGGGAGAATGGAAGATAAGGTGGATGCTGTCACCTGTATTAATAGTTAGGGCTTGCATACATACAGTAAAGTTTCAAGAGTGAAACTTCATCGACTGAACTCTTTATGAAGTGACTGCCTGACTCTACACGCGATGTTTTAGGAGTTGAATTTTTACTTTCCCCCTGACACCTTTCTTTTTTGTATCCTCAAGAAACAAATTTCCGTACCGTAAGTTTACCTGGGACTACCAAAACAGTTCTGTTAGATGACCGTGGAATTCACCCCAAATGTGCACATAACCAATAAGGGCGAGGCAGCCCCCTAGAGGGAGCTGTAGGTTGATGAGCCAAGTGATTTTAGGTATGCAGTCTAATTTCCAAACCTGTTTCCTCAGCTGCAAAACGAGAATTCCTACAGCCAGAAAGTTGTGAGGGTTTGGGCGGGGGGCGGGGTTGGGGAAGTTGTTTTTGTTTTTTTGAGACAGGGATTCTCTCTGTCGCCCAGGCTGGAGTGCAGTGGCGCGATCTCGGCTCGCTGCAACCTCCGCCTCGCCGGCTCAAGCATCCTCCCACCTCAGCCTGCAGAGTCGCTGGGACCACAGGTGTGCACGACTACGCTCGTCTAATTTTTTGTATTTTAAGGGTAAAGACAAGGTCTCACTATGTTGCCCAGGCCTGTTTCTAACTCCTGGACTCAAGCAATCCGCCCACCTCGGCCTCCCAAAGTGCTATTAGATCCAATTTTGATTTTCCTTGGCATTCTGTTAATTCAAACACATGTAGGTTTAGAAGAGATTTTCACCTAGATTTTGGAGGAGATGGACGTCCATAAACGTACACTCTTTAGCACAATTTGTTTGAAACTAATTTGGAAAACAAAATCTCTCAATGAGCAGAAATAGTCATGGAACATTTTTTGTTTGTTTTGCTTTTCTTCGTGAATAAGCATATTTAAAATAAGATAAAGGGCTTGAGTTAGCAAAGAGACACCTTATGGACCATTGTCTTAGTGATAAATGATGTGTGGGCTACTGCCCAGTCAGGCTTTCGAGAGGCCTATCAGTCTCTATGCAGAGGAGGATAGCCACTCAGAAGCAGGTGGCTTCTGCCTTTCCTTTAAAAGTTAAGCTTAGGGAAAGATAGTCCTGAACATGTCATTAGGGTCAGTATGGTTCTTGCTGCCTCTAAGAATTAGTATATGGGGCCAAAGCAGGGAGATGAAAGAATATGTTCAAGGAAAAGTTCCAAAGACTGCACCATAATATTCACTTTATTCCACACAATTTGCACATTCATTGTGACTGGCATCAATGAAAACCTTGTAGTCAGTGTAATGTATTAAAAAATCACATATTGCATTTTAGGAAAGAGTCCTTATAAAACAACAACAACAACCTGTAGATTTTGAACTCCATATGGAGCACATTTTTTCAATTAGATGTTTTCTGAGATGTCAGTGAGTCCGCCCCTACAGAGGAAAGAGGCTAACTTGACTGAATTGGTATGAACAGATAATACACTACCCACTACATGAAGCTGCAGTCATAGCTGATAGGGTTGGTAGCACCTATTGAGGTAATCACCTCAATACATGCTTTTTAAAAGAGTGTAGAGAAGTTAGAATGCATTTAATCAACCTACCATACTGTATGCCAAGTAACAGACTGCAATCCAGAACAAGACATGATCTCATTAACCTAGTTCTGCCCTTGCTGTCAGTGAAAAGAATGACCCTCTTCCAGATGCGGAAGAAACATGTAAACTCATGAGGCAATTGCATTAGTGCATAGGTTTTGAGGAAAGAGGCTGATACGGTTTGGCTGTGACCCCACCCAGATCTCATCTTGAATTCCCACGTGTTGTGGGAGGGACCCGGTGGGAGGAAGTTGAGTCAAGGGGGCGAGTCTTTCCCATGCTGTCCTCATGATAGTGGTAAGTCTCATGAGATCTGATGGTTTTATTAGGAGGAATTTCCCTGCACAAGCTCTCATTCTCTCTTGCCTGCCGCCATGTAAGACATGTCTTTGCTCCTGCTTCACCTTCTGCCATGATCATGAGGCATCCCCAGCCATGTGGAACTGTAAGTCCATTAAACCTCTTTCTTTTCTAAATTGCCCAGGTTCAGGTATGTCTTTATCAACAGCGTGAAAACAGACTAATACAGAGGCCATCACTGTTGCTTGTCAAAAGCAAAGAGAAATTATTTTGACAGTCCATACTCTAAAATTCCATAAAGGCTGCTGGCTAGCCAAATTTGGAGGAAAATTTTTTGTTAAACTGTCACTTGCAAGGAATGAAAACAGAAATGCATTTTTGCAACTTGGTCTCCCAACTTTCCAGAAAAATCAACATATTAGTGGTTATTTCCAGCTATTCTTTTGTTGTTTCCAAGGAGAATACTGCCTTCACTAGTTTTGTATCATGCATACACTATCTCACTGAAACTTTTCATAAATCTTTAATGGATACATAAAACTATTGTAAAAATGTACTACTGTGTTAACAAATCCTTTATTAGTTACTACTATTATAAATATTACAGTGAATGTTTGCTTATAAAACTATCCACATCTTATTATCCTAAGAATAATTTCTAGTAATAGAATTACTGGTACAAAGAGTATGAGCACTTCTTTTCTTTTTTTTTTTTTTTTTTTGAGATGGAGTCTCGCTCTGTTGCCAGGCTGGAGTGCAGTGGCACAATCTTGGCTCACTGCAACTTCCGCCTCCCGGGTTCAAGTGATTCTCCTCCCTCAGCCTCCTGAGTAGCTGGGACTACAGGCACACGTGACCACACCCAGCTAATTTTGTATCTTTTTTTAGTAGAGACGGGGTTTCACCATGTTGGCCAGGATGGTCTTGATCTCCTGACCTCGTGATCCGCCTGCCTCAGCCTCCCAAAGTGCTGGGATTACAGGCGTGAGCTATCACGCCCAGCTGAGCACTTTTAATACTCAGTTTTGACCTAGCTTATGTAGTCTTCTTCCTTCTACCCCCCAGCTCCAAAGTAGGGAATGATTATCTTGTCTCATCTTTGCCTTAATATTATTCCTTAATAGCTGAAAGATGGTATCTTTCATTATAATGACTCTTAAATCATGGACACTTCTTTTTCAGAAAAAGTGGTCAGCTCTGCAGAGGTCATCAGGCACTTTTTCTCACTTACCACATCCAATAACTCCTGTGACTTTAAAATTCTCTTCTGAGTCCTTTTTCCCTTTCTCTCCAGTGGATACCTTGACACCCACCTCTGATTTACCCCAGTCCTCTTCTCTGCTTCCTAAACCTAAATGAAGTATCACTGTGTCCCAGAAGATGAACTTCATCAGAACAGGGTGTCCCCACATGAAGCCGCTAACAGAGCTTGATTCATAAATGGAATCAAGCCAATGATTATTGAATGAGGTCAGAGGTTGGAATTAGAGTAGGGTTTTCTGCTCTTAGCATGGTGACCTACTTGCAACTCAAACTAGAGGAACCCCTCACTGAAATAGCTAAGTCTGAAGTTTTTAATCTAAAATATCTCCATGTCAGTTTAAACCTGTTTTCTCTCCTGCAGGTAGATCTTAAGGCCTTGTATGTCTATTTTTCAAAGATCAGTCCTGGCAGTCAAGATGAAGATTTGTAACTACTTAACTAGATGAGCTTGGACAGGTCACCTGTTCCTTCCAGGCTCCTGTTTACTCAGCCAGGGGATAGAGTTCAACTAATCCCTACCATGATTAAGGGTCACTCACCTTTTCCAAAAAGGGCTTTGCTGGGTCTTGGGGTTTTAAAGCAAGATAAGACATCCACTGAAAATGGTAAATATACGAGGGAAAGATAACTAGATCTCACAAGCAACCACCATTCAAGCACCAAATATCAAGAAGCTGTGTAAATCCCTCTCAATACCAACCCCAGCAAGTTCATTTAATCTCTTAGATACATTTCTACATTGCTGATTGTATTAATTTCCTATTCTGCAAGCCAGTTATGAGCCTTATGGAACTAAAATAAAGGTGTTGGAAGAGCTAAAAGAGTTAATAGATAGATGGAGGCCATTAGTGAATCACACTCATTGCAATTGGGCAGCAAGTCCTTTCTTGAATTGTGAATCTCCTTTTCTGCCACACACGTGTGTCTGAATCTCCCTCAACAGCCTGGCTTGACACCTTGCATGTAGCCCTGGCACCACTAAAGATTGATTGGTTGCTTAGAGCATAGACCTCACTATTTACAGCCAGCCTCATTGTGTCAATATGTCACTGCCTGAGCATACTTGTTAGTACTTCCTGACACAGTCAGCTCCAAGTGAAGGAGAAAAATCAACAAATCCATTAGGCCTCATGATCACCATGCTGAAATCTCACAGCAAAAATCACAGATAAAATACCCTTCCCAAGATCACACATTAAGTAACAGAGCTAAGGACTTTCCTTCCATAACCCTGGAATATCTATTTCTTCCCTATACTACTATGGAAGTGACAAGATCTTGGGATCAGTGTGACAAGAAAATAAAGCAGGCCTAGAGTCTACCACGGAGAAACTTCCGCTTATTAGAAATAACAGGACAAAGAAAGGCGAATAGACAAAGCCCTTCCCGATACAAATGTGCACACAGTCAACCTGGTGCCAGAGGAGTTACTAAAGTGTTTAAGGGATGAGAACTCAGTGAGGGTTTGCCAAAGTTTCTGGAGTTCTAATAGAACTCTCCAAGAAAGAAAAAATTTATCTTGGAGGATTTGTGAGGGGAACTTTCCAGATGGGAAAACAGCATATAAAGAATCAATAGCAACAAATTGGGGATGAGGCATTACATACTTAAAAGAAGATGAGTGTTTGAGCCCAAGGTATAGGAGGTATAGACAGTTTAGTTTGGGGAAGTCTAACTGGTGCAAATCAGGGTTCAGCTAGGAGCTTCTCTGCAGATTATTGCTTCCCAACTCCCCATGTGGTGTTGGTGGAAGTTGATTTGCAGCTCCATCCAGTGTAATTGCTCCCTCATTCTGGTCCCTAAGACTGGCATAAAGATGTGCCAACTACAGAGGGAAGCAAATCCCAAAAAAGTGTTTGGGCACTTGCTTTCTTGCCTGCTTCTTATGAGATCATCACCTATTGGGATAATATAGAAACTATTCAAATTGCTTTCTTGTAGGTATTCCACTGAAAGTTGGAAACATCTTGAATGCCCGTGATTTATAATTTTGATCTCTTCTTTCAAGGCTTACATATAAGGAAGCCTTAATCCAAGCTGGCAATTGATTCAAGGCAGCTTGCAAGGAAACGAGAAACTCAGAAACAAGAAACTATAAAATAAAGCCAATGAAAAAAGTGGCTATCATATACCATCTAGATAATAATGCTTCCTATCTCATCCAGACTTGAGATTCTGACTCTATGCTGTTTAAATTGAGAAAGACAGGCATGTAGGTACTCTGGGCAGGCTAATATGGATTCATGCATTCTACATACCTATTTAACACCTACTATATATTAGGGATGCTAGAGAAATATTATCCCTGCTCACATAAAGCTTAGTCTCTAGTGATTGGAGACAGGAAAGATATCAACTAGTGATAAGTGCTATACAGAATTAAAGAGATGTGCTGGCGAGTAACAGGGAAGCATACTCTAGACAGGTAGTCGTGGATGGCATCTCTGGGTTGTGCTAAGTGATACAGTCCAATAAAACTTTCTGTAATGATGGAAATGGCCTATACTTGTACTGCCCAGTATGGTAGCCATTAGCTACACATGGCTATTGAGAACTAGAAATGCAGGTAGTGGATACTGTATTGAACAATGAAGGTATGCAGTAAAAATATGAATGGAGGTCTTCCACTTAAACATGACATATTAAATATACTTGCTTATCTCCCCCACCCTCACCCCCACAGGCCAGTAAAGGAATAAAAAAGATCCACCAAGACAGAGAATTAAAGGAGAGACTCCAGCATATAAGAGGTCAACCATTTAGGAAAACAGAAAGTGGATACAGAAGTGGCAACTGACGTAGCGGAACAGAGAAAGCTGAAGGCTAAGTTCAAGAGGCGGGGGAAGCCAGCAAGAAACAAGCTGATTCCTGTTGCAGAACTCTCATCAGCTCAGCAATAAGCACCACCTGGTTCTCTGAGGTGGGAAATTAAATAAACAGCTATTTAAAAGCCATCATGTGGAAGCACCGTGCCAGACAAGTTTACCAAGTTCTACCAAACATTCCCTAAACAAAATGTCCCAACTTGAAACTATTCCAGGGTAGAGAAGGAGGGAGTGCTTGCCAGGTCATCTCAAACAACTATAATAATCTTGATACCTGATCAAGGACATCAATAATTATATATCAGTCTCACTCACAAACACAGATGGAAAAATATTGCAAAACATCCAAGAAAAGTAGAAAAAAAAAAAAAACCACATTGTGACTAAGCCAGGCTTATCCTAGGAATGCCAGATGTTCTTAACATTGGAAAATCAGTTAACTCTCCACATTATCAGATTAAGGAAGAAAAATCAGGATCACCTCAACATATACAAAAAAGAAACCATTAGAAATTAAATATCTATTGGTATTTGTTTTTTAGAGCTGCCGTAACAAAATACCATCCACTGGGTGGTTTAAACAACAGAAATTTATTTTCTCACAGTTCTGGAGGCTAGAAGTCCGAGATCAAGGTTTCATCAGGTTTGGTTTCTCCTGAAGCCTCTCTCCTTGGCTTGCAGATGGGCGCCTCCTCGCTCTGTCTTTTCTCTGTAGTTGTGTACCCCTGGTGTCTCTCTGTATGTCCAAATTGCCTCTTCTTAGGACCCTAGGATTATTGGATTAGGGCCTACTCTAACAGCCTCATTTTAACTACCTCTTTAAAGGATCTGTCTCCAAATTTGGTCACATTCTAAGGTACTGGATGTTAAGGCTTCAACATATAAATTTGGGGGAGACATTATTCAGTCCATAACACCATTCATGGTTGGCAATCTAAGAGTAAAAGGGAATTTATTCCGATTGATGAAGGGTATCTACAAAAAACTTAAAGCAAACATATTCATTTGTGAAACTTTAAGTGTGCTTTAAGGTCAGAAACAAGACAACGGTGTCACCTATCACAGCTTCTATTCTACATTATACTAGAGAACCCGGACAGCATAACCAGAGAAAAAATATAAAGAATGGAGAGAAAGAAACAATTCATCGGCAGATTGTGGTTGTGTATGTAAAACACAAATCTGCCTATCAATTATTAAAGTTAAAATTAAATCTGTTACTCCTTAAAAATCAATATAAAATGAATTGTATTTCTAGTTACTTAGCAACAAAGTTAGGAAATGTGTTTTTGAATATGTTTTTTTAAATGACCTTTAAAGTAGAAACTTTAAAAGCACCTAAGAATAATTGTTATAACTTTAAGATTTTGAGAGAAGTTAAAAACCTAGAAAAATACAGAGATATGATGTTCATGGATGGAAAGACTGTAGAGATGTGAATTCTCCCCAACTTAACTTATAGATTTAAAACAAACAATAACGTTTGAAATCACAGAGCACACTGTATAGAAACATTTCTTAACTGTTCTTAATTTGAGGGGAGTGCCCTCCTTTTTGTGAGTGAAGTGCCAGTCTTCTGCATATTTCTGTTGGCATTTACCATACTGTTTTGTGTATAGTGGTTAAGAGCACAGATGCCAGTCTGCCTGGGCTTGAATCTTGGCTTTCCCTCTTTCTAGTTCTGTGACCTTAGGCATGCTACTTAACATCTCAGTAACTTATTTACCCCATTTTATAGGTAGGAAACAAATAGCTACATCATCAACCTTCTGGATTATTGAGATTAATAGTTAATGTCGTACATTAGAACAGTGCTGGGCACATAGTAAGCATTATGTAAGTGTTGGCTGCTGCTGCTGCTGCTGTTTTCATTCTCTCTCCCACTAGTCGGAGTTCCTTGAAGGAAGGAAACTGTCTCATTGGATTGTGCACCTTTGGAGCCTACTTCAGTGTCTGTTAAATAACACAAAATACATTGTCAGTGGGGGCTGGGGATGAGCCACTGTCCTGAAGTGTCATATTTAAAGAAGCCTGATTCAGTGGCATAAAGTATTTGAAAAGGGAGTCCATTTTCTACTTATTTTGAATACTAAATGTCCAAAGCATGATCCATAACACTTGTAAAAGTACCCATATAATTATTTATCCTTCACTTCTTCGCTGTTTAGAAGCCTTTTTTCACCAAATGCCTGAGATTCTCCCAACTTATTATCATGGTACTCAAGGTACAAGGGTTGAATGGACCTGATTCCTCAGTTCACGGTACCCTGTATTATCATCATTGGTCCACAACAGCGTTCCTCTCTCTATTTAATTATTTCTTTTAATCCCTCTTAACTAATTCCTGTTCCTTCCTCTAACAGGAAATCATCCCAATATGCCTGATGTGCTTTTCCTACTTTGCTACCTGTCAACGTTGTCCATGATGTCCCTGGTTGAACAAAAATCCTTGGATTTGATGTAATCTCTTCCACCAACTTTAAACCTAAGGGCTGGTGCTGCTGAAGTTAAAAAAGTCCTTTCCTACCACAAAATCAAGAAGCCACAGCTTCAGTAAACTTTATAGCATTCCCTTTCATGTTTGGGTCTTTTACCCATTGTTAGTCTATCTTTTGTATGTGGGGTTAAATTGAGATTATGTCCATCTGTTTAACCAGGTTTCCAAAAACATCTGCTAAACAATTCATTCTTTTCTCCAGTGAGGTGGAGCCAACCCTTAACCTACATAAAATGCCTTCTATACATGACTCTGCCTCTGAGCTCTCCTCTGTTTTATTGATCTGTTTATTCTGTGACAATACGGAACACATCAGTCTGTTTTTTTCTTTTCTCTCTAACCTGACCACAATTCCTTTTATGTATATTGGCTTCATTGTCAATACTGCAAGAAATAATTTTTGGAAGCAAAAGGCAAAGCATTGAGTTTCTAAGTTCAGGGTTCTCTTTGGCAGGAGACTGGAGGAGTCTGTGCGCACCCACACCAGTAACTGTGTTCCTTCCTGAATGCATTAATCGTGGCATACTACTGTTCTCCTTTTCTGCTCATTCCTTCAAATGTGCCTTTCCATTCAGTACTAGTCTGCAAAGCCTATAATGAAACAAAGGAGGAAATCCTTGTGATTTAATTTTGCTTTCAAAATAAATTATTTTAAAGTTTAATACTCCAGAAGCAGTTTAATTAATTAATTAATTAATTTCATTTTTTTATTTTTTGACACAGGGTCTCACTTCACCCAGGCTGGAATGCAGTGGTGTGATCACAGCTCACTATAGTCTCGATCTCCTGGGCCTCCCACATCAGCCTTGTAAGTAGCTGGGACCACATAATGTTTAAATTTTTTGTTAATACAGGATCTCACTATGTTGCCTAGGCTAGTCTCAAACTCCTGGCCTCAAGCGATCTTCCTGCCTCTGCTTCCCAAAGTGCTGGGATTATAGGCATGAGCCACCGTGCCTGGCCCAGAGACAGTTTACTTTTAAATCAATTGCTTAAACCTGACGTTACTCTTCTTAGAAAGAAAAGAGGGCATTTAAGAAAAAAAAAATTGCATAAGAATTAACTATTATCTTAATAATTAATTAACTAATGGGTTCATGAAAGACACTAACACATTCATGAGAGCCAAGCTTTTCCAATGCTTTCCCTGTCTCCTTGCCATGACCTTGAAGTCTTTGCCTGCATCTTGTGTTTAATGCCATGCCATGTAGACTGATTCATTGTAATGCTTTGTCCTTGAGAAGCTTTTCTTCAAATAGGAATCTCTAACATAATTGTGGTTTTTTATGTACCTGAGTAGTGTTGAATTCTCTGGGCAAATGAGAGCTAGAGAAGACAGTACTGTATGCTTGCTGCCAAAGTACATCAGTGAATGGACGTGTTCTGGACGTGCTTATTCCACCAAGGCCTCTCTTTATTCCCTTTGTGTGTGTGTATGTTCTGGTACACGTTATGGCTGACTGATGGTGTGCCTGTGGTACTATTAGACCTGCTGGAAGACATCAAGGAAGAACAGCATGCTAGATATTATACCATATCTTCCTACTTCTCAGGCTGCCTCCAAGGTAATAGTTCAGAGAACAGAAGCAATTTGGAATTGGTAGAAATCATTTTGGCATTACAAAGGGCATCATAATGTTACAGACTAAGAGGTTTGGCTAGTTTTCTTAATAGGAAATGAAAGAAGCAATGGACCAAGGCATGTGACTTCATGAGATTTCAAATGGTCTAAAGAGTAATGGCTAACTTACCACACCATAATCACATGCGGTGGCACAGCTATTTCATATAATTCTGATCCAGTTAGCTCAAGGGTTAAGATCAAGCTTTGTCAGAAGACAGAGCTAAATTTCAATCCCAGGTGCTTTATTAGCTGTGTGACCTTAAGAAGGATACTTAACCTCTGAAACTCAGTTATCTCATCTTTAAAATGGAAATTAAAAACAATATAGGTAATTTCTTCAAGGTTGTTGTAAGGATTAAAAACAAATATGGCCTGGTGAGGTGGCTCATGCCTGTAATCCCAACACTCTGGGAGGCCGAGGTGGGTGGATCACTTGAGGTCAGGAGTTCAAGACCAGCCTGGCCAACATGGTGAAACTCCATCTGTACTAAAAATGCAAAATTAGCTGGGCATGGTGGCTCACTTGTAATCCCAGTTACTTGGAAAGCTGAGGCAGGAGAATCGCTTGAACCTGGGAGGCAGAGGTTGCAGTGAACCAAGATTGCACCACTGCACTCCAGCCTGGGTGACAGAGCGAGACTCCATCTTAAAAAAAATAAATAAATAAAATACTTTTTAAAAAATAATAAAACAAAAACAAATATACTGAACACTGAAGTGCTGGCTATCCTATGTACTGAAAGCCTTGTTGGAGGAATTGTGTTTTTATAGACAGTGCCTTTGACTTAGTCTGGAGAAGTAGAAGAATCCTGCTTCCACCATTGACTTTTAAGGATCTCAGGAAAATTATTCCACTTTGGAGTTACAGTATCATCTTTAAAATGTTGATGAAATAAAGCAAAGTAAGCAAAAGGGAAAATTAAAGGGCAGCAGAGAGATGATGGCTTTGTTGATTCTTCTCTGCAGCATAACTCAGAATCAGAAGAAATGGTAAGATGGGCAATCCAGGAATAGTAAGCTGGCTTTGTGTGCCACTAAGCTCTATATTTTGTATTACCTATATGGAAGCCATAAGATGCATCCGTAGGAGACCCTCTGCTGCAACTAAAGTGAGTGATCAATCATTAAATTTCTCAAACGTTTCAACAGGCTGCTTGGTTCATTTGCCCACTTCCATTGATATAAACCATGCCTGCCCTCCAGGATGGTTGTATGGTAGCATTGTAATGTACAAGCTTTAGTTGTATGTTACGTAGTGGACACAACACTATGTCTCCATGTGACAGATGGCAGTGCACATAAATGGAGAATCTCTGCACTTCTCTTTGGTAGCAGAAATATCTATAGAGATCGTACAACTAGGTAGAGCTCTCAGTTCCTATAAGTAAAATAACAGATAAATTATTATATAAAATAGCTGTGTTGGAAGAAATACTTTGAATCTCAAACTCCTAATCACTTATATTCATAAATGTTCTCCATTCAACATATTACTTTGATAATGTCTAGACTACTAAACTAAAAGTTCCAGACCACATACAAAGTACAAAGTATCCAGATGAAAGTGATGCTTTGACTGAATTACCAAGGAAAAATATCAGCTTTTGTCTTATGCCAGTAATCCTCACTGGTCCTCAACTTTTAGGATATATTTAGAAGGAGAAAAATAAAAATAAAAAATGTTGCCTGGTCCATACTAGTACAGAATGTTATTTACTAATATTAAGTGGGAATTCAGTTTACACCCTTTAAAAAGTATTATATCTCAGATGCCAAACTCTTCAGTAAGAAGGCCGGAAGCTCAGATAACTCAGCCATGTCATAGCAAGATTAACAATTTTGTTTTGTCAGAGAATAAACAATCAGTTTTTACCACAAAGGGACACTTCAATGAGTTATTTATGGTAAGAAAAGGAAATTATAGCAATATTAAGACCATGTGCAGCTCCTATTCAAAATTAAGAAACTCACTATTGCATTGTTTATCTCAGCCTCAACATTCTTATGAGAAGTAATTAACAGTCGTTAGAGGTGTGGTTATTATGCCTGGTTAGGGAAGCAGTGGGGCTCTATTTGCTCAAACCTCTCAGGAAAAGGCTACAATTACTGTGTGGATACAGGAATATCACAGTTATGAGTGGTATTGTTCATAGGGCATTTCACAAGACAAAGCAATAATAAAATACTTAGTTCTTAGGATATCAAAGGTTATTTTGTGAAAATGATTTGACATACCACAATCCTAAAACTTGACAAACTACTCTCAAAATGTTTTAAGAATTATGTGAACCCAGAAACAAATGTGAAAACTGTTTTCACACAGGAAAGCCTCCACTGAGGATTATGAATCTTATGAAAGACAAATGCCCTATTTTGAGTACATGGTGATATAGTTGGTCACCTTCAGGTATGCTTATTTATGTTTTGCAGGATTGCAGTAATGGTTAAATAGTAGACCAAATTAGCATGTCTGGGTCTCCTCAAGTCTTATGTTTCCTTCAGTGGTCCCATATGAGTTACTAAAATTTCCAGTTTTATGTAGAATGCAGCATAGGTTGACCATAAACACAACTTTGTATCATTGTCCAAAGTTGTAAAACAGAGATTGTCACTGCAGGGTCATGCAACAGAAAGGGAGGAAATGCTGTTTTGTACCATATCAAAAATGATAAGCTACATTTTCCGAAGGACTAAAATATCCCTCTTATTGAGAACAGAAAGAAGGGCAAGAATGACTTGTTTAAAACCTGCAAGTTGATAAGGAGCGATGTCCCAGCCTTTACAACATCATGGATGTAAACCTTGAGAAAGGAACAGGAAGCTTGTTTACAAATGAACAAATTCCTGCTTTTGTAAGAGAAAATTCAAGCTGTGGCACATTTTTTAAATTAATAGATGTTTTTAATAAATTGGTACCTAGGAGGGATTCATCATGTTCACTGTGCTTGACAAGTACAAAATTAAGCGAGTTAAATCAGCTCCAAAGAAAAAAAGGCTGTGTAGGCAACCCATCAAATGACTGAAAGCTGGGGTAGTCCCTTCAGTGGGCGAACTGCTTATGCTACCTGAATAGACTTTGCTCAGAAAAGACTTCTATTGAAAGAACCACAGGTGTGAAGTTAATATGCGTTTGTAACAGTTTTCAATCAAATGCCTCATCAAATAGGGTAGTTTAACACTTGACGCATAAATTTGCATCAGAATCATAGCATCAACTAACTGGGAGAAAATGGCAGTTAACTGTGAAGCTGTCCTGTGTAATAGGTGCTCTGCAATGCAATAGGCTCACAAAAATCCTGCCCCCGTTCCTAGTGGGATGCAGGATTACATGGCAATTAACAATGTGAATTCTGGAGATGAATTCCACGCAAGTTCCAACTCACATCCCACCTTTTATTTGGGAAAGTTATTTAAATTTTCGATGCCTGAATTTCCTTACCTGGAAAGTGCTGATAATAGAAACCAACTCCACACAAATTGTTTGGATTAAACTATTTAATACATGCAAAGCTATAAACCACTTAGAATGGCACCTGGCATATAGTAAGCCCTCAAAATATTTTTTTTCTTACCCATGATTGTCAAGGATTACCTGGATCCTAGCAGAAGGGAAATTAAGGGCTAGATTGTGCAAGAAAAGTACTACTGGGGCCTATAATTCAAACCCTGGAAAAGAGGTAGGACATAGAAGGACATGAGATAAAGAACGTGGTTTATTTAGGGGAGGGGATGGTAAATTCTAAGGGACTGAAAAAGGCAGAATTAAGCATGATCTTTTATTAAACAGCCTGACTGGAGTGGCAAAATCAGGTTGTGAGATGTGTCCGGTTGATGGAGGGCTTGAATGTTATGGTTGAGGAGATCAGGCTCTGACAGGAAGCCACTATAGTCTCTCCAGGTAATGTTCTAAAAATAGTACTAATTCCTAGAAAACAAGATAGAATGTAGGGGAAGAGCCTAGAAGCAGATATTTCAGTTAAAAGGCATTGAGGCTTATCTAAGAATGCACAGGGTGAGGTTCTGGACCAGGGTGATAAGCATGACTGGAGGAGGAAAGCAACTGCCAAAGAAAAAATAGGAAGCCTTGAAATAATTAGATACGGGGATCAAAAGAGAGAGGAGGCAAAGATGTCTCTAGGATCTTGAGGTTGCCTCTACTGGCTAACATTTTACTTAAATGAGATAAGGCAGTAGTTGTTAGACAGTAGAAAATGAAGGGACTTTAGGAGCTGGCCTCACCCTTTGTATTTGAAGGTTTCCAAACCATCATTTGTGAAAGCGAGAGTGAGAAAGAAGGGGTCAAGACTCCTGAGTATTACAAGGGCATTTCCTGGGTAGCAGAGCTCCACCTAGTACAGCTGTTTGTGATTAGAACCACCTGAAGGATTAACAGCTCAAAAGGACTGACACTAAAGCAGAACAAGAGCTGCAAATAAGCCTTCTGGGGTCAGAATATAAAACGTTGAAGTCGTTTAACAGCTCTTTCATTAGTGTGGATTTTGTTGCCTATTTTACCTTAATGATTGGATTGAGTATCATGTTATATAATATTTCACAAGCAGTAATTCAATGTTCAAGTACTTTGAAGTATTTAGAAGTACTGCCTATTCTCCTCAATACTGGAAAGATCCTCATAGATTAGGAAAAGCCCGAACTAAGCAACCTAAATTCTCTTCCCACTAACCTGCTTAACTGTTCTAGGTTCCAATTTATTTAAAGAAGTGAGAGTTGGATGTTTTACCAATGTGGGATTTTCAGCACCTTGTCTTCCTTGGCTGAGGGGAGCCTCTGAAGGGATACTTGTTATTGGTCCTGCAAATGAACTGCTCCAGCTAGGTACAGGCTAAAAAAATGATTTACTCTCCTATGTTCTCCCTCTGATTCCCATGGCACAGTAGGAATTGCTCTAGGTCCCTTGTTCCTGATGAGCCCTAAATGCCTTTTGTCCCACATGTTGCTGACATTCTCAGTTTGTTCTCTTCCACACTCCGTTTCTCCATTCTCTGACCCACCCTACTAACCGCATTCCCCAGGCTCCCTTGCCAATGGGAAACATCAGCTGGAGACGAGAAGGTGGGAGTTGAAGAGGGGCTGGAGTATTCACGCCTGGCACACCTGTCCTGCTATGGCATAGTGTGGCAATAGCCGCATCCCTCTACATCCACAGCCCTTGCTGGCGGCCCCTTTCATGGCTCTAGCTCTCAGTAGACTGTGGTAACATTGGTTCTGTCCTTCGTGTCTTCATGCATGGAGGTGATAAGGGCTCCCTCTGGGGCTAGTTCTTGGTGCTTCACCATCCCTTGTTGATTCCCAGACCCCTGTTCACACCAATGTAAATAGTCCCTTTATTAAATTCTCTTCCAAAACCCCAGCTAATGGTCTTCTCTTTCCTACCAAAACCCATTCTTTGAGGAGTGTACAGTGATGAAGGCAAGCTGGTATAATCAGATGTCCCACATGAACATATAACATCATGGAGCTTTATTTTACATGGGTACATTTTTTTTCCTAAGGGTTTAGGTATGTAACTTTATGCCTGAAACTTTTATTAAGAAGGAATATTTTTAAATGGTATGAGACATCATAAAACAACTTAGTTTTTGAAGGGAAGCTATAAGTCAAATTCATTTTTATTTTAAGAATTTGCAAATTATAGACTTGAATAAGCGTATCAAACATTCCTAAACAGGCTAAACACTGTTACAACTATATAGAAAAAGGGATTTATTATAGGGCTAAGACCTTACACAGTTTTACCAATGGAAGGGACTATGCAAGGCTGCTGTCTCTGCATTAGGTGTTGAGCCAGAAGTTGTTCTAAGTCAGCCAGACCAAGTGGGAAGAAAAGTAAAGATGAACTTAAAACTCCTGAGAATGAGCTGGAACTGTGAGGATGAACTGGAATCCACATCAGTCTCAGACTGTCTCTACCTTTGATGCTGCAGGTCACTTGCAGAAGAAGTTGGCACCTTTTGCCATAGAATAGCCCATGCTTTTGGCCTAGGATTAGGTGAAGCTGAAGGAATTCTGGTACCAGAAGTGTGGGCCCAAGTGCTGCCTTATGTAGACAACGTGAGCAGCTTGTCACCACAGTGTGTACAGGATGCCTGGCATCCTACATTGACTTTCTTTTTCTTTTTCTTTTTTGAGACAGAGTCTCACTCTGTTGCCCAGGCTGGAGTGCAATGGCACAATCTTGGCTCACTGCAACCTCCACCTCCCGGGTTCAAGCGATTCTCCTGCCTCAGCCTCCCGAGTAAATGGGATTACAGGCACCCGCCATCATGCCCGGCTAATTTTTGTATTTTTGTAGAGATGGGGTTTCACCATGTTGGCCAGGCTGGTCTGGAACACCTGACCTCGGATGATCCACTCACCTCGGCCTCCCAAAGTGCTGGATTACAGGCATGAGCCACCGCGTCTGGCCTCCTACATTGACTTTCACAGTATAAAACAATAGGGCTGCAACCCCCCTTCTAATTTATAAACCTTCTACATATTTCTCCTATGGTCACTGCTAACTCAGAAGCATAAAGATATGGGAATTCTGGAAAACATTTTTCTAGGACAGCAAATTTGTTCATTCTTCTTTTAGCTGAGTCGTACTCCCCATTGATATCCTGTAACTTATACTGAGATATAAAAGTAATGACTATTATATCAGAAGTAGGGGAATGGGAGAAGGGAAGAAACATTTACTACATATATAGATACACTCATACCAAAATTAGGTAGAAAAATACTCATAACTATTATTGTCCTTGTTTCTGCAGCCATTATGTGGTTTGGTTTTTTGACTATATCTATTTTATATTCTCTTTTCCCTCGACAATGTTTAATCTTGTCCTAGATCTTTGCTTATTGGGGTGACCCAATCCCTTCACATTCCTGAAGGATCTGAGCCACTTGCTGCCCTACCTAAATTGGGTTTTGGAATTTCCTATGAATATTAATCTCAGGATATATCTATTACTTTCCTTGCGGTGCTATACAAATTACCACAAACTGGGTGGCTTAACACAACAGAAACTTATTCTCTCACCGTTTAGGAGGATATATGTTTGAAATAAAAATGTCAATAGGGTTGGTTCTTTCTTGGGGGCTCAGAGGGAAAAAAAATCTGTTCTCCCTCTCTCCTGGTGTCTAGCGGATGCCGATAATCCTCGGCATTCCTTGGCTTGTGGTAGCATAAATCCACTCTGCCTCTGCTGTCACATGGACATCTTCCATCTTCCTTCTGTGTCTCTTCGTCTCCTCTTTTCTTTTTTCTTATTTTCTTATTTTGAGACAGAGTCTCACTCTGTCACCCAGGCTGGAGTGCAGTGGAACAATCTCAGCTCACTGCAACCTCCATCTCCTGAGTTCAAGCGATTCTCATGCCTCAGCCTCTCAAGTAGCTGGGACCATAGGTGTACGCCACCATATCTGGCTGATTTTTGTATTTATAATATAGATGGGGTTTCATCATGTTGGCCAGGCTGGTCTCAAACTCCTGGCCTCAAGTGATCCACCTGCCTCAGCCTCCCAATGTGCTGGGATTACAAGCTTGAGCCACCGCGCCTGGCCTCTTCTCTTCTTATAAAGATATCAGTCATATTGGATTAGGTCCCACCCTAATTGCATATGACCTCATCTTGATTATATCAGCAAAGACCCTATTTCCATATAAGGTTATATTCACAGGTACCAGGGGTTAGGACTTCAACATATCTCTTTGGAAAAAAATAGTTCAATCCATAACAATATGGAATACAAAAATATGCTACAGGAAATCTGCATTTCTGACATACTCTTCCTTCTCTCCATTCTGTAGTTGTGAATGACCTAATTCCACTGGATAGACAGGATCAATCATCCTAGTCAGTAGAATAACCCCCTCTTTTGCCTGATGATTAACTTGCATGAGGAATACAAAGTCACCAAGCTGTAGTCGCAACTTCTAATTTAATGGAACATTTTCTGTGTTCTTGGTAGAAACATCCCTCCCTTGGGAATTAAGAACCCTAGATTAGCACAGTATAAAGTTATGAAGTCAGGAAGCAAATTTTTGCCAGTGAATCACCAAAGATAAGATGAGCCATTCCTATTTCCAACCCTTGATTCCCCAAGTTCTGGCTAAGGGAGAAATAGCACAATCTGGCTTAGACTATATACTGCATCCTGGAGGATATTCCTCCAGCCCTACAAGGTGCTGCCATGCAGCTATTGTCATAACCGAGTCTTCAGTGGCCATTCAATCATTCTTTCAGGCCACTTGCTTCAGGGTGATGGGAAACATGATAAGACCAATGAATTCCAAGACCATGAGCACATTAGCATATGTTATGTGCTATAAAACAAATTTCTTGGTCAGAAGCAATGCTGTGCTGAATACCATGAAGGTGAGTAAGGCATTTCGTAAGTCTACAGATGGCAGTTTTGATAAAAGCACTGTAGGCAGGGAAGGCAAATCCCTATCCAGGGTGAGTATCTATTCCACTGGGAACAAAGAGCTGCCACTTCTATAATGGAAGTGGTCCAGCATAATCAATCTGCCACCAGGTGGCTAGCTGGTTTTCTCCATCTTCACACCTGGCCTGGGAATGGTGCCATATCAGGGGTTCACTGTTGGACTTTGCTGTTGGGAGATTGAGCATTCAACAGCAGCTATAGCTGGATCAGCCTTGGTAGAAGAAAATCCATATTGTGAGCCCATACAGAAACTTCATTCCTATCATGGTTCAGCACTCACTAGGCAAGGCAAAGAATGGCTGTTGGAAAAGGCTGACTGACACCCACAGAACAGGTCAGCTTGTCCACCTGATTATTACAATACTCTTTTTCTGAGCTTGCTTTTCAGGGAGCATTGACATGAGACAGAAATATCTTCACACTCTGTGTGAACGCCATTTAGTCACATACTAGATTCCCAGACCTCTTTGGTCAGAAATTTTCTGATCATGTTTCTTTTCAGTCCCTGACTATGCACCTAAACCATTAGCTATTGCTCATGATGAATGTGGACCTCTAGCCATCCCTTTTTCTGGATGAAATGGGCAAACAGACGTACTGCTCAAAGTTCTGCCCACTGGGAGGAAGATTTTCTTTAAATACTATCCTTCAGAGCCACCCTGGGATAGGGCTGTAGTGCTGCAGTCATCTACTTTTGGGTGTTGGTGGCAAATCATGCCGAATTTTCTAATTTTTTTTCGTCTTTGGTCAACTAGCCACAGACAATCCTCATGAAGCTTTAGATGCAGGTTAAGAGGAACGAGGCTATGCTGCAGCCATAGACATCTGGGCTACTTGTTCATGCAACTTCCTTGTGTCTTCAGCACCACCGGTGACTAAGGAGTCTTGTCTTGAGCTAGGGAATGGGGACATCTGGGGAATGTCAGGAGTTTTTAAGGCTGAGTTTCTAAGGTTACCAATTCTAGCTACTTGCCTCCTAGAAGGGGCAAGGAATGTGTTAGCCACTGCCCTACCCTACTCCTAAAGCCCTGCTATTATGTAGAACTGCCCCCCCCCCACCCCCCGCCCACCACCAACACCAACACACCAACAACATAACTCTGCCACTTTGCGCTCCTCCCCATCCATGCTTCAGTCATTGGGAGTAGACGTCTACTGGAGCAACTAGCGGAAGAACTTCTCAGCCACCCTTTGTCAGAGTAAAGGTATTGTCGGTGAGGCGTTCCAGTGGTCTCATTGTGTAACTGTATAGATTCTGACATGCTCTGCTCCCTTTCTCCCTCCTAAGGGAAGTTGGGGCCATATCATGGTGAAATCTCTTAGTGTTAGTTTGTCCTTCAGATGTAGTAACACCGTCATTTGCCCTTTCCAGCATATGTCATTTGGAATCATGATTTCTTCTATCTGCTGCAAATTCTGTCTCAGTTTTACATGCATCAGGCCTGTAGGAGACCCTTGGGTCTGGCCAGTGGCTGGAGCTGTTGGCTGAATGGACAGTGAATGACCACTGAATGGAAAGTCAGTGCTGTTTTTCTTTGGCATCTTAGAAGCTTATACTGAGTTTGGTAGGACTCACTGCCAAAGTATTGCCTGGTCTGGAGAAGGTAGAGACAAGGGAGAGTTGGGATTTCTACTATTTCCTACTAGCATCATTTGTCTGCCATAAGATGCCAAAATGCAGGGCCCCAGATTTGCAAGGTATGGAATTAGAGCACAAGGCTATTGAGGCAGGTCTGCATGTGAGATGGCCCCACCATTGGGTCACTATCAGGACCTGCTCTAAAGAGTCTATGGATTGTAGGAGAGTCACTATCATACAGTTCATGGACCCTGAAACCTTCCTGCCCAATCTCCATTCTCCTTAGATCTGCTAAGTTAGTCTCCATCTGTATTGCACAGTTTTCTGTGAAAAACCTTTAAAAGGGACTGGTACTTCCAGCCGACAACATAAACATGATGGTTATATTTGGGTGTGATCCTTAATTTAAAAAAATTTTAAGCTTGTTAGCATCCTCCAAATTGTCTGCAATTAAAACATACTACTTTTGTAAGTTCTCCAGGAAGATAGAGTTTAAGTAACAATCAGCTTCTTGGCATCAAACACTGGTGGCCCATTTTTCATGAGGAGACTAGGAAATGGTACTCCATATTCATTGCTTCCACCCACTCTAAGTTCTGATTTCTCCCCTAAGCCCTTGATTGGTGTATAGCAAACCTAGTTTGTTTTATCATAGGATGGTTGTTTCCATATTAAATTCTAGTTTCTGTTATCCTGTATGTTTTAGAACCAAGGTGACTTTAAAAGCAGAGCAAGCTAAGCCTAAGTAATACAATCCTAGGAAAAATAGGGATGGCTTACTTCCTAATTCCATTCACTTTGATTAAACATCTTGACCATATCTCTACCTCCAGCATTATTAGCAGAAAAAAAAAAGACTTGAGACGTAATGAGAGGGACTAACTAAAAATCTTATAGACTGAAGTTGTCACAACAGTTTTTTTTAAAGAGAACTAGCTTAAAGGTATATTTCTTCTATTTTTAAAGCTTATGGAAAAATTCTTGTTGCATATGTGTTATGGCAAAACAAAATGCAGGCATGGAAAAACAACTGACTTTAAAAATAGCAAAATACTTGACAGCCCAGCTTGAAGTCATTAAAAGTAGTACAGCCGGGGTCAGTTTATAGGTTTCTGTTTTTAATATGCATAAATAGTCTAGCACTTGGATGGAACAGACATGCAGCTGCCTCATCAGACTGATTAACTTTTCAATGGCCTCCCAGATACCCAAAAGTTGCTGGCACTGTCAGGGCAGTGCTAGGAGTCATGATAAGCCTGAAAAGTGAGATGTCTTCTACCTTCCTATATGAAGGAAAACCCAGAACTTCCGATAATGTCTTTTTTCTACTTAGAGCTGAAAGTCTTTTGAGTTCTGCTAATGAAAAAGAAACGCCCACTCCCACCTCAAGAACATCATTAGTATGATAACACTTCCACTGCCCAGACTGACGGGGCCAGAGGGCCACACTGCTAACCCCTGAAATTAAAAAAAAAAAAACAAGGTAGGCCCCCTATCTTAAATCACATAGAATGGTAGCAGTGTTTCATGTCCTTTCTAGGTGATGGAGTCACGGTCTCATAATACAGCACCAACCATTAATTCCATAAACATACAGCATGTCATGAAGTCCAGGGTCTGATGTTGTGGACAAGTGCAAGATTTCTAGAGAAAATATACATTGTCTTGCTTATGAAATAAGATTATGCATTTAAAATTTCAAAAATATTCGATCTCAAAGAATAAAAGAGTTAAGAGAAAGCCTATGATTAAAAGCCAAGTGACTGATAGGGAATTTCAGGAGAAAAAAAAACAGAATAAATCAGAGTAGTCAGGGATGGCATAATAGAATTGGGACTTAACACAAAACACTTATTTAACACTTTCTATGAAATATGCCTTCTGAGAACTCACTGGTGAAATCAAACCCAGATCCTGGCCTCTTGATACTTGTATGCTTTTTGGGTGTACAGTTGCTCAATGGACATATAAAGTACAGAGTGATGAGTGTCACAGTAACAGACACAGGACTTACCTAACCCACCACAGCCGTACCCACAAGCACCACTGGGAGCCAGAGGACAGACCTGCTTTACCTGTAACCTCCACCAATGGTGCCCACACACATTGTCCAGTGGCCTCAGGACTGACCTATCCTACTTGCACCCATGCACCCTTTGCACCACTGGCACGCATGCACTCCGTCTGGAGGCCTGGGGATTGATCCACCCTGGCCACAGCAGCCAGCACCCATGCACAACTTTAGGGGGGGCCTGATGACAGGCATGCCCTGCTCGCTGCCACTACTTCCAGTGCCTGCACACATTGTCTTGGGGCTTGGGGATTGATCCATACTGCCTGCTCCCACTGTTGCCCACACTCACCATCCAGGGGCCTAAGGACATTTCTTCTGCACCCACCACCACCATTGCCAGTGTCCAAACATGTTATCGAGAGGCCTGGGGATCAACCTGTCCCCACTTACCAGCACCAATGTGCAGTGTCCAGGGGCCTGGGTATAGGCCTGCCCTGCCCACTGCTACCAACACAGACATGAACAATCTAGGGGCATAAGAAAGAACCACCACCTGCCACTGATGCCCACACATGTCTCCCAGCATCCCTGGACTCGGCTACTCAGCCTGCCACTGCTGCTGCCAGCACCTACCTTCCTAAACCACTTGGGGGCCTGGAGATTGGCCCATGTAGTCCACTGTTACCACTGCTGGTGCCCATGTGCACAGTTCATGGGCCCAAAGGTTGGCCTGCCACTGCTATTGACACCACTGATACCACATATGCCACCCAGGGGGCTGAAGACCTACCTGTCTGGATAGCCCATCTGACATCCCCATTCTCAGCAAAGCCTCACCACAGCCTCCACTAACAACCACCGGATAAGCCATTGAGGAACTCTCAGATACCACACTGATGCTGATTACAGCTGAAGAAATCATGTGGAGAATACACTACTGCATCTATTCAGAATCAAATCCAAAGCACCCTACCCAAGTAACACTGTAGATACATCTACAGGAAAAAGTCATTCCCTACAAAAGCCAATCCATAAAATCAAAAGAAGTGACTGTTATACCAAAGTTGCAGATATTAATGTAAAGACACAAGAGACATTAAAAAGCAAGGAAACATGGCACCTTCAAAGGAACACAATTATTCTCCAGTAACAGATAACAGCAAAAAGAAAATCTATGACATACCTGGAAAAGAATTCAAATCATAATATTAAAGAAATTAAATGAGATAAAAGAAAACACAGATAAACGACACAACAAAATCAGAAAAGTAATTCATGATTTGAATGAGAAATTCAACAAAAAGATAGATATTAAAGAGAATAAAAAAGAATTTCTGAAACTGAAGAATTCAATGAATAACATAAAAAATACAGTTGAGAACTCCAACAATAGACTAGCTCAGGCAGAAGAAATTTCTGAACTTGAAGGCAGGTCTTTTGAAATAGCATAGTCAGCCAAAGAAAAAAAAAAAAAGGAAAAGAAAGAAAAAGAATGAAGAAAGCTTTTGGCATACCATAAAGCATTTAAATATTTGAATTTTGGTGGTTCTAGAAGGAGAAGAGATGGGCAAAGGCATAGAAAATCTATTTGATGAAACAATTCCTGAAAACATCCCAAGTCTTGCAAGAGATATAGACATTCAGATACTGGAAGCTCAAAAATCTCCAAATGGGTTAAATCCCAAAAGGTCTTCCCCAAGGCAAATTATAGTCAAATAGTCAAAAGTCAAAGACAAAAAGAGAACTTTAAAAAATTAATAAAAAAACATCAAGTCAAAGATATGGGTATCTGCATCAGAGTGACTGTGGATTGCTCAGTAGAAGCCTTATAGGCTAGAGGAGAATGAGATAATATAATCAGAGTGCTAAAAGAAAAATTACTGTCAAGCAAAAATACTATTCCCAACAAAGCCATCTTTCAAAACTAAGGTGAAATATTATTTCCCAGGCAAGCAAAGACTGAGGGAATTCATTGCCACTAGACCAGACTTACAAGAAATGCTTAAGGGAGTCCTACATCTGGAGGTGAACGAATGACATCTACCATCATAGAAACACACCAAAGTATAAAAATCACTGGTAGTGCAGATACACAAATGAGAAAGAGAAAAGAGTCAAATACTCTCATAACAAAAAACTACCAAATCATAAAGGAAAACAATAAAATAAGAAGAAGAGAATGGAGGATATACAAAACAATCAGAAAACAATTAACAAAATGACAGGAGTAAGTCCTCACCTATCCATAGCAACCTTGAATGTAAACAGTTTAAGTTTCCTAGTTAAAAGAGACAGACTGGCTGATTTTTTTTTTTAAACCAACTATATGCTGCCTACAGGAAATTCACTTCATCTGTAAAGATACACATAGACTGAAAGTGAAGGAATGGAAAAAAGTATACCACACAAACAAAATGCATGCAGGAGTAGCTATATTTATATCAGACAAACTAGACTTTAAGTTAAAAAACAAAAAGTGACAAAATGATCATTATATAATGACAAAGAGATCAATTCAGCAAGAGGATATACAATTGTAAATCTATATGCTAATAAATATTATTATAGCTAAAGAAAGACAGACCCCAATAGAATAAAAGCTGGGGACTTCAACACCCCCCTTTCAGCAGTGGACAGATCATCTAGACAGGAAATCTACAAAGACACATCAGACTTACTCTGCACTACAGACCTAACAGACATTTACATAACATTTCATCCAACAGCTGCGGAATACACATTCTTCTCATCAGCACGTGGAACATTCTCCAGTATAGACCATATGTTAGGACAAAAAACAAGTCCTAACAAATTTTTAAAAATCAAAATCATATCAAATATCTTTTTAGACTATAATGGATTAGAACTAGAAAATAATAACAAGAAGAACTTTGGAAACTGTACAAATACATGGAAATTGAGTAACATGCTTCTGAACATCTATTGGGTTAATAAGAAAATTAAGAAGAAACTTAAAAAAATTTTTAAAGAAATGAAAATGGAAATACAGCATACAAAAACCTACAGAATACAGCAAAAACAGCCTTGGAGAGAAGTTTATAGCAATAAATGCCTATATCAATAAAGTAGAAAGATTTAAAATAAACAACCTAATGCTATACCCCGAGAACTAGAAAAGCAACAACAAGCCAAATTCTAAATTACTAGAAGGAAATAAGAAAGATCAGAGCAGAACTAAATGAAACAGAGACTAAAAAATCATTACAGAGAATCTATAAAATGAAAAGTTGTTTTTTAAAAAAATGAACAAAATCAATAAACCACTAGCTAAACTAACCAAGAAGAAAGAAGATAAAAAAAGTAATCAGAAATGATAAAGAAGACATTATAATTGATACCACAGAAATACAAATGATCATTAGAGACTGTTATGAACAACTATTCTCTACAAAGTGTAAAACCAGGACATAGATAAATTTCTGGACATATGCAACCTACCAAGATTGAACCAGAAGAAGTAGAAAACATAAATAAATCAATAATGAGTAACAAGATTAAATTAGCAATAAAAAATCTCCCAACAAAGAAAAGCCCAGAATGAGATGAATTCACTGAAGAATTCTATCAAACTTATAAAAAAGAACTAACATGAATTCTCCTCAAACTACTTCAAAAAATTGAAGAGGAAAAATTATTTTAACTCATTGTATGAGGCTAGCATTATCCTAATACCAAAACTATACAAAGACACAACAATAAAAAGAAAATTGCAGGCCAATATTCCTGATGAACATAGATGCAAAAATCCTTAACAAATTTTAGCAAACTGAATCCAGCAACGTATCAAAAAGATATTATACAATGATTAAGAGGGATTTATTACAGGGATGCAAGGATGGTTCAACATACGCAAATCTATAAATGTGATACATTACATCAACAGAATGAAGGACAAAAACCGTATGATCACATCAACACATGCAGAAAAATCACTTGATAAAATTCAACATCCTTTCATTATAAAAACTGTCAACAAATTAGGCATAGATGGAATATAAATCAGTATAATAAGGGCCGTATATGACAAACCTACAGCTAAGCATCATACTCAATGGGAAAAAGCTGAAAATCTTTCCTCTAAGAACTAGTATAAGACAAGGATGACTATTTTTACCACTCATATTCAACATGATACTGGAAGTCCTAGCCACAGCAATCAGGTAAGATAAAGAAATAAAAGGCATCCACATTGCAAAAGAGGAAGGAATGAAAACTATAAAACATTGATAAAAGAAATGGAGGAGGACACAAACAAATGGAAAGACATCCCATACTCATAGATTGGAGTATTAATACTGTTAAAATGATCATATTACCTAAAGGAATTTACAAATTCAACGCAATCCCTACCAAAATACTAACAACCTTTTTCACAGAAATAGAAAAAATAATCCTAAAATTAGTATGGAGCCAAAAAGGATCATAAATAGCCAAAGCAATACTGAGCAAAAAGAACAAAGCTGGAGGCATCACAGTACCTGAATTCAAAATATGCTACCTAGCTAAAGTAACCAAAACATCACAGTATTGATATGAAAATAGATACACACATCAATAAAGCAGAGTAGAGAACCAAGAAATAAGTCCATGTATTTGCACTCCACTGATTTCAACAAAGACACCAAGAACATAAAATGGATAAAGGACAGCTTCTTTAATAAATGGCACTGGGAAAACTGGATAATTATATACAGAAGAATGAAACTAGAGCTCGATCTTTCACTATACACAAAAAATCAAATGAACGTGGGTTAAAGACTTAAATCTAAGACCTGAAACTATGAAACTTTAAGAAGAAAATATTTGAGAAATTCTCCAGAACAGTGTTCTGGTTAAAGATTTTTTGTGTTAAGACCCCAAAAACACAAGCAACCAAAGCAAAAATAGACACATGGGGCTATATTAAACTAAAGGTCTTCTTCACAGCAAAGTAAACAACAGAGTGAAATAAAGCTAAAGCAGACTAAAATTTGGTTTCCATTTTGAAGGCTGGGCAAAGTAAAAAAAGTATTTCGTAGGCTGGGACAGACTATCAGGCTCAGTGGGCAGTGCATGTAACATAGAACAAAGAAGCCTGGGGACCATGGTTCTAAAATGCCTGCAAATTAAAACATGGCGATGGCCATAACATCAGTGCTGTGAGAGAAGTGTTTACCAGTATCTCACTGCCACACAGAGTAGTCATTGTCAAAAGAATATTGTCTAATATGAAGGCAAAAGATATACCCGCGTTGCATTTTTTAACAATTTTAAATATTATTATTATTATTATTATTATTATTATTGAGACATAGTCTTGCTCTGTTACCCAGGCTGGAGTGCAGTGGCATGATCTCAGCTCAAGGCAGCCACCACCCACTGGGCTCCAGTGATTCTCCTGTCATAGTCTCCCAAGTAGCTGGGATTATAGGCGCACACCACCACGTCTGACTAATTTTTGTAATTTTAGTAGAGAAGGGGTTTTGCCATGTTGGCCAGGCTGGTCTCGAACTCCTGGCCTCAAGTGATCCACCTGCCTCAGCCTCCCAAAGTGCTGGGATTACAGGCGTGAGCCACCGCACCTGGCCCCTGCATTGCATTTTTTAATACTCCTGGGAGATACGGTCAACCCAGCTTCTTAGAAAAACATACAATAAAAACACATATTTTGATAGTAAAAGGACTGAGAAAGTTAAAAAAAAAAAAAGAATGAATCATTGATTTTTGAGTCATTGACTTTTTGTTACTATAATCATTTTTAAGTGTATAAGTCAGTGGCATTAAGTATATTCAGTGTTGTACAACCATTACCACTATCCATTTCCAGAAGAATCATTGATTTTTAAAGAGTAAAATTAGGACACAGGAGCTCAAGTCTGATATCTCTTTTTGGATGGATTGATGCAGCAGAGAACTTTTGATAGACTATGCATGGGGAGAGAGCCTAATGCTGGGGCTTTGTTTTTCCTAAGACTCAATTGCTCCAGCTGGTGCAGAATAACTCCTCACCTGCTGCACATGCTGATTTTTGTATTGAATGGGAAGGCTAGGACACCAGATACTCACCACATCCAGCCATTCTCCAGTGCTGCTGGTGGACACAGTATCACTTGATTTAATAGGCTGTTGTCAATGGAGGACAGCCTGCAACAGGTCAATGCCAAAGGAACTACTGTGCATTGCAGAGGTTCTAGCATTTTCAGAGCTACAACTGTCTTGGTTTTGGTTTAATCCTCCAAAACTACCCTTTTGCTGCATGACCCCACCCCCAAATTTGTAAAATTTTGTAGCTAGAAGGGACCCTAGAAATTATCTATTCAAACTCTATGTCCAGTTACAGAATCAAGAAGCCTGTTCAAGGCGATGCAGCAGAGGAAGCTGGGTCTGCCACAGTCCAGGTCTTCCAAGGTCCTATCCTTCCCACAGCTGCTGCACACATTCTAAAATTAAAGTGAGTAAAGTCTTAAAACATTTTTCTTTTGCTTTATTTTGAGTAACCAGATGCTTCTGGGAGTAACAAAAGCAGGGGTAGAAGTCTCTAATCTGGTGGGGTTTCTTTTTTTTTCTTTCCCCTTTAATTTACCACATGTTGACCCTGACATTTTAATAAGGACACAGGACACAGTGACTTAACAATACAAAACAGTCTAACCCAGATGTTGATGGCAGACTCATTTCTGAAAGCACAAGCCTGAGAGCTTTTTTCAAAAGTGGGGAAAATGTTGGGATCCTAGAATAGCAGTCATAGCCCCCAGCTAAAATGTCCTTGTCAAACTTGCAACCAAGGCCATTGCTGACACACAGAAATTATTTATATTTAATCATTTTTGCCCATTCTCATTGTCATCCCTTCTTTTCTCTTCCTTTTATGGCTCACCTTGCTACATTTCCATTATTTCCCACCCTCTAGGTTGCCTGCATCGTCTTGCTTGTCCTTGGGTTTTCATATCTCCCCATTAGAATAATCTGGCTTGGTCTGTGTTTCTGAAAAAAGCATCTCATCCCATATGGCTATTTCCTTACATTTCTTTCTACTATCAAAATATCTTTATACCTTTCTCCCTCCAAAGTGTCCTTTATTGACTTACTAAGACAATAATTTTATAATATAATCAAAATGTTTGTTAGCAGAGCTATATTATAACTTTAGGAGTCCATAGACACCCTTGGGGGCCCCTTCCTCGGCACAAAAATATTAAAAATTACATTTTACAATTGCATTGGGATGAAAATAAATATAAGCCAAATCTGACTCATTAATATACTTTCATTATTATTTTTCCCTCCAATTTTAAGATAAATTAAAATGAAAATTATTTGCATGGGCTTGTATGCCCCTGGCACTGTGCCCCATGGGCAGGCTTTAGGCCATCCAGGTGCCGACTCTTAGGAAACTTTCATTCTACAAATACAGACATAAAGATAGATCATGTAATAGCCTTTGCTTTTTACCTTCGTGGTAGCTGTAGCCCTCTGTGTCTACCTAATTGTTAGAGGTCATTTCCATAATGAATGGTAGCTGAAAATGCCAGATGCAATTGACCCTCTGTATCCATGGATTCTGTATCTGTGGGTTCCACATTTAAGGATTCTACCAACTCTAATAAAAAATATTCAGAAAAAAGTCATCTGGGCCAGGTGCAGTGGCTCACGCCTGCAGTCCCAGCACTTTGGGAGGCCAAGGCAGGTGGATCATGAGGTCAGGAGTTCAAGACCAGCCTGGCCAACATGGTGAAACCCCGTCTCTACTAAAGACACAAAAAATTAGCCAGGCGTGGTGGTGTGTGCCTGTAATCCCAGCTACTCAGGAGGCTGAGGCAGGAGAATTGCTTGAATCTGGGAGGTGGAGGTTGCAGTAATCCGAGATCGCCCCATTGCACTCCAGCCTGAGCAACAGGGTGAGACTGTCTCGAAAAAAAAAAAAAAGTCATCTGTATTGAAGATGCACAGACTTTTTTCTTGTCATCACTTCCTAAACAATAAAGGATAACAACTATTCACATAGCATTTACATTGTATTAGGTATTATAAGTAATCCAGAGATGACTTAAAGTGTACAGGAAGATTTGCATAGGTTATATGCAAATACTGTATCATTTACTATCTGGGACTTGAGCATCTGTGGGTTTGAGGATCCACAGAAAGTCCTGGAACCAATCCCCCACAGATACAGAGGGACAACTGTACAAGCTTTCTCAGCCCCTCTTGTATCTAAGGTTTGGATACACAATCAAATTCTGGCTGTTGAAATTTCAGTGAAAGTATGATGATGGCTTCTTGGAAAGTTTTCTTCTTGCTTAAATGTACAAGTTCCCACGCTTTCTATTCACTTTGGGACACGCATAAGCTTCTGCAGCTGTCTTGACATCATGAGAGACCACACAGATAACAATTTGAAGATGGTAGAGCAAAAAGACCTAATTCTAGGTTCTTCTTTTTCTTTTTAAATTATTATTATTATTATTATTATTATTATTATTATTTGACACAGGGTCCTATTCTGTCACCCAGGCTGGAGTGCAGTAGTGTGATCACAGCTCACTGCAGCCTTGACCTCCCAGGCTTAAGTGATCCTCCTACCTCAGCCTCCAGAGTAGCTGGGACTACAGGTGCACACCACCATGCCTGGATAATTGTTTTTCTATTTTTGTAGAGACAGGGTATCACTTTGTTCTCCAGGCTGATCTCAAACTCCCAAAGTGCTGGGATTATAGGCATGAGCCACTGCTCCTGACCTAATTCCAAGTTCTTGATGACATTGTTGAACTACTTAACCGGCTGTGAAACTACCTACTTCTGAACACTTTCATTAAGTGAAATAATAAATTCAAATTTATGCAACTTTGAGCTGGGTATTCTATTACTTGAAATTTGTTACAGATAACAAGAAAACAAAGGTATACACCAGAAAATTTCAGATAAAATCTCACAAAAATAACAAGTCAATAACTCTTCTAAATTTTAGCAATAAACATTTAAAAATAATATTTCCAATAATACAAATCATAACGAAATCCAAGAATAAATTTAAGGTATATGAAGCATATGCAAACTGCAACTTTACTGAGAACCATAAAAATACTTGAATAAATGGAGAGATAACATGTGCTTTTAAGACATTATTCTAGGCCAGGCTTGTTGGCTCATGCCTGTAATCTCAGTGCTTTAGGAGGCCAGGATGGGAGAATTGCTTGAGGCCAGGAGTTTGAGACCAACCTGGGCAACATAGTGAGACCCTGTCTCTGCAAATAAACAAAAAAATTAGCCAGGTGTGGTGGTGCTACCTGTAATCCCAGATACTTCAAAGGCTAAGGTGAGAGAATTGCTTGAGCCCAGGAGTTAAGGCTACAGTGAGCCATGATTGTACCACTGTACTCCAGCCTGGATGACAGAGCTAGACCCTGTCTCTAAAAATAAAATGAAGAAATTATTCTGTATTGTAAGATGACAATTCTCACTAAATTGTTTTATAAGCCACTGTTTAAAAATGAAACAGTGAAATTCCAAATAAATTGTCTACGGTACTTTTTGTAAAATATTTATTGAAGTATAATATACATACAAAAAGTACATATATCTTAAGTGTGCAGCTCTTAAGTTTATCTGAAATAAAAATGGAGAGAAATATACCATAAAATTTCAATAGAAAGGAATTTTACAATGTTTTAACTAGCACTGTACTATAGAAATCAGCAAAAAAGAATAATAACCCTAAAATCAAGCTCCAGAGTGCATAAATAAGTATATGTGATAAATGCAGCATTCCAAATTGGTGAGTTAATGGATTTTTAAATCAAGCTCCAGAGTGCATATATAAGTATACGTGATAAATGCAGCATTTCAAATTGGTGAGTTAACGAATTTTTGAAATGGTGTTAGAATGACTGATATAAGTATCCCACTGAACATATGAATTTTAAAAATAAATGTAAATAAATGAAACCAGAAAAGAACTAGAATAACATATAGTTTAAAACTCAGGATGAATAGGTATGACATGAAAAATAGAAATCACAATGGAAAAGATCAATAAATTTATCTACATACATTTAATACTTCTTTATGACAAATATCATAAAGGTAAAAGGCAAATGATAAACTAGGAGAAAGTGTTTGCTATCTTGATGATGTTTGAGCTGGTGTCTTTGATAGGAATAGGGTATATTCTATTGCTTGCATGTGTAGATTCTAGAGTCAGATGGTTTAAATATGAATTCCCACTTCCAGCTGTCTTAGGTTGGGTTTCCTAGGAGCATTGGCTGAGAGAAAGATTCTTATACAAGTGATTTATTGAGAAATTCCTCTCTAGTAAAACCTAGAGAAGTGAGGGAAGCAGGACAGGACAGGACAGGAGAATAAGCTAGCAAAGGTAAAGGTTCAGCTACCTACAAAAAAAAAAAAAAAACCACCACCACCACCATCACAACAATAACAAAACACTTCAAGTCCTATAGAAGTTAAAGGTGAGGAAAAAGTAAAACCGAACTTTAGACAAGTTAAATTTAAGGGCCAGGCGCAGTGGCTTATGCCTGTAATGCCAGCACTCTGTGAGGCAAAGCAGTAGGATTGTTTGAGCCCAGGAGTTATAAGCCAGCCTGGGCAATGTGGCAAAACCTCATCTATACAAAAACACAAAAATTAGTCAGTCGTGGTAGCGCATGCCTACAGTACCAGCTACTCTGGAGGCTGAGGTGGGAGGATTGCTTGAACCCAGGAGTTTGAGGCTGCAGTGAGCCATAATCCCACCACTGCACTCCAGCCTGAGCAACAGAGAGAGACCCTGTCTCAAAAAAATAAATAAACAAATAAAAAAATTTAGCCAGGTTTATTTGAGCAAAAAAGTACTTCATGAATTGGGTAGCACTCAGAATCAGAACTGCAAGAGAGCTTCACCCAGCAACTGTGGACAGGTAGTATTTATAGACAGAGAAAGATAGTGATGATATACAGAAACAGCTTGATTGATTACAGCCAGCTGTGTGTTTGCCTTATTTGAGCATGGTGTGATAAGGCCTTATATGTACATGGTTTGATCAGTTGCCAGCCTATAATTGGCTGAAGCTCAGCTCTGGTGACTGGCTGAGACACAGCTATTTGTTACAAGAATATACTCTTAAGTTAGGTTACAGTTTGTAAGTTAGATTGCAGTTTGCCATTTAGGGACTCTCAAGATATAAAGGCAACTTTAAGCCAAATTTAATTTATTTTCACAAGCTGAAGTCTAGCCTTAGCCCATCGTAATGAAAGATTAGAGGCAAACATGGTACCACTTTAAGGGTGTCAAAGCAAATGAAATATGGCCTGAGAAGGACTCCATACTTCTATATTTGAGTCCTTGTGGATGAACTGTAACCTAGCTTAATAGTCAGACAAGATCGAAAACCGAACTTAGAAGTATGCGCCTGTAACAATAACTGAGTCTTGGCTTATCCCAGCAGCCATACTTCAACCACTCATAGACCGCTAATTGTTCTGTGTTCAAACAAGGCAAACACCAACCTGTAATCAATCCAGCTGTTTCTGTACCTCACTGCTGATTTCTGTACATCATTTCCCTTTTTTTCCTGTAAATCTTCTTCCACTACGTGGTTGTGTTGGAGTCTCTGTGAATCTGCTGTGATTCTGGGGGCTGCTGGTTTCATGAATCGTTCATTGCTCAATTAAACTCCTTTAAATTTAATTCAGCTGAAGTTTTTCTTTTATCATGGTGGCATCAGAAGTGGGATCTAAAGTAGGGCTTCTAGCGACCCCCAGGAGCACTGAGTGAACATGCAAGGTACCTGCAGGACCCACTTATGTCCACTGATCTCTCAGAGAGACTGGGGATCATGGGTAAGGTTCCTCTCATATTTTGGAGCTCCATGGATTTGTTTTTTGAGCTCTCGGAGTTTCTTTGAGCAAATTTCTGATCCAAACTGGGTTTGGAAGTCATGACAGAAACAGGACTGGGTCCAGGAACAGATCTGATCTTTTGTGTTGTGGCTTGGCCCCCAGGGCTATGGTATGGTGAGCTGGGTCACTAGGGCTGCTCAGGGTAAGGGAATCCAGAAGCCTGGCATACCAGCAAAAGGGTAAAAATTTCTTACCATTCAGATTTCTGGCTTCCCTCTCTCTGTGCAAACCAGTTGAATGAATGGTAAAAACTACTGTTTATTCTCCTCTGTAAAGTTTTGATTAATGCAAAAAAGAATTCTGAAGCTAGCCTTAAGCTGTAGCGAATCTTGTGTATTTTGTGCTATGAATTCATTTTTCTGTGTTGAGGGGTACCTCAGGATAAAACATGGGCTTAGGACCCCATAAGCTCACTGTTCAAGATGGTCCAGCAAGCTGGTCAGTAACAAACTTTGCAGTAGGTCCCTGAAACAAACAAAAAACTGGATGGGGCCTTCATCTTGTTTTATGTCCTTGGGAGCTTGACCTTGTAACCACATGGCAGTACTTTCTCTTGGTCTCTGTTTTCCAGGGAATAGGAATTTTAGGGTTCATGTCATAGTTAGCTCTAAAAATTATCTTGAGTAGTTAAAAGCCTTTGCAAGCTCAAAATTGACTACTCCAGACTTCTTCTGGGAGGGGATATGGAGACTGCCCTGTGCTATAGCCCAGTAGCTAAGGTTTTGCCCTTTCGCAGTGCCTGTCTGGGTTTGATTCCTGGCTTAAGAAATGAGTCATTTCTGATTTGATATTTGCATGAACTTGTTGATTCTATTCTCTTCTATGGACTGTCTTAAATTTTTCTTTCTCGAAGCACCTGGGAGGTTACGTTTGCTAAAGTTCAAAAGCCAGAAATATTGTCCATTTAGCTTGGCTAAAGTCAAGTATTAAGAAATTTTAAAAGGACTTTATTAAAGAGTGCTATGGTTAAAAGCCAGCGTAATTAAAAGTGGTATTCAAGCTCTAATGGCCTGGACTTCTTGGGAAAAACAGGAGACACTAGAGACCCTTTCCTGGCCCTGTTCTTCCAAGGACTCCACCATAAAGCCAATAACCAATTAAGAAACTTAAAAATTGGCAAATGAAAAATCTTACAACTACTGTACTAATCTTCTGTCTGTGTAGTTATATATGTGTCGTGTGTGTAATGTTTATATAAAGAGCTCTAATTAATTGGCTTAAACAAAAATAAGTGCTTAAATCAAATATTTTGAAAGAAAAATAAAAACTGTAATGCCTTTTAGTTTACATAACTGTACTAATCTTTAGGAAATAAGAACAGCTTTAAAAATTATTGGCAAAATTTAAACATTTGGTCTAAATTATGCAGGTCAGATATTAAGTTTACTAAATGCTTTCAGGTCATAATCAGCTTCTTTGACTTTTGAAAGTTGTTCAATTTACTTACCTTGGATATGTTAGATTCTAGATGAGGCCTGAGGACATGTGGAATTAGCCATGCACCCTAGCTATGCAAAGAAGGTTGTAAAGAAGAGAGATTTTATATAAGAAAGTATATTGTATGGTAAATTCTTGTCCGAAAGTAAAATGACTGGTTGTTTAAAAAGAGGGATATTTAGGATGAGTCAGAAAGTCCAAGCATGTCATAGATTGTCTGCATAAGTTGTGAAATAATTTATGAAACGCATTTATCCAAGAAACGTACAACTTAAAGGTGATTAGGGCTCCTAAATGCTTCATAAAATGCCACTATGACTCTTAACTGTACAGCATGCCTGCTTAACAGCTATGTAAAGCCTGTGACACGTGGAGTTAGATGCTGGAAAGAGTCAGACCTTACCTGAATTTTTGTCTGGGTCCTAGGTTCCACACTGGTACGTAATTAGAATCACTTACTAACCAGGCTTTTCAGCAGAGGTAAAAATCACTAAGGGTTAACAGTATAACATGTATATGAGACTACTGAACAAAACAGTTTACATGCAAGGTGTGTAAGGAAAGTAGAATATACTTTTGGTAAAAGATTATTAGAAGTCATGGGAATTTGAACTTTTTGCCTAGATTAAACAGTTAAAGGATTGTTTTAAATTAAATAAAGCTAAAGGTTTAAACAAGTTGTGGAAGGTTTATAAAAATTAACCTTGCCGGTGGCTCACGCCTGTAATCCCAGCACTTTGGGAGGCCGAGGCAGGCGGATCACGAGGTCAGGAGATCGAGACCATCCCGGCTAAAACGGTGAAACCCCGTCTCTACTAAAAATACAAAAAATTAGCCGGGCGTAGTGGCGGGCGCCTGTAGTCCCAGCTACTTGGGAGGCTGAGGCAGGAGAATGGTGTGAACCCGGGAGGTGGAGCTTGCAGTGAGCCGAGATCCCACCACTGCACTCCAGCCTGGGCGACAGAGTGAGACTCCGTCTCAAAAAAAAAAAAAAAAAAAAATTAACCTTGCAAAAAATTCTATGAGTGAAAATACTGACTAAATTTAAAGGGGTATTATTTGGTTTTTCCATAAATTGAACATCAAAATAAAAGCACAACAGGTTTTTCTTAGAGCACTAATCTGCCCTTTAACAAAAATTGTAAAGGATTATAAAAGGTTTATAAAGTTCTTATTTTATGATCAAACTAATTAAGATTGAATACATTTGTCTGTAAGGTTTTATTAAGAATTGGGTTTGACATCAATAATGCACTAATGCAACAGTGACATTTGGCTTATTTGGTATAAAAATCATGGGAAGCATTAAAATAATGTTGAATCTTCAGGTTATATTTTAGTGATGATATTAATATATTTTCCAAAATTATATATATATATATATATAGGGATTTCTAAAACCCTAATATGTCTGAGTATATGATATCAATCATAATTAAGGTTATAATGTTAAGTTATTGTAGACCAGAGAGATAACGAAATTTCCTTGTCAATTGTGTTTTTAACTATCACTATTTAAACTCATTTCTACAATTAATTGCTTAATGCTCTTGCAGTTTCTAAAAACTCCATAAGCACACAAAAATCCCAGAATATGATGTCTTTTAAGAGGTCATGAAAGGATAGAAAGAACCCTGAAAAGCACTCTTGAATAAAGTTTTCTAACAACTTTAAAATTATATCATGGGTAAGAATTCCCCATGAATTCCCCAAGAATTGGTCTGGATAAGAACTCCTGAAACCTTAATAAAAAGACTGACTGATTTATAAAACTTCCAACTTAAGTATAAGAAAAATTAATTAAATACCAAGAAAATACTTTGCCCAATTATCATGTGAAATCAGCCAATACTAGATATACAATTTGAATGAACTCCACAGTGTAAGTCAAATTACCTATGATAACCCATTAGTTATCAGTGCTATGCTCCTAAATTGGTTAAACAACTGGTATTCATTCAATGTTAAGTATGGACTCATGAAGAATCAGGATGGCTGCCTTGTCCTTCCTGAGTCCTTAAAGCTTTTGTTATTAAAGGTTCTGCATTCCATGACTTGTCATGGAAAAGATAAAATGATCCAAATTGAATATATTGATGTGGTGATTTATAAATCGCAGAAATAGTTGAAAGCCAATGTTTGGTTCCATATTCCTGGGAAGACAATAAAAATTTCAGGTACATTTGGCTACCTGATAGGCCATTTAAACATTTATAAAGGAATTTTATTCAATTGTCATTTTCAGTGCATGTTTTCTGGTTATATAAAAGCTTTCCCATGTAAGAGGGCTAATGTTATAACAGTAGATTATTATGCCACAGTATATTTTCACTAGGTAAAGAAAGCTCTTTATGGTTCACTGAGGACAACCCCTTCACAGTCTAGAACCCAAAGATTGGACATCAGATGCCCAAAGATTTGGACACCCAAAGAGAACATCAGAAAAAGACCATCCTTGCCATTCACACTACAGCAAAACTTTGGGACCTTACACTTTGGGTTCATAATCTCACAACTGAGAAGGGTCCCTCCACACTCTTGGAACTGTACACCTATTGTAACCCTTAAGGTAAAGCTAACCAGGACAGTTTCTCCCCAGAATAAGATGGCATCCTTAATGTGAACAGTTTTCCCAGAATCACAGATCAAAACTTCTCTACTATCATGAAACTCTTATCTTTGAATTTTTTTTTCATTTCTTATGCCTCTGTGAACAACAGAAGTGAAAGGGTGGTCTATTATGTACACTTATAGGCTGTACCTTTATTTGTGAAGGATTTTGCGGCCAGCCTTATACGTGAATAACCTTTAATAGATAAAAGATGAAGGCCAAATATAGGTGAGAAAGGTTAATGATACATATGTTGCCTCATAATCAGTCAAAACTCCTATTAACCTACATCATGGATTAAAGAGAATATTGCCAGGAGGCCTTCACTCTTCTAGAAGGACATCATTTGTTAGGTCCTTTTTCCATGATTTAGAATAAAAGGCAATAATTTAAAATGTCTCCCTCATAATAGGCTCTACAGCAATTTCTACTTTAAAGGCTATCATTACACAACAGACTTTAAACTCTTGTGAAAGTTGTGCTAAATAATAGAATTAGCTAAACAGAAAAGTATCTGTGCAGCTGCTGACACTTGTGGCCTATGGAGAAATACATCAAATGTAGATTATAAAACTTCAATTGTAGGGGATTAATGAAAAGACCACTTAGTCAAGCGAGTAGACTCTTCATCTAGCTCATTCTTTAATCTATTTAATTTTAGGTGGTTTGGTTTATGGGGACCCTGGGTAAGGAGCATACTGCAAACTCTTGATATTATCCTCCTCATAGTCATAATAATAGTCTCCCCAGTGCGCTGTATTCTCTCAAATGTTTTAAATGTTTGCATGCAGCAATCTCTAGAAAGTCAAATGCTCTCTCTTCAACTGGAATGACAAAAGCTGAAAGAAATGTGTGACCATGAGGACAATGTAACCTGTGAATGACATGCCAAGCCCGGAAACCCAAAATGGTGATAACTGAGAGTGGTGCTAAGGCCCTAAGTTTTGGTCACACTGTTGTCTGAGTAAGAACCTGGCCAAAACGGGGAATTTAAAAAAAAAAAAATTGTGGAAAGCCATTATTTTTGACTGAGCTCATTTATTAGGCCCCAACCGACAAAATTAAATGGAGTCACTCATGCTACATGTGACATAATCCAAGACTTTAAGGAAACACGTAAATCCTAGAACAGACCAGACTTTGTTATTCTCCTGTATACAGGCCGTTCCAACATAAGGAGGCACCCTCTACTCAGGCCTTGTTCCCTCCTTGCAAAACCCATTGTTCTACTGTTCACCAAAGGGTTTCAAGACCATATAAGTACATTTGCAAAATGATAGTAACATCAATGACTAAAGTTTTGGTCAATCTCTTAAAATAGAGAAAATGACCAAAAAGGGGGAATTGCTAATGCAAACTAAATATGGCCTAAGAAGGACTCTATACTTCTATATTTGAGTCCCTATGGATGAACTGTAACCTAGCTTAATAGTCAGACAAGATTGAAAACCTAACTTAGGAGTACACACCTGTAACAATAACTGAGTGTTGGCCAATCCCAGTGGCCATACTTCAACCACTCATAGATGGCTAAGTGTTCAAACTATGTTCAAATAAGGCAAATGTCAACCTGTAACCAATCAAGCTGTTTCTGTACCTCACTGCTGATTTCTGTACATCATTTCCTTTTTTTTTTTTTTTTTTTGTCTGCAAATCTTCTTCCACCACATGGCTGCACTGGAGTCTCTGTGAATCTGCTGTGATTCTGGGGGCTGCCCAATTTGGGAATCATTCATTGTTCAATTAAATTCCTTTAAATTTAATTCAGCTGAAGTTTTTACTTTACCAGGTGTAGGATGTCCCTTTTCACAAGTCAGTCATTGATTATTGGCCATCTTGGCATTTGACTCCCTTTGGGGATAATTTTCCAGAGAAGGATGGAAAATTGAGTTGTTAGCCACAAACAATCTTAGCCCCTGGAGGATGGGAGTGCTAGATGGATTAGGTGATTTAGGGATAGTACTAGTAGCATCTTCTACAGTAACTAAGTCATCTTGATTAATTTAATTAATTCTTTAAAGCTTTTGTTTTCTCATTTATGAGAAAAATTGTATGGATGCTATAGAGGTGTAAGGGAAATCACAAAAAATGGTTTCTGTCAGAAACATAGCCTAACAAAAGCACTCAAATGTTTGCATTTAGAGAGTATTATGAGCATAAATATTCACTATTAGCAAAGTGGGAAAATGACGAAGACTGGTACTATACAAGGGAAAACATACAATTGTCCAAAATATAGAACTGTTTATTCTTTCACTGCAAACTTAAAATGCATTACCATTTATTTCCTGTTAAAGATACAAAATCCAAGATAATGCTCAGTGTTGGCAAGGTGTCCATGTGGAAATAGAGGGCAATCTCCTACATTCCTATGAAAGATATAAATTAATCAGTTGTTTTCTGGAGGGCATATTGGAAATCTATCTGAAGCTTTTAAAACATGCAAACCCTTCTAACCTGGACATTCTCACCTCCAAGAATTTACCTGTGGAAAATTTGACCAGATACTTAAAGCTACAAAGAAGCTTATAGTATTATATGAGTGTTGAAAAATTGGCATTGAACAAAAGAGCTAACAAAATAGAAAGGAATAATGATGACAAGGAAGTTACTATAAACAATAATTGCTATTGGGAATAATGCTGTAATGAACATACACATGCATGTCTTTATAATAGAATGATTTATATTCCTCTGGGTATATACCCAATAATGAGATTGCTGGGTCAAATGGTATTTCTGTGTTTAGGTCTTTGAGGAATCACCACACTGTCTTCCACAATAGCTGAACTAACTTACACTCCCACCAACAGTACATAAGTATTCCTTTTCTCCACAACCCTGTCAGTATCTGCTATTTTATGACTTTTTAATAATAGTCATTCTGACTGATGTGAGATCATTTCTCATTGTGGTTTTGATTTGCGTTTCTCTAGTGATCAGTGATATTGTGCTTTTTTTATGATTGTTGGCCACATGTATGTCTTCTTTTGAGAATTGTCTGTTCATGTCCTTTGCCCACTTTTTAATGGGGTTGTCATTTTTTCTTGTAAAGTTAAATTCCTTATAGATGCTGGATATTAGATCTTTGTCAGATGTATAGTTTGCAAAAATTTTCTCCCATTCTGTAGGTTTTCTGTTTACTCTGTTGATAATTTCTTTTGCTTTGCAGAAGCTCTTTAGTTTAATTAGTCCCATTTGTCAATTTTTCCTTTTATTGCAATTGCTTTTGGTGTCTTTGTCATGAAATCATTGCCTGTTCCTATGTCTTGAATGGTATTGCCTAGGTTATCTTCTGGAGTTTTTGTAGCTTTGGGTTTTACATTTAAGTCTTCATATGGTTTGGCTGTGTCCCCACCCAAATCTCATCTTTAGTTGTAGCTCCCATAATTTCCAAATGTCTGGAAAAGACTCAGTGGATGGTAACTGAATCACGGGAATTCAGCATTGAATCCCATGCTGTTCTCATGATACTGAATGAGTCTCATGAGATCTGATGGTTTTATAAAGGGGAGTTCCCCTGCAAATGTTCTCTTTGTCTGCTGCCATGTAAGCTGTGACTTTGCTCCTCCTTCGCCTTCTGCCATGATTGTGTTGCCTTCCCAGCCATGTGGAACTATGAGTCCATTAAACCTCTGTTTCTTAGTAAATTACCCAGTCTCATGCTGTCTTTGTTAGCAGCATGAGAACAGACTAGTACAGTAAATTGGTTCTGGGTAGAGGGGTGCTGCAGTAAAGATACCCAAAAATGTGGAAGCAACTTTGGAACTGGGTAACAGGCAAAGGTTGGAACTGTTTGGAGGGCTCAAAGACAGGAAGATGTGAGAAAGCTTGGAACTTCCTAGAAACTTGTTGAATGGCTTTGACCAAAATGCTGATAGTGATATGGACAATAAAATCCAGGCTGAGGTGGTCTCAGATGGAGATGAGGAACTTGTTGAGAACTGGAGTACATGCCACTCTTGCTATGCAAAGAGACTGGCAGCATTTTGCCCCTGCCCTAGAGTTCTGTAGAACTTTGAACTTGAGAGAGATGATTTAGGGTATCTGGCAGAAGAAATTTCTAAGCAGCAAAGCACTCAAAAGGAAGCAGAGCAGAAAAATTTGGAAAATTGCCACCTGACAATGCAGTAGAAAAGAAAACCCTAGTTTTTGGTGAGAAATTCAAGCCAGCTGCAGAAATTTGCATAAGTAACCAGAAGCCAAATGTTAATCACCAAGACAATAAAAATGTCTCCAAGGCATGTCAGAGACCTTTATGGCAGCCCCTCCCATCACAGGCCTGGAGGCCTAGAAGGAAAAAATGGTTTTGCAGGCTGGGCCCAGGGTCCTCTTGCTCTATGCAGCCTTGGGACATGGTGCCCTGCATCCCAGGTGCTTCAACTCCAGCCATGGCTAAAAGGGGCCAACACACAGGTCAGGCCATTGCTTCAGAAACTACAAGCCCCAAGCCTTGGTGGCTTACATGAGGTGTTGGGCCTGTGGATGCACAGAAGTCAAGAATTGAGGTTTGGGAACCTCCACCTGGATTTCAGAGGATGTATGGAAACACCTGGATGTCCAGACAGAAGTTTGCTGCAGCAGTGGAGCCCTCATGAAAAACTTTGCTAGGGCAGTGCAGAAGGGAAATGTGGGGTCACAGTCCCCACACAGAGTCTCCACTGGGGCACTGCCTAGTGAAGGACTGAGAAGAGGGCCACTGTCCTCCATATCCCACAATGGTAGATCCACTGACAGCTTGCACCATGCTTCTGGAATAGCTGCAGACACTCAATGCCAGCCCATGAAAGCAGCCAGGAGGTAGGCTATACCCTTGCAAAGCCACAGGGGTGGAGTTGCTTAAGGCTGTGGGAGCCTACCTCTTGCTCTCACACATCAGTGTGGCCTGGATGTGAGGCGTAGAGTCAAAGGAAACCATTTTGGAACTTTACAGTTTAATAACTGCTCTATTCGATTTCAGAGTTGCATGGGACCTGTAGCCCCCTTTGTTTTGGCCAATTTCTCCCATTTGGCACAGGCATATTTACCCAATTCCTGTATCCCCATTGTATCTGGGAAGTAACTAACTTGCTTTTGATTTTATAGGCTCCTAGACAGAAGGGACTTGCCTTATCTCAGATGAAACTTTGGACTGTGGACTTTTGAGTTAATGCTGAAATGAGTTAAGACTTTGGAAGACTGTTGGAAAGGCATAATTGGTTTTGAAATGTGAAGACATGAGATTTGGGAGGGGTCAGGGGTGGTATGATATGGTTTGCCTGTGTCCCCACTCGAATCTTATCTTGAATTGTAGCTCCCATAATTCCCACATGTCTGGGAGGTACTCAGTGGGAGGTAACTGAATCATGGAGGGGGTCTTTCCCATGCCATTCTCATGATAGTGAATAAGTCTCACAAGATCTGATGGTTTTTATAAAGGGGAGTTCCCCTACAAATTCCCTTTGCCTGCCACCATGTAAGTCATGACTTTGCTTCTCCTTCTCCTTCTGCCATGATTGTGAGGCCTCTCCAGCCATGTGGAACTGTGAGTCCATTAAACTTCTATTTCTTTTTAAATTACCCAGTGTCAGGTATGTCTTTATTAGCAGTGTGAGAACAGACTAATATAAGTCTTTAATCCATCTTGAGTTGATTTGGTATATGGTGTAAGCCAAGGGTTCAGTTTCAGCTTTCTGCATATTGGCTAGCCAGTTATCCCAGCACCATTTATTGAATAGAAAATCCTTTCCGTATTGCTTGTTTTTGTCAGGTTGGTCAAAGATCAGATAGTTGTGGGTGTGTAGTCTTATTTCCAGGTTCTCTATATTCTGTTCCATTGGTCTATGTGTCTGTTCTTGTACAAGTACCATGCTGTTTTGGTTACTGTACCCCTGTAGTGTAGTTTGAAGTCAAGTAGTGTGATGCCTCCAGCTTTGTTCTTTTTGCTTAGTGTTGCCTTGGCTTTTGGTCTCTTTTTTGGTTTTGTATGAATTTTAAAATAGTTTTCTCTAGTTCTGTGAAGAATGTCAATGGTAGTTTAAAGGGAGTAGCATTGATCTATAAATTGCTTTGGGAAGTATGGCCATTTTAATGATATCAATTCTCCCTATTCATGAGCATGGAATGTTTTTCCATTTGTTTGTGTCATCTCTGATTCCTTTGAACAGTGGTTTGTTGTTCTCTTTTTAGAGATCTTTCCCCTCCCTTGCTAACTGTATCCCCAGGTATTTTATTCTTTTGTGGCAATTGTGAATGTAGCAAAAGTTCATTCATTATTTGGCTCTCAGCTTGATTGTTGTTGGTGTATAGGAATGCTAGTGATTTTTACATATTGATTTTGTATTCTGAGACTTTCTATTATAAAGACACATGCACACATATGTTTATTGCAGCACTATTCACAATAGCTGAGACATGGAATCAACTCAAATGCTCACCAATTATAGACTGGATAAAGAAAATGTGTTACATATACACCATGGAATACTATTCAGCCATAAAAGAGAATGAGATCATGTCCTTTGCAGGAACATGGGTGGAGCTGGAGGCCATTACCCTTAGCAAACTAACACAGGCACAGAAAACCAAATACCTCAAGTCTCACTTATAAGTTGGAGCTAAATGATGAGAACACATGGACACATAGAGGGGAACAACACACACTGGGGCCTACTGGAGGGTGGAGGGTGGGAGGATGGAGAGGTCAGGAAAACCAACTAATGGGTGCTAGGCTTAATACCTGGGTGATGAAATAATCTGTACAATGAACCCCTCTGACACACGTTTACCTATGTAACAAACCTGCACATGTACCCCTGAACTTAAGTTAAAAAAATTGCATAAAAATGTATTTATTTATATGGAAATAAGTTCAAACTTTAGTCAAACATTAACAAATTAAGATTGTATTCAAACAATAATATTTGATTTCTAAAAATTTAGAATTGGATGCACTAGCAGTGATTATCTTTGTGTGACGAGTTATTTGTACTTTCTTTGTGCTTATTTGTAACTTTCTGATCTTTTTACAAGAAACAAATAATACAGCAATAACTCTTTCAAGTCTCAGGCTTCTTGGTAGGAGCTCAAGCCTGTATATACAATCCTCTTTGAAGCTGATCTTTAACTATAATTCCTAGTTATTTTATTTGTTGCTAATTTTGCCAAACACAAATTTGTAAGTAAATGTTTAACATGTATTTAAAGTAAAAATGAAGACCAATCAGGTTCAAGAAGCAGATTTCCAGCTGGGCATGGTGGTTTGTGCTGGTAATCCCAGCAATCTGGGAGACCAAAGCAGGTGGATCACTTGAGGTCAGGAGTTTGAGACCAGTCTGACCAACATGGTGAAACCCCCTTCGCTACTAAAAATACAAAAATTAGCCAGGCATGGTGGCAGGTGCCTGTAATCCCAGCTACTTGGGAGACTGAGGTGGGAGAATCTCTTGAACCCAGGAGGCGGAGGTTGCAGTGAGCCAAGATCGTGCCACTGCACTCCAGCGTGGGTGACAGAGTGAGACTCCATCTCAAAAAAAAAAGAAAAAAAGAAACAGATTTCCTTAAACACATAAACACAAATCACTGTGAGCAATAACTGCACATTTTTACAGAAGTAAGATAAAGAGGATATTTTGTATGATAAGAGTGGTTGGTGAGGGAACTATCTTAGAAATTGCTTTGAAAATTGATTTATAGTCATTCAAGGAATTATTTCTTGAATGTACTCATCTTATTCTGTCTTTAGGCTCATTTTATATTTGGCAAACATACTGTATCAGTCAGAATCCTAACAGGAAACAGATGGCACAGTCAACAGTATAATTGAAGAGCGTTTGATAAAGGGACCGTTTACAAAGATGAGGGCAGAGCTCCGGAAAAGCCAAATGCCTTGGCTGGCAACATCAGAGAGTGACCACCCTGCCTGGGTTGAAAGAGCAAGAGGGAAGACCTATTATCAGAACTCTGAAAGGGCCACCTGAGAGAAGCAGGGATTTCATAGAACAAAAGTTATTATCCTGGTCACGTAGGGCAGCTGTACTACATGTTTTGGCTCAGCCTTTCAGGCAGCTTCAATCTCAGGACAGCTCCATATCAACACAAGCTTTCACAATCATCATGGCAGGAGAAGAGCCTGGATAAGCACATGCCAGCTCTTAAATGCTGCTAATTAGAAGTGGTGCATCACTTCTGCTCACATTCCATTGGCCAAAGCAAATTATTTGGCTTTGCCCACCCAACTTCAAGGGAGTAGGGAAGACAGTCTTCCTATCTACTCAAAAACAAAGGAGAGGGCCGAGCACTGTGGCTCATGCCTGTAATCCCAGCACTTTGGGAGGCCGAGTTGGACAGATCACCTGAGGTCAGGAGTTCGAGACCAGGCTGGTCAACATGGTGAAACCCCGTCTCTACTACAAATACAAAAATTAGCTGGGCATGAGTGCCTGTAATCCCAGCTACTCAGGCTGAGGCAGCAGAATTGCTTGAACCTGGGAGGTGGAAGTTGCAATGAGCTGAGATTGCACCATTGCACTCCAGCCTGGGTGACAGAGCAAGACTCAGTCTCAAAAAAAAAGCAAAGGAGAACTGGAAACACTGGTGAAAACCTGAAAAACACAGACAGAGAGTAACCCGTGTTCTTTTACATTATGCTGCATTCTTTTGTATGAGAAAGAAACTTTCATTGGACAATAATACATGCTCTACAGCTATGCTGTCCAATACACTAGCCATCAGCCACATGTGGCTACTGAGCACTAGAAATGTGTCAAGTCTCAATCGAGATGTGTGGTAAGTGTAAAACAAACCTCAGATTTCAAAGACTTAGCATGAAAAAGAACATAAAATAGTTCATTACTGATTTTAAAATATTGAGTACATGTTAAAATGATAATGTTTGATATCTTGGGTTAAGCACAAATCTATTATTAAAAGTAATTTTACCCAGTTTTGCTTTTTAAAATGTTGTTTCTAGAACATTTTTAATTACACATGTGGCTTGCATTTGTAGTTTGCATTGCATTGCTGTTGAACAGCCCTGCTCTAAAGAGTCCTATGGTTTCTAACAGGGTTCTTACTAGAAAGAGGTGAAGAATTACCAAACTCTGCTGGAATTCTCTAGAATAAATTTTTACTTTAATTGATCTTGGAAAAAATGGATTTTTTTTCTTTTATTTTAGTGTCTGATTTAAATTTCTTTATACAAATTCAGTATCATTTTTTTCTCTCTTCCATAAAGGCGCAGCACAGATGGTTCAGAGAAACCATTATTCTACATAAAGTCTTTTTTATAAAATGTGGTTACATGAAATTCAGTTTGATTAAAACAAAGGGAGCCATTCCTCAAACACGTTGTTTTTCAGTTTCTTAGTTTTTCACAGATATTCAACTTGAAGTCTTCAACTTTTTTTTTTTTTTTTAACTGGGAGGGAGAGTACAGAGAAGGCCACTCACCTTGCCTTTTCATATATATGTAGAGCTGAAATTGTAAGATGTTCTGAAGTTTTCTTGGAATTTTGGTCTAGCAAAAACTATTGAGTGGTCTGTGCCACAGATGTCCTTCCTCCTCTCCACCCACCCTAGACCCCTCTTCTTCCCCTGTACCCATCTGTCTGCCCTGGATGCTGACTTGGGTGGTCTGCACCAGAAGTCTCTCATCTTTGACTTTTGGTTCTGTTCAGCTAATGGAGAGTTCTGGCCAGACAATCAAGGAGGGAGGGGAGCAGGGTCAGAGTGTCTACTCACCTGGTTCCCTCCTGCAAGGTCGCCTGGTGCTGAACATCCAGAGGTGTCAGGAAAAGAGCATCACTGCAAATAACCCAGGAAGAAAGGATTTAATATAGAAAGAAGAGCTTAGGCAAAAGGTGGAGGGCACTGGGATGAGAAAGTCTGGATGACAGATTCAGAGGGTCAGAGAGATAATCATAGTCACTCTAGCCAGTGCATTGGCATCAGGGCTTCCCAGTATGATAGAGATCATAGACAGTCTACGAAGCAATGCATGTTTGGTTATTGAGTGGGACCCAGAAAAGGGAGGTTGTCAAGGAGTCTGTGGAAGCTGCCGCTAAGTAGGGTGGGCTTGAGGCTGATTTGGTGAGCAGTGACAGCCCTTAGAGAAACATGCTATATTCAGAGCAGGAAGAGAGAGGGCCAGTGTGGGGAGGCCTGCCAGAAACATCACATCTCTCTGTCACTGTCTGACCAAGATGACCTCCCAAAAGTAATGGTTTTTCCCTCAAGTTCACCTTCCAAATTTCACTTGAATTCCTCTCCTTGGCAAACCCTAACTTGGAACTATACTGGGAAGGGCATTCAGGAAACTGACTTCCCAGCCTCAGACAGGAGCAGAGGTATCAAGCTGACAACAGTCTGGCATAGGCCAGCTGTGTCTCGTGACTGAGGGCCGTGTTACTTTAAGGAAGCCTTCTTTTCACCACTGCAAGTTCCAGAGTTTGCCTCGGCTCATGCTTTCAGGCCTGAGATATCCCTTTTCATATGTTGGGAGTGGTAACAGCTTCCTTGGGTGAATGCCCTATCCCTTGTGATTCCCGAACACTCTGCCCTCCCTCCCCCATGAATAATCTTGATCTGAGGGTGCTGTCTGCATTCCACTGTGACTCAGACTGACAGGTCCCCTGGCATCTTGTGGGAGGCTGTATTAAAACAAGAGGTCTTAGTGTCTCCGCCAATAACTAAAGGACACAGGAGAGCAACATTTTAAAAAGAGATTTGCTGAAGTCTAGGAAAATAAGGCAGTTTTTCCTGCCTTTCTGCCTGAGTTTTTTAAAGGCTTTACAATACCTTTTAGGAAAAATAAACTCATTATAATAATACTAAGTTAAAAAAGGAAGTTATCAGGATGCATTTTATATGTTATAGTTTATTCTTTAGCAAAGAAATATCAAGATTCCAACCACACATTAAGCTTAACACTCATAGCTTCTTGGTCTTCCAAAGTGTACCTTGTACTTCTTTTGGATGGGAGGTTGAAAAACTTCCTTTGTTTCTTCACCCCCAATTATTTCTCTAATGAGAGGCTTAGACTAGATGATCTCAAGTATCCCTTGTATACTCATAAGGGATACGAAACATTCCCTGTTTCAGTCAAGTTTGTGGCGTATATTGATTGGTGAGGAAAATGTTTAGAGATCTTTTTGAAGCACTAGGTGAGTATATTGTGAAACAAAATTTACCTTCCCATTTCACTAAGAGAATGAGAGACATTTTCACTAATACCTTTGAAAGCATTATGCAAAAGAGTGCATGGTTCTAATAGAACCCCAGCCTAGTTCAGGAGTTGGCAAACAATGGCCTGTGAGTCAAATCCAGCCTGCTGCTTGTTTTTGTAAATTAACTTTTACTGAAACAGAGCCATGCTTATCTGTTTACATATTGTCTATGGCTGCTTTCTCACTACCACTACAGAGCTGAGTAGTTGCAACAAAGTTTATCTGGCCCACAAAGCTTAAAATATTTACTACCTGGCCCTTAACAGAAAAAGTTTGCCAACCCCTAGTTTAAGTAATAAAATTTGTAAGCAGCTCTCTTCAAGTAAAATTCCCTCTCTAGATTTTTCAGAAAAGATATAACCTGAGATCCTAACAATGGGTAACTTAGAGTACAAATAAATGTCTATTTTGGATGCATGAAAATTATAGTACCTCATATAATACGTCAGAGGCAGCCTGATAGCCCTGGGATCTAATCTCAATTTTGTTATTTACCAGCTTAATGACCTTGTGCAAGTTACCTAATCTATTCTCAGTTGTAAAATCGCATGAAAGAGTATGTGAAGCACCCTAAATTTCTATCCAAAATAATCCAAAAGTGAAGGATTATTGAATATTAATTTTTACACTGAAGAAAGATGAAAGATCTGAATCTATGGGGTTAGAAGGTTGGAAATGCATCATATGGGTATAGAACTTAGAATGCAATGTACTCTAAATTATTAAACAACATTTTCTTCCCATTGCTCCCGTAAAGCCACTCCTTCAACAGAAAAACTTGACTCTCTTAGGCAACATATTGGAAACTGTGCATAGGAGTGAGAAACACAACAGCAGAATTTAGAATGAATGTAGCCTGGCAACTGTGTGTACCGGGACCCTGGCCAGCAATGCCTTAGGATAGGAGAGCTCTCAAGCTATGAAGAACACTGCAGTGGGCTCTGCAACTGGACTGTGCAATGGAAGCTTCCAGCTGTGGAGGCACAAGGAGATTGATCTCTAAATGAGGAACAGACAACCTGCCGAGGAACACCTGTGTTCCTCAAATGTCAAACCTAGATCTAGAAGGGTTTAGAGACACAACCCAGAGGAAAGCCTGGGGAACATACAAAGGTTTAAAAAGACCATCCTTTTGTATTTACTTTCAGAACGAAAGGAGGAATAAATCTAATTCTTCTCTTCTGGCTCTGCAAAGTTCGAAGTCCACCAACACACTTCAGCTTGAGCTGAAATTCAACAGATAAGAAAAGATTCTTAATGATTAATCAGCCCCAACACAGTTCTGGAGAAAGAAAGAGACTTTATTTTCATTTTATAGATGGGGAAACTGAGGCTGTGAGCGGTCAGAACCCCTTTGGGGTCATACAATTTTTTTGTGCAGATTGAGAAAGAATCTCTGGGTCTCTGACTCCTGCTCTACTCTTCTTCTCTAGAACCCAGAACTTGTGTAGAATACACTGGACCTCCTCTGATTTATGACATGACCTTGGCATGTTGGGGAATCTCTGTACTTTCGTTCCCTTCTCTGTAAAATGGTCAGAATTCCTGTCTATCTTTCCACATAAATATATTGAAGTTCAAATGTGTTCACAGACAGGAAATCGTGATTCAGTGGATTTGGCAGATGCTTATTTTCCTACATAAAATTCATCCTCTTCTTTCTAATTGCTTGCAGCAATCTGCCCAGCTTCAGGGAATAAATCATGATTAAACCACTACAGTTATGGTAGTCCCATGCCCTTTTGCCAGAGGTTGGACTAGATATTTTCATGTGACCCAGACTCCTCAATAAAATCTGGAGGAGAGCCTGAAATGGGTTTTAGAAAACTCTAAGGATAGTCCTGTTATACCTCTTGAAAGTCACAGGTGGTAATGTGCAGAAAAGTTTAAGTGTCTGCAAAGGATACTCTCATGTGCGGTATGAGGTAAGATGGAAGACAGCAGGGGTGGAGCAAAGCACAAGTCAGTTACAAACTCACACACTGATTCAACAAATATTTATGGTGTGCCCACCATGTGTTAGGCACTGGAAACACATCAGAGAACAAAACAGACCAAATTCCTGGGCCCCATGGAAATTACATTCTAGCAAGGTGAAACAAACAAGAGAAGTAAGTACAACATGCAGCATATTGGTAATAAGTGCAAAAGAAACCAATGAAGCAGAAATAGGGAAGTGAATGAATTAGGGTGTTGAGATTTTAGGTAGGGTAATGAAGGATGTCCTCCTGGAGAAGGCAGCTTTTGCATAAAGCCTGAAGGAAGTGAGGAAGTGAGCCATGGTGGAATCTGGAGTCAGAACAGCCCTCTCAGAGGAGACAGTGAGGAGGCTGGTGTGGCTGGAATGGAGTGAGCCATGGGGGAGGAGTAGAAATTGTGATCAGTGGTATTGAGAGCCACATCAGTTGTGTGAACCCTCAAAAGCACTGTGGTTCTTACCCTGAGTCACACAGGAATCCAGGGAAAGGTTTTGAGCAGAGAGATGTGGACAAATCTTTATCTTAGCAGGATCATTCTAGCAGCTTTGTACAAGTAGGCTGAAGAGGCACAAGGACAGAAATGAACCACATAGTAGGATATTTAATATAGGTGAGAGTCATTGGCAGCTTCAGCCAGAGTGGTAGCTTGGAAAGGTAAGAAGTTGTTCAGAATCTAGATATAATTGAAGACAGAGTTGGCAGGTTCTATTAAATATAAGAGTGGGGTTTGAGGAAGTTGAGGATGACTCCAAGGTTTTTGATTTGAGCACCTAGATTGATGGAGTCTGGAAGATTGTAGGAACATCAGGATTTGGAGGCAAGGCCAGAATCTTGCTTTTCATCTTGTTTGAGATGCCTATTAGTCATCTAAGTGGACATGTCAAGCAGGCCATTGGATAACAAGTCTAACAAATTGGGCATTTAATTGCATGGAAGAAACACCAGAAATGAGTCACAGGGAAGCATCTGACTCTCTGTGTGAAAAGCAGGATAATTTCTTCAAACCTCAATTTCCTCATCATTGAAATGGGAGTAACAACCAGTGTTGTGAAGGTTTAATAAGATGATAAAAGGACCTAGCACAGTTTTTTTGAGCAATAAACAGTAAATATTATTAATAATTACTTACTATTTTTACATTTTCCTGCCTGAGTAGAATCTACAGAAAATTAAGTCACTTGACCTACCATTTAGTTTCCTTGTCCTAAGAATAAAGGAATCTCTGAGTATTTTTAATGGGCTTGGTGACTTACAATTTCTTATAGCTGTCATATAGGTCTAGGGTAAAGATGCAATTTTTTTCCTGTTTTATAGATGAGGAAACAGACTTAGAAGTAAAATAACTTTCCCAAAGTTACACAACTAGTGTCATCTTCGAAGATCAGTTTTTCAATTATTTTTAATTTAACACATTGCATCTTTAAGAACCTTCTCAAATATATCTACTTTTTACTGACACCGATTTTAAAAAATGAACACTTTCCCTCCATGTTAATAAATAATTTTTAGGAAGAGGTTCTCAAAATTTAGTTTTCAGAGAACAAAAGTCTAGATAGAGTAGGGAATTCTTACCCACAATAAGAATTAATGCAAATATGGATGTTTCATAATGAATGATGATAACCTTCTGGGTTTACACTTAATGGATATGTCCACTTGACAAATGGCATAGCGATTATCCAACACTTCCCCATGTAGGTTGATCCACAGTAACAAATGGCCATACTGCCCAAAGTAATTTATAGATTCAATGCCATCCGCATCAAGATACCATTGACTTTCTTCACAGAATTAGAAAAAACTACTTTAAATTTCATATGGAACCAAAAAAGAGCCCATATAGTCAAGACAATCCTAAGCAAAAAGACCAAAGCTGGAGGCATCGTGCTACCTGACTTCAAACTATACTACCAGGCTGCAGTAACCGAAACAGCATAGTACTGGTACAAAAACAGATATATAGACCAATGGAACAGAACAGAGGCCTCAGAAATAACGCCACACATCTACAACCATCTGATCTTTGACAAACCTGACAAAAACAAGCAATGGGGAAAGGATTCCCTATTTAATAAATGGTGTTGGGAAAATTGGCTAGCCATATGCAGAAAACTGAAACTGGACCCCTTGCTTATACCTTATACAAAAATTAACTCAAGATGGATTAAAGACTTAAATGTAAGATCTAAAACCATAAAAACCCTAGAAGAAAACCTAGGCAATACCATTCAGGACATAGGCATGGGCAAAGACTTCATGACTAAAACACCAAGAGCAATGGCAACAAAAGCCAAAATTGACAAATGGGATCTAATTAAACTAAAGAGCTTCTGCACAGCAAAAGAAACTATCATCAGAGTGAATAGGCAACCTACAGAATGGGAGAAAATGTTTGCAATCTATCCATCTAACAAAGGGCTAATATCCAGAATCTACAAAGAACTTAAACAAAATTATAAGAAAAAACAAACAACCCTACCAAAAAGTGGGTGAAGGATATGAACAGATACTTCTCAAAAGAAGACATTTATGCAGCCAAAAAGCATTTGAAAAAAAGTTCATCATCACTGGTCATTAGAGAAATGCAAATCAACACCACAATGAGATACCATCTCACACAAGTTAGAATGGTGATCATTAAAAAGTCAGGAAACAACAGATGCTGGAAAGGATCTGGAGAAATAGGAATGCTTTTACACTGTTGGCAAGAGTGTAAATTAGTTCAACCATTGTGGAAGACAGTGCAGTGATTCCTCAAGGATCTAGAACCAGAAATACCATTTGACCCAGCAATCCCATTACTGGGTATACACCCAAAGGATTATAAATCTTTCTACTATAAAGACATATGCACACGTATGTTTATTGCAGCAATGTTCACAATAGCAAAGACTTGGAACTAACCCACATGCCCATCAATGATAGACTGGATAAAGAAAATGTGGCACATAAACAATGTGGAATACTGTGCAGCCATAAAAAAGGATGAGTTCATGTCCTTTGCAGGGTCATGGATGAAGCTGGAAACCTTTATTCTCAGCAAACTAACACAGGAACAGAAAACCAAACACCACATGTTCTCACTGATAAGTGGGAGTTGAACAATGAGAACACATGGACTCAGGGAGGGGAACATCACACACCGGGGCCTGTCGGGGGGTGGGCGCTAGGGGAGCGATAACATTAGGAGAAATACCTAATGTAGATGATGAGTTGATGGGTGCAGCAAACCACCATGGCATGCGTATACCTATGTAACAAACCTGCACATTCTGCACATGTATCCCAGAACTTAAAGTATAACAGAAATAAAAAAAATAAATTAAATAAAAATAAATAAATAAATAAGAGCTAGCCAAATTGTAAAAGCTAAGTACCCATCAGTAAATGTTTAAGTTATGTTTAGCCCTATCATGCTCTATATCATCATGGAGTGCTTAAGAAAAACATAATAAGCCAGGCACGGTGGCTTATGCCTGTAATCCTAACACTTAGGGAGGCCATGGCGGGCAGATCACCTGAGGTCAGGTGTTTGAGACCAGCCTGACCAATATGGCAAAACCCCGTCTCTACTAAAAATACAAAAATTAGCCGGCTGTGGTGGCACATGCCTGTAATCCCAGCTACTCAGGAGGCTGAGGCAGGAGAATCACTTGAACCCAGGAGGCAGAGGTTGCAGTGAGCTGAGATCACGCCACTGCACACCAGCCTGGGTGACAGAGTAAGACTCTGTCTCAGAAAAAAAAAAAAAAGAAAAGAAAGAAAAGAAAAGCATAATAATACAGCAATTATGGTAAATAGAATAAAGGCAAGCTAGGACTAATACAAAATGCTCTGGCCTACATGAAATATGCATGCATTAGAAAAAATACCTTGTATTGTATTTCCTTTTATTGTATTTCCTTTCATGTTCACAGTGGCTGATCTTTCCCTATTCTTATAACAGTCAACAGTTTGTGTATTTACATGTGCCAGACCCTGCATTTAGTGTTTTATAGATATCCTTATTTAAACATTAACCATAGGATGAGATTATATCTTTTTTTAAACCATTACCATGAATACTTTTATTTTTTTAGCACAGACTATTATAAGTGGATGACCAGTTTTCATCCTTTTTATTTAAACAGCTTTATTGTGGCATATTTTACATATCACAGAATTCATCTATTTCAATACAATTCAGTGATTTCTAGTAACCTTACCAAGAAATGCAGTCATCACCATAGTCCAGTTTTATAATTTTTTATTTCCCTACTAAGCTCCTTCGTGTCTATTTACATTTAATCCTCATTTCTACTCCCAGCCCCAGACAATCACTAATTTAATTTCTGTCTCTATATTGCCTTTTCTGGACATTTTATATAAATGGAATTATACATTATGTGGTCCCTTGGTCTTTTGTACCTGGCTTCTTTCACTTAGTGTAATGGTTTTGAGTTTTGTCTATTTCATAGCACATGTCAGCAGTTTATTCCTTTTTATTGCTGAGAAAATCTCCCAGTATAGTGAATATACCAGCTTTTGTCTATCCATTTGCCAGATGATGGACATTTAAGTTGTTTATGGTTTGGGGATATTATAAATATATACCATTTCTTAGATGAAGAAACTGTGGCCTCCAAGAAGGTCAGTAACTCTCCCCAGATTGCACAGCTACTCAATGTCAGAGCCAGGGTTTGGATCCAAGCTTACCCAACTCCAAAACCCAATCACGCTGTTTATTGCTAGAATTAGGGGATGAATTTTGTCCTTTATATTTTTGTTTCTATACATCTTATGATATATATTTTATAATTTAAAATTTTGTTAGAAGTGTTTAAATATCTTTAAATTGTGACCAATAAAGCTATGATGTGTTACCTCTTCCAGGGATAGTCAGATTTTGTGGATAAAGTGTTAGCTTTATTCATTCCTTCAGTAAAGCTGTCACATTTCAGCCCTCAACAAAAGATAAACCAAAGACAGGGACCATGGTAGCAGGCTACCCCAGAGATGCCTTGCAGATTTACCTCTGCTGAAGCCTCTGGACTTTGTGCTAGCACTGCCATAGAATTGCTCAGGGTCCTCCTGGAACCATAAGACATCCCGGGCTTCTGTTTGAAGCTGAAGGTTAAAGATGAGGCCAGAACAACCTGAGTGATAGGAGTAAAGTGTTCCTCAATGAAAACATTTCCTGATCAATCTGTCTTTTATGAAGTCAGACAAAAGTTGAGTAAATCCTGGTATTTTTACTGGTTTGTTTTTCAATGCTTGGAAATGTTTTACTGAGTGTAGGCATTTTTCTGTGGGTCTTAACAGCAGTTACACTTCATAATCATCTTAAAACACACCTAACATAAAATTTACCATCTTGGCCATTTTTAACTGTACAATTCAGTGGTATGAAACATATTCATAATGTTTAATAATCATCACCATCCAGCTCCATAACTGATTTTCATCTTGTAAAGCTGAAACTCTACACATATCGAAAAGTAACTCCTTATGTCTCCCACTCCCCAGCCCCTGGCAACCAGTCTATATGTTTCTATGATTTTGACAACTCTAAATACCTCATAAAAATGAGATCAGGCAGTATTTCTTTTTGTGACTGGCTTATTTCACTTAGCATCATATGCTCATAGTTCATCCATGTTGTAGCATATGTCAGAATTTCCTTCCTTTCTCAGCCTGAATAGTATTTTATTGTATGTATATGCCACAATTTGCTTATCCATTCATCTGTTGAATGGACACTTGGGCTGCTCCGTGTTTTAGCAAATGTGAGTAGTGCTGCTCTGAACATGGGTGATAAATTTCCCTAAAATTTTGTGTTCAATTATTTGGACATATACCAAGACGTGAAATTGCTGGATTGTATGGTTATCTGTTTTTAATTTTTTCAGGAACTTCCATACTGTTTTCCAAGTAGCTATACCATTTTACATTCCCACTTGCAGTGCTCAAGGGTTCCAATTTTCCACTTTCTCCACATCCTCACCAACACTTATTTTCTGTTTTTTGATAGTAACCTTTCTAGCAAGTGTAAAGTGGTATCTTATTATAATTCTGATTTGTATTTCTCTAATGATTAGTGATGCTGAGCATCTTTTCATGTGCTTATTGGCCATTTGATTATTCTCTTTGGAGAAATGTCTATTCAAGTCCTTTGCCCACTTTTGAATTAGTTTTTTGTTGTTGTTGCTGTTGAGTTTTAAGAGTTCTCTATATATTCTGGACATTAATCTCTTATCAGATATATGATTTGCAAATATTTTCTTCTATTTGTGGTTTGCCTTTTTACTCTGTTGATACTGTCTTTTGATTTACAAAATTTTAAAATTTTCATAAAATCCAATTTGTCTATTTTTCTCTTGTCGCCTGTGCCTTTGGTATCATATTCAAGAAATCATTGCCAAACCAGTGTTTCAAAACTTTTGCCCTATGTTTTCTTCTAAGAATTTTATAGTTTAGTTCTTACATTTAGGTCCTTGGTCCATTTTGAGTTAATTTTTGCATATGATATTTGGTAAGGGTCCAACTCCATTCTTTTGCATGTGGATATTCAGTTTTCTCAACATCATTTGTTGAAATGATTGTTCTTTCCTCATTGAGTGGTCTTAGCAGCCTTGTCAAAAATCATTTGATGATACATATAAGGGTTTATTTCTGTGTTCTGTATTCTATTCCATTGGTCTATTTGTCTGTCTTTATGCCAATAACATAGTAGTAACTTTTGAAATCAGGAAGTGTGAGTCCTCCGGGTTTGTAATTTTTCAAGAATGTTTGGCTATTTGGGGTCCCTTGAGATTCTATATGAATTTTAGAATGGGTTCTTCTATTTCTGTAAAAAAAAGTCATTGGTATACTGATAGAGATTGCATTGAATCTATAGATTGCTCTGGGTTATATTGACATCTTAACAGTTTTATCCAAACATGGGATGTGTTTCAATTTATTTAGGTCTTTAATTTCTTTCAGTAATATTTTATAGTTTTCATTGTACAAGTCTTTCACCTCCTTGGTTATTTCCTAAGTATTTTATTATTTTTGATATTACCATAAATGGAATTGCTTTTGTAATTTGCTTTGCAGATTGTTCATTGTCAGTATGTAGACATCCAACTGATTTTTGTATGTTGACTTTGTATCCTACTACTGTGAATAATTCCTCTATTAGCTCTAAAAGCTTTTTGTGAAATCTTTAGGATTTTCTGCATATCATATTATCTTTGAACAGAAATGATTTTATTCTTCCTTTTTAGTTTGGATGATTTTTATTTTTTTTCTTGACTAATGTTTCAGGCTAGAACTTCCAGTACTATGTTAAGTAGAAACGGTGAAGGTAGGCATCCTTGCCTTATTCCTGATCTTAGAGGAAAGGTTTTTGTCTTCTACCATTGAGTATGATGCTTATTTTAAATTTTTTCATATATGGCTTTTATTATGTTGGGGTAATATGTAATAGGAATGTCCTCCTATTCCTAGTTCATTGGAATGTTTTTATTATGAAAATGGTTGATTTTTGTCAAATGCTTTTTCTGCATTTGTTGAGATAATTGTGGTATTTTTTCTTTATTATTTTAACATGGTATATTACATTGATTATTACATGCTGAAACATCCTTGCATTCCAGAATTAATCCCACTTGATACACAATCTTTTTAATATGCTGCTAAATTTGGTTTGCTAGTATTTTGTTGAGAATTTTTGCATCAATATTCTTAAGGAATATTAGTCTGTAGTTTTCTTTTTTTGTTGTGTCTTTGGCTTTGGTATCAGAGTAATGCTGGCCTCACTGAATTAGTTAGAAAGTGTTCCCTACTTTTCAATTTTTTGGGAAAATTTGAGAAATACTGGTATTAGTTCTTCTTTAATTGTTTGATAAAATTCCCCAGTGAAGCCACCAGGTCCAGGGCTTTTCTTTGCTTAGGAATTTTTTTTAATACTGACTCAATCTCCTTACTAGTTATAGGTCTATTCAGGTTTTCTATTTCTTTATGATTTAGACCTGGTAGTTTTTGAGTTTCTGAGAATTTCCTCATTTCATTTAGATTATCCAGTTTGTTGGTGTACAATTGTTCATAGTACTCTCTAATAATCTTTTTTATTTCTTAAAAAGAATAATACTGAATCAGTAGTAAGTTCCCCTTTTATTTTTAATTTTAGTAATTTGAGACTTTTCTGTTCTTTTTTTTGTCTATCAAGCTAAAAGTATTTCAATTTTTTTTCTCTTTTCAAAGAATCAACTTTTGGTTTCACTGATTTTCTTTATTGTTTTCTAGTTTCTATTTATCTCTGCTCTAGTATTATTTTTTCTTCCTTCTACTAGCTTTGGGTTTAGTTGTAAAGTTAGGTTTTTGATTTGAGATCTTTCTTGTTTTTAATGTAAGTATTTATAGCTATAAGTTTCCTTCTTAGCATTGCTTTCCCTTCATCCCTTAAGTTTTTGGAATGGTGTCTTTTTTAAAATTTATATCTAAGTATTTTCAAATGTTCCTGTGATTTCCTCTTTGTTCCATTGGTTGTTTAATAATGCATTTTTTGGTTCCCACAAATTTTTAATTTTCCAGTTTTACTTCTTTATCAATTTCTAATGTCATCTCCTAGTGTCAGAGAAAATACTTTTTCTTTTTTTCAGACTGAGTCTCACTCTGTTGCCCAGGCTGAAGTGCAGTGGCACAATCTTGGCTCACTGCAACCTCTGCCTAGTGGGTTCAAGCGATTCTCCTGCCTCAGCCTCCCAAGTAGCTGGGACTACAGGCACGTGCCACCATGCCCGGCTATTTTTTTGTATTTTTAGTACAGATGGAGTTTCACCATGTTAGCCAGGATGGTTTTGATCTCCTGACCCTGTGGTCTGCCTGCCTCGGCCTCCCAAAGTGCTGGGATTACAAGTGTGAGCCACCATGCCCGGCCAGAAAATACTTTTTATGATAGTTATCCTTTTAAATCTATTGAGACTTAATTTGTGGCCTAACATATAGTCTATTTTGGAAAATGCCCCATGTGCACTTGAGAAAAATGTGCATGCTGTTGTTGTTAGGTAGAGTGTTCTGCATATGTCTGCTAGATCTAATTCATTTATTGTGATGTTTGTCTTCTATTTCCCTACTTTTCTTTTCTCTGGTGACCTATTCATTATTGAGAGTGGGCTATTGAAGTGTCCAACTATTATTGTAGAACTATCTTATTTCTCCCTTGAATTCTGTTTATGCTTCATATATATATATATATATATATTTTTTTTTGTTTGTTTTTTTTGAGATGGAGTCTTGCTCTGTCGCCCAGGCCGGACTGCGGACTGCAGTGGCGCAATCTCGGCTCACTGCAAGCTCCGCTTCCCGGGTTCACGCCATTCTCCTGCCTCAGCCTGCCGAGTAGCTGGGACTACAGGTGCCCGCCACCGCGCCCGGCTAATTTTTTGTATTTTTAGTAGAGACGGGGTTTCACCTTGTTAGCCAGGGTGGTCTCGATCTCCTGACCTCATGATCCACCCGCCTCGGCCTCCCAAAGTGCTGGGATTACAGGCGTGAGCCACCGCGCCCGGCCGCTTCATATATTTTAATAGTCTGTCATTAGGTGCATACATGTTTATAATGATTATGTCTTCTTGATGTATTAAACCTTTTATTAATATATAATGTCCTTTAACTCTTGTAAGTTTAAAAAATTAAAGTCTATATTGTCTGATGTTAATATAACCACCTCTGCTCTCTTTCAGCTACTATTTTCATGGAATATCTTTTTCCATTCTTTCACTTTCAATCTATTTGTGTCTTTGGATCTAAAATGAGTCTCTTGTAGACAGCAAATAGTTAGATCATGTGTTTTTAATCCCTTCTGCTAATCTCTGTCTTTTCACTGGAAAGTTTAAGCCATTTGTATTTAAAGTAGTTGCTGATGAGGAAGGACTTACTTCTGTCATAATGTTATTTATTATCTCCCTTATAGCTTTTTGATCTTTATTTTCTGCATTACTCTCTTATTTTATGTTTAGCTTATTTTTATATTGAAATGTTTACATTCCTTTCTCATTTCCTTTTGCGTATATTCTATAGCTATTTTCTTTGTGGTTACCATGGGGATTACATTTAACATCCTAAAGTTATAGCACTCTAATGTGATTTTATAAAAGTTTAACTTCAATAACATACACAAAGTCTGCTCCTTTACAGCTTTGCTTTTATCTCCTTAGTGATGTCACAAAATTACATCCTTATACATTGCATACCCCAAAACATAAACTAATAATTCTTCTAAATGCACCAATCTCTTAAATTATGTGGAAAACAGTGTGAAGTTACAAATCAACATTACAATAATTCTAATTTTTAGACTAATAATTGTTTTTTAATATGTATTAATCTCTTAAATCATGTAGAAAACAAAAAGTAGAATTACAAAGCATTGTTACAATATATTAGCTTTTATCATTGCTCATGTTATTTACCTTTACTGATATCTTTATTCCATTATACAGCTTTGAGTTACTATCTGCTGTGCTGTAATTTCACCCTATAGAATTCCTTGAGCATTTCTCACAGGGCAGGTCTACTAGTAACAGACTCCTTCAGCTTTTGTGTATTTGAGAACACCCTAATTTCTCCCTCACTTTTGAAGGATAGTTTTGCCAGATATGGGATTCTTGGTTCACAGATGTTGTTTTTTCCTTTTAGCACATTGAGTATATTAGCCCCTGCCTTCTTACCTCCAAAGTTTCTGATTTGGAATTTGCTGATAATCTAATTGAGGGTCCACTGTATTTGAAGAGTTCTTTGTCTCTTGCTGCTCTCAAGATTCTCTTTGTCTTTTGAAAGTTTGATTATAATGTGTCTTGGTGTGGTTCCTTTTGAGTTCATCTTACTTGTAGTTTGTTAATCTTCTTGAATGTTTATATTCATGGTTTTCAACAAATTTGGAAAGTTTTCAGCCATTATTTTTTCACATATTCTCTCTGCCTCTTTCTCTCTCTCTTCTGTTTCTTGGACTCCCACAATATGTATGTTGGTCCACTTGGTGGTATCCCACAGGTCCTTTGGACTCTGCTTTTTTTTTTCAATCTTTTTTCTTTCTGTTCCTCAGACTTGATATTTTCTATCATCTTATCTTCAAGTTCACTGATTCTTTCTTTTGCTTGCTTAAATCTAACTGTGAATCCCTCTAATAAATGTTTAATTTTAGTTATATATTTTGGCTCCAGAATTTCTTTTTGGTTTCCTTTTAGGTTTTTAATATCCTTTTGATACTTTCATTTTGTTCATATGTTGCTTTCTTCTGCTTTCTTGACTTTCTTTTTTTTGGTTGGTTGGTTGGTTGGTTGGAGACAGGGACTGCTCACTTTGTCGCTCAGGCTGGAGTGCAGTGGCATGACCTCAGATCACTGCAACTTCTGCCTCCCAGGCTCAAGTGATCCTCCTGTCTCAGACCCCCAAGTAGCTGGAGCTATAGGTGTGGCCACTGCACTCAGCACTTTTTTTTTTTTTTTTTGTAGAAACAGGGTTTTGCCATGTTGCCCAGGCTTATCTCAAACTCCTAAGCTCAAGTGATCCACCTGCCTTGGCCTCCCAAAGTGCTGAGATTACAGGTGTGAGCCACTGCACCCAGCCATGCCTTCTAGACTTTCTCCACATCCTATTAGTCCTTTGAGCATCCTTAAGACAGTTGTTTTAAAGTCTTCATTTAGTAAATCTGCCATCAGGTCTTTTTTAGGGGGGATGTTTCTGTTGATTTATTTTTTTTCCTTTGAAATGGTCACACTTTCCTGTTTCTTTGTATGACCTTGTAATATTTTTAACTGGACATTCGAAACTAATAATGTAATACCTCTGACAATCAGATTCTCCTCTTTCCCTGTGGTTTGCTATTGTTTCATTTGTTATTTATGGGGTTTGGTTTTTTTAATTTTTGTAGGTTCTCTCTGCCAAGGATCAGCCTGAGGTGTAAACTTAAGGTCTTTCTAAGGTCTTTTCTGATCCTGCACCTTTCCCTGGGCATGTGTGGTCTCTTTCTAATTTTCCTTGTATATGCAGTTGCTTTTGAATGTTCTAGTCTTTAATGTCTAGCCCCTGAAAGTGGGGAAAAAAACATGAAAGGAAGGGGAAGAAAGGACAATTGCCTTTTAAATTCCCTGGAAGTCACTTCAGCCAGAGATGGAGGGGTTGGCAACAATGGTGGCGGGGGGCGGGAAGTAGAACAGCAGTGGCCAGTCTTCTTTTTGTCTGCACCTCTGTGATCAGGAGCAGCAATCAGTGATTAGAATGGAAATCTCTGATGTTTGGATGACAGAGCCCTTTATGTTCATCCTAGCTCCTGCAAGCTTTTTGCAAGCTACTCCAAGGACATGTGTGCAATATTACAGGCATGGCTACCTGCCATGGGGCTGAAGGTGAGAGACGGGTAGCTGCTACTGTGCTAAGAGTTAAAATTGATCAGAATTAAATGCTCTTCACTGTCTAAGCCTTCCTCTGGAGTTTTAATCCTTCAATAGACTCCAGAGCTTCAAAATAGCTACATCCGATATATTCTGCCAGTGAAATTGTTGTCTAGGTGGGGTGACAGATTCCTGGTGCTTCCTACTTTGTCACTTCCTCAGAATCCTCCCTTTTTATATGTGTCGTGTCACTAAAGATATGCATTTTAGTTAAATTTGAAAATATAGATCAATGTGGTATGGTAGCCAGACTCCAAGATGGCCCCACCTCCAGATATTCATACTCTTAGACAGTCTCTTACTACATTATACCTGAGTTGTCTTGTATGTACAATGAATATGCGAAAGTAATGTGTTAATGCTGACAACTAGTTTATAAAAGATACAGCAGGCTGGGAATGGTGGCTCATGGTTATAATTCCAGCACTTTAGGAGGCCAAGGTGAGTGATCCACTTGAGGCCAGGAGTTTGAGACCAGCATAGGCAACATAGCTAGACCCTGTCTCTACAAAAAAAAAAAGTAGAAATTAGCTTGGCATGGTGGCATGTACCTGTACTCCTAGCTGCTCAGGAAGCTGAGGTGGGAGGATTATTTGAGCCCAGGAGTTCAAGGCTGCAATGAGCCATGATTGTACCACTGCACTCCAGCCTGGGTGACAGGGCAAGACCCTGACTCCAAAAACAAACAAACAAACAAACAAACAAAAAGAAGAAGAAGAGAGGCATTGCAGCTTTTGTCTTGGTCTCTCCTTCTCTCAATCTGTCTCTCTTGGATCACTGGCTCTGGAGGAAATCATGTCATCAGCAGCCTTATGGAGAGGTTTCTGTGGTGAGGAACTAAAGCCTCTTGCCAGCAGCCATAAGACTGAACTTTGAAGAGGATCCTCTAGCCCCAGCTGCCACCTTAACTACAACCTTACTAGAGATCCTGAATCAGAGCCAACCAACTTAATTGCTTCTCAGAAACTCTATGAGATAATAAATGTTTGTAGCTTTAAGCTACTACATTTGGGGGCAATATGTTATATATCAATAGACAGCTAATACTTAGGGGGAAATTAACCCATAATTTCACAGTCCAAAAATTACTGTTAACATTTTGTGTGTAAAACATTTTGTATGTGCTTTACAAATAGTTAAAAAATATGAATATAGAAGCTGTGGTGAAAAACAGTATGACAGTTCCTCAGAAATTAAACAGAATTACTATATGCACCAATAATTCCAGTTCTAGGTATATACCCTAAAGAATTAAAAGCAGAAACTCAAATATGTATTTGTATACCCATGTTTGAGCAGCATTATTCACAATAGCCAAAAGGTAGAAACAACCCAAGTGTCCATCTATGGATGAATGGATAAACAAAATGTGGAATACACAGATAATGGAATAGTATTTAACCTTAAAGAGGAATGGAATTCTGATACATGCTACAGGTTGAGCATCACAAATCTGAAAATTTAAAATTTGAAATGCTCCAAAATTCAAAACTTTTCGAGTGCTAATGTAACATGCAAAGGAAATGTTCATTGGAGCATTTTAGGGTTTGGGATGCTCAACTGGGTAATTATATAATGCAAATATTCCAAAATCTATAACACTTCTGGTCCCAGGCATTTTCGATAAGGCATATTCAACCTGTGGAACATGGATGAACCTTCAAGACATGATGCTAAATGAAATAATCTAGACACAAAACAACAAATACTGTATGATTCTTCTTACAGGCTATACCTAGAATAGTCAAATTCATAGAGACAGAAAGTAGAAGATTGGTTATGGGAATGAGGGAAAAAATTAAAGGGGACTTATTTTTTAACTTTTAAGTTCAGGGGCACAAATGAAGGTTTGTTATATAGGTAAACTTGTGTCATGGGGGCTTGTTGTACAGATTATTTCATCACCCAGGTATTAAGCATAATACTTATTAGTTGTTTTTCCTGATCTCCCTCCTCCCACCCTCCACCCTCTGAAAGGCCCCAGTGTGTGTTGCTCTCCTTTATGTGTTCATATGTTCTCATCATTTAGCTCCCACTTACAAGTGAGAACATGTGGTATTTGTTTTTCTGTCCCTGTGTTAGTTTGCTGAGAATAATGACTTCCAGCTTCATCCATGTTCCTGCAAAGGACATGAACTTATTCCTTTTTATGGCTGCATAGTATTCCATGGTGTATACGTACCACATTTTCTTTATCCAGTCTGTCACTGATGGACATTTATGTTGATTCCATGTCTTTGCTATTGTGAATAGTGCTGTAATAAACATACATGTGCACATGTCTTTACAATAGAATTATTTATATTCCTTTGGGTATATACCCAGTAATAGGATTGCTGGGCCAAATGGCATTTCTGTCTTTAGGTCTTTGAGGAATCACCACATTGTCTTCCACAGTGGCTGAACTAATTTACACTGCCACCAACAGTGTATAAGCATTCCTTTGTTGGGGAGTTATTTTTTAATGGGTACAGAATTTCAGTTTAGGATGGTGAAAAAGTTTTGGAAATGGATAGTGGTGATTTTTGCACAATAATGTGAATGCACTTAATGTCACTGAGTTGTACACTTAAAATGGTAAATTTTATGTATATTTTACCACAATAAGAATACATTAATATAGAATGATATTAATTTGTAACTCTTCTCTTTACTCAATGTCATAAATGTCTTTCCATGTCAAGTAGAATGTACATCATTCTTAATATCTGGATAGTAATGATAGAGGCAGGAAGCAGAGAAATTCTAGGCAGACAGGGGCAGGTTCCCAGTGAAACACCACCTTTCAGCTGAAAAGCCTGAAGCCTGCAGTCCAAAGTGAGAACTTCTATCCCTGTTTGCCCACTTTCTCCCAATTGGTTCTTTCTGGATAATGTCTTTTTACCAATTGAATGTTGCTTTTTCCAAAACTACACATGGCCTGCCTTGCCCCGCCCCCTCCACATCGTGTGCCTATAAAGACCCCAGGCTCAGTTGATATAGAAGGGAGAGGGGCAACTTGGCTTCAGAGGGAAGGCTGGACTTTGGAGTAGAGATGGCTTGGCTTCAGAGAGGCAGTTTGACTTCAGGGAAGAGCCAGCCGAAGATGACCAGACTCTGGGGAAAGATTACCTGCCCATCCTGCCCCCTCTCTAGCTTCCCTCTCGCTGAGAGCCACTTCCACCACTAAATAAAATTCTCTGCCTCCACCATCTTTCAAGTGTCTGTGCAACCTCATTCTTCTTTGATGCCAGACGAGAGCACAGGACCCACTGAATACAGGTACCCAGAAAAGGCTTTCATACTGGCTCTTTGCCCTTGCTGGCAGAGGGCAGCTGCCCCATGCAATGAGGCAAGGGGCCCAATGAGCTGATAACACACTGCTGTCCATGGATGGTGGATCTAAGAGAGCACTGTAACATGCCCTCTGGAGCTTCGGGGTCACAGGCGCCCCCACCTGGGTGCTGCTGCGGGGTCCCCATGGAGCTTGCTCCTGCCAGTGGCCAAACCAGCCAGCTGGATCCCGCACTCATTTGCTCACACCTGGTTTGGCTGCAGGGCCCACATGGAGCTTGCTCCTGCTAGCGGCCAAATGGCCGGCTGGATCCTCCACTCACTTGCTCACATGCTTCCTCCTGCAAGGGGTTGAGCACCATGGGCTGAGTAAATGGGGCACCCCCGTCGCAAATCCAACAAAGCGGTCGAGAAAAATCCTGCATCAGTAATGCATTTGATGGACATCCTCTGATTTGGGTCCAAGGAAGTCATAGAACTCGGAGTTACAGACCCACTGACTTCTCCAACTACATCTCTGTTGGACATCTCTTCTCTCTTTGTCTCTCTGTGTCTCTGTTTCTTTGTCTCACTCTTTCCCTTTGTCTCTTTCATGATTTTTAATTGTAGAATTTAAGAGCCTTTCTCTTTGCAAAAATCAAGCTTTAAAAAAATGTGAGTGGAGTGGGGTACAGGAAAAATTTACCTTATTTGATTTGTTTTTCCCCCTTCTCTAGCAGATTGAGAAGCTTTCATGCTTTCTCTCCAGTTAGCTTGGGATTTTATTACCAATAAAGTGTCACTCTGTGCTCTTCAGAGCCTTACACCATTTGTAGGCTCACTATGGGCACATTTGTATTGCTGATGTGCAATCTGTGGGTTAGAAGTAAAAAATGCTAACAGAGCCTTGAGAAGCCTCCTTGCAGTGATAAGGGTTATCCTGGAGGACAGAGGCATCTCAGCAGGCTGGCTCCCTGGGAACACAGATGGAGCTCGAGAGGAGTAGGTTCAGGACTGTTTCTGTGAATGGAGAAGAGGTTTCAAAGAGATTTTTCTGAAATTTCATTCTCTGGTTTGTTTGTGTGCTGTACAAGTAAGATGGATCACATGTTAGAGGCTGAGTCTCCAAGGGAGGATGTGTTCTGGCAGAGTCACCAGGGGGCAGGGTAATATTTCTTTCCATCACACTTTATTTTGCAGGTTTAGAAACTTGATTTTATCAGAGGTGCATAACATGGTTTGTTTATTTACCAAACTTGATAGAGCCTGATTTGTATAAAGGGTCCACCTTAGAATTTCCACCGAACAGCACCTATCAGGTAGGCCATGTTAACACATTTCGTTATTGATAGGTAGTGGGTTGGGATTTTTTCCTCTTAGGATTTTGGGTTTTGGAGTCAAACATGCAAAGGTACGATAGCTTCTAATCTTAGAGAAGCTACTTGAACTTCAATTTCCTCCCCAGTAAACTAGAAAAAAAATACATTGTAAGATTATGAAAAATACATGTAATACAGTACATAAAGTATCTAGCACAGTTAGTAACACTCATAGTAAGCTCTTCATCCTTTTCCTCCTCCTAGATGAGATTAAGGGGTTTGTAATCAAGTCACAAATACCCAGGGCAGCCACTCACACAGGCAAGTACTTAATAAGCCAGCCAGGGTGCTCAAGTCCAGCTAGGCCTGGCATGCTGTTCCCTGGACAGGGTTGGTATTCAGTCCAGCAAACGTATGAGGCATGTATGGTGTCAAATACTGTGGAGGACACGACAATGTCCAAGTCATAGTTCCTGCCCTCTGAAAACACATGTGCATCCACAGAAGCCTACAGGATTTGCATTCAAGTGATTAAAATCTCACCCAAGACTTGTGCTTCTCAAAGTGTGAATCCTGGGCCTCTGGCAGCCTGACAGAAAGTGACTGTCACATTCACAGACCTTGCAGACAACGTAGGTAGATGGAAAAATCTCACAAACCCTAATTTATCCATATCTAAATATAAGCATATTGCATATAGTTTAAGGAATAAGGAATAAAACTCAAATAATTTTCTTAACTTGTACTTTTGATCTTAAAGAAAATTTTGCTCCCTCTCCCTCTCTCTCTCCCTCTCCCCATGGTCTCCCTCTCCCCACGGTCTCCCTCTCCCTCTCTTTCCACGGTCTCCCTCTGATGCCGAGCCGAAGCTGGACTGTACTGCTGCCATCTCGGCTCGCTGCAACCTCCCTGCCTGATTCTCCTGCCTCAGCCTGCCGAGTGCCTGCGATTGCCGGTGCGCGCCGCCACGCCTGACTGGTTTTCGTATTTTTTTGGTGGAGACGGGGTTTCGCTGTGTTGGCTGGGCTGGTCTCCAGCTCCTAACCGCGAATGATCCGCCAGCCTCGGCCTCCCGAGGTGCGGGGATTGCAGACGGAGTCTCGTTCACTCAGTGCTCAATGTTGCCCAGGCTGGAGTGCAGTGGCGTGATCTCTGTTCGCTACAACCTCCACCTCCCAGCCGCCTGCCTTGGCCTCCCAAAGTGCCGAGATTGCAGCCTCTGCCCGGCCGCCACCCCGTCTGGGATGTGAGGAGCGTCTCTGCCTAGCTGCCCAGTCTGGGAAGTGAGGAGCGCCTCTTCCCGGCCGCCATCCCATCTAGGAAATGAGGAGCGTCTCTGCCCGGCCGCCCATTGTCTGAGATGTGGGGAGCGCCTCTGCCCCGCCGCCCCGTCTGGGATGTGAGGAGCGCCTCTGCCCGGCTGCGACCCCGTCTGGGAGGTGAGGAGCGTCTCTGCCCGGCCGCCCCGTCTGAGAGGTGAGGAGCCCCTCCGCCCGGCAGCCGCCCCATCTGGGAGGTGAGGAGCCCCTCTGCCCGGCAGCCGCCCCAACTGAGAAGTGAGGAGCCCCTCCGCCCGGCAGCCGCCCCGTCTGGGAGGTGGGGAGCATCTCCGCCCGGCAGCCACCCTGTCCGGGAGGGAGATGGGGGGTCAGCCCCCACCCGGCCAGCCGCCCCGTCCGGGAGGTGGGGGGCGCCTCTGCCCGGCGGCCCCTTCTGGGAAGTGAGGAGCCCCTCTGCCAGGCCACCACCCCATCTGGGAGGTGTACCCAACAGCTCATTGAGAATGGGCCATGATGACAATGGCGGTTTTGTGGAATAGAAAAGGGGGAAAGGTGGGGAAAAGATTGAGAAATCGGATGGTTGCTGTGTCTGTGTGGAAAGAAGTAGACATGGGAGACTTTTCATTTTGTTCTGTACTAAGAAAAATTCTTCTGCCTTGGGATCCTGTTGATCTATGACCTTACCCCCAACCCTGTGCTCTCTGAAACATGTGCTGTGTCCACTCAGGGTTGAATGGATTAAGGGCGGTGCAAGATGTGCTTTGTTAAACAGATGCTTGAAGGCAGCATGCTCGTTAAGAGTCATCACCACTCCCTAATCTCAAGTACCCAGGGACACAAACACTGCGGAAGGCCGCAGGGTCCTCTGCCTAGGAGAACCAGAGACCTTTGTTCACTTGTTTGTCTGCTGACCTTCCCTCCACTATTGTCCTGTGGCCCTGCCGAATCCCCCTCTGGGAGAAACACCCAAGAATGATCAATTTAAAAAAAAAAAGAAAACCAAAAAAAAAAAAAAATCAAAAAAAAAAAAGTTTCACTTGCCTATTGAGCTCCTATGCTCTGCCATCAGAAGAGCATGCCTCAGAAAGCAATGGCTCCAGAATATGCTCAATTAGAAATGGGTTCTTGAGACTCGCTCCCAGATTAAAGAAGCATTCAGAAAAGGCTTGAACTCAACCTACTGTGGGAAGCCAAGTCCAACGGAACTCATCAGAACCACAGCTGACACACAGATCTGAGGACAAGAAGATCGTATTTGTTGTTGTAAGCCACTGAGATTTAAGGGGTGATTGTTACACAACAAACACTGACTAATGTACATAACTAATAAGCTTATAAATCAGGGTTTTGGAGGCTGATCTAATACAGCAACACAGATCATGGAAAAAAAAAAGGAAAATTTTAAAAGTTATCACGGAGAAGGATCTGAAGTTTATGATAAAAAATGATGGGCTAAATCTCTCCTCCTACTTGATTTGGGAACATTGGTCATCACCCTGTGATACACCTGGTGTGCTATGATTTTCAAGAATAAGGAATGTTAGATTTCACAGTTGCTTGCTGTATGGAATCTGAAAGTCGCTGAGGTCCTTAGTCTGCTAGTTGCCTCCCAGCCTCAGCATAGGTTGTGTTGGTGCCTGAATGGTTTTCCCTATTCAGACATGTTCTTGTTAACTTTGATGTGGTATCTCTTTTATTTTGAGACAGAGTGTTACTCTGTCACTCAGGCTGGAGTGCAGTGGTGCAATCTCAACTCATTGCATCTTTCGCCTCCTGGGTTTGATTCTCCCACCTCAGCCTCCTAAGTAGCTGGGATTACAGGCGTGCACCGTTATGCCTGGGCTAATTTTGTATTTTTAGTAGAGACAAGGTTTCACCATGTTGGCCAGGATGGTCTTGAACTCCTGACCTCAAATTATTCACCCACCTCAGCCTCCCAAAGTGCTGGGATTACAGGTGTGAGTCACTGTGCCCAGCCCAGATATGGCATCTCTTGATGCCCCATCTGTATCCTAGAAGTCAGGGTCCCCTTATCTTCTGAGCCTGTACCCCTATATGAATGGAGAAGGAAGCAAGCTGTATGGTCTGCAGAAGTATTTGACTGACTAGTTTGGTATTCTGAAATTTAAACTCATTGCCCTTAAACAATGTGCTAATGTTCTCCACATGTTATGCAACAGCACCACTTTGTTTTCTGCTGTGTTTCCTGAGACATTTGAGTTCTTCATCTTGGCTTTTTGGTAATCAAAGCTTTCCCAGTCCAGCTGAATCCTTTCTTTCTAGGCCTGTCAGTACGTAAAGTCCTTCCCTATTCCCTGAGGAATAACCCAAGGTCTCTGTGCCTTTGCTAGGTCTGTTTCTTTTGGGTAGAATGCCTCTCCTGCTCCTTTGTCCAACCTAACCATTTTGTACTCCTCCCTGTAATCTCAATTTGCACATCACCTCTGTGAAGCTTTTCTCACTGAGTCTGTCCTTTCTACTCCCTAGAATTAGTCAAACCTCCCTCCCAATAGTTCCTTGCCGGTACTCCAACCATGGTGTGTATGTGTTGAGAAATAAACAAGCCAGAAACAAACTTAGAAGTTCCTTAAAGGTGTCAACCTTAAATAATGAGATTCAAAAAATATATTAAGTATAGAGTTTATTCGAGTGCAAAGTTTGAGGATAGCCACCCAGAGACATTGACTCCAAATGAATGCAACAAGCATTCCAAAGTAGAGAAGTTAAATTTCAGCAGCATGGCAACATTTTCCATACACGACCAGTGCACACACACATCACAGTGATTTGATTGGTTACGAACTGCTACATTCTAAGGAAGATTGCTTTATTACTCCAAGAGGAAGAGTAGTGAGCTGAGGGAGTCTTATCTCTGGGGAACTTTGTTCTTAATTATTTACAGAAAATAAAAAAGGCAGAAGTTGCAGCTGCATGCCATGTGACTTAAGCTGCATAGCCACATTCCTCTCAAGGCTCAGGATAACTTCAATTTCAAACAGCTTTAAGTTTGAATTATTTTAAGTTTGAATTATTTAATTTCACAAAGGCTACAGCCATGTTTTCTCTGCTCTTTCCTCAATGTGGGATCCTTCATGTCATTGAATTCTTTATTGGACATCTATTATGTATAAAGCCCCAAAAGATAACTGATGAGGAGTTTTTTTTATCTCAGAGTAGGATGGAGGTGTGAGGCCAGGGAGCAGAGCCTGCTCTAGATGTTACCACTTTTCTCAGGGTGCTTAACCTGCTTCAGTGCGGCCGTTGCTACCGCCCGCTGGTGCACTTCTGAGGTTATTCTCCACCGTGCCAGAACCTCCCGCCATCCTCTGCTAGGGGAAAGATGAAAGAGCATACTATTTACTTTTTTTAGTCTTTATACTTTGCCTCCCTTGATACCAAAGGATGGGCAGGAGCATGTCTGACCTCCTGATGTGGATGTTGCAATTGGGTTGAGGCTGCTGGATTTACTTAGTACCAAATGCTCTCTTTTGCCTGACTTCCTGCCAAGCCTAGGTGCATATAACCACTTGGGCGGTGGCCACCCCCAGTGATTTGAACTTATAGGACGGTAGAAGTATGTGAATCATGTTGCTTCAAGAAATTCAGTTATTCTCCAAGTTCTAAAATAAAATCTGGTGGATGTTTGTTAGAAGCTAGGTACTTAACTCTTCAGAAAAAGGAAAATCTGAAAGAAAAATATATTTAAAAGTGGTCTAAGATGGCTGCAGATTGGACATAGACAATAGAAACTAGGCCTATGAATTAAAGCTGAACCCTCACCAGCAAGGCTGCAGTCTGTCAAATATTTCACTGATATGTACGAATTATAATACAACCCTATCTATCAGATATAGCATAAAGGCAGGATAAAATCAATCATCCCTCTCCAGACCCTAAGATGCCCACATACTTGCTAACCTTTTACCCTATATAACTTAACCAGACTGTTGCTTTATCTTATGTACAATGTCTCTGAGCACCAATCAGAATTGTGAGAATGTCACCTTTACTTTATTACCCCTTTCTCTCATTTTCTATGTAATGGAACACATGAATACCGTGCCTCATGTAACCCACTCTGAGACTCATTATCGGTTTGTGCTAAGTCAGTGTTTTCAGGGGCTATTTGTCCTCAAACTTGGCTAAGGTGAAATTAACTTTACATTTTTAACATTATAATGCCTTTTGTTTCAGCTTTCAGTCAACACGTCAAGGGAAGGAAGAAAGATTAAATATTATTTATATACCTGTGTCTCAGACAGGCAGAAATGTAGGCTTTGGGATAAGCGATGGTCTGGAGAACCTGGAGGGAGAGACAAAGAAATTGCAACTCTTTGGGCTTAAACGGAAGCTTCAATTAGAGAAGAGAGTTGAAATGGAGAGAATTTCTATTGTCTAATTCAAGGCTGATGGGCTTCCTAAGTGTTTTAGGCTAGAATGAGCTCACATTTGGAGAATATTCTGAGCTCTTCAATAATACTTAAGATATATTAGGCATGATCAAATATGTAGTCATTTAAAGATGTTTCACTTTTTTTCCCTTTCAAAATTCTATTAGAGTTCTCAAATGCAAGAGCTGGGATAGAGAGTTTCTTCATTTCTGCAAAATGAAGACCATTGAATTATTTCTCTCTGTGATGAATTAAAAAAAATGCTGGGTCTAAAATCAAATCGTCTGCAAGTTTAAGACTTTGACTAGCTCAGATTCTGGCTATATTAGAATATTTGAGCCTGCTATCAAGTATAAGAACATGTGCAGGCCTCCTTTTTACCTCCTTCTATGAGTATTTTACCTTCTATTTCAAAATCAAGAACAGGAAATCCAACCCTGAGGGTTCCATTCCTGGCATATTTATGCCCCAGGCAGATTGAGAGAATAAAATAGACTTTTTACAAATGAAGAGATATCACGCTTTTTAGCCTGGGACAGGAAACTTTAGCTGTTGCTAAGGCAACTGCAGAGTTCTGGCTCTTAAGCTGGCTGTGCGAGGAGTATCTCAGAGCCCCAGATGCCTCTGCTGTCACTCACTGTCAGACCAAGTGCAAAGGACTTGGTAGTGAACTCACAGAAACAATGAGACCATTTTTGAATTCTGAAAAGCAAGTGAGGACTCTCAAGACAAAGTATACATATGGTACCTGCTATGGTTTGAATGTTTTTGTTCCCTTCAAAATACACATGTTAGAAACTTAATCCCCAACGCAACAGTGTTAAATGGTGGGGCCTTGAGGGAGGTGTTTAGGTCATGAGGACAGAGTCTTCATGAATGAATTAAAGCCACTATAAAAAGGGCTTGAGGGAGTGTGTTCTCTGTTCTGCTCTTCTGCCATGTGAGAACACAGAGTTCTTTCTCTCCAGAGGATGCAGCAACAAGCTGCCATATTGGAACCAGAGACTTAACCTGCCAGCACCCTGCTCTTGAACTTCCCAGGCTCCAAAACCATGACAAGTAAATTTCTGTTCTTTATAAATTACCCAATCTATGGTATTCTGTTACAGCAGCACAAAACCGATGAACACAATACCCTTTAAAAATAAACAATGGAATGATACTATAGTGGTCGATACATGTCATTATTATTTGTCAAAATCCATAAGAATCTACCTTACCAAGAGTGAACCCTAGTGTAAACTACAGACTTTGAGTGATAATGATGTGTCAATGTAGGTTCATCACCTATAAGAAATATACCATTCTGGTATGAGATATTCATAGTTGGGGAGGCTGTGTATGTGTTGTTTGTTGGGGGGCATATATGAGAACTCTCTGTACCTTCTGCTCACGCTTGCTGTGAACTGAAAACCACTAAAAAAAAAAAGTCTGTTTTTAAAAAATTGACATCCTTGGGGCTGGGAGAAAAGGGGACAAGTCCAAAGGGCTCAAAGCCAGGCTGCATGGGAAAGTTGTATTAGTCTGTAGAACAATAAACGAAGAAACCGTGGGTATGAAAGACCCAAAGAACACTCTGATGCTGATAAGAATGTCAGGCTGCTGTCTGGTTGAGAAAATAATTTGGCTTGCTCAGGCTGGAAAACCAGTAACATTGGGACAGACTGTCTTTCTTGTGGATGAAATTTGTGGATGAAATGTGGAAACATGCTGAGATTTGTAAAGGTTATGAACGAGAGAATATGGCCTTAAGAAAGGTGATGTTTTATATAATGATCTAATTAATGCAGATATCTATCCATCTCAGCCCCCTGCCTTGAGCCAGGAAACCTTACTCCTCCATGTCTATCCAGGGCCCAGACACTAGGGAATATTGTGTAACCACTTGAGCAGCGCCTGCAGGTACTGCTGTTTTGTTTTGCTCTCCTGCTGTTTCCTAGTCTCTGGTAACCATTTTTGTTGCAACTACTACTGTGGCCCTTGCAAAACGAGGGGTGTGTGTTGTGCCAGAGAGTAGGTGATATAAAAGTCAAAGCGAGAATGAGGCATCTCCCCAATAAAGCAATCTTGGGAAACCTGTGGTTAGGGCTGCATATACCCACGTCCACACCTTGCTGCCACATGGGGTCCCTTTTACTGCTCAAATAGACCAGTCTATTCCAGTGTCTCTTATCTTGACCTTAATAAGTCAAGGATGACCTTTTTATGAAGTATGTGCATGTGGAAAACACAGCGGAGCAATTAAAATGCTATTTTCTGCAGTTAGACTGCCAGGGTTGGCAGTTCAATTCTACCACTTACTAGCTGTGTGACCTTAAGCAAATTACTCAGCTGTGGGTCTCTTGGGTTCTTTATCTGTAAAATGAGAATAATAATAGCACTGACCTCATTGTGAGTTGTTGTGAGAATTAAATGATGTAATCCATGTAAAATGCTTAGAACAGTGCCTAGTACACTGTAATCACTGAAATTGGCTTATTGTTGCACTATTGGCTTTCTGGCTTGCTTTTGTTTAAATTAAGGCATAACTATCACATGGCTTGATATAATGCACTTGGGAATGGAAATATTGAGCTACATGACAAGGAACAATGTATTCTGGTACAGTTATATCAAGTTTCAATTTCATAACACAACTGAAAAAACAAAGTTTAAAAATGTTGACATATTTCTAGGTGGTTGCAGTGACAAAAATATAACCAACACAACAGATTTGAATCCCTCTAGCACTAACACCTGCTTTATGAAATATGTTCTATGGCATGTTTTCTTTAAGAGGTCGAGAAGCTTTAGATGATAAATTCTGTCCTATAATTTTAAAAAAGACAGCAGTGGTGATACATCCTGTTATACTGAGAATGGAAAAATCGACTTCAACTTGGTTCTTGTACTGTGTCTTGTTTTTCCATAAGGAGGAGGAGACTGTCCTCTACCAATTTCATTTATGCTTTTCTTGAGCCAAGACTGTGCTTGGCCATGCTTGTGGGTTGGCTCTTAAAGTGACGAACTGGTCACTGGGAAATTGTAGCTCCTCCTCGCCTTCCCCCGGTGTGCTTTCCTTACCAATCAAGTAGGGGAAATGGCCTTCTGGATTATGATCTATTGGTTTGGAGGTAGGGGTGGAGTGTGGGTGAATTTGAGTCACATCTACACTTCCCTAGGAAGCTGTTGCTTTTATTATGGTATTAGGAACTTTACAGATGTACATGCTAATATTAAGCTATTCTTGCTTAAAAATATTTTATTATATTAATCATTGTGGAATAATGGTTTAAAATGTTTCTGAAGTTACTAAATGCCTGGATAGAAATCAAACCCAAAAGAATTTTAAAAACACATGTAAAATTACTTGTCTAAGAGAAATTTCTGTGATGATGAAAATGTCTCTTCTGTGCTGTGTAATATGGTAACCAGTAGCCATATGTGGGTGTTGAGCACTTGAAAGTGAGTAGCATGACTGAGGAACTCAATTTGTAATTTTATTTAATTGTAATACATTTGAATTTAAATAGCCAGATGTGGCTAATGGTTACCATATCGGATAGTGTAAGTTTAAAACATAATGAAAAGTCACCTAACCTAAGCCTCATTTTCTTAGTATGCAAAAGGTGTGAATTAGGCCAATGGTTCTCTCGATCTTGGCAGTACAATGAAGTCACTCAAAGAATGTTAAAAGAGTACTGATACTTGGGTCTCCTGCTGTATTAGATCATTTTCATGCTGCTGATAAAGACATACCCAAGACTGGGTAATTTATAAAGAAAAAGAGGTTTAATGGACTCAGAGTTCCACATGGCTGGGGAGGCCTCACAATCATGGTGGAAAGCAAAAGGCATGTCTTACATGGTGGGAGAAAAGAGAGGATGAGAGCCAAGTGAAAGGGAAAGCCCCTTATAAAATCATCAGATCTCATGAGACTTATTCACTACCACTAGAACAGTATGGGGGAAACCGCCCCCATGACTCAATTATCTCCCACTGGGTCACTCCCACTACATGTGGGAATTGTGGGAGCTACAATTCAAGATGAGATTTGGGTGGGGACACAGCCAAACCATATCACCTGCCCAATATTATTTAGTTAGTCTAAGTCTAGTCATTGAGATTCTTCTAAAGCCTCTCAGGTAATCCTAAAGTACAGCTAAGGTTGGGAACCATCACTGAACTAGATTACCTTTAGGTTCTTTTTCAGTTCTATAATATAATTCTATATATTTAGCAGCAAATTGTACTAAATTTAGAATTCTATAAGGCAAATAGGACACTTATTACTTAAGCCAGTTGCAATAGAAAAGTACATATAGATGTTGGCTTTTTACAAAGGCTGTTTGTCCTAAAACGTTTCTGAAACTTAATGATATAAAACCAATAAACCAGGTTATTGTGATCTACTCCTCTTTGGAGTTTTTCCTGGCTGTGTCAGACCATGGCTTAGGCTATAGACAAGGAAGAGTCTATGTGTATGTACTTGTTTGGGATCTGACTGCAGCCTGTGTCAAGGTTTGGCCATCTGCCCATAAACCTGCATGGGGTGACATCACTGAGTAATCCAAGCTGCCAGTTTATGGAGATCTCAGTAGGAGGTCTTTGGGCTAATCATTTAGAGCACCACACAGCAACTGCTGAGTTTGTATCTTCCCTGGGATTAGAAAAATAAAGTTTTTGGCCAAGTCATTCTCTCTCAAAGCTACTATACAAATGGTTCCAGAAGGTATTCAGGACAGTGCTCCCAGGATTTTTAAGGCCTGAAACAAATGTACATTTCTTCTAGCTAATAAATTCCTCAAATAATGAGTGAAATAGGTACAAGTACTCAGTTTTCTCTAAAAACAAAACAAAACAAAAACAAAAAACTATTTGGTTTTAAGAGTTATACTCATAACAAGACTTTGTTTTGTTTTGTTTTGTTTGTCTGTGGGCCTTGACTAATTGATATAGTGTTTCTGTATGAGAGAACAAAGGACTACATATAGGTCAAATATTGGAGATTAACAAGGTGTTGGGGGAATCACTTTTGTTTGCCTGTGTGCCCACCCTAATCTTATCTTGAATTGTAACTCCCACAATTCCTATATGTCATGGGAGGAACCCAGTGGGAGGTGATTGAATATGGGTGGGTGGGTGTTTCCTGTGCTATTCTTGTGATTGACAGTGAATGAGTCTCACAAGATCTGACGGTTTTTAAAAACGGGAGTTTCCCTGCACAAATTTGCTTGCTGGCAACCATGTGAGATGGGACTTTCTCCTCCTTGACTTTCGCCATGATTGTGAGGCCTTCCCAGCCATGTGGAACTGTAAGTCCATTAAACCTTTTTCTTCCCAGTGTCGGGTATGTCTTTATCAGCAGCATGAAAACACACTAACACGCTTTAATAAACTGCTTTATTTACCATCACTTTAAAATAAAAGAGCAGACAATGGACCAGTGTAACAGAACAGAATCTGGAACCAGACTCCATATGGGTTTACACATCTGAATGACAAATGTGCTATTATAAATCAGTGGGGGAAAGGAATCCTGGGTAAATCTCACTGAGAAAATGCTTATCTTTACAGAAAAAGTAAAATAAAATAAAATTAGATTCCTACCTCACACCAATACATAAATCAATTCCAGGAAGATTAAGAATATAAATGTGAAAAAGCAAAACCTTTAGGCAAATTGTGGATGTAAATTATTCTCCAACTCTCAGGTCATACAGATAAGACAAAAATATCAGTGAAAAAGACTGAAATTTGACTACATGCAACTTAAAACTTCTATACAGTAAGATAGCAAAAACAAAACAAAAACACACACACACACACACAGACTGGGAAAATATGCTTGCAACACATAGTTGATAAAAATTGAAGGCTCTTACAAAGAAAAATAATAAGGCCAAAAGAAAAATGGCGAACTGATTCACACAGAGGGTATTATATTTGCCAGTAAACATAAATAAGATGTACTACCTCTTTAGTAACCAGGTAAATTCAATTTTTAAATAATATATAATTTCAAACTTACAAGATTGGCAAAAAGAATAAAAACTGACAATATCAAGACTTGGTAAGGATGTGGAACAATGGGAACTCTCAAACACTGCTATTTGGAGTGAAATTGGCACAGCCACTTTAGAAAGCAATTTAACAATATCAGGAAAAGTTGAAGGTATGTAATAGCTATAATCCAGCAATATTTTTGTAGCATGTATCCTGGAGAAAATTTTGCACACATGTGCAAGGTGACATTTATGGAACTACTCATTAAATTATTCCTTATAAAAGTAAATATTGCAAGTGAAATTGCCATCATTTGGAAAAATGCTAAGCAAGATGTGGTATAATCCCACAAATTAGTGAATTACAACTGTGTGTATCAATATGGATATGTCTCAACATAATGTTGAGTGAAAACTAATTATAGGACAAACAAAATGGTATTTATATAAACCTTAAAACAAGCAAAATTATACTATTTATTGTTTACAGGGCTTAGATAGATATGTAGTATAAAAACATTTATGGTTGCATTCACTTTGTGGGGAAGGGGATGAGATTGGGGGAAAACACAGAGGGTTTCAAATATCTCTAAAATGTTTTGTGTGTGTGTGTTTTTTTTTAATCAAGTGGAGTGGTAAGTTCACAGGTCTTCACTATATATAGCTTAAATGTTAAAGTGCTTCACCAAAAAATAAACAGCAGGCCGGGCGCAGTGGCTCACGCCTGTAATCCCAACACTTTGGGAGGCCGAGGCAGGTGGATCAACTGAAGTCAGGAGTTCAAGACCAGCATGGCCAACATGGCAAAACCCCATCTCTACCACAGATAGAAAAATTAACCGGGCATGATGGCAGGTGACCAGCTACTCAGGAGGCTGAGACATAAGAATTGCTTGAACCCAGGAGGCAGAGGTTGCAGTGAGCCGAGATCACGCCACTGAACTCCAGCATGGGGGACAGAGCAAGACTCTGTCTCCAAAAAAATAAAAATAAAAATAAAAATAAAAAAATAAACAGCCATAGGTAGACTATCTCCCAAAGAATAATCAATGATAAGATTTTGTTGATTAAGGAAAGAAAACCACAAACTCACAGCTTAAGAAAGCGTACAATATTAGACAATACAACACAGTTATTGAGCTCATATGTGTAGCAGATGTGAACCTCTGCCCAAAATTAAGGTATGCAGGAAATAATTCTTTTTTAGAAAAATATTTTAAGTTTTATTTAAGGTTCAGGTGTACATGTGCAGGTTCGTTACACAGGTAAACTTGTGACTTGGGGGTTTGGTGTACAGATTATTTTGTTATGCAGGTGCTAAGCATAGTACCCAACAGTTTTTTTTCTTGAACCTCTCCCTCTTCCCAGCCTCCTCCCTCAAGAAGGCCACAGTGTTTGTTGTTCCCCTGCTTCTATCCATGTGTTCTCATTATTTAGCTCCCACTTATAAGTGAGAACATGCAGTGTTTTGTTTTCTGTTCCTCCATTAGTTTGCTAAGGATAAAGGCCTCCAGCTCCACCCATGTTCCTGCAAAGGACATGATCTCATTCTTTTTCATGACTGCATAGTATTCCATGGTGTATATGTACCACATTTCATTTATCTGGTCTACCTTTGATGGGCATTTAGGTTGATTCCTTGTCTTTGCTATTGTGAATAGTGCTGCAATGAACATACACATGCATGTATCTTAATGGTAGAATGATTTATATACCTTTGGGTATATAACCAGTAGTGGGAATGCTGGGTCGAATGGTAGTTCTGTTTTTAGTTCTTTGAGGAATCGCCACACTGCTTTCTACAATGGTTGAACTAATTTGCACTCCCATCAGCAGTGTATAGGCATTCCCTTTTCTCTGCAACCTCACCAGCATCTGTTATTTTTTGACTTTTTAACAATAGCCTTTCTGACTAGTGTGAGATGGTATCTCACTCTCGTTTTGATTTGCATTTCTCTAGTGATTACTGATATTGAGTATTTTTTCATATGTTTGTTGGCTGCATGTATGTTTTCCTTTGGAAAGTATCTGTTTATGTCCTTTGCCCACTTTTTAATAGGATTGTTTTTTGCTAGATATTTAAGATCCTTATAGATTCTGGATATTAGACCTTTGTCAGATGCATTGTTTACAAATATTTTCTCCCATTCTGTAGCTTGTCTGCTTACTCTGTTGATAGTTCCTTTTGCTGTGCAGAAGCGCCTTAGTTTAATTGGGTCCCATTTGTTAATTTTTGCTTTTGTTGCAATTATTTTTGGCATTTTTGTAGTGAAATCTTTACCAGCTCCTATGTCCAAAATGGTATCTCTTAGGTTATCTTCCAGGGTTTTTATAGTTATAGGTTTTACAGTTAAGTCTTTAATTCATCTTGAGTTGATCTTTGTATCTCGTGTAAGGAAGGGGTTCAGTGTCAGTCTTCTGCGTATGGCTAGCCAGTTATCCCAGCACCCTTTATTAAATAGGGAGTCCTTTCCCCATTGCTTATTTTTATCAGCTTGTCAAAGGTCAGATGGCTATAGGTGTGTAGCTTTATTTCTGGGCTCTGTATCGATTTCATTGGTCTATGTGTCTGTTTTTGTACCAACATGCTGTTTTGGTTACTGTAGCCTTGAAGTACAGTTTGAAGTCAGGCAATATAATTCCTCCATCTTTGTTCTTTTTGCTTAGGGTTCCCTTGGTTATTTAAGATCTCTTTTCGTTCCATATGAATTTTAGAATAGTTTTTTTCTAGTTCTGTGAAGAATGTCATTGTTTGATAGGAATAGCATTGAATCTTTAAATTGCTTTGGGTAGTATGGCCATTTTAACAATATTGATTCTTCCTATCCATGAGCATGGAACGTTTTTCCATTTGTTTGTGTCACGTCTGATTTCTTTGAGCAGTGTTTTGTAATTCTTATTGCAGAGATCTTTTACCCGCCCTGGTTAGCTGTATTCCTGGGTATTTTATTATATCTGTGGCAATTATGAATGGGACTGCATTCCTGATTTTGCTTTCAGGAAATAATTTTTAATTATAGTAAAGATCAACCTCTTTTCTGTTTCAAGTCCCTATTCAGGCTTCAGTCAGTTGTAAGAAAGAGGAAACTGTTTGGTTTGAAGTGTGACCTATCCTGGTGAACACCTCTGGCTCTACTCCCCTGGCTGGCCTGACTGGCTTTCTGTTGTTGATTACCACAAGCCATGCCCTGACCATTTGAAGGGCTCTCTATGTTCTTTCCTAGCCATGCTTTGGGAGCAGAAATGCTTCTGTGAGAATGTCTGCCCTGGCCTTGACTGCCTGGGCAGAGGTAGGATAGTACACATTCACTGCTATTTAAAAAATATGACTCTGCCATATGAGGGAGTTTAGAAAGAAAAAGGATATATGGGGAAAAAAAGTAGCTGCTTAAGAAAATACAGCAAAAGTTAGCTGATCAATAATATTTAAAAGAGCTCACATTTTTTTGAAAAAGAAAAAGCACACATGCAAGATAGCTAAAACATATTACATTTCAACTCCATATCTTGTTAGAAACTTTGTTCCTAGCAGGTAATACATGATATAGATGTGAACTCAAAAACAAATGTTTTGGAAAATAGGCAGATGCATTGGATGGTCTTCAGATTCAGCCAGAATAGTTTTCCCATTCAGACAGGATTAAGAAGTGGGTATTGCTGGGAGCAGACCTACTTGAGGATGAATGAGGCTCTGGGCCTTAGAAAGTTCTACTATTTCTTGCCAGGTCCCAACTTGGCTGCTTTGTAAGAAGTGGACTTCTGCCTCCTCAGCCTAACCTGAAGAATAGAACCAGGTTTGTCTTAAGGAGTTTGGTATATATTCAGGCCCCTCTTGGTACTTTAGATTCTATCTACTTTTTGGTATCTGCATATCTTTTATGACAGGAGACTAATTTCTTTTTTGTTATTCACAATTGGAGATATCTTTAAAGACAAGTACCTGGTGAGGAGATAAATAACATTTGCTAAAACTTATTCTTACTCAGCCAGTGATTTTCCAAGTGTGGTCCCTAGACCAACAACACAAGCATCACCTGGGGACTTGTTAGAAATGCAAATTCTTGGGCTCCATCTCAGGCCTCCATAATGAGAAACCCCAGAGGCCCAGCCTGCTAAAATTTGGGAACATATGAACAATCAAACTAACATTTTCTCAAACCAAACCAAACAGTTTTCTCTTTCTCGCAACTGACTGAAGCCTGAATAGGGACTTGAAACAGAAAAGGAGTTGATCTTTATTAAAATTAAACTGAACAGTCAAATAAACAGATAAGAATAGTAACTCTTCTACTTCCCAGCCCTCTCATGCTTCCTAGTCCCAACTTGATTGGAGATAAAAGGTAATAGATAAAGCAGAGGAGCTTTGGGGCTAGAGGACAAAATGTAGAAAGCACAGAAGTAGTGTTAGATGGTGTTCAGTGGGAACCATGTGTGAAGGCACACCTATCCTTGGTTGCTCAGTGGAACAGTGTTGAAGCCAATGTTGCCATTTGCAATATGCAAATGCATAATTTGTTGAACGACTGACTAAGCACTGACAACCTGTGTGCCAAATACAAGAGAAACATGGATGGACCTCAAGAGTCTACTGGGAGAAACAGGTAAGTAATCAAGCAGTTACCCTTGTAGCTCGTGGGTCAGTGTATCGGATCCTGGGAAAGCCAGATGAAGGACCCATAACCCAGACTTGGGGTTCAGGGAAGGGCTTGAGACCTAAAGCATGAGCAGCTGTCAGGTGAAGGGAGTGGGGCTCAGGGTTTAGCTTTCACTGAGTTTTTGTTCTTAATAAAGAAGCTCTGTTTCCAGATGATTTATTAATCTCTGTCATTGCACTCCGGACATTAAAAAATACCCAAGACATTTCTTAACTTGTCAAGATGTGAAATATAATGAGCATAACAAAACAAGTCGGCTCCTGATTTATTTGGGCCCTTGAGGCCTCCAGTTTGGCCAAATAACCTTTCACCTGGCTGTGAACACTACATTTTAGATTTGAAGTTACATAGGAAATTACACCCACCAAAGTCACCATATGTGATAAAAAATATTACAGGATCTCTTTGTAAAGAAGTTACAAATCATGGTTGCTTTTTTGATAAATGTTTCTAGTAATGAGTGGTAGTATCTTCAATTTATTCAAGGAGAGTTTTGTTGAATGATTTTCTTTGACATTCATTGAATATCCACTCCCTGCCAGATGATACTGAGAGATAAACTAATGCCACACGGTCTTGAAAGAAGTCAGTAATTTTTTTTTTAAATGGTGTTATCAATAAGTAATAAGGCCCATTCCAAGGCCTTACACATACTAGAAGGCTTCTGATACACACTAGGCCTTATTGTCATCACTTCCTTCTCATTCTTTCCACATAGCTTCTTTCGTGGCAATTTTCCCCCAGGAGGGATTTCCCTGCAGTGGACCTCCTCCCCAGTGGTACCTTCAGCCATCAGAACACCTCGCTTTAGATCTGTGGGTCCCAAATTTCATCAAATCCAATGACCATTTCTATGGTAGGTACTTTGCTATATACACCTTTGACTACCTGGAAATGAAATAATTATAACTACTTTCTTTGTATGTATCTATTAGATTTCCATTGGTGTATTACATTAATTTTTTAAAATTTTGTGCAAGGAGATTTTCTTTATAAATTTCAGTATGTATAGTAGAATAAAACCTCACTAGATTAAGATACAATGAAGTTATGGCACTTTAATATGTTTGTAGACTCACCTTGAATGCTGCAGCTACAAATGCAGATTGAAAATTGTGTTTTTCTCTAATTGTAACCAGCTTGGTAAAATTCAAACAAAACAATGTATGATAGTCCCTCAATTTATATGGCAGTTGCATTCCTGGAAATTTCAGTGAGTATTAAAGTCATACACAAATTCTTTCCTTCTTTTTCTTTCTTTCTTTCCTTTTTTTCTTTCGCTCTTTCTTTTCTTTCTCTCTCTTTCTTCCTCCCTTCCTTCTCTTCTGCCTTCCCTTCTTCCTTCTTTCCTTTCCTTTTCTTCTTTTCCTCCTCCCTCCCTCCTTCCCTTCCTCCATTTCTCCTTCCTTCCCTTCCTTCCTTCCCTCCTTCCTTCCTTCCTTCCATCCATCTTTCCCTTCTTCCCTTCTTTCTTTCCATAAAAGAAAACATAAGCCCTTTGCCTGGGTAATTATAAACAGGTTTCTCAGCAACATGAATGCTCTTAGAGCATTACAGTTCCCACACAGTTATTCTCTGTTGTGTGGAACCATCCCTTTCAGCACAGGCAGACTAGCATCTCTGGCCCTTGGCTCACAAAGACTCCCCATAATTTCCAAAATGCCTTCCAGAAGACAGTGAAAACCATCTTCCCCACACACCTTGAAAACCATTATTCTAGAACCTAGATGGATTTTATCTTCCTTTTTCTCAAACCAGGCTTGCAGCTAGCAGCCAAAATAGAAACACCTGAAACTCATTTAACACAAATGTCTTTGACTGACAACTTTATCTCTTTCTTCCAGGGATAATTTACCTCTTGCTAGAATAAGTGCCTAATATAAGGTAGAAAATTATAGAATTCTAAAATTTAGCAGCAATTTTGATAAGAAGAATTTTGCCTGCAGAACCTTCCAAGTCGCCTCTTGCCATTTGTTCTACCTACAAAGCACATGTGAGGCCCAGAAGGTGGTTTTTCATGCCTTTAATAACCATCTGGGCAGCAGCAGGAAGTTACTGACTTTTAGGAAGATGACATAGACCTTAAGCTAAGGCACCTGGGCTAGCTCAAAGAAAGGCAAACTGTAAACTGTACTTAAATATGTATTCATTCAGGGCCCCAAGGGAAATAGCACACTCAAGTTAGGATAATTCAAGGAGGTACTAATAAGGGGGTTGTTTAGAAAGCTATGGGTAGGGTGAGGAAAACCACAGCAATAGTGCAGGACTTTAAGAGCTATTACTATCCTTGAGCCTCAAGGGATAGGGGAGACAGGAGTTCCTGAAACCTCTTAAAAAAAAAAAAAAAGCACTCATAGCTGGGCGCGGTGGCTCACGCCTGTAATCCCAACACTTTGGGAGTTCGAGGCAGGCGGATGACCTGAGGTCAGGAGTTTGAGACCAGCCTGGCCAACATGGTGAAACTCTGCCTCTACTAAAAATACAAAAATTAGCTGGGCATGGTGGTGTGCGCCTGTAATCCCAGCTACTTGGGAGGCTGAGGCAAGAGAATCGCTTGAACCCGGGAGGTGGAGGTTGCAGTGAGCCAAGATTGCACCACTGCACCCCCACCTGGGAGACAAAAGTGAAACTCTGTCTTAAAAAAAAATAAAATCACTCAGGGCAGAGCAGCTGCCTTGAGAGGACTCATGTACTTTATGGAAAAATGCAGTTAGTCCGAGGTGACCCTACATGAAGGGAGTTGGGGAACTCTCCTTCCTCCCTCTGTTCACTATTGGAGAGGAGAAAGCCAATGGGAATCTAGAAGGCAAGGAAGACTGTTGATGTAGGTCACGGAGGTCCACCTCCTGGGCAGGGAGGAGGGTGGAGAAAGTGGAGAGCAAACCTGGAGGGAAAGCAGCTAGGTATCTGTTGTGCTGGACGTTTTCTAACTTCTTTTATGGAACTTCTGGAATGGTAGCCCATTGTTAATTGATAGTCTTAATCTTGCCCCTTAAGGTAAACATATTTACCTACTTTTAACATGTATGGACATTACCCAGTTGAATGTATTGTGCATAGTGTACAATTATGTTTGACAAATGAAAATGGAGCAAACTGTGCTTGAGACTACAGGTCAAGAAGATGAGAAGTGTCTGGTCTTGGCCACAGACACAAGACGATGAATAGAAAGTCACCATTTGAAAAGCATTGCAATAAGAAGTAAATGTGCTGCCGCAGTGGCGCCAAGGCCTACCAACTTCAGAAGTTGATCTGCTGCAAATGCGGCCACACTGACAAGAGCAAGAGAAAGTATAACTTGAGTGCCAGGGCTGAAAGATGAAATGCCACCAGTACTGGTCAAATGAAGCACTTAAAAATTGTACACTGCGGCCGGGCACAGTGGCTCATGCCTGTAATCCCAGCAGTTTGGGAGGCTGAGGCAGGTGGATCACCTAAGGTCAGGAGTTTGAGACTAGCCTGGCCAACATGGTAAAACCCAGTCTGTACTAAAAATACAAAACAATTAGCTGGGTATCGTGGCGCGCACCTGTAATCCCTGCCACTCATGGGGCTGAGGCACGAGAATTGCTTGAACCTGGGAAGCTGAGGTTACAATGAGCCGAGATTGTGCCACTGCACTCCAGCCTGGGCAACAGAGTGAGACTCTGTCTCAAAAAATAATAATGATAATTGTACACCTCAGATTCAGGATGAATTCTGTGAAGGAACAACACCTAAACCCAAGAAGGCAGCTGTTGCAGCATCCAGTTTAGCTTCAGAACGTCAACAATTAGTCATGCAAATAAATGTTCTAGTTTTAAAAAATAGAAATAATCCTGGCTAACATGGTGAAACCCCGTCTCTACTAAAAAATACAAAAAATTAGCCAGGCGTGGTGGTGGGTGCCTGTAGTCCCAGCTACTCAGGAGGCTGAGGCAGGAGAATGGCGTGAACCTGGGAGGCAGAGCTTGCAGTGAGCCAAGATTGTGCCACTGCCCTCCAGCCTGGGTGAAAGAGTGAGACTCCGTCTCAAAAAATAATAATAATAATAACTAAATAAACAAATAAAAATAATAAAAATAAAAAAATAAATAAAAAACAAGATGCAAAGTGGAGTTAATAGAAAACAGTTCTAGGAGATTACTGTTAAGACTCAGACTATGCACTGATGTTCAGTCCTTAGTAATTGGTGGCAACCTGGTGGAGAGGGAAGACCACAGGCTGTGGAGTTGGACCTGGGTTTGAAGATTGGCTTTGCATGCCTAGCAGGATGTAAGCTTGGCCCACTGACTTCACTTCTGAGCCTTGTTCTCCATGTCTGTCAAGTGCAGGGGAAGGGTTAGTGAAATCTATCTTATATTTTTATGGACACTAATGAGATTGGGAATGAAAACGAGATGCCCATAAGCATCAGTGCATCATAGGTACTTGGCCAGTGGTTCTCAAAGTGTGGTTCTCAGACCAGCTGTATCAAGATTGCCTGGGAATTTATAAAGGAATGGAGATTCTCCAGGCCCAGCAATCAGCATACTAAAGCTTGAGAACTGTGTTAGACTTTCTGGGATCTAACGAAGAAGGCAGGACAGATTTTGTTAGATGTATTACACAAGGGGCAGGCACCTGTGCACAAAAAGACCCCACAAAAACACAGAAAAAAAACACAGAAGAGGTGCTTTTTGTTTTGCTCTCTGTGTGATAAGCTAATCTGATAAGTGAGAAGTCCTGTTCTTTCTATAACTGGGTAGGTAAGTCTAATTTGGAGGTCAAGTATTGAAGCTCATTGTAGCCACATGTCTAGGCCACCTCCTCCAATTTAGCTTCTATCAATAATAAAGTTAATATTTTGATCTATTTGTTTGATTCTTGCATTGCATCTACTTTTCAATTTGTTCTGGTACGGGAGAGAAAAGGAGTTCTTTTAAAAATTATACTCTGTGGCTGGGCACAGTGGCTCACGCCTGTAATCCCAGCACTTTGGGAGGCCGAGGTGGGCGGATCATGGGGTCAGGAGATCAAGACCATCCTGGCTAACACGGTGAAACCCCGTCTCCACTAAAAATACAAAAAAATTAACCAAGTGTGGTGGTGGGCACCTGTAGTCCCAGCTATTCGGGAGGCTGAGGCAGGAGAATGGCATGAACCCGGGAGGCAGAGCTTGCAGTGAACCGAGATCGTGCCACTGCACTCCAGCCTGGGGGACAGAGCGAGACTCCATCTCAAAAAAAAAAAAAGAAAAAAAAGCAATTATATCTGTGATAGCCTCCAAAATTACCCCCTAATAATCCCAATTCAGGTATTCCCACCCTCCCTTGTGGTTCCAGAGTTAGTTTGTGTGACCAGTGCAATATGTCATTAGACATTAGGTCTCTCTGTCTCTTATAGATCACTCATTCTGGGGGCAGCCCTCTGGCATGTAATGAGCAGTCCTATGGAGAGGCCCATGTGACAGTAGCCATGCGAGTGACACTGGAAGTGAAACCTGCAGCTCCAGTCAAGCCTTTAGAAGACTGCAGCCCTGGCTGACAGCTTGACAGCAAACTCATGAGAGACTCTCAGCTTGAACAACTCAGCTAAACTGTTCCTGGGTTCCTGGTCCTCAAAAACTGTACGAGATGAAAAAAAAGTTTGTTTTTTTAAGCTGCCAAGTTTTGGGATAATTTGTTATTCTAATATATTTTTTAATACCTGGAAGTAAGGTGCTACCATAATAAATACCTAAAATGTAGGCACAGCTAGGAAACTAGACAGTGGAGGTAGCTGGAAAGAATTTAAGAAGCATAGCAGTGAAAGTCTCAGGAGCCTTGAACAAAACATTAGAAAAACTTTGGACTTTGACCAGGCTGCTGGTGGAGGTTTAAAAGAAAGTGAGAAAAATCTTGTTGAAAACAGAACAGGGAATCCTTACTATGGAGTGGCATAAATCTTAGCAATATTGTTGTCTGCAATAATGTGGGTGGTGGGAATGTACCTGGTAAACTGGGTGATCTAATTTGCTATTCATAAAGACATAAAGATTCTCAGCTTTTACAGATGGTGAAAAATGCTAAATTAAGAAATGGCTGAAGGACAGAGGTCAAATCCTGGGCACCATCATGAAAACATAATCCAAAGATGAAGCTGAGATGTGACTATAAATCCTTTGTTATGACCTCAGAAAGATCAAAAGTGGTGCCTCAGAGTACCAGTTTGGTCACACAAAGGCCCTCTAAAGTTTTTAAGGCTGTGACTCACAGATTCTTTCAAAAACAGGGCTCCTGAGAAGCTTAAGAGCATAGTTTTTCAGCAGAATCACAAGGTGGGAAAGGGATTATCTCAAAAAGATTTTTGGGCGTGACTTTTGTCTAATGGAATGGACCCCCAAAAATTCATAGGTGATTCACAAATTTTTTAAAAGAATTATATTAGTAGAAACATTGCCAACTAGAACTCAAAGGGATAGAGACAGTATGAAATGAAAAAAGGCCTTGGTACTCACTTTGCCCCTGTTTCACTGCAGGTTAAGAAAAAATTTCAGCTGCATACATGTACTAACTTTCATGAAAAAGAAAGAATAGCTAAGCATGGTGACTCACTCCTGTAACCCCAGCACTTTGGGAGGACAAGGTGGGAAGACCACTTGAGCCCAGGAGTTTGAATCAGCCTGGGCAACATAGCAAGACTCTGTCTCTTTTTAAAAAAGGATGACTCTGAAGGGGAAGCTAAAAGCCTCAGAGAATAACTCATGCGTAGAAATAGGACTAAATCCTAAGGCGATTCCAACATTTGCCTGGCTGGATTTCAGAGCTGCTATGGGGACATAGTAGTGTGTCCAGTACCTTTCCTTTTTGAATATTAATGCATATAGTGTTTATTCCTGTTCCACCATTGTGTGTTTGGGGTGTGTGTGTGTGTGTGTGTGTGTCTATGTGTGTGCGTGTTAGTTTCAGATTGAGAGGAATTATACCCAAGGAGCTAGAGTTAAGAAATTATACCTAAGGAACCTCTTGTGTACCTGGTCCTGATTTAAATGACAAGACTCTAGACTTTGAGTTGATGCTGTAATGAGACAAGAATTTTAGAAATGTTGAGATGGAGTGGACGTGTTTTGCATGTTGGAGGGACTTGATTCACTGGAGCCTAGAAGGCAGACTATGGTAGCCAGCCCTCAAGATTGTCTCCTCCTGGTATTCATACCCTTGTATAATTCCCCTCCCACATTGTACCAGAATTTATCTGTGTGACAGAATATGGCAGAAGTAATGATATGTCACTTCTGAGATTAGGTTATAAAAGACATTGTGGCTACCATCTCTCATCACTCACTCAAAGGGAAGCCAACCACCATGCAATGAGAATCTCAGGTAATGAGGACCTGAGACCTGTTGTCAATCACGTGAATAAGCTTGGGAGGAGATTCTCCAGCCCCAGTCAAGCCTCAGAAGACTTCAGCCCTAGGTGACAGCTTGATGATAATCTCGGGAGGCAGAACCACCCAACTAAGCCACTCCTGGATTCCTGACCCTGACCCTGACCCTAGAAACAGTGTGAGGTAATAAACGTTGTTTTAAGCTCTTAAATTTGGGGGTAAATTTTTAGGCAGCCATCAATAATTAATACACACCTCTAATGTATTTGTACTTACACCACATACCATGGGATCTCACAAAAGAGCAATTTTAAAGCTTGCTTGGATAGCCGATATCTTTATTTTCAGAACATATTCTTCATGCATAAAGAAGCAAAGACTCTTTCCTTCAGTATAATCCTTTTGATAGAAGCGAAAACTTAAGTCTGGCAGTTTTCCTAATATATGTTTTTCACACTTTTCCTTTATTTTAGGCAATTCTAAATAGACAAAATCAACTTGAGAGTGTTCTTGGATTTAATTTAGAAACAACCCCAGTTAAGCTTTTCATAAAACTTTTAAATTGGGCTGGCTTTTATTTTAGGAATATGAATGTTCTTGGAATTCTTCCAGATCTCTAAGCAATAATCTTTTACGCAATCCCCTTTATTTTGTTATGAAAAAAGAGCCTAGGTAGTTCTTTTAAGGTTTACTTTTTTGTAAAGGTATCTTTAAAACATCCAGATGCCTCTAGACATTCAAGATAGAACGAGGCACTCACAACTTCTATCTGCCTATGTTTCATCTATTTTTCTATGCTGTTGTGTGAATTTTGACGTTTTATTTTGTCAAGAATAGTGGTGAAAAACCAATGAATTTTTAAGTGATTGAGCTCTAACATTTCCTACATTCTCCTTCCAGAAAGTAAATACACAGTAATTATCATTCATTATTACCTTCTCCATCTGACAACTGCCTTTCACCCCTCAAATTATTGTGCATTTCACATTCTTTTTTCTACCTAGGACTAATTTGTCCAATCAACCGGACATCTGTTTTTCTTCCCCTTTTTTGAAAACAGGCTGCTTCTATGTTTTCAGGGCCTTCCTTTCTAGAACATGTAAGAACTTGTTCTCAGACTACTTGTAAGCAAGACACTCTCTGAGGTTACAAGTCTGGAAGCACTTTCTGAGAACAATTAAAAGATCTGTCTGCCTGTTAGGGCGTTCCATGGGAATGTTACACTCTTTGGAAGAAAGCTTTGTGTAAGCAACAGTCACTTCTACATAGACAATACAAATGTCACTTCATTTATTAACATTACGTGTCTAGATGATTGACTGCCCTTGGAAAAATATATATGGAATGAGGCAAGCTTATTAAAACCTAAATAACTCTGAAGATCTCTTACTTGGTCTGTAAACTTTCTACTCTTATAGCTCATGCATTTTCACAGGAAACAAAAGCCCTTAAAGGCCAAATTTCCACAACAAAACAGTGAATCTTTTCAGGATATAATCCTTCAATTCTTTCCTAAGTACGTTTAGATAATTTTTTTTTCTTTTTTTTTTTGTTTTTGAGATGGAGTTTCACTCTTGTTGCCCAGGCTGGAGTGCAATGGTGCGATCTTGGCTCACTGCAACCTCTGCCTCCCGGGTTCAAGCAATTCTCCTGCCTCAGCCTCCCAAGTAGCTGGAATTACAGGCATGTGCCACCACACCTGCCTAATTTTTGTATTTTTAGTAGAGACGGGTTTTCACCATGTTGGCCAGGCTGGTTTTGAACTCTGGAACTCAGGTGATCTGCCCGCCTTGGCCTCCCAAAGTGCTGGGATTACAGGGGTGAGCCACCGTGCCCAGCCCTTTTAGATAATTTTTAAATCAGGAAATATATGATGGTGATGACCACATGTGACACCCCAGCCATGAATAAGTTCTTGGCCTTTCTTTTGACTTTAGCCTCATTCTTCCCCTTATTTTCTTTTTCCTACTTTCTTCACCTACTTCTCTGTTTCTCCGTTTCCCTTTTCTGAATCACGCCATGATGCCGTAAAGGAATCTCCTTGGGATCTGGTGCTGGATGCAGTCTAGGGGGTGCCCTTTGTCAGAAGAGGCTGAGTGGAAAGGAAAGTGGCCATAAGCAAGCTGGTCAGTTCCCAGGCAACCAGGGAGGAAAGACAGGGTAGGAATCTGAGGAGCCTCACCAGGGAAGCCCCAGGCCGTGGGTCCCAGCCTTTTGCCTTGAGCCTCAGGAGAGCTCCCATGAGGAGAGCTAGATCCAAGGCTCCACTTTCCTTTCAGTGCTGTGTTTTTAAACTCTCCTCATGTCTGATTAAATGTATATGGGCAGCTATATTGGAGAGGAACTAAAGGGCTCTAGGAGTTTCTCACCAGGTTCCTTTTGTATCTCTTTTCACTAGCAGAGGTGTCTGCTATGGGTAGGATTCCCTCTGGGGTTCCCTTTGACCAAGCTTCTGCAGCCAGAAGCACTGAGGAGGGCACTGGGGTGATGGGACTGACCCTGAGGCCCTGATCACAGGACTCCTAAGTAGGAGTTCCTCTGAGGAGATATGCTAGGACCTGGTTTATCAAACCAGCAATGGGATATCTGGAAAAGCCGCTGGGGGGCTGCCAGGACTGCTTCTCAACATACTGTGTGTTAACCTGCATTAACACTGCACGAAGCAGGAACTTAGAGTTTTCTGAGCTTGGCTCAGTTTGTGTGTAACAACCAGGCTGAGGTTTCAGGGGTGGCTCCATTTGGGGTTTAACCTGCAGACCAGAGGAGGGAACAATGAAAGACTAGTTGTGTTTCTGTGTTTCTGTGGTCTGGAAGAGGAGGTGAAGAGAGCGTAGGACAAATCACTGAGTGTTCATGTCAAAATATCTGCAGACTGCTCAGCTTGGTTGCTGTTGAGCTCCCTAGTTCAGCAGCAGCAGGTCGAGGACCAACACTTATCCTCGGATAATAATGACTACTATTTATTCAGTCCTCCCATGTGCTAGATGACATATTAGGTGCTTTATGTGTACAACCTTAGCAATCCTTTAAGAGAGGTGATATTCCCATTTGTCAAATTTTAGAAAGCTAGTTAGACAGTCCAGAGAAGATTAGTGGTTTGTTCAATGTTAGGCTTCCAATAAGTGGCCAAAATTTTAACTTTGGTACACAGTTATCTTTGCTAAGACATCATATGCATTCCTAAAAAAAAAAAAAAACACTCTTCAGTTAGCAATATAGTATACTTAAAATAATAGGGCTTATGAGAAAAATGGGGTTGGTGTTAGAATTAGGAAGTAAAAAACCTGAGAGTGTAATACAAATAGAAATACTAGCATGGCTGAATCTCTGTAAACATTTGCCTTTAGCATCACAGACAGCCCTTTGCAGCCTTATATCCTGGGGCTCAGGCTTCTTGTAGGTCCTTGGGGCATTCACTGCCAATAGAGAACATAGGCATCGACATTAGAATTCTGATCTAGGGTTTCAATACAGAGGGATGTCTCTTCAAAGCATCTTCAACTGCACTCACAGCTTCACCAGATAGTTTAATATAATAGAAAACTTAGTGGCTGGTTTAATGGCTTCAAGAATCACTACCTCATTGAAGGTCTTCACTGTATGGAATATACAGGTTTTTCCCTAACGTACTCATATATTTCTTAGATTTTCTTCCTCCCAGTAAAAAAATTTACCCTGATCACCTCAAATGATGGGTTGGCAAAAATCGCATATTCACCACCACAACTTCTGCATCATGATCTTCAGTACCCAGTTTACCTGTCACTTATGAGATACTGTTGCATGAAAGGAAAGAAATGCTGCTTCAGATAGAACCAGACTGTTTCAGAGCCCATGTGATTTCTTTTGTGTTCTAAAGAGTCCTCATTGGCCTTGAGGGAAGTTTAGACAGGCTGGAGCGTTGATAACTGATAGACTATTTTTTCTCCCCACGCAACCACCATGGCATGATGCTACTCAACAAAATGTACAGTGGTTTTTTTCATTTCATGTAATACCGAGACTATGTTAAGATTTTGTGATAGTCAGGCCGGGCGTGGTGGCTCACGCCTCTAATCCCAGCACTTTGGGAGGCTGAGGTGGGCGGATCACGAGGTCAGGAGATCGAGACCATCCTGGCAAACACTGTGAAACCCCGTCTCTACTAAAAATACAAAAAAATTAGCCGGGTGTGGTGGTGGCCGCCTGTAGTCCCAGCTACTTGGGAGGCTGAGGCAAGAGAATGGCATGAACCCGGGGGGCAGAGCTTGCAGGGAGCAGAGATAGCGCCACTGCACTCCAGTCTGGGCAACAGAGCGAGACTCCATCTCAAAAAAAAAAAAAAAGATTTTGTGATAGTCTCAAATGCTTTTTACAGCTGGTTTGTTCAAATTAGGATCCAAATATGGCCTAAATATTACATTTGATTATTATATCTGCTATGTATTTTATTCTATACCCTTCTGCTGTTTTTTAATACAGTTGATTTGTTGGAGAAGTCCATTCTTCATACCACAGAGTATTCCATATTTGAATTTGGCTGATTGCTTTCTCATGATGGTTTTAAAAAGTAGTTCCTTTATTCCTCATATTTCCTATAAACTTATTGTTAGATCTCGAAACATGTTCAATTTGGTATGAATACTTTGTAAGTGGAGCTTTATAGTTCCTATGGCATTGTATCTTGAAATACAATGTCAAGGCCTATCTAATTTGAGTGATGCTAAAATTGATCAGTGTATTAGGAAGTGGCAGCTGGATCCCTCCTTTACAATATTTATCAACCATTGATTATCCTAGATCCATAGTATCTCACTAAAATTGAAAGATAGTGATTTTCTAAGCCTATCATTTCTTCTGCATTTGTTAGCTGGAATTCTGTGAAGCACATGACCTCAAGTCTTTGGATAAATGGAAACGCAGCTTATGCCGGAAAGGTAAAATCTTGATTCTTTTCTTTTATTAATTTTGAGAGTAGGCCAGGAACAGTGGCTCCCACCTGTAATCCCAGCACTTTGGGAGGCCAAGGCAGGTGGATCACTTGAGGTCAGGAGTTTGAGACCAGCCTGGCCAACATGGTGAAACCCCATCTCTACTAAAAACACAAAATTAGCTGGGTGTGGTGGCGTGCACCTGTAATCCCAGCTACTCAGGAGGCTGAGGCAGGAGAATCGCTTGAACCCAGGAGGCAGAGGTTGCAGTGAGCTGAGATCACACTACTGCACGCTAACCTGTGCAACAGAGGGAGACTTCATCTCAAAACAAACACAAAAAAAATTGAGAGTAGAGTTGGTGCCCTAGCCAACTCAGATGGTGACCAATGCGTTGATCCCTGAGTATTGTTGTGAACTACTGAATGTTTATATATTTATGTTTCAAGCAGTGATATTGTTCCTTTTGGCTTGAATTGTCACAACTTTGCCAGCAGAAGCCTTTTCAGTTTAGGTCCTGTGTACTTTTGACATGACCTCTTTAAAGTTTGATTATTTCCCTGCTTTCTGGCAGAAAATTATGTCTTACTCATTTTGTAAATGTCCTGATGTGGACCTAAAATCAACTATTTCTCAAAAGGAATTTCTTTTAGTGGAGAATGATATTTAAAAATCACAATTCAGGCACTAAAGGGGATTTTACTCTTGAACAAGAGCTGATTGCAATCACGTAGGTTTTTCTTGGTGCCATTTCAATTTTCTAGCTGTGCACTAATAGTTATAAATGTTTTTCCTGCAAATTCTTTGAGAGAAAATATCATTATTGCAAATATAAAACTTGGTATTCTTGACTCCATTTTTCCTTAGGAAAAATTTTTTTCTGCTTCTTTGATAACATAAATATTCTTTAGAAATAAAACTATTTAGTTTAGCCAAATGAGTAGAGAAGTGAACGGGTAGAAGTACTAGGGAACTACCCTAGATATTTCAAAATGCTCAACTACAAGGTTTTGGACTCAGAAGCTATGCTTCAAAATTTGTTTCTGTTTTCAAGTATTAACAAATTTAAAAGCATAAACATTTGTTCATTTTTTGGTAGGAACCTTAATGTTTTCCATTTTGTAGATTATTTTAGGTATATGGATATTAACTATTTTGTTTCTATCCTTGGTTCAGAAATCTGTTCATTTTATTTGTGGCTGTCATTTGCAATTCTTTAAATTAACACATGAAAAGAGATCCAATTCCAACTTTATTAGTAGACAAATGATATGCAAATTAAAACAAGAATATTTTTATTACAACAAATTAGCAAAGACCTAAAAAATTATACTCCATTCCAGGAAGTTTTAAATGACAGTCTCACTTTTTTATGCATGCCCTGCTATCAAGTTTCTGGGTTTTGGGTTTTTTTCTACTCGATATGTCTCCCATTTTCTCCCTTCCTCAATTACAGTATCAGGGTCCCCCTCACCATGCCCTCTATTCTGACCTGCCAGGGTTGAACAGACACAAAGATGCCCAGCATAAAATTCAGGAGCCCATGAATTATTCTCTGTAAAGGGCCAGATAGTAAATATTTCAACCTGTGAGAGCTAAGCAGCAAAATCAAGATATTATGTAAGTGCTAAGAGTACAGTAGCTCACGCCTATAATCCCAGCATTTTGGGAGGCTGAGGCAGGAGGATTTCTTGAGCTCAGGAGTTTGAGTCTAGCCTGAGCAACACAGTGAAACACCATCTCTCTCACTCTTAAAAAAAAAAAATGGTAGCTTGCACCTATAGTACCAGCTACTCAGGAGGCTGAGGCAGGAGGGTCACTTCAGCCCAGGAGGTTAAGGCTGCAGTGAGCCATGATCATGCTCTTGTATTCCAGCCTGGACAACAAAGTAAGACTGTATCTCAAAAAATAAATAAAAAATAAATATAAAATGTCACCATTAAAGATGTAAAAATCTACTTTTAGGTTGGGGAGCTATACCAAAATAGGCAGCAGGCTATATACAGTTACCAACCCCCGGCTTAGATACTCCTCAGAAAGGACTTATTGCTCAGCTGAGAGGAGGAGTATTATCTAACAGCCCCCAGCAATGAGTTTCATCACGGTCCACTCCTCAACCCACCCTGCCCCTCCTCTAAACCCATTCCACCTCTCCCAGTCAATGACGGAGAGAGGCCTGGTCTCCTGCCGACAGCCAGCAAGGAAAAGCAACCTGAGTCCTATAGCTGTAAGGAACGACATTCTGCCAACAACCAGAATGAACTAGAAAGTGGATTCTTCCCCAGAGTCTCAAAATAAGAGTCCAGCTCACACCTTGACTTGGGCTTTCTAAACAGAGAACCAGCCAAATTAACCCAGATTTCTGAAGTATAGACCTATGAGATAGTAAATGGGAGTTATTTTTAGCTGCAAAGTTTGCAGTAATTTGTTATATAGTAATAGAAAATTAATAAACTGAGAATTGTAGTTTGCAGAGGATAGCCCCTGTAACATGGAACAGACAGGGGAAAGACAATGAATGGATCTGGGAGCAAATAAGCCAATGGCCAGACAGACCTTATCACAACTTTGTTTTGTACATCCTTTAGCCTAGATGTTTTTGGCATGTATGGCTCACTCTACGTTGTCTCAATGAGTAAAGAGATTTATTTGTGATGATGACTGGGATGTTAGGGATTTCGGCTAATTATTGTTAGTTTTATTGGAGAAAGACTTTGTTAATTGGTGAATGGCTATGTGAGCCTTTTCTTTCTGTCTGATTCTCTCCCCTCTGCTGTGGTGTTTGCAATTGAGGAACAGCTACTAAGAGGTGGCAGCTGCAGAGAAAAGTCCAGAGCCATACAGATGAGGCTGGGAACTCTGACTAGCACTGAGTATTTGAAAGAGAGCTTGGCGAAAGTCTGTTACTACATGTAGCAGATACCTGTGACTGCATATAGGGAGTGAAGGAGACAGCCAAAAGTGCACTTGAGGATAACAAATGGCCAGCCCCTACATGATCACTCATGAAAATCCAACAGAACCCAGAAGTCTCACTTAGCTTTAAAAAATCCATTATTTTTTTCAGACAGAAGCACTTAGGGAAGCAAAATGGCTTATTTCAGCATGAGAAAGCAATGTAACAGTACAGCTAAGCTTTGAGGGTCTCCTGATCAAAAATTTGTGAGACTAATAGCTTACACAGGAAAGAGATGATAGCCCTTTTGAATGCCTTCTGAGCGCTCTTACGAGATGCGCAATCTAATTGTGGTGTAAATACCAGCTATTGATGGTGGGTTTTGTTCATCGGGTTTGTGCTACCACAGTACCAGAGGTCTGTATCTATTAGTGCTAGTAATGTATGGATGACCAGGGCTGGTGCAGACATCTCTGCAGCAATAATAAAAGGTAAGAAGATGCAGACAAAGCTGAATTTATTGTGTTTGAGAAGATATAGAATTCAATTTCCCTGATAACCAAGCTTAATTGCACAGAATTATGAGAGCTCATTAATGAAACCCAATATAGACAGTTTATATTAGTAATGGCATTACATTGATTATCTAATTTCAGAGTAAGGAATTAAAGGGGGCCAAATTAGGGATTATTCTGCTTTTACGTAACACCTGTAGTCAGGAAAAATAAATAGCTCCCGTTATTAAACTAAAGCTTTTGTATACAAAAGAATGCTAGATAATAAATGTAGAAATAATGATGGAAATAGAAAATATTTTTGCAAGACATTATGAAATAATCAATCCAAACAAGGATCAATAATGAATGCTAAAACTGTTAGTTGAACAGTCAACAGAGAACCAGATATTCAAAAAGCACCAAAGTATCACCCTTAAAATAACAAGTAATTTGCTATTACTTGTTTATAGCAAACGGAGGAAAAAGTACCCTTTACCATGGAGAAATATGGCTATTATCACTAGGTAACTTACTATCTGATTGTCCCACTATTAATGATGCTGTGTGACTTCTGAGGTAATGCTTTATAAATTATATGACAGCACCTGTCAATAATATTTAAGAGATAATGTTTAAGATGGAAATGGAATCTAAAGGCTGGATTAGATTCAAGTTAAAGGAAATTCAAAGCAGAGAAGAACAAATTAAGGTACACTTGAACACATTCAGAATATGGGACAGAATAAGACAGCTGTTCTGGTCTCAAAAAAAAAAGTTAATGACAAGGAAAAAAGGAAGAGGAGCTAGGTTAAGGGACTAAACAGGCAAAACCAATTCAACATGGGATTCTTGAGTGGATTTTGGTTTTTAAAAAAGCTTTAAAAACACTTTGGGTTAATGGTGAATTTTGAATATGGAATATTCAAATATCAGGCAGGGTCCTCGCAGGAAACCGATGGCAAACTCAAAAGAACTTAATCATGAATCAGTTAAAGAAGGGACTATTGAGGGATGTAGGCAGAGCTAATGGAATCAATAGGGGGTGCTGAGGCACCCAGGGCGCAGCAGGGAAGCTGTCACCAACTGCTGTTAGACCCAAAGGAGCAGGCATGGGGGCAGTTATGAGTGTCTAGTCACAGCTGGAGCTGCTGAACAGAGTACAGCTTCACAAGGGATACAGTGGCAGATGCAGCCAGTACCGGACAAGGAACTCAGCAGGGAGGAGCAGAGAGAGTATCCCAGCCACTCTCCCACCCTCTGATCTCTTGCCAGGGCTCACCATTGGCCTCTGATGCCTTGTAGGTGCCTCCAGTTGGCTGACCCCAGTTGGAGTCCTGGCCACCCATGGCAGTCTGTAGAAATAAGCCTTTTGGAGCTGAGAGCAAAACAGAAAAAAGTGGAGAATGCATCTGGAGGTAGAAGGCAAAGGGAGAATAAAGCACGACAAGTACAGAGTAGATTAGAGAATTACTGTTGATTGTTAGATGTAATTGTCTTGTGAGATCAGAGAATGCTCAGTTTTTTTGTTTTTTTTTTAGATGTACATTGAACTATTAAGGAATAAAATGTCATAATGCCTCATTCATTCTGAACTGATTCAGCAAGAGAGACAGATAGATAAGTAGGTAGATAGACTAGATATACAAAGCACATATAGACACAAGCTTTTTTCTTATTTATTGCTACCAACTTCATGCATCCAGCCTCCAATCGTGTCATGCCTAAAGAAACAATCCCTGCCCCCGTTTCTTAGACCCAGTACCTGGCACATGATAAACGATAAAAAATAAGTTCTTACCCATGCATCCCTTTTTCAGTGGGAATTATACTTCTTGGCTGCCCCCTACACACTTCTATTATAAAGAAATTTATATTGTTATATTTTTTCACCACAAGAAAAATTATCAGGTTTAAAGAGGGGGATTAACTAATGATAAAGGTGTAAACAGTGCAAGAAGACTTAATTATTCTTAGCGTGTGTGTGGCTAACAACAGAGCACTAAAATGAGTGAGGCAGAAACAGATAAAAGTGCAAGGAGAAATAGATAAATCCAGTATCATAGCTGGAGAATCCAACACACCTTAATAAGAAATGGACAGATCCAGCAGGCAGGAAATCAGTGAGGACATAGCTGAACTCAGTAGCAGTACCAATCAACTAGATATGATTGATATCGGTAGACTGTTTCACCTTACACATTCTTCTCAAGCTCACATGGAACATTCACCATAATACACCACATTCTAGGCCATAAAATGCACCTTAACAGTTTAAAAGACTAGAAATCACACATCTGCTTTCAGACCACATTGTAATTAAACTAGAAATCAATAACAGAAAGATAGAGGCCTCAGCTCCTGCTGATGAAAAAATAATAACTGAAGGATAGCTAGAAAATCCCAAATACTTGGAGATTAAGAAACACTCTTCTAAATAATATATGGATAAGAAAAAAATCTCAAGAGAACTTAAAAAATGTTTCAAACTAAATGAAAATGATAATACAACTCATTAAAATTTGCATAATGCAGCAAAAACAGTACTTGGAAGGAAATCTATAGCATTGAATACATAAACTAGAAAGGAAGAAAGATCTACAATAATCTAAACTTCTATTTTAGAAAACTTAAAAATAAGAGCAAACCAAATGCCAAATAAGGAGAAGAAAAGACAATGAAGAATTAGAGCAGAAATCAGTGAAATGGAAAATAGGAAATTAATAGACAAAATCAAAAGTTAGTTCTTTAAAAAGAATATTAAAATTGGTTACTCTCTAGGCCAAGAAAAAAAGAGAAGACACAAATTAGAGTTGTCCCATGATATCCCTGGGGAATTGTTCCAGGACCCAACATGGATACCAAAATTTATGGATGCTCAAATCTCTTACATAAAATGGCACAGTATTTACATATAGCCTACACACATCTTCTCTCATGCTTTAAATCATCTCTAGATTACTTTTAATACCTCACACAATGTAAATGCTATGTAAATAATTGTTACAATGTACTGTTTTAAAATCTGTATTATTTTATTCTATTTTTATTTTTGCTTTTCAAAAAATACTTTTGATCCATGGCTGGTTGATTTTATGAATGGGGAACCCATGAAGATGGAAGGCTGGCTGTACTAATATCAGAAATGGAAGAGGAGAGACATCACTAGAGATCCCATGGATATTGAAAGGATAATAAAGGAGTATTATGAGCATTGTTATATTTTATGTCTCCTATAAGCTGTAAATTCCTACATAGCAAGAATTCTGTCTTACTCATCCTTTAACAACTACTGTGTACCTTATAATGTTTCATAAAATATTATGATTTGGTTTTATTATTCACAAAAGAATGCTATAAGAGGTGAAAAATGGAGAGGCTAGAAAGCATAAAAACAAGTTACATCAGGTGGTAGAGCCTGGTTTAAGGGTCAAAGATAAAAGAAGGGAAGGTTAAGGGCAGGGCTTTAGAGGGAGAGAGGATAAACACAGTTTGATTAAATGGCTGATTCAGCCGGGTGTGGCGGCTCATGCGTATAATCCCAACACTTTGAAAGGCTGAGGCAGGAGGATTGCTTGAGCCTAGGAGTTCAAGACCAGCCTGGGCAACATGGAGAAATCCTATCTCTACCAAAATACAAATACAAAAACAAAAATTAGCCAGGTGTGGTTATATACACCTGTAGTCCCAGCTGCTTGGGAGGCAGAGGTGGGAGGATTGGTTAGGTCTAGGAAGTTGAGGCTGCAGTGACCTATGATTGCTCCACTGCACTCTAGCCTTGGTGACACAGAGAGATCCTGTCTCAAAACAAAAACAAACAACAACAACAAAAAACATATATATATATATATGAGGTTTATCCACAGTAAAGTTCAGTCTAGGGTTAATAAAAGATTCTAGGGTTCACTAAGACAAAGAGTAGTCGCAGTAGCAGAGCCTTGGGTGAAGCTAAGGTCCCCAGGAGATCTGGGATGTCTGTGAGGAACAGTGAGGCTTAGTCATTCAGACAAGCCAGCAGAAGTGAAGTTTAGAGAATGTGGATGGGCCTCAGGCTCTAGACATCAAAACAAACAGATAGAAAAGGCAGAGTGTAGAATCCAGACAGTGAGGCTCACAACAAGGTATGCAATTCTGCATAAGCAGATTTGAGGGGACACCAACTATGGACTGATGTAGATAAATATTTCTGGTAATTCCAGTTAGTGATTCACTCTGAACTCACATAGGATAGTATCTCTTCAAAGGCACTTGTGTTGTAATTAAATGCACACATAAGACATAATGCTTATTGAGCCCTTAGCATGTACCACCCACTCTTATGCATACTATATGTTTAAACCATTTAAACTCACACCAACCCCCTGGGGGTAGGTAGTATTATTATCCCTGTTACAGATAAGGAAAGTGAGAAGTAGGAGTTAATTGGTCTCATGATCCCCTACAGGCTGGCCTTCCAGAAAAAGGAGGTAACTTGCCCCAGGATACCCTGGAAACCAATCAGAATGAATTGCCTTAAACTCTGGCTTGTAGCCCAAAGCAAGGCTTGCCCACAAGTCTTGCCAGTATGTGGTTGAACAGAAATTAGAATCCAGACAGCCTGAGTCCTTTTCTTGCCAGGCAGGGGCTGGGGCTTCCCCAACCATGAAAGTTCAGGTGGTAGATCCTGCCACTGCTTTGCACACCAGCTCCCTGGTGCTAACCTCAACTGCCAGTGCTGAGCTGGAAGGATAGGGCTGGAGGCAAACTCCTACCCCATCATGTTGCTGGTGTATTCCATCCTGGTATTGGTCACACCAAGGAAGGGCCTGGACTTTCCTAATCATGCAGCTTAAAAGCAACACAAGGCAAGGCGGGGAGTCCGCTCTCCTGAAGTCTGACATCCAGGAAGACCAGATTGCTATGTGCTGTCTTTGACTTACTTGGAGACTCACACACCTACACTAGTGCCCCCTTATCTGAGGGGGATGCATTCCAAGACCCCCAGTGGATGCTTGAAACCATAAATAATACCAAACCCTACATATACTATGTTTTTTCATATATATACCTATGATAAAATTTAATTTATATAATAGATTAGGCAGAGACTAATAACAATAACTAATAATAAAATAGAAGAATTATAACAACATACTATAATAAAAGTTAACGTGAACATTGTTTGTCTCAAAATATCTTATTGTATGTAATATTTTTGGACTGTGGTTGTTCATAGCAAGTGAAAACTCAGATGGGGGAGGGTGGCATACTGTATTTATTTTCCTGTATCCATTAGTGTTTCCCAGTGAACACTGCACCAGGAGGTTGGCCATTTGTCTTTATTTATACATCAAACTAAGGCATGGAGAATAAGAGCTTGGTAAGGTCATATAGCCAGGAGGTGGTTGAACTGAGATTCAAACTGAGACAGTCTGAGTCCAAATTCTACCACCTCTTGTGTGTGACATTTAATGGATAGGTGGGCTTTTGTAACCAGTGTCTCTGCCTTTCTCCATGATTCACAGCACAGAAACTTGTGCATACATTCTCACTTGATATCTGAATGACTGTAACAGTGATGTAAATTAACAAGGAAGGGAGATAGCCCTGATTTAATTGGAAATCACTGACAGAGCTCGCCCAGTAAACTCTCTACAAACAGAATACAAATGTTTTGTATTTAATTGCTAAAGTGTTTTAAAATTGAACTCAAATTAATAAATACTTATTGTATCTGTCAGTTAAACGAAACAACCAATAAACAACCAACTCTGTTTTCTAATCAAGAGGGACTGATCCTTTAAAAAAAATAGGGTTTAAAAAAGATGATATGATCAATGTAAAATTGGATTATAGACTTTTAGAGTCTTAAAAGATGAGAAAAGAGATAAAGATGAATAGATATGGAGTAACTAGGATAAGACTCTCTCACAAACTGGACCTTAAACAGATTTAGGAAGAAATATAGGATTAGGATAGAGAAAAAGAAGAGAAAGAATTGCCTATAGGCATAATAAAAAGCACAAGTGTATCAATCAACACAGGGTATTGTGGACCAGTGAGGAAGGATCATGATCTAGACTAGGGGATTCATGTTGGAAACAGTGAGACAAGTTAGAAAGGATAGGATGGGACATATTATATGGTTCCAAACATAATAAATGAGCACTTGAGCTAGAAAGTAGTATAATGTTCACAGGTGGTAAAGAGGTATAATGAAAAAACTATACTTCACAAAAATTAGTGGTGTTCAGTGGGTTGGAGAGAAGACCAATTAGAAGGTTATCTGTGGAATTACAACAACCCAGTGAATTGAGCTGATGGAGAGAGATGCTCCTCCCACTACCAACACTCAAACATAAGGCAAAAATATTTATAGGTGATGAGTAATGATGAAAAAACAAAAGAACAAATGATAGATGACATGAAGAATGGGAGTAGGGAAGACCATATTTAAGACTCTGAGGTCATTAAATGATGTAACATGTTTACTAGCCCAAAAATATATACTAAAAGAGTAGAAAGAAAACAAAAAATTTCCAAATCAGTAGCAAGGATCAAGAAAACAATCCAAATGGAAGGAAAGAACAATGTCCCTTGGAACATAACAATAGAACATAATATGAACAGTACCTCCTTCTATGTAGTGTAGATATTAAACATAGGGTGGGAAGTACACATATCAATTTCAAAATAGTGGTTTAATCTGAAATTGTTAAACAGAGAGGGAGGGAAGCAATAGAACTGAGAGAGCGTTCAAAAGCCTTTTGTTGTATCTGTAGAGTCTTTTATTTCTTAAAAATACAATCGTATACCACATGATAACATTTTGGCCAATGGACTACACATATGACATGGTCCCATAAGATTATAGTACTGTCTTTTTACTGTACCTTTTCTATGTTTAGATATATTTACATATACAAATACCACTGTTAAATTGCCTACAGTATTCAGCACAGTAACATGCTGTGCAGGATTGTAGCCTAGGAGCAATGGGCTACACCATGTGGCCTAGGTGTGTCGTAGGCTCTACTATTTTGGTTTGTATAAGTACACTCTATGATGTTCACACAATGATGAAATCACCTAACGATGCATTTCTCAGAATAAGTTTCTGTTGTTAAGCAACCCATGATTGTATCTGAAGCAAATATCTATATCTCCTTATTAAACCTTAGGGTAAGTACATAAATTAGAGAATAAGTATATTATTCTCTAATTTGCTATTGTATTATATATAATATATGTATATGTATACTATGTATATATTATACATAGTATACATGTATAATATACATATATAGTATATGTATATTATATAATATACATATAATATATATAATATATAAAAATATATAATATATATAATATATATAATATATAAAAATATATAATATATATAATATATATAATATACAATATATATAATATATATAATATACAATATATATAATATATATAATATACAATATATATAATATATAATATATATTATATATATAATGTTAATATATAATATATATAATTATATATATATAATGTATACATATGTTATATACATATATAATGCAATAGAAAATTAGAGAATAATATACATTTGTGTACTTAGCCTAAGGTTTAATAAGGAAATATAGATATATTATACTATATTATATATGTAGTATAATATTTGAAAAGCTATTAAAGTAATTGAAGCCTGAGGTGAAGGCTCTAGTTTAATGTTGCACAAGAGGGAGTCCTCCAACATGACTTTCTGCACCTCCATCCCTGGCAGAAATCCCCTAAATAATATCCATGGAGCTGGTGTGGCAACTAGATATGAGGTTACACATTCACCAAGTCTCAAAGATGTGTACCTTCTTACTGTTACTAACAGTTTAAGATTCAACAGTCAAGCTCTGTACCAAAAAAGACAAGGTCCAGGGGATTTATTCTGTAATCTGTTTATAGTGCCCTCTAGTGGCAGCTCTGCAGAGATCTAACGCAGAACTCACTTTTTTTGTGTTGAATATTAACTTTGTATCTATTTTTCAATGTATTAACATAAATTGGATTTTGTTTTTGTTACTAAGCAATATGAGTAATTCTTAACTTTAAAATTGTATTATTCATTCATTACCTACAGAGAGAAGATCATGCTGTTTTTTTTTGTTTGTTTGTTTTGTTTTTTTAATTGATCATTCTTGGGTGTTTCTCGCAGAGGGGGATTTGGCAGGGTCATAGGACAATAGTGGAGGGAAGGTCAGCAGATAAACAAGTGAACAAAGGTCTCTGGTTTTCCTAGGCCGAGGTCCCTGCGGCCTTCCGCAGTGTTTGTGTCCCTGGGTACTTGAGATTAGGGAGTGGTGATGACTCTTAACGAGCATGCTGCCTTCAAGCATCTGTTTAACAAAGCACATCTTGCACCGCCCTTAATCCATTTAACCCTGAGTGGACATGGCACGTGTTTCAGAGAGCACCGGGTTGGGGGTAAGGTCATAGATCAACAGCATCCTAAGGCAGTAGAAGTTTTCTTAGTATAGAACGAAATGGAGTCTCCTATGTCTACTTCTTTCTACACAGACACAGCAACAGTCTGATTTCTCTATCTTTTCCCCACATTTCCCCCTTTTCTATTCGACAAAACCGCCATTGTCATCATGGCCCGTTCTCAATGAGCTGTTGGGTACACCTCCCAGACGGGGTGGTGGCCTGGCAGAGGGGCTCCTCACTTCCCAGAAGGGGCGGCCGCCGGGCAGAGGGGCTCCTCACTTCTCAGACGGGGCGGCTGCCGGGCGGAGGGGCTCCTCACTTCTCAGACGGGGCGGCCGGGCACAGACGCTCCTCACCTCCCAGACGGGGTCGCGGCCGGGCAGAGGCGCTCCTCACATCCCAGACGGGGTGGTGGGGCAGAGGCGCTCCCCACATCTCAGACGATGGGCGGCCGGGCAGAGACGCTCCTCACTTCCTAGACGGGATGGCGGCCGGGAAGAGGCGCTCCTCACTTCCCAGACTGGGCAGCCGGGCAGAGGGGCTCCTCACATCCCAGACGATGGGCGGCCAGGCAGAGACGCTCCTCACTTCCCAGACGGGGTGGCGGCCAGGCAGAGGCTGCAATCTCGGCACTTTGGGAGGCCAAGGCAGGCGGCTGGGAGGTGGAGGTTGTAGCGAGCCGAGATCACGCCACTGCACTCCAGCCTGGGCAACATTGAGCACTGAGTGAACGAGACTCCGTCTGCAATCCCGGCACCTTGGGAGGCCGAGGCTGGCAGATCACTCTTGGTTAGGAGCTGGAGACCAGCCCGGCCAACACAGCGAAACCCCGTCTCCACCAAAAAAATACGAAAACCAGTCAGGCGTGGCGGCGCGCGCCTGCAATCGGAGGCACTCAGCAGGCTGAGGCAGGAGAATCAGGCAGGGAGGCTGCAGTGAGCAGAGATGGCAGCAGTACAGTCCAGCTTCCGCTGGGCATCAGAGGGAGACCGTGGAGAGGGAGAGGGAGAGGGAGGGAGGGAGGGGGAGGGAGAGGGGGAGGGGGAGGGGGAGAGCAAGAACCGATCATGCTGTTTTCTTTAGGTGGGTTAAATCTTGCACATTTGCATAGGTAAAATGTTACCAATGTAACACTTTAGAAATTCTGTGCTTCATGAAAAGTCCCCGGAGATTTGCCGATGCCTTTATTTTTAATATATTTGAACCTCAAGGAAAACACTGAAATAATATGAAATAATTCTGATGAGGTTTCCTATACTTATCAGTTGTAGTTGTCTGATGATGTCAGTCAAAAACCCTATAGGGTAATCAGTCATCATTTTATTATATGAAACTTGGCCACAAAATTACTTATTTAATTTGAAACTAGCAGCTTCTTGGCCAGTGGTTTTTAACTGGGGATGCATGTTAGACTTAGCTGTGAAGTTTTACTAAAATGTAGATATTTAGGACTCACTCTAGACTTGCTGAATCTCTAATTGATATTCTTGAAATATTCATATTGGTATAGTCTTAACATACTCTTGGTATATTTTGTCTCAAGATTATTACATGTAAAAATTATTTTCATTCTTTTTAATCAATTGTAACACATACTGACATGGAAAACTGGCTAATCATAGTCCTTGTAGACATTGAAAATTGGCTAGTTGTCCCTATAGACATTTTGTCTAAAACTTTTATTTTGCATGCCACAGAAATAACCAAACTTTCTTGTCAGTTGCATTATTCTTGCTATGAACGCTCATCAGGCCTTTCACTTTGAAAATAATCAGTAATCAACTTACCACGTTGTTTTAAGACTTTATCATCTACAGATGGGGTGTGTTTTCCTCTAATGCTTTCCTGAAGACTCGGCAATCAGCTACCCTCCAGAGTTGCTGCCTTCAAATAATGACTACCTCAGAAACTGATGGAAAAGAACTGTACCATGTACTTTTAAACTATTGACACTTCTAAAAATAGACTCTTTCATATAGGCTTCTGTGCTTAGCAACTTTTAGTCTGTCCCTGAGGATTGAGTCAGGATTTTCAGAACTCTAATGGAGAAGCAGAAGGCTTCATAAAACTGCTAACCCAAGCTACCGCAGAACAAGAATTAATTACATAGGAATGAATGAATGAATAGAGGGATGATTGAAGTTATGTGTTTGGAATATTGTTGATATTGTTTTAATGCTGTATTTTCTGGATATATAAGGAAATTCTTTCTTAAGCTATCTGTAACCCCATAACTCCTTATCCATTTGCTTTTGTAAACAGTAATAAAATATTTTTAAATAATATATTTTTCTCACTGACCCTTTCCACCTACCGCTTGAATTCACAAACTATTATCAAGTATTCTTACTTTTCATGGCAATATACTTATTAGCAAATATTCAATAAGAAACTGTTCTTTGTTTACCAGACCATAATTGGAAAAATTGGTTATGTAATTAAGGCCTTGCCTGGAATGTCATATTTGGGAAAGATGTTCATTTAATCAGGTACGATCAGACAATTTTGAGGAACTAAAGAACCAACACTAGGAAAATTCTCCCAGGGAAGCTGATGTGGTACCTGGCTTGTAGGCTGTCTACAGGTAAGTAAGGAAGATCAACGCTGGGAAGGACAGGAAGGGTAGGGTATTTTAGGGAACTCAAGGACAGAGGAATTTGCTGATTATAGATGCTACTGGTAAAATCAGGTAGAGAGAAATTCTTCAGCTTGGCTAAGAACCAAAGCCTTGAAATAGCAAATAATAAAGGCTTTTAAAAGTCCATCTGAGATCCCTATGGTAACTTCCAGAAAAGTAAACTTAAGAAGACCCATATCATAAAGTAATATTCTTGTTGCTTCTATGTAAAAAATCAGGCAAACTTACATGGTTTTTCTTATAGTTTAGATGTCATCTATGTTTGCCGGGCGTTAACATTCTGATTAAGATTTATGGTAAAAAAATGCTATTAATATGGTTTCTATTTCTTCTTTATAAATGATTTATCGTAAAATTCCTTAGTTCATTATTTAATATGAATGAGAAGGAAAGAAGAATGCACTCATTCCATTTTCACACCCTTTAGGGAGAGACAGCGTATATAAGGTGGAAGGGAATTAGAGATGGTGGAGGGGAATATTGAGTCTAGGAAATTAAAGAAAGAAAATGACAGGTTAAGGTTGGATTTCAGAAATATCAACACACTTGGCAGACATTCTGAGAAAACAATATTGTTGCCCCAAAGAAGTGTTTACTCATAATAATGATTTGAGGTAAATTACATTTTCACCTACACAAATTATCTATGATCCATTTCTTATTCCTTCTAGCATTTTTTTCTCAAATTCAAAAAAGGAGGATTGGAGAAAAAAAATAAGTTTTGAATTTGTTCACTGTACCTCACAGCTCACTTCTGGCCATATCACAGTCTTAAGCATTTTCATCTGCTTTTTTGTGAGTCCCCTTTACTTAACTCATCACAACTGGTTTTAATTACTTGGTTAATGGACCATATTGCATCCTAGACTATAAGGTAATAAATATATTTTGTTCAAGACAAAAAAATGAAATGACATTCAAATGTATCTAAAATGGAAGTAACTAGTTCTAGATGGCATTTGCTCCAGTAGGTTTTGCTTTTCCTGATTCACTGTTTGCACCTCCACGTCCCCACCCACCCCATGTAAGAGTAGGGGACTATGCCTAGAAGTACCGTGATAGTGCAGTTGGCACACACGTTTCATGGGAACTTCTGGAAATAAAATGGGTGGCAGGGGTGGAATATGAGTTTAAAATACACACTCAGAACTGATTATTTCAAACCACCTCTTACCATCTGAAAATTGGTTTTGTGTGTGTATTTTAAACATACATTCCCCCTTATTTTATTTCTAGAAGTTTTCACGAAATGCCTGTGCCAACCGCCTGGCATTTTCCTCCATTTTCATGGCACTTCCAGGCATAGTCCTTTAATCTTTTTTTTTTTTTTTTTTTTTAGATGGAGTCTTGCTCTGTCACCCAGGCTGGAGTGCAGTGGCATGACCTTGGCTCACTGCAACCTTCACCTCCCGGGTTCAAGCCATTCTCCAACCTCAGCCTCCTGAGTAGCTGGGATTACAGGTGCCCACCACCACACCCCGCTAATTTTTGTATTTTAAGTAGAGACGAGATTTTGCCATGTTAGCCAGACTGGTCTCAAACTCCTGACCTCAAGTGACCCACCCGCCTTGGCCTCCCAAAATGCTGGGATTACAGGTATGAGCCAGTGCACCTGGCTGAGTTCTCTAATCTTATATGGAGTAGTTGGAGATTGGGGGTAAATAGCCACTTCACAGTGTAGCCCAGTGGTTAGGAGCATGGACTGTAGGGCTTCACTGTTCCCATCCCTGCACGTTTCCTCCCTGCAAGCAAGCTATTTAAACTTTCTGTGCCTCCATTTTCTATTCTGGAAAAGGTCGTCGTAAAGCCTAAGAGCAGCAAATGAAGAGTTTCATATATGGCCAGCAACACATTAAGCACTTAGAAGCTAGCTACTGTTATTATTACTACAAAATTATTTTTAGCCACTCGGAAGACATCATTCTCTTACAGAGTTCCAACTGAAGTGTAAAAGAAATAGGAAGCCATAATACAAGACATAATAAGAAACGGCAAGGTGGTAAGCTTCAGATTTGGAGGTCAGCTATATTTCCTGTCTTCTTGGTAGAAATTAGCATTAAGTTTTAGAAAAATCAGCTTTTGTTTACAGAAATTGCAGGATAACAAGTGATTGGGCTGCTTACCTTTAACCCTTCAGTGTTGGAGGATGCTCATGTCTAGAAGTTACAGCTGGGATATCTGACACTGTTAATGAGCTTCTCTTCCTGAGAATCCTAGGAAGCCTGGTGCCTTCTGAGAGCCCCAGCAAAGGGGCTTCCCCTTATGTCATGTTTCTCTTTTTGGCCTCCACTCACTTCAGATACCACTAGAAAGGATTTAATGGGCTATTAGTATCTATTTCTTTTCCACCATGCTTTTCTTCCCAGGTATTTTCTATCCATGCCCATGTATTGGATGGGCTAACACAAAGCCTCCCCTTTCTTATAAGCTGCTATGTATCGCCAGCCTCTGGTGCTCCCTTGCCCAGAGAGAAGCAAAAACCAGTCAGCGTTTGAGAGAATTGCCTGCAGCTGACTTCTAGGCTGGGCACTGTCAACCTTAGTTACTACTTTCTTTCCAAGAAGCATAAGCAGATATCTTTTTCTAATGTTGTGGATTTTAAAAATATGTAGCATGTTAATCTTTTGAAGCTTTGAAAATTAAATTGTGTTTTTCCTGCTCACTTTTCCCATAGGCCACTTCTCTTGGTTTATATGATAGGAAGGGAATTGATAAGAGAATCCTGAGTTGCTGTCACTGTATATGAGTTTATCATCTCCTTCACAGTGGGCACTTGGCTCATCAGCCACAGAATATCCAATGTTCTGAATCAACAGCCTGCAGCAGGATGGCATCAACAGAAAAATCAGGCTGACATGCCCACAAAAAAACCACCCTTTCTCCAAAAACTATTGGAAACAGCCTCTTTGAGTCCTCAAAAGCAAAAAATATTGGGGACCAGACACGGTGGTTCACGTCTGTAATACCAGCACTTTGGGAGTCCAAGGTGGGTGGATCACTTGAGGTCAGGAGTTCGAGACCAGCCTGGCCAACATGGTGAAACCCCGTCTATACTAAAAATACAAAAATTAGCTGGACATGGTGGAACACACCTGTAATCCCAGCTACTCAGGAAGCTGAGGCAGGGGAATGGGAGAATGGCTTGAACCCGAGAGGTAGAGGTTGCAGCAAGCTGAGGTCATGCCACTGCACTCCAGCCTGGCCAACAGAGCTAGACTCCATCTCAAAAAAAAAAAAAAGAAAAGAAAGAAAAAAAAAGAAAAAATTGACTTTTCTTTCCATTGAGAAGAAATTGTTTTTGAACCATGTGGGCAGGGGTATAATTCCTCCACTGTGCTTCACTATGCTTCTGGTTGTGTTATTGCTGGTCCCATAGCTTCAAATTATATAGGTGATTTGCATGAAGAAAGGGAAAGAAGAAATTTCTCTGGAGGGGAAAGACGGTGGTAAGACCACTACCTTCTTCATTTCCCTTTTTTCTGGCTCAACCTCAGAAACTAGGTCTGATTTCTGGATTTAGGGGTGTTAGGCAGTGGTTGAAAGAGCTGTTGAGACTCTGGGGTACAAAGCAGTGCCTTCTCCAGTTTTATAGGGCCAAATGTCACCTCTGAGCAGCTGGAGAGATGTTTTCTCTATTTCTGTGGTATGCCATGTATATAGTGTTTGGGGAGAAATAAGGCCAGAAGTCACATGGCCCCTTCAGCATGTGGAGGGATTTGCAGCTGTGGAACCCAGGAGTGCTCAGGAAGTGGGGGCAGCCTCGCTGAAGAGCTAGGAGCAGCAGACATCAGCAGGAAGAGCAGAGGATAACATCAAGAGGAATCGTGCCTGACACCACCCTGCATGTCCAGGGTTATTTCTGGGAAAGCCAAAGCCTAAGGGGTATTGGGTTTGCTCAAGACTCAAGTCACCTATGGGTAGGTGGTGGCCAATAATCCGGCAAAGTGGGGCTAAAGACAAACTAGACAGCTTGGGCATGAGGTTTGAAAATAGGAGGTCTGGGATGTTTGGGTTACAGTCAAAAAACTAACATGGCTTTAGCAACTTCACTGAACCAAGTCATAAAATTTGTTTCTCTTTCGTGGCTCCAATACTTTGGTGCTCTTAGTACTCTCCAAATATAGATCAGAGATGCAGGAGAAATCAACTTTTAGCAAGCTGAATGAATGATCTTCTAGTGATTAACTCTTCTCTAAGTTTTAAGTGAAAAGCAGCAGGCGTCATGGTGAGTGTGAGTATCCTGTGTTGAACTGGATCATTCGTGTAGGTTTGGGGAGCTCTAGTGAGCATTATGGTACCTTTCTTCCTGGAACACCAAGTTTTAGGCAGTAGCTACAAGTACAGCGATTAGTTACAGAAAGCAGTTATTAGCACACTTGCTCTATTTTACTACCACTTAAAAGCAATTAAGATGGAGAAAATATAAGCCAGACTTCTCATTAGAGGTTTAGAGAATATGTTAAACAAAACTTTACCTTTCTTCCAAAACCAGGGAATTGTTCCTATTATCAGATAGAAGTGAAGTTTCTATGCAAAGAAAGCTGAGATACTTAGTCCATTGTTCTAAAGAGCATTTTTTCTTTTAGTGGTCCAAGAAATGTCACTAGTTTCCCCAAAAAGGTCCTCTGGTTAAATACTGGTAACCAATGAGTTAAGTAATGTTAAACCGGTTTGATTACTGACTTTTTGAAGACTTTAATATGCCCACATATGTGGTCTGATTCCATGATAGAGGAATGTGAATACGCACCTCATGGACAAATACATTCAGGACGCTGCCAGTACATTTTGTAGAAGGCTGGTGCTCTAGAATGTAATTTCAAAAATGCCAGGTCGGACGCTGTGGCTCACTCCTATAATCCCAGCACTTTGGGAGGCCCAGGCGGGTGGATCGCCTGAGGTCAGGGGTTCAAGACCAGCCCGGCCAACATGGGGAAACCATGTGTCTACTAAAAATACAAAAATTAGCTGGGCATGATGTCAGGCACCTGTAATCTCAGCTACTGGGAGGCTGAGGCAGGAGGATCACTTGAACCTGGGAGATGGAGGTTGCATTGAGCCGAGATCACACCATTGCACTCCAGTCTGGGTGACAAGAGTGAGACTTCATCTCAAAAAAAAAAAAAAAAAGTCATATGTGATAGACATTGAGAAGCACCACCTAGGTCCCCTTTCAAGGAGGACTTGCTGTCCACCTGCAGGCAGTGTGACAGCAGACTGTTTCAGCTGTCTGCTTCTTCACACTCTGCCACCACTGCAAAGAGCACCTTGCCCTTCCATGAGCAGTCCATCTGGCGGCTGAGCGAGGTGGGTATAAAGGACCTGCCCTCTTATCCACCCACAACAGTAAATACTTGCTCCAGAGCTCCCCAGGGGAGTGGCTAAGACTTGTCAGGCCCACATCACTTCTCTCTCTGCCCAATCTTTCTTTCTCCCTTTCCTTTCACAGTTGTTTATCCCCAATCAACAAGTTGGACCTCAGACTTTGTCTCAGTATCTGCTTTCATAAAACCCAACCTGAGCCAGTACTGAGATTAAAATATGTAGGATTACTCTTTTCTATGAGTGAGGATTCCTACATGTCAATTTTACTTATTTAACATTTGTTCATTTCAATGACATAACCAAGCATTTGTTACCTAGGCTGGTTATAAATGGAATACTTCCTATAATGAATTGTTCATTTACTGTTATCTAATACAATTAATTAATGTTTCTATTTTAATATATTTCAAGTTCTAATATTGCAATGTCTAATGTACAAAAATTTGTTGAACTCAGAGTGGTTGAAATACTCCACATTTGTAAAAGTATATACTACAGTAAAATTAGTACTACTAACTGAATAAAACAAATACAATCTAATGGAAAGTATGTCAGTTGATTGACCAACAATCCCACTGGTTGAACTAAAAGAGGTTTCCTTTGAAGAAGTTCAGAGTCTTAGAAATATTTAAGGATGTGAAGAAAATTTCTAGACATTTTCAGAACATTTGATTCCATTAAATGTTGATGGCCCATATACTTCTAATCCTTCATGCTACTAATAGACATAGCCATAAAAAGAGAAAAAGAAAATAATCAATTTGATTAGTATTTAGATTATAAATGAAACAAAAAGGAGGAGAAAATGAGTTGATAGGAGAGAAGTTGTAAAAGAAATATATCCATAGGTGAGACAACTCTAACTCAAGCAGGTAAAAGACAGAGCCAAAAAAAAAAAAAAAAGGACAATGAAAACATGCAAGTTTCCCCTGTTTAGGAAATAAGGAGGTGATAGCAGAGAGGCAGGGGGCCAAGCCATGCTCCAAGGGACCCAAGTAACAGAGTCAAGGGTCCCAGGAGTAGGTGAGAGGGAAAAGCTACATGTAAGGAGCCACTAATAGGCATGGGAAGTTTGTGTGTGTTTAATTCAAACATTTCTAATAAAAGCCAGTTAAAATATCCACCAATGTTCCCACTCTTCAATCAAGTGGGAGCAGACATCAAATATTCATTGAGTTGGTGTAAAAACCATTGGGTCTTTTAATAACATTAAGGTGCTAAAGAGAAATAGCATGGAAATTACCATTTTGTTGATTTTATTATTCCATAAGTTCTTTTAATCACATTCCTTTTTTTATAGTTTATATTTATTGCATTCTTCCTATGTGTCTACACATGGGTTAGCTCATTTAATCAAGTCGTCAAGGAACTTGATATCAGAGCTGCTCTCTCCTTCATCAAATCTAGGCCTTTCCCTAAAAGATTTGATGTCTTTAGCCTAGAAAGAAAGACACGTTATGATGTTACAGTCAAGTCCACAAATATATGGACTGAAATACAGAGAATCTGAGCCCCTGGGTAGAACATGTTATCAGCGTTGGAATGGATGGGTGACACAGCCACCTTCTTCTTGGCTGGAAGAGTCTGGTCTTGCTCCCAAAATGACAGCTGTTCTGTTTCTGCATTATTTATTTAACTTGACAATACTTAAAGCAAACCTGATTTTTAAGGCCAGTTCCTTCTGAGCAGTTTAATCTGAAAACATGATTTCCTTAAATAGGATCTCATTTTGTCTGCTGATTTGCATTGACTGAGGTGCTTTGTTAGTTTCTGCTTTCCATGTGGCTGGAATGACAGTGCTGGCTGTCATTCCTCTTTGACCACTTAAAAGTAATTTTATGGAATTTACCTACTATGCCTCTTTAATCTTCTTCAGGCACAGATGAGTAGAAACTATTTAGTGTGATCAGAGAAATGGAGGAATCATTCTTTCCAATATTATATCAATAATGACTTTAAAAAATATTTTTATTACAACACATTTGGTGGGTAGATAGAAGGAAAGGAGTAATGATGGTATGAAACAAACAAACAAACAAAAACCCAGACTGCTGTAGTTATCAATTGCTATGTAACAAATTACTTCAACAATTAGCAGTTTAAAGTAATAAACTTTTATTATCCCAGTTTCTGTGGGTCAGAAATTTAATAGTGGCTTAGCCCAGTGGTTCTGTCTCAGGTTCTCATGAGGTTGCAGTTAGGATGCCACCAGGGGACTTTGAGACCTCATGTCTACAAAAAAAAAAAAAAAAAAAATGATCAAGTGTGGTAGTGCATGCCTGTAGTCCCAGCTACTTGGGAGGCTGAGGCAGGAGGATCGCCTCAGCCCAGGAGGCTGAGGTTGTAGTGCACTGTGATAGTGCCACTGCACTCCAGCCTGAGTGACAGAGTGAGAGACAAAACAAAACAAAACAAACAAAAAGATGTCACCAGAGCTACAGTCATTGAAGACTTGACTGGGACTGGAGGATCCCTTTCCAAAATAGTTCATCCATATGGTTGTTGGAAGGAGGCTTCAGTTCCTACCTATGTGGGTCTCTCCATGGGATGCTGGAGTGTTGTTATGACACAATGTCTGGTGTCCCCCATCATGAGTGACATAAGAGAGAGCAAGGAGGAATGCACAGTGTCTCTTACGGAAGCCTCAGGAGTCACTGATCATCATTTCTATGACATCTTGCTGGTTATATGGGTCAACCTTACTCAGTTTGAGAGGGGACTACACAAGGGCATGAATACCAGGAGGTGGGCATGACTGGGCTACCAAAGAATGTCCTCTGGTCCCCCAGTGATTCACCTCCTTACCACATACAAAATACTCTCACCTCCCCTCATGACCCCAAAAGTCTAATCCCTTTACAATACCTGCTGAACATCCAAAATCTTGCTATATAAATCAAGCACAAGACTCCTTGGATGAGATTTCTTAAGAGCAGTTCTTTAAGTTTAGCTCCTTGAATACCATTCTCCTTCATCTGAAGACCTGCCAATTAAAGAAACAAGTAACCTACCCTCATCACACACAACATGCAATGGGAGGAAAAATATAGGATGTCTATAGTTGTAGACAATCCTGTTCAAAGTCACCCAGTCCAGGCTGGGCACAGTGGCTCACACCTGTAATCCCAGCACTTTGGGAGGCCAAGGCAGGAGGATTGCTTGAGCCCAGGAGTTTGTAACCAACCTGGGAACATAGGGAGATTTCATCTCTGCAAAAATTTAAAAAATTAGCTGAGTGTAGTGGCATCTGCCTGTGGTCCTAGCTACTCAAGAGGCTGAGGTGGAAGGGATCACTTGAGCCTGGGAGGTCAAGGCTGCAGTGAGCTGTGATTGTGCCACTGCACTCCAGCCTGGGCAAAAGAGCAAGACCCTGTCTCAACACACGCACACACACACACACACACACACACACACACACACACCAAAAAACAAAATCACCCAATCCATGCTACCTCCACCTTACTGAAGGGGACGGTGTTGCTAAATTTTCTACCACTATATAACAAGGATCCTCTTTCCTTTCATTTTTTTGTTTTTGTTTATTTGTTTGTTTTGGCTTTGGCTTTGGAATGAGGAAATGAATGGAAGCTGGAAAGACTTTGAGGAGAGTGTTAGTGAAAGCATAACATGTTGAACAAACTGATAGTAGAAGCCTGATAGACATTCACTAGGCTGCCAGTGTGGGATTAAAGGGAGGTAAGGAAATTGCCATCAAAACCACAGGAGGCCGGGCAGTGGCTTACACTCTTAATCCCAGCACTTTAGAAGGCTGAAGCGGGAGGATTGTTTGAGGCCACATTTGAGGTTTTGTTAGGATAGTGCCTCACATTCAGGTACCCGATATCTGTGTTAGTTATCTCTTGCTGCATAGCAGATCATTCCAAAACTTAGCTGCTTAAAACAATGCTAAATACTACCTCACACAATTTCTGTGAAACAGACATTGAATAGTGGCTTAGGTGGATAATTCTGGCTTGGGGTCTTTCTTGAAGTTACAGTCAAGGTGTTGTCCAGGGCAACAGTCATCTGAGGGCTTGACTGGGGCTGAAAGATCCCCTTTCAAGACAGTTTGCTTACATTATGCTTATTGTCAGCAGGAAACCTCAGTTCCTCCTCATGTGGGCCTCTCCACAGGCTGCTCGAGTACCCTCACAAGATGGTGGCTGCCTTGCCTCAGAGGAAGAGACTGAAGAAAATAAGGTAAAAAAACTTCCATGTCTCTTGTAACTTAGCCTAAGAAGCCACACATGGGCATTTCTGCAATATCCTATTGGTTACATAGGTCGGCTTTATTCAATATGGCACAGCACTACTAAGGGTGCAAGTACCAGGAATCTGGGATCCTTGGGAAACATCTTGGTAGCTTCTTACCACGCTAATCAACAGAAATTGAGAGGGAATTCAAACACAGCCAAGGGAGGCAGACCTTGGTGGCTACATGATGGCCTCTGGTTGTAAAGCTGGAAGGAAACAGACATGGAGATGTCCACTGCAGGGGCTCAGGTTCTAAGGACACCTCACCAGCCGGGCAGCCCACATACACTATTCAGGAGGAATCTGTTAGGCCGGGCTGAAAACTAATGTTCTTGGGAGATGTGTTCTTTAGAATTAATGGCTCAGAGAGCTTTCCTGTTGACATTGGTGCTGGATCCATCTTACCCTTCTTTTGCTACATCTTGGCAGTTACATTTAAGATGCTATTTCTCTTCCTCACTTCAAACTGTGCCTAATTTTCAAATAATTTCCATTCTTTTTTGAAAAATGGCAATTTTCTTATAGTTCCAATGCTTCAGTAACTGGGGAGCTTCTCTTGTGCCTGGATACTACTTTTCTTTATTAAAAACTGATATGACCCAGATAAAGGGAATTTTATTCTGAGTGTTTATCTCTAAACTTCTTTTTTATTATTTGTCTCTTGCAATAATCTGAGCACTTTTAAGAGATGAATGTTTTATCCTAGTATTCAGTGCTTTTTCCAGACCTGACACATAGTAGGTATTCAATTAATGTATGCTGCCAAAATATATTTCAGTGTTAGAGGCCACCAAACAGATATCTTTTCATTCTCTCCCCTCTGCCGCCTACATAAGGAGCCAATGAAGCACGTTTTAAAAAAGATAGCACATTTGTAATTGCTTCAAAGTTAAACCTATATACTTTTTTGGTTAATTTTATTAGCTGTAGTTGCTCTTGTTTTCCATACTATAAGAAGATTATCTCAATTAGTGTTAATTGTCTCCTTCCACGTGGTCCTTCCTCCATCTGACTTAGGGGAATTTTCTTGGTGTTTTTCCATCTCATTCAGACATAATGGTGTGGATGGTGGGTGGTTTGGGGTTACATATTGGAGCTATGTAAGGGGTACAATTCCGATGACGGTTCTGTGGCCCTAATCCCCTGCTCCCCACCCCCACTTTTTTTGAAGAGGGTGTCAAATATGGATTAATTACTTATCTTTGTGACCAGAAAAAAAAAAAAAAGCCTAAGTTAACTGAAGGAAAAAAAATGGAAATTTACTAATAAGTGTCCCATGGAACTTGTGGATTAAATAGCAGTCAGATATCGTCACATCTCTCTCCCTCCCTCTCTCTCCCCCACTCTCTCCTGCTCGCTCTCTCTCTCTTTCTCTCTTTCCTCAGTGTATGCTTCATTCTTCTCTTTATATAGATTGTTTTCCTCTTCTCCATTCCCATGCATGCCCAAGTATGGCCACTGAGTTAGCTGGGTCCTCTGTGAGGCAGACATTGAGATGGAGCTGGGAGCACATGAGGTTTGTTGAGATGTAATCCCTGTGAAAGAGAAGAGGAAGAGGAAGGTAACTGGACAGGGAAAGTCTTCACACCATGATGCATACTGGACACCTATTAAAGGAAAGCGGGAGGAATCAGGATTGGGCAAGTGAGTCTCAGATCATGATGTGGACATGACAAAATTCAGACCAAGCCAATGGGGAACTCCAGAGCAAAAAGATGATTTGCTAGAGGTGTTCCATGTTGGAGAGAAATGTCCAGGCTCTAGGACCTCTGTGGTGCTTAGTCATTAGCTGGGGGTTGCCTAGAAGAAGTATGGCTCCAGCTCAAAAATTGAAGCAGATTCTGAAGGCACTAACAGCTGGAGGCCGTCAGCTAACTCCGCTCTCGCACCTCCCAGCTCCACTCCTTTCCTGAAGGAAGAGCTGAGCAGTGGTGCATCTCTATGGCTGCCACAGCCACCAAGACCCAAAAGTTCCCTCACTGTGAACATCTATGTAGAGCATTTACCTGTAGTAGAGTCTGTGTGTATCTGTCCTCCAAATTACCATACAGTTCTGGCCCAGGAGAGTGGGTTCAGTTTTACAAAATGATCCCTGGGGCCACTGCTATGGTTAAGAGGATGAGCTAGACATTTGCACCTAAAGATATTGTCATTATTATGTTGGATAAAATTTGAAGGTCAGAGGGCACCAAATAGAGTAATATATTCACTATTTTGTCCTCTCTAGCATGTAGAGCCACGAAGAAGCATATTTTATTTATTTATTTATTTATTTATTTATTTATTTATTTATTTTTGAGACAGAGTTTTGCTCTTGTTGCCCAGGCTGGAGTGCAATGGTGCAATCTCTGCTCACTGCAACTTCTGCCTCCCAGGTTCAAGTGATTCTCCTGCCTCAGCCTCCTGAGTAGCTGGGATTACAGGTGAGTGCCACCACGCCTGGCTAATTTTTTGTATTTTTAGTAGAAACAGGATTTCATCATGTTAGCCAGGCTGGTCTCGAACTCCTGACCTCAGGTGATCCGCCCGCCTCAGTCTCCCAAAGTGCTGGGATTACCGGCATGAGCCACCACGCCCGGCCAAGAAGCATATTTTTAAAAAAAAGTTTTTTTTTTCGTTTTTGTAACCTCATTAGCAGAAAGCATACTTCTGTTCAAAAGTATTAAGATAATCATGTCTGACTTTAGGTTTAATTGCTTCAATGATAAGCACTGTCTTCTGCTCCCCTCCCCACATCCAACCCTTAGAATTTTTCCAAGATTCTTGTTATCCATTCTATTCATATTTATATCATCCATCATATGAGGCAGAGGGGAGGGAAATGTGTCAATAGAAATATGTAAAGGCATTCAAGTGGGTTGGTATTTTCAGCATTAACTAATTATTCTTTCTTTGGAATAATGTACCAAAAACCATATTAGGACTTTCCGGTTGAAATAAACTACTGTTAACTAGCTCAGGTAAAAAGTGAAGAATTTAGTGAGGAAGCATGTTCAGCTGTTTGGTTTTTTTGAACCCAACCCAATGAGGCTTTGGGAATGGCATATTATTACACATTGCTGTGTAACAAATTGCCAAAAGCGTAATGGCTTGAGAAGAACACAAATTTATAATCTCACAGTCTCTTCAAGGCTGCATTGCATGTGTCAGCGGGGGCTGGTTCTCACTTGGAGCTCAGGGCCCTCTTCCAAGCTCATTCAGCTTGTTTGTGGGCAGAATGCAGTTCCTTGAGGTCACAGGACTGAGGCCTCCACTCCTGCAGGCCACTTCTCTCCACAGACAGTCACCCAGGGCTGTTTGCTTTCTTTCTTGAGCAGTTAAGAGACTCTCTCTGCTGCTTTTTAAAGGTTTTCACCCCATTAAGTGAAGTTCAGTGAGGATTATATTCCTTTTAACTCCAAATCAACTGATTTAAGGCCTTCATTACATCTAGAACACACCTTTTGTCATATAACATAGTAAGTTGGCCAGGCATGGTGGCTCATGCCTATAATCCCAGCACTTTGGGAGGCTGAGGCAGGTGGATCACAAGGTCAGGAGTTTGAGACCAGCCTGGCCAACATAGTGAAACCTCATCTCTACTAAAAATACAAAAAATTAGCCGGGCGTGGTGGCAGCCACCTGTAACCCCAGCTACTCGGGAGGCTGAGGCAGGAGAATTGCTTGAACCTGGGAGGCAGAGGTTGCAGTGAGCGGAGATCGTGCCATTGCACTCTAGCCTGGGCAACAGTGTGAGACTCTGTCTCAAAAATATATGTATATATATAACATAGTAAGTTATAGGAGTGATGTTTCATATTTGCAGATCCTTCCACTGTCAAGGGTAGGTATTATACAGGTCTATACCAGGGCTGGACTCTTAGAATTCTGCCTACCACAAATGGACTCAGTTTAAGTGCTGGAAAACTGAAAAAATCTTCTTCTCTTCTATCTTACCTCTTCTCTCTAACAGTCTCTTCCCTTTGGATTCTCTAAATTACCAAGGAAGAGCTCTGGCCTAACTTGGATGGGATGTTCAACCCTGGTATTATCAACTGTGGCCAGGGGCATGATTCCATGTTGTATAAAGTAGCTTCTGGGGGTCCACTGGTGTGGTTGAGAAGGTAGGAGTAGTTCACTTAAGGAAGGGCCGTGTGAGCTGGGAAGATACTCCAAAGCTATTTACCTCGTGCTGCCTTTTATTCAGTGAAGAGCACATTCTTCTGATAGGTCAGACAGCAATGGGTAGTAAGTGATAATGGCCCCTGGGCAGCAATGAATTGTGTTGTGTCCTCTTTTATGTCACCCTGCAATTCTCCCAGAAACAAACTCATTCTAAAACTAGGCTGTGTTCATTCACGCCACATTCAACAAATCAAAACAATCCAAAACTGAAATAAAAATTCATGTAGGGTGATGGTGAGGAAATGGGGAATGACTGGTAATATGTATAAGGTTTTCTTTTGGGGGTGATGAAAATGTTCTAAAATTAGTGTGTATATATTCCACTGCAGTTCATAGAAATGGCCCTAGCCCATAGATTGAGGTCTCTTAGTACCGTTCCCCATTAAAAAGATCCTGGGCTCCTTAGCGGTAATGGCTTATTCCAAGTTTGAGGCATGGAAGATATCAGGTGAGCCTGGTACATCTTTTGGGGTGTCTAAAAGCAAGAGTCCAGGGTTTAATGAGGTCAGGTGAAAGGTTTGGTCAGTTTTAGCCCCTTCACATTGGCTACAATGTTGTGTGTTATGGTTTGGCCTCATAAGCACCTATTCAGGGGAGTACAACAGAGGAAAGCTTTGTCACTCAGACACCTGGGAGGTCCTGCAGATGATGCCTGAAGCTGCAGCTGGAAGTGTTGCTTGTGCCTGCTGGGTCACTGGGAAGTGCTATGCAGTCACAATGAAATTTTCAGGTGGCATTGTGTGCCATCTTAGACTTTTTTCCCCCCAAGTTTCATCCCTCCCACCCCTCAGTTCATGAAATTTCACTCTCCCAGATACTCTGTACATCTTTTCTTGTACTATGTAATAACTACATTCTTTCACCCCGCCCCACCCTGCCAGGACAATTTTTGCCCCGTAGGGGCTGATATTTCCCTTATTGAGAATGCATGCTCCACTCCATTTGTGCTGGCAAGTGTGGAGAATGTGGGCATTTATGTAGGGTGGTGGTAGGGAAATGGGGAAACTAGTAATATGTATGGGGGTTTTTTTGGGGGGTGATAAAAATGGAGGACCCCAAATGACTGTTATTTTGGGGCCCAGAAAAGGACCAGGGTAAATACATTTCATCATTGGGATTCAAGGCTGGAATCTTTTCTGATTGAGACCCTTGGGTCATTTGGACAGAGAAACAGCGAGACAGATTTCATTCCCTTCTCTCCCACAGGAGCTGACCCCAAATGTGTCTCCTGCATGCTGGTAACCATCTCGAGTCCGCTGCCCAGGGAACCCACCTTGGGATCATTTTGCTAAATATCTCTAATATGTGGTTGATTTATTACTGCTGGGTCTAAAAGCTACTGTTTGAGCATTTATATAGTGTGCAAAAAACTTGTCACTATGCATACAGTGCTGGCTGTCTCCCGTTGACCCTCCCAAGCTACTCTCCCTCTGCTCTGTGCTCAGGGAGACTAGCCATAAGGATTACATCAATGGGCCCGTTGCCACAGGTTCCTGATGGGCTTGGCCAATGGAAAGCAGCAGGTAGAGCATGAGGTCAGAGTATATTCTCAACTCCTCACCTGTCAGTCCACAGGGGGTTGTCTATTTCTCTCTGCAAAGGGTTTCTGGTCCTGCTATGTGGACCCCTCTCTATATATATTTCTTACTATGGGTTCAAGTGGCTACCTTCTCTCTTTGGCTTCTTCAGGCCAAAACTCCCTGCTCTTGCTGGCCCTGGAGACACTGCATTATCCCTGTGTTTCTCCTAGATTCTGCCCACCTTTGTAAATAGTCTATATTTTGAACCCTTCTTCAATTTCTCAGTTTGCAGATGCCGTATTCCCTGCTGGGAACATGACTGACACATTCAAGTCTCCTCGAAAGCAGTTATTTCCAAGATGGTATAAGATCCTGTCCCTGCCTCAGAGGTCAGGAACAGTGACCTGGAACAGAACAGCTTTGTGGATAACCTAAAAGCATTTTGCAAGCATAGAGGGTGAGGTGATTAGCTCTATCTGATTGAGTTGGGGAAGGCTTCTCAGAAGAGGAAACAGTATAGTCTGACAGGAATTTTCCATACAGAAAAAGGAACTGCAAATGCAAACGCATGAAAGCTTGAAAGGGATGGCCTTTTGGAAATCTAGAAAAAAGTCTCAGCAGGTAAAGGTCAAGTGTGTGCACACAGGCTTGTTTGCAGGGAAGGTAGGAAGGGGAAGAGGCATGCGGTGAAGTTGTAAGGATAAGTTGGTTGCGGAAGATGCAGTCTTGAAGGCAGTAAAGTCTAAAAGTCTATAGTTCTCTAGAGGTCGGAAAGTATAAAAGTCTATAGTTCTCTAGAGGTCAGTAGAAGTGTTGTACAGTGTTGTAAGAAATGAAGGTAATACATTTCATAAAAGCACATGCTGTAACTACCAAGATATTATCACAAGGAGGTAGTTAAGAGATGGCTAGATTGTTGCAACCCTAGATGGTGACACGGTTAAGTTAATGTTTTGTAGAAGGAAGGGAAAGAAATAAACACTTAAGTGTTTACTCTGTGCTAGCGTTCGGACATAATATTTCACTGTAGGAGACATGCCTGTTGACTTTGCATCTTTCCATCTATAAAGCCAATGAGATTGCCACTGGATAGTACATCTTGCTTTGGGGCTTAGAAAAATACATCATCAGAATATTCCACTGTGAGGACCCCTGTCTGACACATATACAGACAGTCCCAGACTCATGATTTTTCAACTTCAACTTACGATTTTTTGACTTTATGATAGTACAAAATTGATACACATTTAGTAGAAACCATATTTTAAATTTTGTGGGTTTTTTTCCTTTTTATAAAAAAGAAATAGGGTCTCACTATGTTGCTCAGGCTGATCTCAAACTCCTTACTTCAAGCAATCCTCCTGACCTAGCCTCTCAAGTAGCTGGGATTACAAGTTCCAGCCACCATACCCAGCTTAATTTTGATCTTTTCCCAGGCAAGCTATATGTGGTATGATATTCTTACATGAGATATTTAACACTCTACTATAAAATAGGCTTTGTGTTGATTTAGCTGATTTAGCTTACCTGCAGGCTAATGTAAGTGTTCTGAACACATTTAAGCTAGGCTAGGCTAAGCTATGATGTTTGGTAGGTTAGATATACTAAGCGCATTTTTGGCTTATGATATATCTAAGTTATGCTGGGTTTATCAGAACATAACCCCTAAGTCGAGGAGCATCTGTAGTGGTAAACACATCATTAGGGTTTTTAATTTGATTGTTACTGAGAAATTGTTGCAGGTTGTGAGTTTCTAAAATGAATTTTAATTAACTCCCTTCATTGCTGGTCCTGGGTACTAGAATCGTAGGACCACGCATGGGTTGTGCATGTGTCCACACCCCACAAGCCCCAGTTTCTTAGTGGTCTCTCTAACTCCTCTTGTGATCAATAAGCTAAGGTACTCTACGTGCATACATGCTAGCTTTCATTTTCATGTAAAACTATGCAGAATAGTGTCTGGAACCCACTGGATACTCCATACATGGTCTCTTTTGATCTTAAAAGAACACAGCGAGGTGGGCATTCAGTAACTTGTCCAGGTTGAGAGTGGAGTCAGGATTTGAACCCAGGTGACCGTATCTTATGTTCTTGATCATCACGCAAGGCCACCTGTCATTGAGACTTGAACAGCAGATGGGGCCGGGTGTGGTGAATCCTAGCTCTTTGGGAGGCTGAGGAATGAGGATCACTTGAGCGCAGGAGTTTGAGGTTGCAGTGAGCCTCTGTGCTACTGTAGCACGGAGTGACTGTGCTTCTGTACTCCACCCTGGGCAACAGAGCGAGATCGTATCTCAAACAGTGGAATGACAAAGAAAGCAAAAATCAAAAAACAAAAACCCCGAATAGCAGATGGGCTGTGAGCATGGAGCAGATTGCATCAGCTGCATGAGCCTTCATTCTTCCTCCAGAAGGGCCTCCAAAGACAGCTTTTTCAAAGTCTAGGCTATAAAAATACCACCTTGAGTTTCACTTCTTTTCATGTATGAGATCTTAGATCTTAGTTCCTGTTTGCTTTGCAAAGGACATAAAGAGCCTGCCCAAGCATGTTCCTCTAGAATTCCCACCGAAACCAGGAAGATAGCACAGGAAGCTGCCTGTGGACTTAAAGGACCCCAAGAAGACCCTTCAGCCCTAAAATATGTTTCCAATAGCTCATCTTGGTGTCTGAAATGTCTTTATTTGAGGGTTATTACTTCAAGTCATGAGCTTTTTGGGGTTTGAGCACGAGAATAAATTTCTTCATGCTCTTCTGCCAGTATGTATTTGCTCTTTAAAGGCTAACAGAAACCTATTCAGTCCAGCTTTAGAAATAAACAGAACTGTATCCCAGTGATATAAGTGTTACTTCCCAGAGCACAGGGGCAGATAATGGCTTGGGAATTGGCTCTTGGCAATTTTTTGGTTTCTGGGCAATTCCTAGTTCTAAGGCAACTATTCTCCCCGAAGCTGTGGGATGCCCTGTTTCTGCTGCTCGCTACAGAGCCAGGACAGTGAGGCCAACATGAAGGCTGGTGTGGTCTGCCCTGCTTTGGCCTTCCTATGGCAGGAAATAGCCGCCTGAACTCCATGCAGACCTCAGTTAAAGGGCCTAATGCACACCTAATTCATGCCCCAATAAGGGCCTAAAGTCTCAGAATCTCAATTCCAAATCTCCGGTCAAGGGTCCGCCCTGGGTCCACTCACTGGACAGGGGTTGGGGCCGCATGCCAGGGCCATAGTGCTATTGGATCAGGCTTTCAGTCAAGGGGGCATACAAGATGGGTTTTTCAAGAGTGTGGGGAAATGACAAGAATCTCCCTTATAACATCCCAAGGACAAATGCCTTCCCTCCAATTAATTAACTCCTCATATCTGATGGCAGGGTCCTCAGATAAAAATGTGCTTATGGGCCAGGCATAGTGGCTCATTTATATAATCCCAGCACTTTGGGAGGACAAGGAGGGAGGATTACTTGAGCCCAGGAGTTTGAGACCAGTCTGGGCAACATAGTGAGACCTGGTCTCTATAAATAATAAAAAAGAAAATTAGCCGGGCATGGTGGTACACACCTGTGGTCCCAGCTACTTGGAAGGTTGAGGCAGGAGGATCACCTGACCCCAGGAGGTCAAGGCTGCAGTGAGTTGTGATTGTGCCACTGCGCTCCACCCTGGGTAACAGAGTGAGACCCTGTCTCAAAGAAAAAACAAAGTGCTTCTGAATCACCTGCCCCTCTGCCAGTCTTTAGTGCTGGAGAAAAGGCAACCCTGGCTGGTGGTATGAAATGAATGGAAAGGGAGTTGCTGGGGCTGGGGAGTGGGTGCACACAGAATAAAATGATAATGTTTTTGAGAACACTTTGGCAGGCTATGTGTAATTAACATGATACTCAAGTGGATTTTTTCTTTTTTCTTCATTTTTTTTTAACCTGGAAGGGACTTTGTAAATGTAGTTCAGTCCCTTGCCCTATTTTCCAGCTGAGAAGTGGGGTTCATGGAGGTTTTGGTCATCTACCCGGTGTTAGGAGACTCATTAGGACTCCTGTCTCCTACCTTTGCCTTTGATTGCCAGTTCTTCCCTCTACTCTCTGCCCTAGTATCTCCAATTCTACATTTTCTTTATCTTGACGTCCTTATCTGATCTCTCAGTTAAACTATGTTGTGGAAAAATAACTCCTAAAGCCCCAAGAACCACTTCTGAGCAAGCCATAGCAAGTATTTCCTTGGAATTTCCCTCAGGTTAAAAAGCAGACTTGAGTTTCTCAAGCTTAGTAGCTCAGCAACTAAAAAGTAATGTTAATATCACCAAAGGGCTTAAAAGTAAATTGCAGAAAAAGAATAAATATCATTTGATCACAGCTGATAAAGGTAATTCTAGTGTGATAGGGAAGTCTTAGTGCATTCCTTCCCAAGTGCTAGCTTGGTCTGAACCTCATCTGTGTAGAAATTGTGGCTTGTGTAGTTATCCAGTAACATCTAATATTTGCCATGGCTTTGACTAATATTTAAAGAAATGTGGGCAATGCTACATGCTATTCTTTTAAAAATAGCCATAATGGAATTGAAGTGGGTCAGCTTTTTCTCCAAAGAGTTTGCATCCTGTTACATACTATAAATAATAATATCTAACATGTATTGAACATTTACTATGTGCCAGGCTCTACTGTTTTACGTCTCTTTTCTAACACTCAAAGCAACCTAAGAGATACACATATTTTCCTTATTTTACTGGTGAAGAAGAAATGAAGGCTTAGGGAGATCGTGACTTGCCCTAGATCAAGCAGATGGTGAAAGGCAGAGTGAGGATTCAAATTTAGGTCTTTATGTCCCTTAAAAAAGGTTTCTTTCATCATACTAATAAGATGCCTCTTTCAGAATATGCATGTAGAAAGAACCAGCATAATTTGTGCTTTGTAGCTTCCAATCAGAAAGCCTGGGTTCAACGTTTACCCTTCAAAAATTTTCCAAATAGGGAATAAGATTCTAGGCATTAAAGAAATTTTTGTTTCCCCAAGCCTGCCACCTCCCACCCCATATAATACAAGTAATTTAAAAGCTAGTCAGACCAAATAGTGAAATGGACTCAGTATATGGGGATCTTTATTTGGAAAATAAAGTCAAAAGACAAGAAGAATAAGAATTATTTGTTTAGAATCTCAGTTATTATTAAAGAACCAGTCTTTCATCAGTAAAATTCTAGCCTCTCCCACCAGAGGGCAGTTATCACATAAACCAGAAAGCCCCTCTTGGCTTCACTTTCAGACACCACATCACACTACATCTGGAATTAGGTTTACAGCCCAGTACAGATCCTGAGAACATCTCTGCTTCTTTTAAGTCTGAAACTAACATGTCATGCCTTTCTTTTTTGCCTGCAACTTAAAGGAGCTTATGATAGCATAGAAACCATCTCTTCATAAAGGAATGTTAAAATGGACCAAAGACAGATGCTTGTATTGGTTCTATTTTGAGGGGTGGAAACCCTGCACCAAACACTCAGTGACAGAGTAAAAAACATTTTTCTGTGTCTAAAACTTTATATTTTATTCCATTTATGTACCGTCTGTGTTTCAGTAACCTGTATTTCCCCAGAAAAGTAGCTTTATATGCTTTTTCATGAAAATTCTAAAGATTAGCTGAGAAAAAGGATTATAGTTTTTGTTTTGTTTTTGAGACAGGGTCTCACTCTGTCACCCAGGCTGGAGTGCAGTGGTGCAATCTTGGCTCACTGCAACCTTTGACTCGTCGGTCAAGTGATCCTCTCACCTCAGCCCCCCGGGTAGCTGGGACTGCAGATGCATGCCACCACACCTAGTTATTTTTTTTGGTTTATTTTTTTGTAGAGATGGGGTTTCGCCATGTTGCCCAGGCTGGTCTCAAACTCCTAGGCTCAAGCGATCCACCCATCTCGGCCTCCCAAAGTGGGATTGCAGTTTTTGATAGACAACAAATTACTTTTCGAGTGTCCAGACTGCTTATGTTTTGGAGAAACCAACAGAAACATTATATATATTGATCACTGTTGCGGGAAGTCAAGGACCCCGAATGGAGGGACCGGCTGAAGCCATGGCAGAAGAACGTAAATTGTGAAGATTTCATGGACATTTATGAGTTCCCCAAATTAATACTTTTATAACTTTTTACTCCTGTCTTTACTGCAATCTCTGAACATAAATTGTGAAGATTTCATGGACACTTATCATTTCCCCAATCAATACTCTTGTGATTTCCTGTGTCTGTCTTTACTTTAATCTCTTAATCCCATCATCTTTGTAAGCTGAGGATGAATGTCACCTCAGGATCCTGTGATGATTGTGTTAACTGCACAAATTGTTTAAACAATATGAAATCTGGGCACCTTGAAAAAAGAACAGGATAACAGTGATGTTCAGGGGACAAGGGAGATAACCTTAAAGTCTGGCTGCCTGTGGGCCGGGCGGAACAGAGCCATATTTCTCTTCTTTCAAAAGCAAATAGGAGAAATATCACTGAATTCTTTTTCTCAGCAAGGAACATCCCTGAGAAAGAGAATGCATCCCTAAGGGGAGGCCTCTGAAATGGCCACTTTGGGAACGTCTGTTTTTTTTTTTTTTTTTTTTCTTAACGGTTGTAGATAAGGGATGAAATAAGCCCCAGTCTCCCATAGCGCTCCCAGGCTTATTAGGATGAGGAAATTCCTGCCTAATAAAGTTTGATCAGACTGGTTGTCTGCTCTCAAACCCTGTCTCCTGATAAGATGTTGTCAATGACAATGCATGCCCGAAACTTCATTTGCAATTTTAATTTTGCCCCGTCCTGTGATCTTGCCCCACCTCCATTTACCTTGTGATATTTTATTACCTTGTGAAGCGTGTGATCTCTGTGACCCCACCCTATTCATACACTCCCTCCCCTTTTGAAAATCACTAATAAAAACTTGCTGGTTTTGCAGTTTGGGGGGCATCACGGAACCTGCTGACATGTGATGTCTTCCCCAGACACCCAGCTTTAAAATTTCTCTCTTTTGTACTCTTTCCCTTTATTTCTCAGACTGACTGACACTTAGGGAAAATAGAAAAGGACCCATGTTGAATATCGGGGGCTGGTTCCCCCCGATAGATCACTTAGCACAGTGCCTCATAGAGAACATACTTTATGGCCAGAATCAAATTCAATCTTTCCAACATCTCTGGATGGTATGTTCTGTAGTTATACCCATTTTAGAGAAGTTGAAACATTCTCAGGTGAAGTAACACATCGAAGGAGACCCCCTTACTCCATGTTCTTAACCACCACGAAGAAGTGGATCTGTTGGAGATGAGATGGGCCTAGGTATAGAGACTTGGCAGGTTTACAAGGGAGGCGCACTGGTGCTCAGAAGTCAATGTCAGGAAAAGGAGGCTGACGCAGGGTAGGTAACTGTGGAAGCTACCCAGTTGCTCTCACTGGCTGAGACTACAGTCTCCACTACTTAGTCAAAGGGCATGGCTGCTCAAGTGATGTTTACAGACCATTACTCCATGAAGCAGGAGGCATGGATGGCTAGAATCCCTAAGTCCAAAAGTCAGACAGTCTGGCAGGAGCCTTGTGCGATACTTGTATGTGTTAACTTGACTGGGCTAAGGGATGCTTAGATAGCTGGTCAGACATTCTTTTTGGGTATGTGTGTGAGGTGTCTCCAGAGGGATGAGTCTTTGACTGTATAGACTAAAAAAAGAAGATCAACCTCACCAGTGTTGGTGGCAATCAGTCAATCCCTTGAGGGCCTGAATAGAACAAAAAGGAGGAGGAAGGGTGGATTTGTTCTTTCTCTTTATGAGCTGTGACATCCATCTTCTGCCCTCAGACATCAGAGCTCCTGGTTCTTGGGCCTTCAGACTCCTTGGAATGGAAGTTATAGCATCAGTTCCCCTGTCTTAGGCCTTTGGACTTGAACTGAATTTCCTAGCTCTTCAGCTTGCAGATGGCAGATTATGGGATGCCTTGGCCTGCATAATCACCTGAGCCTATTCCAACAATAAATCTCCTTTTATAGATCTCTATATTTGCAGTTTATTTGTTCTGTTTCTCTGGAGAACCCTGACTAACACACATGGCTAGCAGATTGAAGGCACAGAACTAGGATCTATCTCCGTAAAAAGAACAAATGGACTCTAGAGGAAATACCACTGCCCCAACCACCAGTGAAGTCTCAGTTCAGGGCAGGATCCAGGCCTTTAGAGGGACTGTGGAATTTGGCTGGGGGGAAAGCAAACAGAGGAGAAAATCTTGGCCAAATGTTCAGCTTTATGAATTGCACCAACTCCAAGAGTACGAGTGGCTCCGGTCTGGAATCTGGTTGGAGATTTGAGAGCGCAGGCAGATGCTCAGCTGTTGAAGCTATGCCACAGAGTCTGGCAGGCTAGATTCATTTCCAGTCCTGATGAGATTGAGCTGAGGCTGTTGATGATTTGTTTGCTTTGGTTACAATCAACTCAGTAGCAGGAACAGAGCTGAGCCTGAGTATGGGTGCATTGGTGAGCCCAGCAGTCGGGACTCAGGGGAGGCAAAGTGAACACAGTGGGGCTTGCTCCACCTGCTAACTTCTGGTTGCTGACATTCCAGTCCCTGAGCAGTGCCTAATGAACCTGACTCCATCATGACAGTCCCAGAAGGAAAAATCTTATAAATAGTCCCTTCAGAGTTTGTGGCCCTGAAGTTTCATGAGCACATTAGATACCAATTCAATGAGTAGAATCTTCCAAAGCTTTTTTCCTGTATTAGTTCTTGAACACTAACTCTTATCTCTCATGTTTCCTAGCCTAGTGTCTCGCTTAACAATGCGTAAAAGAGATCCACAAGTTTATACCTAAGGTGCCAGGTGGACCTCATACCCAGCAAGTACAGCAAAACTGCTTTCAGCTGAAGCGATATGGGAACTCTACAGGGAGGAGGAATGTTTGGGTCAAGGCTTAAAGTAAAAACACATTTTGAGCATCCTAGCTAATATCTGTGTCAGAGGGTGAGGGTATCTGTATTCATATCCTGTGGCTCTGGTAACAAATAACCATAAACCTGATGGCTTAACCAACAGAAATGGACTTTTTCACAGTTCTGGAGGCCCAGAGTCCAAAAGCAGGGAGCTGACAGGGCTGTGCTTTCTCTGGAGGCTCTGGAGGATAGTCTGTTTCTTGCCTCTTCTAGCTTCTAATGGCTGCTGGGATTCCTGGGCTTGTAATTGCATTGCTTTCATCTTCAAGGCCTGCATCTTCCAATCCTCTCTGCTCTCTCTTCCCATTGCCTTCTCCTCTGTGTTTCTCTGCCTCTCTCTTATAGGGACATTTGTGACGGCATTTGGTGCCTAGCCAGATCATCCAGGATAACCTCCTCATCTCAAGATCTTTATTAATCATGACTGTAAAGTCTTTGCCATATAAGGTAGCAGATTCTAAAGATTTACAGATTCCAAGGATTAAGATGTAGATATCTTTTGGGGGGCATTATCAAGCCTACCACAGCAGCCCTGCTGAAAGAAATAGCATGTAAGGAAGAAAAGACAGAGAAGGAGAAAGAATATTCAGACAGCGACCGCCAGTTAGTTGGAGGGTTGGGATGATACAGAACAATCCTATAAGGTATGGCTTCTTACAAACACCTATTTAGCGGTCTTGGTGGGGTCCTTGAATTCCAGACCAAAGAGTTTGGAGCATAGGATGGAGGAAATCCTAAAAATACAGATTTGGAAAGAAAGCTAAGATCAGATTGTATAATCACAACAGTTATGTGAGAAAACCAAGAACCACTGCAAGTATTTGATCAGGGGAAAGATGATGTGATCAAAGAAGGAATATTGGAAATCTTAGGAAGATTACATTCTCCATCCTTCAACTCTCCTTCTATTTGTGTTTATTATGGCTCCTATGGAAGGACAAAGTCCTTAACATTCCAGGCTAACATTCCAGAGTTGACTTCAGCCTTCAAGAGTGCAGCAGGGTCCAATCAAACCTCCTGTCATAAACTTTTTGGATGCCCTTGGGTATGTGTAGATATTAACTGGGTTGCCAATTTTATCTTTTTCCAAACAACTATTTTCATCTCCTGTTGTCTCATTACTGCTTCTCTGGGTAGCCGAGGCCCTTTGCTCTAATGTATATAATATATAGTACAGTCCCTTCCTTAATTCCCCAAAGCCTAGTTTACATTAGGCTGTAGGGCTGAACAAAACCTTACCAATGACTTGAGGATGACATAAGGAAATTACTTTGTTTAAAAGAAATATTCCAAATGGGATATTGTTCATCTAGGTCTCAGACTCAGACAAGCACAGCCTGTCAGGGTCTCTTGCTAACCAGTTCTCTCCTATCCGTCAGGCTAATGGTCAATTTTCTTTTGTTTTTGTTTTGTTTTTTGAGACAGTCACACTCTGTCACCCAGGCTGGAGTGCAGTAGCATGATCTTGGCTCACTGCAACCTCTGCCTCCCACGTTCAAGCAATTCTCGTGCCTCAGCCTCCTGAGTAGCTGGGATTACAGGTGTGTACCACCACGCCCAGCTAATTTTTGTATTTTTAGTAGAGACGGGGTTTCGCCATGTTGGCCAGGCTGGTCTCGAACTCCTGACCTCAAGGGATCCACCCGCCTCAGCCTCCCAAAATGCTGGGATTACAGGCATGAGCCACCATGCCCGGCTGGTCAATTTTATTAAAAGCATCTTATTAGACAAAACAAACCTGGAATTTATGTTAATTTTTTCATCCCCTTACATGCTTATAATTGTAGTTTATATGTAATATTCACTCCCTGACCAACTGCAGTTTAACTTCTGTCCCTACCTTACCATGGACTCTCCTCTTAGTTAAGTCAAAGACACCCTCACTGCTAAATCTAGGATTCCATTCGTACCTTCCTTAACCTCTTCAACATTTGACATAAGCCATGCTGCCTGCTCCCACTGCACTCCTTCCTTCCCTACCTGCTCAATGCCTCACCACAGCCACAGAAGAACAATCAGTTAAGACCACCACAGTCACCCTGCAGAGATGTAATTCACCCCACAAACATGATAAACTACCTGCTTAATAATGTAAAAACTTAAGTAACTTTCCAAACTATCAATTTTAACCAATTTTGGGGTCATGAAATCAATTTAGAGAGTTTCAAGGATCACTTTTCTTAAGCTACATAGAACTGAATAGAGACCATCAGAGTGTATTCACGTAGGAAAGCTAAGTGTTTTGTACCCAGTATGTGTATATGTATATCCACTAGGTCATGATAGTAAATATATTTCTTATTGTGGGTGGTCAGAAAAGTTTTTAAAAAGGCACTGATTTGGGTTTTCCTGAAGTTAACTCTATTATTCCAAAATAGAATCCAAACTTTAATTTGGAAAAAAAAAACTCAATAGAAATTTTGATTATGAGGCGATGAAGAATCGTCTTTAAGATTTCTGCTGTCGCAGCTTAAATAACTGGTGAAAGTTCAGGCAACTTTAAAAATGTTATTTTGTCTCAAGAAAGATGACAAGGCTTTTCATGGCTGGTCTCTTCCTCTCCAGCCTCATTTTCCCCGTTTCCTACTTTGCAGAGTGTATCGTGGCCACGCTGAGATTCTTGTATCTTCTCTTGGCATGATGTTTTCTTTTGGCTCCAGGACCTTGAAGATGCCATCCTGTTACCTGGAACACTCAGATGTCCTCCCTCTCCTTCTCTGCTCAAAGCTTCCTGTGGCCCACTCTGTCAGCCTTCTTATCCCAGCTGAGTCATGGCTCTTTTTAGAAAACCTTCTCGGACTTCAAGCCAAGCTGTTATTGGAATTTGCCGCCTGTGTTCAATGGTCAATGATCTCCAAGTCACTGCAATTTAACGTTCACCCTACTGATGACTCTGACCTTGGTTTGGTCGAGGACAGCATTGCTGCATCTATACTGTCATCCTTATCCACCTAAGCTCTTCAGCATTTGGCATAAGCCATGGGTGTCTTGATGGGTGACTAATGAAGCAGACTACACAGCATTTCTCACCTGTTTTATTACTGTATCATTTATCCTCTCCCAGATATCTTTAGATACTGTTCACCTAATTTCTCCTCCATCTCCCCATTAGAATTCTAATAACCCAGATACATGTCCATTTATGCACTGTGGCCCTTTGGAGGATCACAAACCATTACATAATATCTCAGATTTTATATAATCTTAGATTATGTGAATCTTTTTTTTTTTTTTGCTCCATAGGAACCAATTTTTACCTCCTTGTGGGCACTATCACCCCCAGTGAGAATGCATGCAATAAAATAAAACTCTATTTGTCCTCTTGAGAGGGATAAGAAAAAAAAATAGTTCCCACTCTTTAATAAAAGAATGTGGATTATTTTCTGTATATTATGATGTTTTGATATGTTAAAAACCTTTCCACCTGGAAAGAGACTGCACCTCCCAGGGCTGGCCAATCCTTAGAGACAGCAAAGGGCTCAGCTGGGAGTGTGCCTTTGATACGCAAACTGCCCAACCCAGAGCCATCTCTCCTCTATGTGGCCCCTGCACTCCAGGACACAACATTCCTCTGCCTTAGTCAACCAAAGGCCAGGTACCGGGCAATTGGAGACATCCTGTAGCTTAGGGCCTGCTGAAATTATTCAAACTAGCCAGTTCTAAACTGTTCATCCTGCCCTGCCTTTCCCTGTGGAAACCCCAATAATGGCTGTGGCTAAATCTTCCACTTGCTCCTGTCTTCTGCCTCCTGACTGCTTATGTCTTCCTCTCACCCTCCATAGCCAGTTGTCTCTAGGACCTGTGAGTATAACATACTTTGTTTTCCCGAGACTCTCTCCTGTATCTCCTCTTGTGACCACACCGCCCTGATCATGGCGTAAAAGAATACAAAAAAAGGTAAAATAGGGTTCTATGGGCTGGGCACAGTGGCTCACGCCTGTAATCCCAGCACTATGGGAGGCCGAGGTGGGCAGATCACGAGGTCAGGAGATCGAGACCATCCTGGCTAACATAGTGAAATCCCGTCTCTACCAAAAAATACAAAAAATTAGCCGGGCATGGTGGCGGGCGCCTGTCATCCCAGCTATTCGGGAGGCTGAGGCAGGAGAATGGTGTGAACCCAGGAGGTGGAGCTTGCAGTGAGCCGAGATTGCGCCACTGCACTCCAGCCTGGGCAACAGAGTGAGACTCTGTCTCAAAAAAAAAAAAAAAAAAAATTGGGTTCTATGATGGATAACAAGAGTACTTTCCCTAGATAGTTGGAAAAGACTTGGCTGAAGAAGTAACACGTGACCTGGAGCCTGAATGATGAGAAAGAGGCAACTTTAAGACAACTTGAAAGTCAAGTTTTCAGAACAAAAGGGACTCCAAGTACAAGAAGCCTGAGGAAGAACCAAGCTTAGAGTGTTCAAGGGACAGACAGGAGGCCAGTGTGGTTGAAGCAGGGGCACCACCATTTTACCTGTGGTCACCAGCATGCATAAAATGTACAACACGAAGACTGAACCCTAGTGTGAGGTGGAGGGGAGCAGGGCAGAGGGGCCAGATTATAGGTTCTCAAAGGCCATGGTAAGAATTTTATATTTCATTCTGGTTGTGATGAGAAACTTCTGACTTCAAGTTTGAAGCAAGGGAGTGACATCATCTATGTGATGCTCTAGAACAACTGCTCTAGTTACAAGGCGAAGGATGGACAGGAGGGCAGGAGAAGGAAGCCTGACAGATTCTCCAAAAGGACAAAAAGTCAACGTAGCTGATGATCATGATGAGGGCAGTCACGCTTAGGGCTGGAGTCAAAGGGCAGTTTTGGGAAAATTTTGGGAAAATGGCAGAAGTAGAAGTCTTGAATATCGCATCAGAAATGTGATGCTCATTTTTATTTTTTTCTTTTCTTTTAGATGGAGTCTTGCTCTGTTGCCCAGGCTGGAGAGCAGTGGCACGATGTTGGTTCACTGCAACCTCCGCCTCCCATGTTCAAGTGATTCTCCTGCCTCAGCCTCCTGAGTAGCTGGGATTACAGGTGTCCACCACCATGCCCTGCTAATTTTTGTATTTTTAGTAGAGACGGGGTTTCACCATGTTGGTCAGGCTGGTCTTGAACTCCTGACCCGCCTCGGCCTCCCAAAGTGCTGGAATTGCTCATTTTTAATCTCAGCAGCTCATTCACAGATCATACATGGAAACTTATCACTCACACCTAAGCCTTCTTTGCCTGTCTTAGAGATCCCTGGTGCAAGAAACTGTAAGATTATTTGACACATTTTCTCTGTCTCACCCTAACAGCCTCTTTCTAGTATTTGTTTTAAAAAACTTATTTTTTTTTTTTTTGAGAAGTTTTTTAGAGCAAGGGTTTGGGGAGACAGAGGGATGAATAAGTGGAGCCCAGAGGGTTTTTAGGGCAGTAAAACTACTCTACATGATACTGTAATGGTGGATACATGTCACCACCATGCATAAAATGTACAACACCAAGACTGAACCCTAGGGTGAAATATGGACTCAGGCTGATAATGATGTGTCAGTGTAGGTTTATCAGTTGTAACAAATGTACCACTTTGAGGCTGGGAGCGGTGGCTCATGCCTGTAATCCCAGTACTTTGGGAGTCCAAGGTGGGCAGATCACCTGAGGTCAGGAGTTCAAGACCAGCCTGGCCAACATTGTGAAACCTCGTCTCTACTAAAACTACAAAAATTAGCTGGGCATGGTGGCGGGTGCCTATAATCCCAGCTACTTGGGAGGCTGAGGCAGGAGAATCGCTTGAACCTTGGAGGTTGAGGTTGCGGTGAGCTGAGATGGTGCCACTGCACTCCAGCCTGGTCCACAGAGCGAGACTCCATCTCAAAAAAAAAAAAAAGTACCACTTTGGGGGTGGTGTTGATAATGGGGGAGGCTGTACATGTGTAGGGGTAGGAGGCATGTAGGAAATGTCTGTAGCTTTCCCTCAGTTTTGCTGTAAATCTTACTAGTGTTTGAATGCCAAATCCTTAAGATCATATCTATTTCTTGTCACTGGCAGTGAGTTCTGTTCTTGACTTTCCACTAAGAGCAGTACTGATGACAACATCCCGCAGTATTTTATGAGCCGGAGAACATTAACATATCTAAAAGAGTACATTTTCCTCTGGAGGGCCACCAGCCTGTAAACTGCAGGTCAAAAAGCTGAGTGTGAACAGCATTGTTAGGACATGTTTCTAAGTGTATGCCAATATGTCCACAGAGGTTTTTTTAGACTTATAAAGCGAGCTAAAGAAGACTTTTGTTCCATTTTCTGATTTTTAATTTATATAGACATTTTTTCATTTGAAGAAAGTGCATATATTTTTAAAGGAAAGGTACTCTTAAGTCTATCCATTTAAGAAAATATTAATCTCCATGGAGAAGAAATTTTCCATATTTTAAAATTTATTGTGTGTAGGTATATTCCATATACACTCTATAAATAAAAAGCACACTGGCTGGGCGCAGTGGCTCATATCTATAATCCCAATGCTTTGGGAGGCTGAGGCGGGCAGATCACCTGAGGTCAGGAGTTTGAGACCAGCCTGGCCAACATTGTGAAACCCTGTCTCTACTAAAGATACAAAAATTATCTGGGTGTGATGGCAGACGCCTATAGTCCCAGCTACTCAGGAGGCTGAGGCAGGAGAATCACTTGAACCTAGGAGGTGGAGGTTGCAGTGAGCCAAGATGGCACTACTGCACTCCAGCCTGGGCAACAGAGCGACACTCCATCTCAAAAAAATAAATAAATAAATAAAATAAAAAGCACACACTATCACAAAGAAGATGGTGGCAAAAATAATAATAAAAATAGTAAGTAAATAAATAGCACAGAAGTATTTACAGTAAAAAATTAGGTCTCCTTCCAGCCCCCACCTGCCAATCACTCTCAGGAGGCACCCACTGTCTTCAGCTACAAAGCTTTCAGAGAGATTTTATTAATATAAGCAAATACATACTTTTTAAAAAAGTATAAATAAGGCCTGGTGCAGTGGCTCACGTCTGTAATTCCAGCACTTTGGGAGGATGAGGTGGAAGGATCTCTTCAGGCCAGGAGTTAGAGACCAGCCTGGGCAACATAACAAGACCCCCATCTCTAAAAAAACAATCAAAAAAACTAACTGGGCATGGTGGCATGGTTCTATAGTCCCAGCTACTCAGGAAGCTGAGAGTGAGGGATTTCTTGATTCCAGGACTTCGAGGCTGTCACCCACTCCAGCTTGGGTGACAGAGCAAGACTCTGTCTCAAAAAAAAAAAAAGTATAAACACTAGCATATCATATATTGCCCTGGACTTTTCTTTTTGATTTAACATATCTTGGAGATTCTTCCATAGCTGTGGATAAGGAGTTGCCTCATTCTTTTTCAGGGTAAGTTTAGTATAAAGGGTGATATAGTGGGGAAATTATATTTAATTTATTTTTGCCAACTCAGTAGCAGAGCTGTGACAAGATTAATCCTTAGATTTTTGGAGGTTCATATCAAATCATTCAAAGCTTTGACATTTTTCTCTTCTTTGTGGCTCTATTTTCATCACTAAAATTCCCCATCCTATGCCCCTGCAGCCCCCATCTGACGTTTGTCACTTCTCTAGCTTAGTCATCTGATCTAATTTTGATGAGTCAGATGTAAATAAACCCAGATAATGTGTCTTTTAGCCCAAAAGACTAAAAGATAAAATAAAAGGAAATGCATAGGACACAGGGCAGTTTGTTGAATGGCTGAGATTTGAATATGTGTGTATTAATTCTTTCTGAATTACAGCTAGATTCTGCCCTCCCCAGCTTTGTATCTGGAGACGAGGGAAAATGTGATCCCAGTTCATATTATGAGTGAACATCTCTGACTGTTCTAAGAAGTCCTATTCCCTTAGATTACTGAAGTTCACAGGGAGAAAGCACCCACCCAGATATTTTTGGTTTTTGTTTGTTTGTTTGTTTGTTGAGATGGAGTCTCACTCTATTGCCCAGGCTAGAGTGCAACGGTATGGTCTTGGCTCGCTGAAACCTTTGCCTCCTGGTTCAAGCGATTCTCCTACCTCAACCTCCCAAGTAGCTAAGATTTCAGACATAAGCCACCATGCCCAGCTAATTTTTGTGTTTTTAGTACAGACAGGGTTTCACCACATTGTTCAGGCTGGGCTTGAACTCCTGACCTCAGGCGATCCACCCGCCTCAGCCTCCCGAAGTGCTGGGATTACAGGCATGAGCCACCGCACCTGGCCTCACCCAGATATTTTTCAAATACCATTTTCGATTCCCACTCTCTTTCTTGAAGTAAGCAAGGCAGACACATTTGCCAAGGATAACTGAGAATGTAAGGGCAATCCATGACTGGGCAGCTTGTGCAGGCTGTGTGCTAAATGCACTGGGAAACATGCCCTATAAATAGCCGTTCATTGTCAGCATGTGTGAAAAGACAAGAGAGCATTCCGTGCTATGATTCAGGCCTAATTAAGTGATTGCGTCTGGGCACGGCTATAAACCACTAGCTGCTTCAACTGGTAATCCAGTCAGTAGGCAACTGCAGGGGCTCGCCACTGACTGAAGGCAGTGGAAGGTTGGCAGAAGGAGGCTGTTCAAGGCTGTTTTTGCCTTCACTATGGCAAAAATCATTTTGAGGCACCTCATAGAGATTCCAGTGCGTTACCAGGAAGAGTTTGAAGCTCGAGGTCTAGAAGACTGCAGGCTGGATCATGCTTTATATGCACTGCCTGGGCCAACCATCGTGGACCTGAGGAAAACCAGGGCAGCGCAGTCTCCTCCAGTGGACTCAGCGGCAGAGACGCCACCCCGAGAAGGCAAATCCCACTTTCAGATCCTGCTGGACGTGGTCCAGTTCCTCCCTGAAGACATCATCATTCAGACCTTCGAAGGCTGGCTGCTGATAAAAGCACAACACGGAACCAGAATGGATGAGCACGGTTTTATCTCAAGAAGCTTCACCCGACAGTACAAACTACCAGATGGTGTGGAAATCAAAGATTTGTCTGCAGTCCTCTGTCATGATGGAATTTTGGTGGTGGAAGTAAAGGATCCAGTTGGGACTAAGTGACATCGTATCGGTTCCTGTTCAGATGACATGGGGAAGATGATGGTTCAGCCACTGGTACTACGAGAATGTTTGTATTACCCACATTTGAAATGATTTGCTATGATTTTTATGAAGATTAAAAATATATACACAGTTCCTGGTATGTTGAGGTTGTCTTTATTATTCTTACTCAGAAAGGAAAATTTGTAAATATGTTTGTGTGGCTCAAACTGATACTATTCTTACAACTGAAACATTGAAAATACAGAAGGCTGTATTTGGATATTAGAGAGGACTCCGAATTGTTTCTTATTATTCCAACAATGCCAGCTGCATTTGTAATCACTGATGGCAAAAGAGCTATACCCATTTAAGGAATTCCTATCCATTTTATGAAAATCTTTTATTTTGCCAAAAAGAGTTGTGATTCCCTTCACTCGATAAGCTTTTCTTTTTAATGTATTTTAATTAAAATGAGGTTTTATAAATATGGAGTGCAAAAATTAAAATACAGTATTTGGAAATTGGGTCTGATATCTATTTATGATTTAGTATAGTTGTTACTGCCTTAAAGGTCAATGGGAATTTTCAGATATAAATCTTATTTTTAAAAAGTTCAAATATGTACCTCATTCATCTTTTTAAAGATATACTGAATCCTATCTGAAGTGTTTTGACTTTTTAAAGATAGTATAAGTTCTATGGACACGTACAAAATGTTCATGAGATATGTATTTACATATCCTCTTGTAAATTAATATGAAGCTTAAGGACACCACTTTTAAAAGTTTGATTGCTGAATTCAGTGAGTTTTAATCTGTGCTTTTTAGATGCTCCATAAACTTAGATGGCAAAATGTAACACATCTGCTATCTCTGCATAATCCTTAGCTTTAAATAGCCTGGCAGCCAATGGAAGTTCAACACCTGAGCTTACACTGCGTGTCTGAGTTTACACAGCACATCTGATGATTGGTGCTTATTATATTCTCCCAAACTACTGCCTTGGCTCAAGGTGGAGACATTGGTAGAGGTTAAGGACTAGTGCCTTCAACAGCTGCTCTGGGACATTCCAAAGGTTTGCTATCTCATTCTGTATACATTAAGTATTTCTTCAGAGGCAGTGGCTGCCTGCCTTTTACCCCGCACTGAATGTGAGCTGACAAGCAGCCCAAGGACAGTGCTAAGAATAGACATGGAATGCAGGGTGTGGAAAACACCAGGGCAAATGCAGATTGCTGACAGTATCCCAGTACTCCCCCACGTTGTTTTACTGTAGCTCAAGTTAAAATGTAAAAGACATGAAGCAATAGAAAAACGAATCAAACAGTTCTAAAAGTTATTTTGAAAACAAATGTAATCTGAGAAGAATGTTTACTGTCTAATTAAATTGAAAAGATTTTGCAGTTATATGCATATCTGAGGTTTATGCCTATACATGGAGGTTTGTGTGTCCAACTCAGATATGAAAAATTTTGTTTGACCAAGTGAATATCACAGATCAGCTTGGCTGCATAACAAAGTTAATAGCAGTCGTTGAGATTCCAGATCTACTAATATGATCAGAACTGGGATACCATTTGTCTGGATTATCATTCTTTCCCAGTGATTGGCAGAATAGTGTGAAAAGAAACTAATGTGGTGAGAAACAAAAAAACCCTCTCTTTCGGCCTTGATCTTACTCTAGATGAGATCCTCCTCCCGGGAAAATTCAGGAGGTGAAATTCCTACCATGAGGAGCCACTGATAGAAAATATTCTCTTTAAAAATAAAATTAAAGTAAACACATGTCTAATGAGCTCTTGTTTTTACAAGATAAATTTTAAAGTCTTATAGATAAGATATAGATAAGTTTTAAAGATAAATTTTAAAGTCTTATAGCCATTTTTTTGATTTGGGAAATATACCAAACACTATAAATAATAAAAATCATCTATGGTTCTTCTGCTACCATGAGGCAGCTATTTTAAATATCTTGTTCAACAACAGGACTACATAAATACATGTATCACTTTTCACAAAATTAGGATTATATCTGTATGGAGTTTGATATCCTGATTGTACTGGCTACTGTCTGTTGCCCTCCCCACTCCCACCAAGTCAAACCATTCTCTGCCCTTCTCAGCCCCACTCTGAGCCCAAGCAGGCTGACCCTGATGGGCCACATCATTCTAGTTTCTGGTTGGGTTCAGCCAATAAGAGGCACTGACTGGAGACCAGAGATTGCAGAGAGATTAGTGGGCAAGAGGGGAGAATGGTCAGGGAATTCTTCTGTCGCCCTTAACCTGCTGCAGACCAAGGCCCTGTCAGGGCTGCATCCTTCTATGACTGAGTTCCTCCAGGGCTGCCACTCTCACAGGGCTTAGGGTTGTAACACTGTCTCTTCCTTTCGTCTGTTCAAAAGGAGGAGGAGGGGTGACTCTCTGCTCTTTCTTGTACCCTGTGTGTCACTATCCCTTATTGATTCTCCTTACTTTGCCCACTCTCTCATAAATGGTCCTTTAGGCAATGGAATTGTTTTCTGCCAGAACTCTGATTGTTTGACCTTTTAATCAATTGCAGAGTAAATGCATGTGATAGCAAACATTTAAGCATACCTTTAGAAAGACCCAGTACGGTAGATGTACCTGAATGTGTGTTTCAAGTTAGGCAATCTGTGCATGGCCAACCTGGAGATTCGTTTTTTTATCTATACATCTGAGCCCCCACCCAGCCTGTTCCATGGAATATGTGCCGTACAGGAGATTGAGGCCTTGAGTTTTGAGTTAAATGATGGTTGCCAGGTGGAGTTCTTTCGATGGAGGGTGTTAAGTGAAAGTGCTGTAGAAACTGCATAATGTTTGCAAGCAGTTGTGTTCTCCCAGCCAGCCTGCCGCTACTGGACTCTCTCTTCTGTATTAACCCCCTAATAAAACACCGCATTTCATCTGCTGGCTCTGGGTCTCTTCTTTGGCCTCTTTAACCTGGTGCTTTCCCTATTGGGGTTGATAGGTGTTCATCGCAACAGTGACTTTTTAAAAATTAGTGCATCGCTTTCTTTTTCTACCAAACAAGAACTGATTTGTAATGGCTATTCACTGTTCCAACAAAGCTTAATTGTATTAGCATTTAACCATTTCTTTTCATTCTTGGTTCCAGTAGGAAACAGTTGGACCCTATCAAATTGGAAAAATTCAAGAAGGGTTTATTTATAAAGAGACATTACAGGCTGGGCATTGCGGCTCACGCCTGTAATCCCATCAGTTTGGGAGGCCAAGATGGGTGGATCACTTCAGGTCAGGAGTTCAAGACCAGCTTGACCAACATGGTGAATCCCAGTCTCTACTAAAAATACAAAAATTAGCTGGGCATGGTGGCACGTGCCTGTAGTCCCAGCTACTAGGGAGGCTGAGGCAGGAGAATTGCTTGAACCTTGGAGGCAGAGGTTGCAGTGAGCCAAGATGGCACCACTGCGCTCCAGCCTGGGTAACAGAGTGCGACTGTCTCAAAAAACAAAACAAAACAAAAATAAAAAACAAGAGAGAGAGAAACATTACAAAGGAGTGGGGAGGGCATAGAGGCACTGCAAAGGAAAGCGGAGTAATCTGACGTTCAGTGTGGAGTTGTTACGTCCCCCAGGTCCAAAGGGATGGGAGGAGGAAGCAGGTCTCAGAAATCAAAAGGAAAGTCGCATAGAGGAGACTACCAGCTGTGACTTTCATCTGAGGGCATGACCAGTCCAAGGAGACCTCTTACAGGGAGGGAGCCAGGAGAACAAATACTTCCTCCTTCCCATCTCCTGCTAGGGTCCCCCATTGGCTGGATCTGACTGGAGGCCAGAGGGCATGGGAGTCCTGTCATCTAGTTCAACGGCCCCCCAGGGCAAAGGGCAGGATGGAGAAAAGTGAGGATGACCCTCAGGGGCAGGAGGATAATATCCAGTACTCCAATCAAATGAGTCCTATTGTCAGAGTTCTCTGTTAGAAAGTCTCTTTCTACAAAGTAAAGCTTGGGATGAGGATGGGATGAGGAAGAGCTGACACTTTATTTGGAAAGTGTCAAGCCCAGGATAGTAAAGATGAGGAAATAGGGGAAATGAGACAAGGAAAAACTGGGGAGCTAAGATGGTGTGATTAGGGGATGTGTCACTGTGCTGACCACCACGCCACAGGGAGCTGTGAAGAGGCTCAGCATGTCTGTGGGCAGGGATGTTGGCTCAGCACAGGGAATCGCTCCATGGAGAAGTTTTCTTCAGGGAGAAACAAATCTTAAAGAAGTCCCCAGGAAAATCAAGGGGAGAGAGGGAATTTGCTCACCTTATTCTCTACAATATCCCATCTCCTATTAGTCAAGGTTCAGCTCACAGGGGATAAACTTTCCTGTACTTCTGGGTTCTATCATTCAATGCCTTGTTGGAAACCAGACCCTGATGATGTGACATTTCATCCAAGCTGGGAGCAGAAGAATGACAGCATGATTAGGAGCAGAAGAATGACTCAGCATGAGTAGGGCTCAAGGCTTCAGTCAGTGGACTCTTGCTGCCTTGGAAGCCTGGCAAAACTGCTGGCAAAAGTGGCAGCAGCATGGTCTGGGAGGCAGGCGATGCCTTCAGAAACAAGGTGTCAGTCAAAAAGATATGCAAGGTTTGTATCCAGTAAACCTTAAATACAAAACTGCAGGAAGAGAATGCCAGGCAGATCAGACAGTCTTATATCATCTACTGCTCTGCAACCTACACTGCCTTCAGATTTTATGGACCCTAATGTCACTTTATATTTTGATCTAATTTTTAATCCACTTAGGTGCAAAGTTAGTCCTCTTAAACATCTCCAGGATTTTTCTTTTTCTGTAAATTGTGGACCAAGGTTGTGTGTTTATTATTTAAAGCTGTCTGCCAGAAAGCTAGAAGTCAATGAAGATTTTCAAGATTTTTGTTCTCAGTGATCTCTCCAAGTCCAAACTGCACTGAGGTATCAGGGAACCTGCCCCAATATTCATGTAGGTTCTTTTCCATTTTCCTTAAGTGTCAGCCAGCTTGAAAAATAAAGGGACAGAGTACAAAAGACAGAAATTTTAAAGCTGGGCGTCCGGGGGAGACATCACATGTCGGTAGGTTCTGTGATGCCCCACACGCCGCAAAAACCAGCAAGCTTTTGTTAGGGATTTTCAAAAGGGGAGGGAGTGTGCGAATAGGTGTGGGTCACAGACATCAAGTACTTTACAAGGTAATAGACTATCACAAGGCAAGTGGAAGCAGGGCGAGATCACAGGACCACAGGACTGAGGCGAAATTAAAATTGCTAATGAAGTTTCAGGCACCATTGTCGTTGATAACATCTTATCAGGAGACAGGGTTTTTGAGATCAACGGGTCTGACCAAAATTTATTAGGCGGGAATTTCCTCTTCCTAATAAATCTGGGAGTGCTATGGGAGACTGGGGTCTATTTCATCCCTGCAGTCTCAACCCTAAGAGATGGCTACGCCCAGGGTGGCCATTCATAGGCCTACCCTCAGGCGTGCATTCTCTTTCTCAGGGTTGTTCCTTGCTGAGAAAAAGAATTCAGTGATATTTCTCCCATTTGCTTTTGAAAGAAGAGAAATATGGCTCTGTTCTACCTGGCTCACCAGCAGTCAGAGTTTAAGGTTATCTCTCTTATTCCCTGAACAATTGCTGTTATCCTGTTCTTTTTTCAAGGTGCCCAGATTTCATATTGCTCAAACACACATGCTGTACAATTTGTGCAGTTAATGCAATTATTACAGGGTACTGAGATGACATACATCCTCCTCAGCTGACAGGATTAAGAGTTAAACTAAAGACAGGCATAGGAAATCACAAGGGTATTGATTGGGGAAGTGATAAGTCTCCATGAAATCTTTATGTTTAGAGGTTGCAGTAAAGACAGGCATAAGAAATTATAACAGTATTAATTTGGGGAACTAATAAATGTCCATGAAATCTTCACAATCCACGTTCTTCTGCCATGGCTTCAGCCGGTCCCTCCGTTTGGGGTCCCTGACTTCCTACAACACTGAGGTCCCCCACTTGTCCTTGGCCTATTTTTCTCACCTACTTGTCCTTCAAGGTAGAGACACAGTCCTGGAAATCTTATTTGGAAAACGAAACATCAAAAACAGAAGAAACAACATGCTTCCCAGCTAGCTCTCCTCATTATCCTTTCTGCCATCACAGCATACTGTGCCCCACACTATGAGCAGCATGCCAAAAGTGCCTGGTTCCTACCCAAAATACTTCCTGAAAGATGTCCAGCTAGTCCAAGGCTACTGTTAGCCACCAGCGCACTGACTGCATTTGGCAATCGCATGCACTTACCAGGCACGCTGGCCCTTCTCAAAGAGCCACCTTGAAGGGTTTTGTTTGTTTGTTTTGTTTTTTTGCCTGAGTGTCTCCTGTTTGCCCACTGTGTGCAATTGTGTTTGGACCACGTCTTTTAGCATTTTCTGATATTGGGAAGACAGTACAGTGTTATGAAAGACTGAGAACTTCAACTGGAGTTCCACAGGTTTTTCTTTCATGAAACATTGCTTTAACACAATCCTATTCAATTTCCATACTTACCATGAAACCCCAAACGAGAAAAATGTATGGAGGTCTTGCTTTACAGTAGGGTGTTACTCAGTAAGTTACAAAACACATCTTGGCTGTAACCCTTTGCTGGGAGGCGATGAGGCTCTGGATATGAGGAAGGAAAATGGCCAGTATCAGGGATATGGACAATGCTTTCTTCCTTAATTCCTGATTCTCCTAAGCTTTTGCTATAGGCATAGCCTCTTGTCCCTGGAATGGATTACCTAAGTGTACACTTGTCACTGTTGAAAATGTTATATGGATGGGGACAGGAGGTGGGGTTGGAAGCATCATATATGGAAGCCCTATGCTTAAAAATATGTAATGGGATCATGTATGGTCAGTCTATGTAGAGATTGCTAACAAGTGATCAAAAAAATCAGTGGATTGGGTCTTGTGTTTGTCCCTATTGATGTGATTATCTGAAAGTTGATCTGTTAAGGACCTTAGCAAGTCAAAAAGTTATTTTCATTTATTTTTTATTTTATTTTATTTTTTTTTGAGATGGAGTCTCGCTTTGTCACCCAGGCTAGAGTGCAATGGTGTGATCTCAGCTCACTGCAACCTCTGCCTCCTGGGTTCCTGGGACTACAGGCGTGTGCCACCACGCCCTGTAGCACAAATTTTTTTTTTGTATTTTTAGTAGAGACGGGGTTTCACCGTGTTAGCCAGGACAGTCTCGATCTCCTGACCTCGTAATCCACCCACCTCGGCCTCCCGAAGTGCTGGGATTACAGGTGTGAGCTACTGCGCCCAGCCAAAAAGTTATTTTAGAAAACATATGAGGCAAGGAAAATAAAATGAGAAAAAACTGGGAAGCCAACTTGGTGTGATGATGGGATGTGTTACTGTGCTGGTTACCATGTCACAGGGAGCTGTGAAGAGGCTCGGCAGGTCTGTGGGCAGGGATGCTGGCTCAGCACATGGAACCGTTCCATGGAGAAATTCTCTTCAGGGAGAAACAAATCTTAAAGAAGTCTTAGCCAGTTGCTAGGCTCATGCCTGTAATCTGAGCACTTTGGGAGGCTGAGGTGGGAGGATCACTTGAGCTCAGGAGTTCCAGACAAGCCTTGGCAACATGACGAGACTCCATCTCTACAAAAAGAACAAAAATAAGCCATGAGTGGTGGCACGTGCCTGTAGTCTCAGCTACTCTGCAGGCTGAGGCGGGAGGATAGCTTGAGCCTGGGAGGGTGAGGCTGCAGTACAGTCTAGGCAACAGAACAAGACCTTGTCTCAAAACAACAACAACAAAGAAAACCCAAGAAAATAAAAAACAAAAACAAAAAAGTCCCCCAGGAAAATTAAGGGAATAGAGGGAATTTAGCATACAACCTCAAATTTTTAAAAACCCATGATTTCCACTAGTTTAACAAAAATACTTTTTACTAATGATCATAGTTCTCTTCAGAGTCTGTCAAATAATTAGTCACAAAGAAGAATTAAAAATTAAAATGTTGGTTTGGTACAGCTCTTATATTACATTTTGAAAATAATTTTATTTAGTGGTTGAGTGGGCCGGATCCCACCTCCACCCCTGACCCCCCGCAAAATAAGAGAGGTAGTATTTTTAATTTGAAAAGCAAATGATTCAAACTGCTGTTTACATTTCCTGTGTTGTTTAATACACAGTGTGTGTGTGTATATAAAAATATAATCCTGTTTATTAATGTTTTCTAACCTCAAGGAAATACAAAGAATGTGCAATGTGGTAAGATCAAATGATCTGTATGATACCATTCTTTGTAATGTGTTGTTCAAATATTCTATGTTCTTCCCTTTTTTCCCCTGATACTAGAAAACATATAGATTGTTGTCTTCGAATCTCTCAAAATTGGAGATTCGAAATTGGAAAAAAGGCAGTTTTCCATTTTTAAAAAAAGTTCTGGCCCATTTTTTACTTTGTGTATTTTTAGATTATGTTGTTATACTTTTAAGTTTGTTGTATAAACTTATATAACTTTCCTAATTGTAAGTTTAAAATTGTAATTTTTTTCTATCGAATTGTTTCTTATATTATTATGTAGGCCCACTTTTTATCCCTATTTAATGCTTTTAGCCTTAAATTCTATTTTGCCTGAAAAATACCACGTTTTTATTATTTACATGGCAACTCTTGTTCTTTTATATTCAATATATTGAATACACTACAGTATTTAAATGTGTCTCTTAAAAGCAGTAGCATATAGCTGAATTTTTAAAAATGCAGTCTGATCATCTGTCTTTTAGTAGATAAGTTTAATCCATTTACTTATTGGAATTAAATATTTGAATTTATTTCTTATTTCATATTTCTGTTTATCATGCTTTTCTTTGCTTTTTTCCCTTTCAGATTTTCGGTTTACTTCTTTGTTTTTTCTACTGATCTTTAAGATGTTAAAACTTAAACACTGCCTGAAAATTTATAGGCTAATATACATTTTTGAAGGAAAATAATACAAGTATAAAAATTTAAACATTTTCTTTGTCTTTTTTTTTTTGAGACAGAGTCTCACCAGGGTGGAGTACAGTGGTGCAATCCCGGCTCACTGCAACCTCCGCCTCCCAGGTTCAAGCAATTCTTTTGCCTCAGCCTCCCTAGTAGCTGGGACTACAGGCATGCACCACCATGCCTGGCTAATTTTTTGTATTTTGAGTAGAGACAGCATTTCACCATGTTGGCCAGGCTGGTCTCGAACTCCTGACCCCAGGTGATCTACCCGCCTCAGCCTCCTAAAGTGCTGGGATTGCAGGCGTGAGCCACCGCACCCCACCAAAAAAACTGTCAATATCCTTCTCCTGATTGTGACTAGGTCATTTGTGTCCTTACTACCCACTGAATACTGTCCTCCATCTTGTTGCTATTCTTAATTTTACTTTTAGACTGGGCTCAATGGCTCACGCCCATAATCCTAGCACTTTGGGAAGCCAAGGTGGGAAGACAGCTTGAGGCCAGGAGTTCAAGACCAACCTGGCCAACAATAGTGAGACCCCACCTCTTATTTATTTAAAACATTTTTAAAATTAAATTTAGTTTTGGGCTGGGCACGGTGGCTCACACCTGTAATCCCAGCACTTTGGGAGACTGAGTGGGGAAGATTGCTTGAGCCCAGAAGTTCAAGACCAGCCTGGGCAACAAAATGAGAACCCTGTCTCTACAAAAAAAGAGGAAAAAAAAAATCAAAAATGAGATGGGAGGATTGCTTGAGCCACAAGGTCAAGACTGCAGTGAACTGTGATCGTGCCACTGCACTCCAACCTGGGTGACAGAACAAGACCCTGCCGGAAAAAAAAAAAAGTTTTACCTTTAAATATTGACTGTTAAAATCCTACTATTGGCCGGGCATGGTGGCTTATGCCTGTAATCCCAGCACTTTGGGAGGCTGAGTCGGGCAGATCACCTGAGGTCAGGAGTTCGAGACCAGCCTGGCCAACATGTCAAAACCCCGTATCTACTAAAACTACAAAAAATTAGCCGGGCATGGTGGTGTGTGCCTGTAGTCCCACCCACTAAGGAGGCTGAGGCAGGAGAAGGAGAATCGCTTGAACCCAGGAGGAGGAGGTTTCAGTAAGCCGAGGTCATGCCATTGCACTCCAGCCTGGGTGACAGAGCGAGACTCCATCTCAAAAAGAAAAAAAAAAATCCTACTATTAAAAGAAAATGTATGAATTTCTGTGCTCACCTTTGTTTCTTGTTTTCCACAGCTGAACTTTGGGTTCCTATCTCTTCCGGTTAAGGTTTCTAGTTATTTTGAGGCTCTGTAGGTGAAAACTGTCTTTACATTGCTTCACTCTTGAATGATATTTAGCAAGGTATAAAATTCTAGATGAATGGTAATTTTTACCTCAACACTGTAATTATTCTGTTGTCCTCTCCACTTAGAGTGGAGTTCTTATTAGCAGCAACATAATCGTTCCTTTGTATATAATCTGTTTTCTCTGGTAGTCTCAGATATTTTCTCTGTGATGTTCTGTGGTTTCACTGTGATTTGTCTGGGCTTGGATCTGGATTTGTTTGTGCTGCTTAATATGCAGTCTGAACAAATATCTTTTTTTAAAGGTCTGGACATTTCATGGCTATTTCTTCTTCACATGCTCTCCACAAAGGCTCCATTCCCTTCAGTTAGAACTATTACTATATATAGATTGAAGCCTCTCAAAAGCCCTTGGTCTTTCTGTGCTCTATTTCTAGCTGAATTCCTCAGTCCTTTCGTTCTTTCTTTCCTTTTGAAATATGCCATACATATAGAAAAACTTAATTATTATTGTTCATATGTTTTTTTAAAAGATCATCCATGTAATAAATCACCCAGCATAAGAAATCGGTCACTGACAGCACCCAGAGGCTACTCTCCTTCCAGAGGCAACCACCATCCTGTCCTATGTGATGATTAAGAAAAGATAAAAATGTTACTACATGTATTTGCATCTCTAATCAATGTAGTTTAGTTTTTACTTGTTTAAACTTTATATAACTGGAAGTATAGCCTATGTATTTTTTGTGACTTACTTCCTTTACTCAAGATTGCTTTAGCGCCATCCACAGAGAACAGTACTCTGTTCATTTTTATTGATGTATATAGTTCATTGAATAAATGCACCAATCTGTGAATTCTATTGATAATAGTCATTCCTTTATGATATTAAAATATATTTTGTTTTTATAGAGGCAGGGTCTCCCTGTGTTCCCCAGGCTGGTCTCAAACTCCTGGGCTCAAGGGATCCCCCTACCTTTTCTCCCAAAGTGCTAGGTTTACAGGCATGAGCCACCATACCGGGGCGATAATAGATATTCTCTTTTAAACATTAAAAAATAATTTGTTAAAGATGGGGTCTTAAGCTAGGTGTGGTCGCTCATGCCTGTATTCCCAGCACTTTGTGAGGCCAAGGTGGGTGGATCACTTGAGGCCAAGTGTTCAAAACCAGCCCAGCCAACATGGCAAAACACTATCTCTACTAAAAATACAAAAAACTAGCCAGGCACATTCCTGTAGTCCCAGCTACTCAGGAGACATGAGAATCGCTTGAGCCTGGGAGGCAGAGGTTGTAGTGATCTGAGATTGCACCAGTGCACTCCAGCCTGATTAATAGAAAAAAAAAAAAAAAAAAGACAGGATCTTGCTCTGTTGTTCAGGCTTGGGTGCAGTGGTGTGATCATAGCTCACTGCAGCCTTGAACTCCTGGGCCCAAGTGATCCTCCCATCTCAGCTTCCTGAGTAACTAGGACTACAGGTACATGTCACAATGCCCAGCTAATCTTTTAATTTTTTTTGTAGAGACAGTCTTGCTTTGCTGCCCAGGCTGGTCTCAAACTCCTGGCTTCAAACGATCCTCCCGCCTCAGCCTCCCAAAGTGTTGGGATTATAGGCATAAGCTTTCATGCTCAAACAATAATAGACATTTTTTATTAATTTAGAGCTATAGAACAATACCACTATGAATATTTTTGTACATGTCTATTGGCTTCCGGATGCAGGAATTTCTTTCTTTTTTTAGAAGCAAAGTCAGTGTTGCCCAGGCTGGATTCAAACTCCTTGGCTCAAGCGATCCTCCAACCTCAGCCTCCCTAGTAGCTTGGATTAGACATGTGCCACTTCACCTGGCTAATGTGCAGGAATTTCTTTAAGGTATATACCTAAGAATAAAACTGATGAAGTATTGAGTGTGGCCACCTTCCATTTAATAAATCATACCAGCGTTTTCCAATGTGATTTAACAATTTATGTTACCGTTAGAATTATATGAGGGTTTGAAATTATCCTAAATCCTCATCAAACCTTAGCATACTCAGGCTTAAATTTTTGCCAGTCTAATTGTCTTCATCTGTATGTGCTGCTATAATGGAACACTTGAGACTGGCTAATTTATGAAACACAGAAATTTATCTTTTATAATTCTGGAAGCTGGGAAGTCCAAGATCAAGGAACTGGCATCTGGTGAGGGCCTTCTTACTGTTTTCTCACATAGTGAAAGGCAAATGTGCAAGAGATAACAAACAACACTCTCTGTCAAGTTCTTATATAAGGACCCCTAATTCCATTCATGAGGGAGGTGCCCTTGTGGCCTAATCACCCCTTAAAGGCCCATCTCTTTGTACTATGAGATTGGCAACACCTGAATTTTGGAGAGGACCCATTCAAACCATAGCACTGTATAATGTAAAGCACAGAGAGATACGAAGTCTCATTTTTACCATGTTACTGAGTTTATCTCATGTGTGTTCTCAATGGCTATGGTTTTAATTACATTTTTTATCAAACTATTCCTTTTTTCTTTTTTTGTGATGGAGTTTCACTCTTGTCACCCAGGCTGGATTGCAATGGCATGATCTCGGCTCACTGCAACCTCCACCTCTGGGGTTGAAGCGATTCTCCTGCCTCAGCCTCCCAAGTAGCTGAGATTACAGATGCCTACCACTATGCCCAGCTAATTTTTGTATTTTTAGTAGAGACAGGGTTTCACCATGTTGGCTGGACTGGTCTTGAACTCCTGACCTCAGGTGATCCACTCACCTTGGCCTCCCAAAATGCTGAGATTATAGGAGTAAGCCACTGCACCCAGCCTATCAAACTATTCTGCCTGCCATTTCTTTCATAATTTCTTATTCTTTTTAAATAGACATAATTCTTTGAGCATCCTAAACATAATTATTTTCAAAGTCTTTATTGGATTGTTCTATATATTAATTTTATCTGGAGAGAATTCAAGTTCAAAGTATGGACTAGTTTGATTTTCTTAGCATTAAGTTTTTTGAAGTACTTGGGAATTTTGGTTTTCAGGCTTGTTTTGTGTGAAACAGTAGTTGTTGTTATCTTCCCTCTATCCCATAATCAACCTTCCCTATCTAGAGGATTTGCTGTTAACTTTGCTCTAGACTTTAACTTGAGGATTTTAGAAATCTCTGCCTCAAAGTGACCTTGTGAATACTGCAGATTCGGTCATCAAACAAGCATGAGGCTTGGTGATTTTCTTCTTTCTTCTTAGAAAGCCTGCAAGTGGTTTCAGTTCCCTTTACTGGGCAGGAGGGTCTCCACACACCACAGCTCCCAGTCTCACATGGTGAATCTGTCTCCTGTCCTCTGAATTCCTTGATTCTCATTACTTTTCAAGACCCAAAGTTCCCCTGTCACTGTCCATTTCTGCCTGAAAGCCAGCAGGCACACGGTGTCAATCCACTGCTTTCTGTTTCTGTTTTGTTTGAGTCTACAGAGCTGTTTATCTTATTTTTGAGACTGGCTATGTCTTTTTGTTTTTTTCTGTTTTATTTATAATCGCCAAGGGTTATGGCAGTACAGTGTTCTACTAGATTCTAAATTTTCTCATGAAATATGTCAAGTGATGGGATGGAAAGGAGAGATTAGATATCTAGTAAAGAATACAGTAAGTTCAAGCATTGATGAACCCCTCCTTTCTCATTGCAAATTGTCTCCCATCGGTGGCAGCTGTGGCTAAAATTAGCTGTTTTCCCTCCTTCCTCCCTCATTTTCCAATGCTTTAAAAATAGAGTAATGCAGCTGCATTTAAGATGCTTAAGACTTAACTTATTTTTTCAGAACTCATTTCAAACTTTTCTCATTCCTGGAGCAGATCATTTGGACAAAATGATATCTCATTTTTGTTTTCATTCTTTTGCAATTACGTGCATATTTGAACTAAGTTCATAATGCACATGATTCACAATGCAAATGCAAACCACATTTAGAATCAAGAGACAGAAGATAAAAGGTCTTTGGAAATGTTGATAGAACTCTTTTCTTTAATATTTCCAAATAAGTATAGAGGTGTGTTGGAATAAAGATGGCCAAACATTTTTAGACTCCACCTCTAATGACAAGAGTAGCAATTTGCTCTCCCATGGGGTGTAGACTGTCCTTGTGTCCCTCCTTGACCAGCAGAATAAGAAGGAAGGGGCACTATGTAACTTTTGAGGTTGGGTCTGAAGAAATCTAAAGCTTTCCTATTCACACTCTTCCATACACTCCCTTTTAAAACCCAAGCTACATGGTGAAACTCCTTGGAGAAGAACCAAAGCTCTCTCTGAGCTCTCTCAGCTAAGCTCCTATCCAACAAGCAGTCCTAGCTATTAGCTATTTAAATACCCCTCCTTGACATTTCAGCCCAGGCAAGCCTCCAGATGAGATCATATGGGGCAGAAGGAATGCCCAGCTGAGCCCATTATCACAGAGAATTGTAAGAAAATACAGATTGTGGTTGTTTTAAGCCACTGAGTTTTGAGTGGTTTGCATCAAAACAAGAGGAAAACGAATTCTAGTGACTTTGGTATCTTGCCAAAGCAAAATTATATGGCTAATTATCAGATATTCCTATGTTTATCTTTCAAAAAAACTCCACCTCTTCTTGTACAATCTAGTAATATATATTGAGTTCCTATGTTAGGGAACTAATTAGAATTTGTACATATCTCTTAATTGTACATATCACTTCAAAATATATCTGAATAAGAAACCTTTTTGTATTTGACAGTTCCCCCAGTTTTCAAACCTATTGATTCCCTATTAGTTTTTCACCAGAACTTTAGAATACATGGGAGCTGCTCTACTAAATGTTAAAACATAATGTTACGGTAATTAAAATAATGTTAACATAAGAGTAAATCAATAGAACCAAGTAGGAGACACTGATCAGAACCCCATCACATCCTAGAGTTTAGTTTGATAATAGTAGCAGTTGCAGTTGTAATACATGTTAACATGATTCTGAGAGAGGAGAAAGGAAGAAACTGGTCACGCAAGCAGTTAGGGTGAGTCTTCTGTTGAATTGTTTCAAACAAAAGAACACCCCAAAACATCAAGCTACCGGCACAGATAAGGGAACTTGCATGGGAGATTGCCTAAGACAGGCCCACAGCCACACAGATAAGAAAGGCTATACAGCTCAGTTTCCCAGACATGCCCACAATGAAAAATTTTGTCCCCTGACACATGCACAGTAAGGGGAACAAAGCAATATGGAATAACTCAAGCTAAGGGCCCCCGTGTGCACTAGGAGGATGGGGTGGAGCTACCACAGATTCACACCTTATGCAAATGAGATGCCCAGCTCTCATCAGTTTCCTATAAAATCCTCTGCATTCAACTGTAAAAACAGCAACCCTCTTCCAGGTCCCCCCTGCACAGGAGAGAGCTTTCTTCTTTCACTTATTAAACTTTTGCTCCAGTGTTACCCTTGGCACCTGTGCTCCTTAACTTTCTTGGTCGTGAGACGAAGAACTTTGGGTGATATGTCAGGCTATGAGAGACTGCTACGTTGTGGTGTATTGGTGAGACATAACAATTCAATGTATGTACCTAAGGTAACTGTAGACCTGTCTAGAAAAATGAAATTAAAAGCTCATCCCTATCATATATATCTCAAAAAGAAAAATTCCAAATGGACTAAAAAGTAAATGTAAAAACAAACAAACAAAAAAGCTCTGCATGTCTGCTGCGCTGGTTGTTCTCATTCTTCCATCCCCACCCCTGACCTCTGATCTTCTCTGCCCTGTTCTGTGTTCTGGGGGTCTGTCCTCTGGCTTCAGGCTGGATTCACTCAATGGAAGGCACCAGCAAGAGAGCAGAGGGTGGAAGGAAAGGGGGATTTAGGAAATTTCTTCTCCAACTCTCATTGCTTCAGGTCCAGGTTCTGGCAGGGGCTGCCTCCTGCAGTGGCTGCCTCTCTGATGAGACTTTCTCTCCTGGCTGCAGCCCACACTGGGCAAGTAGTTCCATTTTCTTTCCCTTAATCCTTCATGCTCTGGGGGGTAATGGCATCCCCTCTATTACAGGTCTCTGGGTGTCTCACCATTTTTGTTCATCCTTCAGTCCTGCCCACATCTCTATAAATAATCACTTTATTGTATCTTTTTAAAATCCAAGCTGAATATGCATTTTGTTTCCCTTCGGTACTCAGGGTGATATATCTACCTATATATTCTTCTAGGGAAGACTTTTAAAACAAGCAAAAAGACAACAAAAAAATAGCAAAACATCAAAGGAAATTTTAAAAAAAAATTTTTTTTATTTTTTTGAGACGGAGTCTTGCTCTGTCGCCCAGGCTGGAGTGCAGTGGCGCGATCTCGGCTCACTGCAAGCTCCACCTCCCAGGTTCACGCCATTCTCCTGCCTCAGCCTCCTGAGTAGCTGGGACTGCAGGCGCCCACCATCATGCCTGGCTAATTTTTTGTATTTTTAGTAGAGACGGGGTTTCACCATGTTAGCCAGGATGGTCTCAATCTCCTGACCTCGTGATCCACCCACCTCGGCCTCCCAAATGCTGGGATTACAGGCGTGAGCCACCATGCCGGGCCTTTTTTTTTTTTTTTTGTCGAGACAGAGTCTTGCTCAGTCGCCCAGGCTGGAGTGCAGTGGTGCAATCTCAACTCACTGCAGCCTCCGCCTCCCGGGTTCAAGTGATTCTCTTGCCTCAACCTCTCCAGTAGCTGGAATTACAGGCACACACCGCCATGCCCAGCTTATTTTTTTATTTTTAGTAGAGACGGGGTTTTGCCATGTTGGCCAGGGTGGTCTCGAACTCCTGACCTCAAGTGATCCGCTGTGTCGGCCTCCCAAACTGCTGGGATTGCAGGCATGAGCCACCACGCCTGGCCACACCTGGTAATTTTGATCAGTTTGCTTAACCCCTCTATGCCTCAGTTTCTTCATCTGTAGAATGGGGGTAATTATGGTACCATCACATACAGTTGTTTGGAAGACTAAATGAGATGAAGATGTAGAGTGACCAACAAGCCTGGCTTGTCCAGGCCTGAGTGGTTTCTCAAAACACAAAACTTACAGTGCTAGAATTGGGACATCCCAGGCAAACTAGGAGAGTTGGTCACTCCATAAGATGTCAAGTACTCAGCACAAAGCGTGGTACAGAATATGAGTTCAATAAATATTAGCCATTATTTTATATATTTCAAATATGTATTTGAGCAAATTCCCAGTCATGTTTTTTATGTAGTTTAATTATGTACATCTCTACCTTATTTAAAGACTAAAACATAATTTTAAAAAATAAAATGCTTCATTAGTGAATCAATATCACTGTTCATTTCTAACGTCTATTTGGTTATTTCTAAAATTCTATGATTCTGTCTTTTTTGGTTTTCATTTTGTTTTGTTTCTGAGACAGAGTCTCGCTCTGTTGCCCAGGCTGGAGTGCAGTGGTGCAATCTTGGCTCACTGCAACCTCCACCTCCAGGGTTCAAGTGATTCTCCTGCCTCAACCTCCCAAGTAGCTGGGATTACAGGCACCCACCACCATGCCCAGCTAATTTTTGTATTTTTAGTAGAGACGGGGTTTTGCCATGTTAGCCAGGCTGGTCTCAAACTTGTGACCTCAAGTGATCTGCCCACCTCAGCCTCCCAAAGTGCTGAGATTACATGTGTGAGCCACTGTGCCCCGCCAATTCTTTTTGTTGATTGCTCTGTCTCTGTCTTTGCATGGCCACCTTCTCCCTGTCTGTCCCTGTGTCTTCACAAAGTGTTCTCTCCCTGTGTCTCTGTTTTCTTATTAGGATGCCAGTCACATTGGATTAAGGCCTACCTTAATTGGGTGACCTCATCTTAACTTTATTACATCTACAAAGGCCCTATTTTCAAACAAAGTCATATTCATAGGTACTCAGGATTAGGATTTCCAACATACCTTTTTGGGGGACATAATTCAACCTGTAACACCGTGAAAGACCAGCTCAGTTTCTTAACAAGATAATTGGGTTAGAATTCTTTACTTTTAAGGTACTGCCCAAGCAGCCTGAACTTCTCCAGAAGCTTAATCTCATGTTTAGCATGTTGTCTCACATGCTACACATCTCTAAAGATTTCCTCCAAACCAGTATAAACTCATGAAGAAAGACAATGAGCCTCAAGTTATTCTTTTTAAAAAAATAATAGCTTTATCAAGATATAATTTACATACCATAATTTACCCATTTGAAGTTTGCAATTTGATGGGTTTTAGTGTATCTACAGAGGTGTACAATATCACCGCGATCAATTTCTGAACATTTCTGTTGCCTCAAAAAGAAACCCTGGACCTACTAGCCATCACTCCATCTTTCTTCAACCTCCCCTGTCTCCCCTATCCCCCAGTGGGCAACCACCAGTCTATTTTCTGTCTCTCTGAATTTCCCTATTTTGGTCGTTTCATATAAATGGATTCATATAATACATGGCCTTGTATGTTTGGCTCAGTTCAAGTTATTCTTCTATTTTAAATGGGTGAAAGTCTGACATGTGGGTGGGATGAATGAGTGGGAACCTTGCCCTGAAAATCACTTGCACCTTGTAATTATTTCAACATGGCCTCACAAAGAGTTATCACAACGTCCCTGCATTGCGTGGGCTTCAACAAGTGATGATGATTGGGTTCCGCGTGTGTAGATCAGCTCCTATAATTACATCCAATGTTGTAGAACATGGGTGCTCTTCACCCCAAGGGCCAGCTGGTCCATTCTGTTGTAGCATCTCATTGGCCAGGGCCTCCACCTCTCTTAAGGGGAGGATGTGTCCACTCAGTGTCCAGCCTGGCAAAAGGTGCTCTGTAATGTGCACTCCCATCCTCCATCCCCTCCACTACCACCCTATAGGCCCGTTTCTTGTGCAGATGGATCCACATTCTTCCACCAATGAAGTGGTGTATTTTCTTATTTTGATTTTTCTTTTTGTATTTTTTTTCTTCCACAAATGCCTACTTACCCTAAAGCTGTACAAACTGAAAAGGCCACTCAGGTCATCTTTTATAGGGCAAAGAAAATCAAATTCTATCCCTCCTTAGTGGTAAATAGAAAAGCATGTGAGGCTACAAAACCAAACACTGGAAATAGGACAATTACTGAATTCAACGAAATTCCATATATCATTTAGACACTTCGTTAATATTTGTTAACTATAGGACTTAACAAAATTACAGATATCCCAAAGGAGCCAGACTAAATATAGGCTGACCTGGTAATTTTCCAGCAGATGATAGTATCACTCTCTTTGAGAGACAAGGGAAAAATACATTTATACAAGTAATAATCATTTTTATCTGATTTATTCCTGTTCTTTTCTCCAAACATTATACAATGCTATGTTTTATAAGTAACACGAAGAAAAAGATGTACTGTTTGTTTCAGAAGGGACATTTTGAAAGAAAAGAAATCACCATGTGTAGAAGGATATATTTTAACAGGACTTCTTTATTCCTTTCCAACTCACTGCTCATCACCATGGCATGTATACTCCTATTTCTATTTTTATTCCCTTTAGGACTGTTCCTAGATATTTGTAACTAGTTCTCTATACCTGTAAGTTTTCATTTGCCCAGGGTTATGTCTTCTTTTATTTTGATTTTTCTTCTTGTATTTTCCTCTTCCACAGGTGTTCTTTCATTCCTCCCTCCCCGCACCATGCTTACTTTCTGTCAACCTACTTCTCTTTCCTTCATTTTCTCTCTAGCATTTACTTCCTTCCAGTTTTCTGATCTAGAGTCTTCAGTGCTTGTGTTATTTCTTGGCTGTATGATCTAGGATCTGTTATAGAGTGACCAACCATCTGCTTAGCCCTACACTAAAACCCCTCAGTCCTGGGCCAACTAGGCTGGTTGATCACTCTACTTAACAAGTTACCTGGGGAAATAATATATTGACACTAACGTAGAGAGGATGAGTGACTGGAATCAGTAGCATCCTACTATGTTGCTGTTGCTTTTTAGTGAATAATCATTGGAAGAGAATGCAAATGCAAAAAAAAAAACAAATAGGGGTTATAACCGATTATTAGCAAGATTCTGATGAACTGAGGGACCACAGAAACTAAGTATGTGAGTAAAACAGACTTTGAAGATGAGTGTGAGAGACTGAGTTGGTCATTAGAGCCATCGGCTGTAAAGTTTGTGTGCAGCCTGAACCACTGTGTGCTGCACTCAGGAGAAAATAGGATGCCTTCTGCACTGAGGAGTTTGGCTTGGATAAAAACCATTGTACTGACAATGTAGTCTACTCCAGAGTAACTGACAAAACAGGGGGAGACATTGAGGACATAACAACATGGCTCTTCCTTCTCCTGAGAAGCATTGTCAAAGCTGAGTAGTTGCACCAGTTTGAGTTACAGCATTGGGGAATTCCCCCAGAAGCTGAGTGGGAGCTCTACCCGGGGCTCAGTCTGTGGCTGTCACTTGTCTTCTTGCACAGAGCTTACTTATGAGGGAAGTAAGGGGCTATAATCCTTGGAAAACACAGGCTTCACTACCCTTTTCATTCGACCATTAAAAGGACCATTCCTCTTTGGATGTGGAGAAATAGGAACACTTTTACACTGTTGGTGGGACTGTAAACCAGTTCAACCATTGTGGAAGACACTGTGGCAATTCCTCAAGGATCTAGAACTAGAAATACCATTTGACCAAGCGATCCCATTACTGGGTATATACCCAAAGGATTATAAATCATGCTGCTACAAAGACACATGCACATGTATGTTTATTGCAGCACTATTCACAATAGCAAAGACTTGGAACCAACCCAAATGTCCATCAATGATAGACTGCATTAAGAAAATGTGGCACCTATACACGATGAAATACTATGCAGCCATAAAAAAGGATGAGTTCATGTCCTTCGTAGGGACATGGATGAAGCTGGAAACCATCATTCTGAGCAAACTATTGCAAGGACAGAAAACCAAACATCGCATATTCTCACTCATAGGTGGGAATTGAACAATGAGAACACTTGGACACAGGGTGGGGAACATCACACACTGGGGCCTGTTGGGTGGGGGGAAAGGGGGAGGGATAGCATTAGGCAAAATACCTAATGTAAATGACTAGTTAATGGGTGCAGCACACCAACATGGCATATGTATACATATGTAACAAACCTGCACGTTGTGCACATGTACCCTAGAACTTGAAGTATAATAATAAAAAAAAATAAAAAATAAAATAAAATAAAAGGACTATTCCTCTTTCATCTTCAGATTGTCTTTGGACATGCCAATCTCCTTGGTAAGAGGTGATGCTATAATATAAGTAATCCCTGCTAAGATGTTATTAGGCCAGACCCCTATTGACTGCAATAAAGATAACACCATGTCCTGGAGACCAAAAAAAGAGACCAAGAGACAGTGAATGAGATATAGTGCTTATATAGGGGAATTACATACAGGAATGGTCCAGTTGTGGTGGGCTGGACCGGAAAACTACTACCATGTGTAAAAAGCATGCAGCTTCCATAGCATTTTCACTTAGTACCCTCTACCTAGCAACCTCCAGTTTGCAACCTCCAGGTAACCCAAAACAAAGGGCCTCCATCTCCTGTATGGCCTGCATTCCAAGGGAAGGGCTAGGGGTTGAGATGCCCTTCATGGATAAGGAGTGAATCTCTAGGTTGGCCACTCCCAGATTCCTTAGCCTGGAACTCTGAACACACATTCTTCTTAGACCATAGGGCCATTTTCAGGGTATTCTCAAGTTCAGTTACTGCTGTCAGGTGTGTCTCCCATATAGCTGATAATTGATGACTTAAGCTATTTTTAGAAGTCATATGAAGAAAGGATCAGTAGTCCCTTCACTTGCCCTGTGAGAGAGTGTGTCCTGCTTTCAGAGACACACAATGGCCATTTGACAAATTTACTAAGACCATTCTGAATACATGAGAAATTATTTCATAATACACCCATTCTAATGGAAAGCATAGAACTGTGAGATTATCAATGGATAAAGGAAGTAGAATTTACGATTCCCAAGTAGTTATGTGGAAAGTCAGACTAAGCCATTCTTCCTTGCCTTTTTCATTTGGCAAACTGCCCTGAGCATTCACTATGTACTGAGCACCCTGCTTGGTGTTGCAGATAAAAATATGGAAACAGTATGATTCTTGACCTCAAGGCACTTATGCTAAGACTTCTAGAATGGAACATACGTATAAACAAAGAACCGTAATGAGGGTTACAAGTGCTATTGTATAATCATACTCAGATCACAACGTAGGTACTAAAAAAGGTGTGGTCTGCTAAGAATGATGGTTTCCAGCTTCATCCATGTCCCTGCAAAGGACATGAACTCATTCTTTTTTATGGCTGCATAGTATTCCATGGTATATATGTGCCACATTTTCTTTATCCAGTCTATCATTGATGGTCATTTGGGTTGGTTCCAAGTCTTTGCTATTATAAATAGTGCTGCAATATATATACATGTGCATGTGTCTTTATAGTAGAATGATTTATAATCCTTTGGGTATATACCCAGTAATGGGATTGGTGGGTCAAATGGTTTTTCTGATTCTAGATCCTTGAGGAATTGCCACACTGTCTTCCACAATGGTTACTTCTCTCTGAGCCAGGGGAGGGTGGCTGTGGTCTCTTTAATGATCTAGCCTACTATATCTTGAGGGTAAAGTCTATGACTGTGGTCACTTTATTCATCATTGTATCTGTACCATCTTGCACATAGTAGGTGCTCAGTGAGTAGTATTTAAATGAGCAAAAGCTGATGTTGTCGGAGGGCATGGTGTACATGAAGCAATGTAAGCAGTTTAGCCCAAGAGTCAAGATCCTGCATGATCAGGCCCTGATTCCCTCGCCAGCTTCATCTCCCAAGCACTGCTCCCCTTCTGCCATGATGAACAGTTTGAGCTTTATCCTGGGTCAGTGGGGACCCATAGGAGAAGTTTAAGCAGGGCCATGATGTGACAAGCTTTGTGTTTTAGAAAGCTCTGGCTGCCGTGTGAAGGATTGACTACAGAGGGCAACCCTGGAGCTAAGAAGATCATTCAGTTCTGTAGTAGTTCAGGTGGGAGAATGCACCTAAGAATCCCCTGGTGTTTGTCCAGGGCCCACCCCAGGCCATTTAAATCAGAATCTCTGGTGATGGGATCTAGGCATCAGTAGTTTCTAAATCCTTCCAGATGATTCCAGTGAGAAACCAAGGCTGATAATCACTAGTGTGAATTAAGAGAGTTGCAGAATGGAAAGGGGGCTATAGATGCAAAGGCTGTTAGAGGTAAGGGGACAGCATGCCTAGCTAACAGAGCAGGGCCAATGAAGAAAGGGGAGGAATTGAATTATTCACAAGTTCTGATTGGAGTCATTGAAAATGGGAAGTAGGGTGATCAACCTTCCCATTTTGCCAGGGACTATCACAGTTCTCTTACTGAAGATCTCTCATTCTGCAATAGTTCGTTACTGACATGGCTTGGATCTGTGACCTCACCCAAGTCTCATGTCGAATTGTAATCCCCAATGTTGGAGGCAGGGCCTGGGGGGACGTGATTGGATCATGGGGGCAGAATCCTCATTAATGGTTTAGCACCATCCCCCCTTGGTACTATATAGTGAGTGAGTTCTCATGAGGTCTGATCTCCCTCCTCTCTCTCTTCCTCCTGCTCCAGTCATGTAAAACGTGCCTGCTTCCCCTTTCCCTTCCCCTTCCACCATGATTGTAAGTTTCCTGAGACCTCCCCAGAAACAAATGCCAGCATCATGCTTCCTGTACAGCATGTGGAACCCTGAGCCAATTAAACCTCTTTTCTTTATAAATTACCCAGTCTCAGGTATTTCTTTACAGCAATGTGAAAACAGACTAATACAACAGGGAGGATGGTAGTACCATTCACCAAGATAGGCAATACAGGATCAGAGTGTGGTTGGGGGAAAGGTGATTAATTTTAAACATGTAACAGCTGCTAAGTATTGGTGACTAATGCCATTCTAAGCTCACAGCTGAGGATCATATGAGTTAAATCCCCCACATTCTAAATTCCTAGAACCACAGCTGTTGGAGTGGGTCAGCCACACCCTGACAAGGTTTGCTAAGAGGAACCAGGAAGCAGAACCAGCAGCAACACCTCTCACCCTAATATAAAGTGAGACTGAAAGGGAGAAGACTGTTGCCTTTTGCAGAAGTGCAGTGCTCATTTAGGATGATTTACTCCCAAGAACAAGGGTAGGGGGTAGGTTGCCTCCCATCCTCAAAGCCAAGGGTAAGAGCTGTCGAGAGAACCACTCACAGGTTTGTAAGTATCTGATATGTGCTACCTGTCTGAACAGCTGAAGGATGCTAGGCTCACTGTCCAGCCCCTGTGCCACCACAGTAGAGGAAAAAATACATTGGGAAGAGATGGCATGATGGGGGGCTGCCAAGCAGGGCAGGGGTCGAAACTGTCTTCACTTGAAGTCATGGTGTCCTGGAGGCTTGAAAGGTGGATTCCACAAAAGCCTGAAGACCCAGGAGTTGGCTGTGGTGAGTAGACCATATTTGGAGTCTTGGTCTTGTCTGGCTATGCTGCAATATTGGGCAAAGAGGGGCACACATCAGAGGAATGGGACATAAGGCCACCAGCTCGAGGGCTGGGCTTGAAGTTGAGAATGAATCTCTTATAAGGAACCCCTAGCATCTAGAATTACTGGTTGGGGGCAAATCCCCTGTCTGAAGATGTTGTCTTCCTTCATCTGTCCACACTAACACAATGGCAATAAGCTGGGTCTCACGGGGCACCTCTCCCTTCCATTTTTCTCCTCCATGGTCATTACCAGCAGGAGGTATGGTAGACTTACAAGTTGTGTGTGACCCAGATCACATCTCTATTCTGCAGGGCATAGGAGAGGAGGAGAGAGCCATGCATTGGATATGAAACTAAAGCTTTAAAATAAAATCATTGGATCTTAAGAATAGGAAGTCTTTTTTTTTTTTTTTTTTTTTTTTGAGACAGAGTCTCAGTCTTGCTCTGTCACCCAGGCTGGAGTGCAGTGGCATGATCTCAGCTTACTGCAACCTCCGCCTCCTGGGTTCAAGCAATTCTCCTGCCTTAGCCTCCCAAGTAGCTAGGACTACAGGCACCCACCCCCAAGCCCAGCTAATATTTTTTATATTTTTAGTAGAGATGGAGTTTCACCATGTTGGCCAGGCTGGTGACCTGCCTCAGCCTCCCAAAGTGCAGGAGCCACCACACGTGGCCATTTTTTTTTTAACAGCTAGTAGTAACTATTCTAATGACTAAAAGTGACCAAGACATGATATGGGGCTGAAATTATTAAGGAAGTCTGCTTTACATAGAAAACAGGATTTTGACCCAGCAGTCATTGCCATGTTGTGGGCAACTTTATAGAGAGGCCAAGGTAGTGAGAGACTGAAGCCTTCTACCAACAGCAATGTGGACCCCAGCCCCTTCAGATGTGACAGCTTGACTGCAACAGCATAAGAAACCCTGAGATGGAAACTGAAGCTAAGATACTCCTGGATTCCCGAACCCCACATATTGAGAGATAATAGATGTTTGTTGTTTTAAGTTGCCAGTTTTGGGGTCATTTGTTATGCAACAATAGATAACCAGTAATTGTCCTGAGTTGGGCCAAGGGGACCAGACCTTTACATCGGACTCATTGATTAGTCGTTGGATGCAGGCTGTGCCGGAAGGAAGCGTGACTCTGGACGAGGCCGTTTTCTTCAGCCAAGGCAGCCCCCCAGAAGGCAGTCAGCTGAAGGCTGTTTTCGGGCAACATTCGCAGCAGCCGGGTGACCAAGTCCTTTATTGCTAAAGAGGAGGGATCTGGGCAGTTCATCAAGTGGTTAGTGGGAGGCTCCTGTGGGTCTCCTGAAAGAAGTTTCTCTACCCAATTAACCACCTTAGCCCAAGATGTCACCAGCCAAGGGAGAAATTGGAGTTTGAGGAGCCTGGGAGCCATGCTTCGTCTTCTACTTTCCTCCTGACCACTGCTCTCTTTTTAAATGGTGGTGTTTCACTGGGCTTTATCCTTGACTCCCTCCTACATCTGTAGGAGGGGATGTAGGGAGAGCAGTGTCCATCAGGTTGAGGAAGAAGAGGGCATTAGGAAGACAGTCGTGGTCAGTGAGTGTTTGCTGAATGTATTGGTTGGGGTCTAAGGTGAAACCAGACAGCACACACAAGGCGAGTGGCAGAAAGTAGCTTAACAAAGGGACTCCTTACAGAATTGAGGTCAGGGGTGAGGGGCCCCAACAGGGACCACAGGATTCTTCCCTCCTCTAGGCCTGGGGGGTGTGAGAGCATGGAGTGGGTGCCAGCACTTGGAGAGGGCCATCTTCATGGAGAAATCTGACTGTTGGATGAAGCCATGGCCTTCAGAGAGGAACACAGGCAACCGAAGTTTGGTACTGCCCATAAGTCATCCTCACGGGGCACACGGCAGGGTGAAGGAGGGCAGGAAGCTCATCTGCAAGGGCAAGAATGAAAGGGAGTCAGCAGACAAGAGTTAGAAATGTTCGGCCAGGCGCAGTGGCTCACGCCTGTAATACCAGCACTTTGGGAGGCCGAGGTGGGTGGATCACCTGAGGTCAGGAGTTCAAGACCAGTCTGGCCAATATGGTGAAACCCCATCTCTACTAAAAACACAAAAATTAGCCAGGCACAGTGGTGGGCGCCTGTAATCCCCAGGTACTTGGGAGGCTGAGGCAGAGAATTGCTTGAACCCGGGAGGCAGAGATTACAGTAAGCCGAGATTGCGCCACTACACTCCAGCCTGGGCAACAGAGTGAGACTCCGTCTCAAAAAAAAAAAAAAAAAAGTTCACGACTGATCTCCCTTTTAATAGCAATTTAAAATGTGAATGTTTGGGTACACTCCTAAACTTTAAGGATGATATCAGAGAAACTAGTACTCTTTTTCTGTAAGTATTCCTGGTGCCACTGACAGATCCTAGCTAAAGAGACCACTGGTCTGATTCAGTGGAGTATTACTTTCCTAGGAAATTATAAAGTTCCCTAGGACACTGTAATTGGCTGTGTCAGTGTTGATATGCTAGCTGTGATAGTGTACTACAGTTTTGCAAGATGTCACCATTGTGGGTAACCAGCTAAAGGATACAAGCTATCTCTGTATTATTTTTTACGACTGCATGTGAATCTGTAATCATCTCAAGATTAAAAATGTAATTAAAAATTAATTCACTTATTCTACTTGAAGGAACTAAGAACATGCTACTCCAAACTATGCTGCTCTGGTATATTGGCTATTTTGTGTTTAGGGACTGAATAAAACAGCAGGACAAGAGGATCACTCAGCCCTTCCTTTTATTTTTTTGAAAGCAAGAGATGAAATTCCCATGTGAAAGATGCCCTCCTTATACCAGAAAGAAGGTATTATTCTTATCATCAAGGATAGGAGATCTGTACTAATGAAACTTGTTAAATTAATCCTTATTTTCCTAGTCACTTCTCTACCCAGTTAACCACCCTAGCCCAAGCTCCTTTACCTTGTCACATTTTAATAATTCATGACTCTTTGTCTAATTCAGTATAAGTGTTCAATTCTGCATCTTTGAATCTTCATTTCCTTAGCCATGTAACATGTGTATTACATTTGTATGCTTTTCTCCTATGAATTTGTCTTCTGTCAACTTAATTCCTAGGCCCAACCAAAAAACCCTAAAAAAGCAGAGGTCAAGTTTTACTCTCCCTACACGCTTATGATAATTAAATGTGAGGCTTTAAACTTCGATGTAGAGTTCCCCAGTAATAACTCAACTACTTAGTATTCTAATTTTACCGGAATGAAATCTTTGAGTTACTTGATCTGCTATGACTTGAATTTTATTTCTGTCAAACTCGGCTGTCGTTGCCTTGAATAGGAAGAATAAATCCAAAGCCTGGGAGAGAGGCCTGAGTCCTTGCAAAGCCAGTAAACAAAATCGTAATTGGATCTGCCTCATGTGCACACAGGGTTTTACCTCTCCTGTTGATCTTGTGGTAGAACTCCTCTGCATGGTGTGCTGTTCTCCTACAGACAGATTTGGAGAACTTACATGCTGTTGTTCTTGAACAGGCTTTTCAGTTCTTAGAATTAACTAGCTCATGTATCATTAGAACAAAGTAGTAATTTAAAAAATAAATCTACATTAATGGGCTATTTGGGGGGAACAACAGCTGCTCCAAGATCACAGAGGAGAAGAGGGTGTTAAAACACCCAATCCTAAAGATAGTTCTAGATCAGAAGCTTGATGACTAATTCAATTAAAATGAGTGTGTGTCTGTTGGCTGCATAAATGTCTTCTTTTGAGAAGTGTCTGTTCATATC